>NC_000008.11:105714222-106964222 GCF_000001405.40 Homo sapiens | reverse complement strand
AAGAGGACACAAACAAATGGAAGAACATTCCATGCTCATGGATAGGAAGAATCAATATCATGAAAATGACCATACTGCCCAAGGTAATTTATAGATTCAATGCCATCCCCATCAAGCTACCAATGACTTGCTTCACAAAATTGGAAAAAACTACTTTAAAGTTCATATGGAAACAAAAAAGAGCCTGCATTGCCAAGTCAATCCTAAGCCAAAAGAAGAAAGCTGGAGGCATCACACTACCTGACTTCAAACTATACTACAAGGCTACCGTAACCAAAACAGCATGGTACTGGTACCAAAACAGAGATATAGACCAATGGAACAGAACAGAGCCCTCAGAAATAATACCACACATACACAACTATCTGATCTTTCACAAACCTGAGAAAAACAAGAAATGGGGAAAGGATTCCCTATTTAATAAATGGTGCTGGGAAAACTGGCTAGCCATATGTAGAAAGCTGAAACTGGATCCTTTCCTTACACCTTATACAAAAATTAATTCAAGATGGATTAAAGACTTAAATGTTAGACCTAAAACCATAAAAACCCTAGAAGAAAACCTAGGCAATACCATTCAGGACATAGGCATGGGCAAGGACTTCATGTCTAAAACACCAAAAGCAATGGCAACACAAGCCAAAATTGACAAATGGGATCTAATTAAACTAAAGAGCTTCTGCACAGCAAAAGAAACCACCATCAGAGTGAACAGGCAACCTACAGAATGGGAGAACATTTTTGCAACCTACTCATCTGACAAAGGGCTAATATCCAGAATCTACAATGAACTCAAACAAATTTACAAGAAAAAACAACCCCATCAACCAGTGGGCAAAGGATATGAACAGACACTTCTGAAAAGAAGACATTTTTGCAGCCAACAGACACGTGAAAAAATGCTCATCATCACTGGCCATCAGAGAAATGCAAATCAAAACCACAATGAGATACCATCTCACACCAGTTAGAATGGCAATCATTAAAAAGTCAGGAAACAACAGGTGCTGGAGAGGATGTGGAGAAGTAGGAACACTTTTACACTGTTGGTGGGACTGTAAACTAGTTCAACCATTGTGGAAGACAGTGTGGCGATTCCTCAGGGATCTAGAACTAGAAATACCATTTGACCCAGCCATCCAATTACTGGGTATATACCCAAAGGATTATAAATCATGCTGCTATAAAGACACATGCACACGTATGTTTACTGCAGCACTATTCACAATAGCAAAGACTTGGAACCAACCCAAATGTCCAACAATGATAGACTGGATTAAGAAAATGTGGCACATATACACCATGGAATACTATGCAGCCATAAAAAAGGATGAGTTCATTTCCTTTGTAGGGACATGGATGAAGCTGGAAACCATCATTCTCAGCAAACTATCACAAGGACAAAAACCCAAACACCGCATGTTCTCACTCACAGGTGGGAACTGAACAACGAGAACACTTGGACACAGGAAGGGGAGCATCACACACCAGGGCCTGTTGTGGGGTGGGGGGAGTGGGGAGGGATAGCATTAGGAGATATACCTAATGTTAATGACAAGTTAATAAGTGCAGCACACCAACATGGCACATGTATACATATGTAACAAACCTGCACATTGTGCACATGTACCATACAACTTAAAGTATAATACAAATATATATATATAAAAGAAAAGAAACCTCCAGATTAACTAAAAAAAAAAATAAAATAAAAAAGAAATGCAATAAAAGCCCTCACATTTAGCAAGAAGACAGCTTCTGTGTCACACAAAGAGCCTGTGCGAAACCAGTGGTAAATTATTGAAGAAGGGCAGTTAACTGAAACAAATTTGAGTATAAAAGCAGCATGGAGACAACTGATCATTAAATTCTCAGCATCTGCAAAGAAATAGGATGGAGAAGAAAAATAAAAAATTAAGTCAAGGACCTTTTTCACAAGTAATATTTGAGAAATTTCCCACAACTCTGAGCAAAGCAACAAAATTAGACTTGAATATGTATTCCGATAGTTATTGATGGAAAAGAAAAAAAGGGATGAGATTATAATCATTTAATTTCCTAGGAAAAGTGGTTAGGAGAACACATAATAGAACTCTGTCAACCCAAAATTCAGATGGTAACATAGGCTTTCTTGAAAGGGTACTTCCCATTCTCAAGCAGCTGAAAGGGTAAATGAACCAGGTAATCAGACCACAGAAGAAACTTTAAATATCAGAGGCTGGTTTTTAATTGTTTGCTTATTTGTATTGTTGAAGCTCAGATTTATACCCCAAAATATGGCCAACTGACATGCTGAACCAAAGAAGCAGCCTCATGGTCTCTGACCTTCCCCATCCCTCAATGTCTTTGCCAAAAAAGTTGACGTTCTTTTATCTGTCTGAAGTCCAGATCCACCAAAGTAAACAACTATTTTTTCCTCCCTTCTCTGTAAGACCAAGAATATAAGACCACACCTGAACAGACCTTTTCATTGTCAAAGAAAATTATTTACAATCTTTTCCCAGATCCATTCATTCTCCCTAGAATTGCCAATAGAATTCCTTTTCTCCCCCTTCCCATATCCTGTTTTGCCAGGATAATATATAGGCTTCTGAATCATGTTGTGGGGTTGTGTCTTCATTCTGAAGGCTCCCCTGTATACACATTAAATAAATTTATATGTATTTTCTCCTATTAATCAACCTGCCTAATGTCAGTGATTTTTAAGCAGACCTCTATGAAGCCAAGGGCTTTGGCCCCCAAAGGGTTTTGGAGTTGTTTTGTGTGTTTGTGTGTGGCAATATCTACAACATAAGACTTGCCTCATTTACAAACAAAGCATAACACCTAAGCAAAAAAAAAAGTACCACTCTGACTCTATCCCATTATACCACTTTTTAAAAAAATTTTTAAGTTCCGTGATACATGTGCAGAACAGGCAGGTTACATAGGTGTATGTGTGCCACGGTGGTTTGCTGCACCTATTGACCCATCTTCTAAATTCCATCTCCTTGCCCCCCACCCCCAACAGGCCCTGGTGTGTGTTGTTCCCCTCCATGTGTCCATCTGTTCTCATTGTTCAACTCCCACTTATGAGTAAGAACATGAAGTGTTTGGTTTTCTGTTCCTGTGTTAGTTTGCTAAGGATGATGGCTTCCAGCTTCATCCATGTCCCTGCAGAGGACATGATCTCATTCCTTTTTATGGCTGCATAGTATTCCATGGTGTATATGTACCACATTTTCTTTATCCAGTCTACCATTGATGGGCCCATTATGCCACTTTTCTAAGCAGTTAATGATTTCCAACCCATAGGATTAGGAGAACCTAGAACTACTAGGCTACTAGCTCTATCCTCTTTTAGCTATCTTTCCATAGAAGATCAATGAACATTCCAATTCTATTATGGGAGCCTTGAATTTCTTAATCTTATTCGAATAAATGGGATTCTAAGCACAAACAAGGGTCAAAAATTTAAAAAGCATAAGATTCAGTCAGCACACATAGCTCTATCAAGTAACTGAGATGGATTTTAGCCTGCATAATATTTATATGGTTTACTTATTCTAACACCAAGTAATAAGAATCTTCATGCAAACTATGCTTTTCTCTCACCTGTGTTCTGTATTCTTTGTGTTACTCTGCATAATTAAGCAAACCCTTGAAAATATCTAATTGATCTAATACTTCAACCCTTTTGCTGTTTTTACTAGTCCCAGTGGTATCTTGCAGACACAGTTCTAGTCCCTCTAGTCAAAGTATAATTTTTTTCTTAGGATGAACCAAAGAGGCTATTTACATCTGGGTAGTGTGTAGCTGCAGACTTTTGTGAAACAATATTGGAAAACGAAAGGGTCACAAATCCTTTTCTCAATTGAAAATACAAATCAGTTCCTACTTTCTATCCAGGCAGACAGCCAAACATAAAATAAGGGAAGGCATATATCCATATTTGAGAGAAAGGTGCCTACATAAGTAAGGATTTCCCCCAAAGAACAAAGGTAACTTTTTTGATGGCTTTTGGTGGAAGATGGAAATGTAATGGACAGATGACAAAACTTTAAAATACTTTCCAAATAGCTTGAGGTAGTTTTTGAAGAAGAAACAGCAAGATAAAAGAGCCATAACCTTCATCAAAACTGATTAATGCAAAGAGGGCAGCTATGATATTTAAAGGTTCACCAGTTTCCTTACACTCAAGCACATCTGAAACTTGTTCTAATTTACCATTTCACTAATTTTCATATTAAATGTGAAATTTAATATTTTCACATTTTCTTTTACATATATAATTTTAAAAATTATTCCATATATCTTTATGTAATGGACTCTTAGTATCATGATTAAAGATATTTTCTGCCCTGTGGCCTTAAATATCTTCTACAAATTCTTGTAAAAATTTAAAGTTTTCACAATCTGTTCTTTAATCTAGCTGGACTTGGATTCTGTATATGGAATGAGAAAGGAATTTAATTTATTGCTTTATCTATTTGGATAATCAATTGTCCAAGGACCATATATAATTATCAGCTCTTTGTTCATTAATTTGTATTTCCACATGAGTCATAATCTATGTTCCCATATATGTGGGATCAGGTTTCTGGGCGCTGTATTCCATTCTTTTTGTCCATTTGTCTAATACTCTTGCAATTCTACAATGTGTTAAGTATTATAGATATGTAGTAAGCCATTCCACATTTTTAATGACACAAAAATCTATCATTTTCTCAATTTCTAATATCATTTTCTAAATATCATCGAAGCAATTGCTAAATAGCTGATGACAGCCCAATCACCACATCAAGGACAAATATGTAAAATTTAAAGAGGTGAGAAGAGAACATTTCCATGGCAAAACTTTCTAGAATACTGTAGCATTTTTCCCCTCCCACATAGGGGAAAGAAAGAGATGCTCACCTTATAACTTATAAGGAGCTTTAAGAAACCACTGGTAGTTCGACGCCAGTGTTCTGGAGCTCAAATAGCAAAGTGGAAAGAAATGGAGATTTACCACTAAAGGCAGCAGAAGCTGATGTGGAGGGATCAAGCAACAAGCAGCCAGCCAAGGAGGTGCTGCCTACATCAGGGAGCTAGAGCCAAATGGAGACTCTCTGAGGAACCTCTGGAACTACCCTCAAGAGAAACATTCAGATGACTTAAAAAGAGTTAACACGAATCCATGTCAAACTCTTCCAAAAGCTAAAAGCCAAAGGACTACTTTCCAACTTATGTTATGAGGTCATTATTATTCTGATCCCAAAACAGATAAGAAAATTATACAGATTAATATCCTTTATGAATAGAAACCTAAAAATCTTCAACAATTACTAGCAAACCAAGTCCAACAACATATAAAATGTACTGTACACCATGGCCAAGTGGGATTTATTCTAGGAATGTAAGGTTGGTTCAATATGTGAAAATCTAGCCACATAATATACCATAATAGTAGGAAAAAAGACAAAAACACATGATCATCTCAGTAGATGCAGAAAGGCATGTGACAAATCCAGCATTCTTTACCGTCAACAAACTAGGAATAGAAGGGAACTTCAACCAGGGCATCTATGAAAACCTCACAGTTAACATTATACTTAACGGTGAACAACTGAGAACTTTTCTCCTAAGACTAGGAGCAAGAAACGTTTTGCTCTCATGATGTGCATTCAACTTTGTACCAGAGGCTGCAGCCAGAGCCATTAGGCAGGAAGAAAATACAAAAGGCATCTAGATTATCAAGAACTCTTACAAGTGAACAATAAAAGGACAAATAACCCAATTAAAACATGGGCCGGCGGGGCGCGGTGGCTCACGCCTGTAATCCCAGCACTTTGGGAGGCCAAGGCAGGCAGATCATGAGGTCAGGAGATCGCGACCATCCTGGCTAACATGGTGAAACCCCATCTCTACTAAAAAAATACAAAAAAATTAGCTGGGCGTGGTGGCGGGCGTCTGTAGTCCCAGCTACTCGGGAGGCTGAGGCAGGAGAATGGCGTGAACCCAGGAGGCGGAGCTTGCAGGGAGCGGAGATCGAGCCACTGCACTCCAGCCTGGGCGACAGAGTGAGACTCCATCTCAAAAAAAAAAAAAAAAAAAAAAAGGGGGGGGCCAATAAATTAAATAGACATTTCTTCAAATAGGAAGGAAAAAGTTGAAAAAGTTCTCAATAATATTAGAAATTAGTGAAATAAAAATTAAAATCACAGTGAAATACCATTTTTCACCTACCAGGATGGCTATTAGAAAATAGGTTTTGGCAAAGATGTGGTAGGTCCTAATGTGAATGAAAAAGGTGCAGCTGCTTTCAAAAAGTTTGGCTGCTTTCAAAAAGTTTGGCAATTTGTTAAAAACGTCAACCTAGAGTTACTTTATGACTCTGCAATTCTGCTCTTAAGTATTTACCTAGGAGAAATGAAAGCACATATACATGTAAAAACTTGTGTCCAAATGCTCATAGTAGCATTATTCATAATAGCCAAAGAGTAGAAACAACTGAAATCTTCATCGTTATTCAGCCATACAAAAGATTGGAGTGCTGATACATGCTACATCACAGATGAACGTTGAAGACTTTATGCTAAGTTAAATAAGCCAGATATGAAAGGCCACATGTTGTCCAATTCCATTTATACTAAATTCCCAGAATAGGCAAATCCACAGAGACAGAAAGCAGCTTGGTGGTTGCCAGGGGCTGGTCAGAAGGGACAATGAGGAATAACTGATTAATGCATAGAGGTTTCCTTTGGGGATGATTAAAATATTTTGGAACAAAACAGAGGTGATAGTGTCACAGATTTGTCTATATTCCAAAAACCACTTAATTATACACTTTAAAAGTAGATAATTTTAGGTACTTGAATTATATCTCATTAAAAAATGATCAATGTAATAGCCCACATGAAGCAGGGAAAAGTAATGTGATTGCTTCAGTGGAGGAAAAAAATTTTGAAAAAATTCCAGGTTCATTTATAAGAAAAAACTGGCTGGGTGCAGTGGCTCATGCTTGTAATCCCAGCACTTTGGGAGGTTGGCATGGGAGGATAACTTGAGGCCAGGAGTTCAAGACCAGCCTGGACAAAGTAGTGAGACTGTCTTTGCAAAAAAGTAAAATAAAATAATTTTAACTAAACAAAGAAAAAACTGATCACAAACTAGAAATTGAAAGAAACTTCTTTAGCTTGTTAAACTTCACATTCACACACAAAAAGTAAACCAAAAATGCAACTATCTATGATTAATTATATACTTAAAGTAGAATAACTTTTTCCATTAAGAATACCTACCACTGGCCGGGTGCAGTGGCTCACACCTGTACTCCCAGCACTTTGGGAGGCTGAGGCGGGCAGATCACGAGGTCAGGAGATCGAGACCATCCTGGCTAACACGGTGAAACCCCATCTCTACTAAAAAAATTCAAAAAATTAGCCGGGCGTGGTGGCAGGCACCTGTAGTCCCAGCTACTCAGGAGGCTGAGGCAGGAGAGTGGCGTGAACCCGGGAGGTGGAGTTTGCAGTGAGCTGAGATGGCGCCACTGCACTCTAGCCTGGGCAACAGAGCGAGACTTGGTCTCAAAAAAAAAAAAAAAAAGAATACCCACCACCAACAATGTTATTTAACATAGTACCAGAGGTCCTGCCCAATATGATGAATAATGATATAATGATAATGATGATGATGATGTAAACCTTATAAGGGAAGATTTTTAAATGTTGCTAACAGATAATATCACCATCAACCTAGAGAAAAACAACTAAATTAGCAAACATTAAGAATTAGTAGGACAGTTTCACAAGATTACCGGAAATAGAATCAATATATTTATCTGGATAAATGGAGATATATTCTGTGGATGCGTCCACTTAACATTATAAAGATATAAGTTCTCCCCAATTTAATCTATAAACAAACTCAATTGAATCCAATAAACATTGCACTTAGAATTTTTAAAGAAAAAACCTCCAAACATATTCTGAAATGCACATAAAGAGAAATATACAAATAACTGTCAGCCTACAAAAATGGTTTAAATGGATAATCATCTCATATGATGCTGAAAAAGCAAATAATTTTTATCTTGCTTAATTCAACAGTTAAGAGAAATTTTTGTTTCAAAGGGGAATCAGTAAGGATGCCTATTCTGACCATCATTATTTCTTGTTTTTCTAAACGTTCTGGCCAATTTCAATAAAAATCAGAAAACATAGATGTAACAACATGGAAAATACAATAAAAATAATTATTTTCTGATTTAAATAATTCTTTACTGATAAAGCTCAAGAAAATTGACTAAAAGCTTACTAGCATTTTACTAGCATTCAGTAAAAAATCCAAATAAAAATGAAATATTCCCAAATGAATAATCATTCTCCTAATTTAATGAAAGGAAAATAACAAAATTATAAGATGAATATAAATGACCTCAATAATATGCTGTGTTCATAAAACTACAAAGTTTCTCTAAAGAATAAAAATTTATATTAAATAATGACAGTGCCAAATATTGTAAAGATATCCATTTTACTAGAATAAAGTTTAGTTAAACCCAAAGATAACAAAGAATATATTTAAATTTTTCTTGATACATTTGAATTTAAAACATCTAGATAATAAGTGTTTTACCAAGAAAAAAAAAAGGTAATTAAAAAGAGATGCATCCTACAAGGTATGCAAATTTATTCTGGAGTTACAGTAACTAAAATAATGTAAGCTTAAACTAAAAAATCAATCAGAGTATATGAAATTTTAATATATGCTAATCATTGTACAATGAAAAATAACTGGGTTATTTCAAGGGAGTTGGAAAAAATTGACTTGTAGAAAATCAGTTGGGTCATACTGTACTCCCAAATAAATTTCATATTAAATGCTAAGTATTAAAAAGAGTAAGCTAGAATAAAATATAGGAGAACAGTTTTAGATGATAGAGGAAGATTTTTCTATCTGTGCTGAGCTGGGATAAATGGAATAAAGAAAAAATGTGTCTAGGGCCTCTGAGGGAATGCCCAGAAACTAAACGTGGGTTAGATATGGACAATTTTCCCACCCACCATGCATCTTTCCATAAATGTGGACTTCCTACCCCCAACCCAGAGCACTACACCTAATTATGTCAGTTTCTCTGTGAATCTCTCACATCTTCTTCCAGTAACTCATTTAATAAATATACATAGCAGAATACACAGGCTCTGACTCTGATGAAGAAAAACTTCTGGCTTTTTGGGGTTGAACTGAGGATCTCAAAAAGGTAGCTCATGGAGGAGATACCCCTACCTTTTATGAGAAGTTTATTGTTTATAAAATGTTCATAAACAATCCAGTATTTGAGCAACAGGACCTTAACAAAGGTAAACTTTGAATATATGGATGCAATAACAGGGCAGTCCATTACAAAGGAATAGCAATGAAAAAAGGCAAAGAATTGGAAAGGTTTGGGAACACAGATGGGGATATCAAGAGATGGAATGAGCAAAAGTATGAGGAGGTATGTTCATCTGCCAGGGCTACAGTTACAAAACACCAGAAACTGACTTAAGCTGATAGTCACAGGGTTCTGGAAGCGAGAAGTCCAAGATCAAAGGATGGTCAGGGACATACTTCTTCCAAAGGCACTGAGGAAGAATCTCCAGATCCTAGCTAGGTAGTTGTGGCAGAGCTTGGCTTGTGGCAGTGTGTTCCAATATTTTCAATATTCACATGGTGTTTTCCATATGTGTCTTTTTTTTTTTTTTCTTTTACCAAATTTCCCCTTTATATAAAGACAGCAGTCGTATTGGATTAGGGCCCACCCAAATAATCTCATTTTAGCTTGATTACCTCTATAAGACTGTTTCCAAATAAGGTCACATGCTGAGATACTGGTGGTTAAGACACCAACATACTTTTTTTGTGGGGAGTGGGGGGCAAAATTCAACCTCTATAGTAAGCAACAGACCAGGGGGAGCTTTATTTCATGGGCTAGTGGGGTGAAGTACTGATAAACAATATCTGGTAACAATGTAAGTTAAGTGATTTTAGTTTGAGGAACAAATGAAAACGGGAGGAAGAAAAAAATCTAGTCAGCAAAAGCAAAAATGTTAGTGCAGGTAACAAGGTCAGAATAAGCTATAACAATTTACATAGGCTTTGTCATTTCCTTTGGAAATTAGGAATTGGTAGTTCAGGTCAGGGAAGAACTATACCAAGACACAGCTTTTAGCAAAAAAGAATACTGGAGCTACCAAGAAAAGTTGAACCAACAGTCTTAAAAAAAAAAAAAAAAAAAAAAGGAACACAGCAAAGAAATCTGCTGGAGGATATACAACCCCAGGAATTTTGCATGCCCTAACAATGAACAGCAGATGGTACTAAGTCCAAAGAACATCGGTAAATAAAATAGCCACTGGTTTCAATCAGTTGAAAAACTGGAATGTTAACTCCAAATCCTATGTAAACCAGTTTCCACAGAGAAATTTTTTTTTTCTTTTTAAGTGAAAACATATTTACATTTTGATGGCACATTTCTTCCATGGCTTTCAAAGCATTTCCATGGGTAAGTGTTCAGCTTTATGAGTCATCCAGGGCAGATCACTTTTAAATTGGTATTGTGGGGTTGCTTTCATTATAAAGGGGGTATTTCAGGTCTACTGTAGTTTCTAGGGTTTGGGGATGGCTTTCCTGGGAAGGGAACCATTATTTATAACAATGTTTCTATGTGAAAATGAGTACAACTGCATGAATAAAGTGCAAACTACGTAAGTATAAGCAAACCAGGAAATAAGAGACTTACATATTGCCATAAAATGTATCCAACTTAGTGCTAGTTATAGCTGTTTGCAGAACGTAGAGATGTTGGCACAAATCCATGAATAGTAACCGATTATGCAAAAATTAATCTAACCCATAGAAAACAGCTCACATTAGCACCACAATGAAATCTCTAACAGGCGTTATGTTCCAAAATGAAGTACATGAAAAAAATTCATATTGTCATAATTACCTTCAATAAGCCCCCAAACCACGCATAAAGTACATTGTGTTTTTGTACACTCTCCCAACATAGACTAAAACTGCTATTTTGTTTCTGCTTTTTGTTTTTTAGGTGGGCACCAAGCAGAGATAAAGTAGCTAATATAGAAGGTCCATATTTAATAGATTTTAAAGGTATGTATCTATTATCTATGTCGAGTGCTATAGTTGAATTTGGATAAGTGATATGATGGCTCTACTTTCCCCTTAAAAATATTTTTTAATATTTTCATGATTAGGGTTCACTTCATTTTTACTCAAGTCAATAAAGTATCCTTAGGCCCTGACCTAACACTTCTCTTCCTCTCTCTTATTTTCATTGTCTGTTTCTGTTTCTGTTGGATCCCACAGGTCCAACCAGTTCTTGCGGGCATAATGGGAACAGCAGCAGTACTGGAGCTGTGTCAGCCTTAACCAGACTCTGCCATTTACTAATTTTGAGCTCTTGGATCACTAAACCTCTCTGATCATTAGCATAAAGTCAGCATTAGCATCTAATTTATATGGTTTGGGGAAAATAAGGTATTTATAGACAAGCAGGTAGCTATAATATATGTGTAAAATGGCACGCATTTTACAGATGAGGAAACTGGAACTCAGAGACATTAAGCCCAAGATTATTCTGATATGAAATTACAATTGACTATATTAATTCAAGCTGTTATAACTACAGAGCCAGAGTTCTTCACCACTATATGTTCCTAATACAAAAGCCATAGATCCAACATTCCTCAAGATCTGAAATACTGCAGTCAGACTTACACATATTCACCTAACAACTGAGAAACCCAGGCTCTTTTCTCTTCTGCATCCTGCCATCTATTTAAATGTGAAGATTCTGTGCCAAAATTGCCACATTCTGCAAATTCCCCCAGATACTTCAGTAAGATGTGGCTCATAGAAAATATTTCAGAAAGAGCTAAAATATACCACATGCTGAATCAAGATTTCAACTTGAACATATGAGATGTTCAACTCAAACATATCAACAAAAACAAATCAACTATTTGTTCCATATCTACATCATCGAAGTGTTAAGACAATTTTTTATAAATTCTCTTAGTATGCCTTCTAAAGGGGCTTCATATAAATTCTATGTTATCTTAAACATTCTCTTACTTTAGTAAAATGAAAAGTATAAGAAAGTGATAAAAGTCAGAATAAAACTTAAGCCATGTTCTCAGTAATATTAAGCATGGATAAAAATAAAATAAATGCATGCCAGAAATCAACTTAGAAAAAAACAACAAAAGCGCTAAAGAAAAAAAATAAATATTGAAATGTGCTATTTCCTTTTCATTCCAACTAGCTTACTTTTGCTTATAATAATCTTTTGGAATATATACAGAATTTTCCTGGGGCAAGGATACATTCTGAATCTAGCAATTTTACTTTTTGGCCCTCATAAATACATAGCAAAGAAACATAAAAAGATGACAAATACTGAGATGCTGGATGACCCTGAATTAGTAACACTCCATACTTCATTTGTTAGTGGCATTCAGTATTGATCCTTAGTCCAGATATTCACAATTCCAAACATTAAAAAGAGTCAGTAAAACACATTTATGAATTTTTTTTCTGATCACAAGATGAATATGCATGCCCTTCTTGAAAAATTCTACATTAAAAATTATGGCAGGAACAATAAAATCTTCCAAAATCCTCCTTGAGATAACCTCTACTTCATTTAAAGATGTAAGGTATTATGGCTAAAAAATAAATAGGCAAATACTTGATTAAATTTGGTTCTAAATTGCAATTCTCAAATTTTAGAGAAGTCTATATAGAAAATATTTGTTTAGGTCATCAGTTAAGATAGAGGTACATATTATTTGTTCCAGGAATCTTTATTTGATTCTTTATTCAACAAATTCCATTTGAAATATACTAAAATTCAAGTACTTTCCTAGGTGATAGGAATGAACTAAACACATGCAAATTTCTGCCTTCACAGAAAAATTACATTTTATTAAAGGGGATGAAACCAAATAATAATTATCTTTAAAAGACAATATTTTACAAGAAACTGAATGTATTGATGAAAAATAAAGCAGAGAAAGGAGAAAGAGCCTGCCAAGGAGTAAACAAATGCTGCAACTTGAAGTAGGGTGGTTAGGGATGGCCTCACTGATAGGATGACGGTTGAGCAAAAAGCTGAAGATGAAGAAATGAGGTATGTCTGTCTAGGAAGCAGATTTCAGATATATCTCACATGCTGTCATGGGATCCTTGGGGTGTCACTTTGCCAGCCAGAAACTTCTGTGGCCAGTGGCGCCCTCTGCTTGAGTATAACTCATGCCCTCTGGGTTCATTCTGCCCACCTGGCCCAGCTGGCTGTGCTCAGTTTGCACTACCAGCTGTAGCTCTTCTCTCTTCATCACCCACAACATGGCAAGTGGGAGACAGGCATGTTTCAGCCTGGTTTGTTACAGCTCTTTCAGTCCTGCCATTTAGAAGATCCTGAGTTCTGGCCCCACGTCCAGGAAGAATGAGGTACACAGACAACTGGGGGGTGAGCAAGGCAGAGAGAAGAGCTACATTGAGTGACAGAACAGCTCTCAAGAGACCCAAAGTGGGTAGCTCCTTTATGCAGGCAGGTCATCCCAATGAATGTCCAGCTCTCAGTGGAGAGGAGACCTGCAGTGGGTAGCTCCTTTCCACAGGCAGGTCATCCCAACAAGTCAAAGAGGGTAGCTTCTTCCAGCAGCTGGTAGTCCTGATATCTGTCCAAGTCTGGCTGAGTCCAGGGTTTTTATGGGCTCTGATGGGAAGAAGTGCATGCTGATTTGTCTATGGGTGGCCATGAGTGGGCCTGAAAAAAGCAACATAAGTTCTCACTCTGGGCCACAGACTCCACCTGGAACTGGCAGCTCAGCCACCAGGTTTCAGGCTGTCCCTGGCTTGAAGGTGGGGTCTCACTGGGGACCTGTCCCTTTCCACCCAGAAGCCTGCCTGCCTCCTGCCACCATCAACATGCCATCCATGGTACCCAGGCTGTTCATTCTGAGGAGTGCCTGCACCAGGCTGCCCTCAGTCCCTCCTTGGCCTCTCTCCTGTGCTCGTTGGCACCCGAAGTTCAGAGGGGACCGAGGCAGCAGGGGGCTGGTATGTCAGCATCACCCTAAGCACACGCATACTTGGCCAGGTTGCAACACCACCCAGGCTTGGTCACAGCTTTGCTCCACCCTGGAGCAGACACCAGGAATGGGGAGAGGTCAGAGAGCAGGAGCAGGCACTTCCAAGCCTGGACAGTAGCTGAAATTGCCATCCTATCTAGTCTTGCCGGCAACAGAAACATTCTATTCTCTAATACTAATACCAATTACCTCTTAATGGCCCACATGAGCGGCCTTTAGAGGAATCCTATTGCTAGCTTATGAGAGGGAATATCTGGAAGACACACAGGCTCTTCTTAGTTACAGCAGCTTATTACATTTAGGTCTTCCCATCAAGGGGATGTACAATATTGTTATCAACTTTTCTGACAAGTTTTCACTCTTAGCTGGGATAGTTTTAATAAAAATTTTGGGTCTACCTACCCATATACAAACTGCAAAAGATAAAAAGCTACTTGTCCTATAACTCTCCGCCCTTCCTGGGGTCATGATGTATGCACCCAACAAATCAAAGGTCTTTCTTCACCCTTGGGGATAAGCCAGACACTTTGTTCTTTTTCTGGAGCAACGAGCTCTACAGGAATTCAGGAATAAGCATTTCACTGCAAAGCATGACTTCAGAAGCAGAAGAAAGTAGCCTTAAAGCAAAGATGAGGTTAGAAGTACCCTTGTAGTCAGCATGACTATTAGGCACCAATAGAAAAGAACATTCACATTCATGTCCATCTAATTGCCTTCAACCAAGGTCTAGTTAACACCAGTTTTTTTTTTCCATAGGAGATACCCCTTATGAGTATACCCTTAAAAATCTGGTCTTAAATGACCTCCTGTTTGACCATGCAAATGAGGTCATTAGCAATAGCTCATTAGAACACACCTTAGATTTCAGCCCACTGAGAAAGGGCAGGCAATACTGAGAGCTACCAGAATTTCCAATTATTATGCTTGATAGCTGCAGCTCATTGACTATGACCACTTCAGAGGTAAACTGCTTCATCAGGGAACCAGTTTTACTTGTCAAGTCTTAAAGACAAAACTCTTTTTGAGCTAGAACTTTAGGAAAAACAGCTAATGTAGATATTTTTCCAATAGATGGGCAGCTAACTACAGGTGGAGTTAACTGAGTCTGGGAGGAATGGTCTTATTCCTTGACTGGATGTACCATTTTTATTTCACAAGACAGCATCCTCAATTTTGTCTTACCTTATGGGACTTCAACTCAGAAAGTACTTATTATCAAATAGGAATGTGAAATTGAAGAGTCAAAGTTTTCCTTTAATGAGGAAAATCTCTCCACCAAATCTGAAAAGAGGTAAATAGATGCCAACAGTTTTATTATCAAAGACACAAGCCAACCAAGAGCCAGGTTATGTATATCGGCAAATACTTACTTTGAATGACCATAGCAGGTCTTGGTAGCATAGGAAGTTCCTACTGGTGCATTCAGCATCAACACATCAGGTCCTACTGAGGGTCTTCTACAGTATAAATTTCCTTTGCCAATTATGCAGTCTGACAAAGGAAGGGCTATCATGTTCCATTCAAAAGGTGAAAAATATCAAGTAATTATGATCTGGGCTTATGAGCAATGGCAAACACTAATCTCAAATCAAGAAAAAAAAAAGAATTTATTTTGTAGCTTCTCTGACCCATGGGTAAAAGTTACCTGGGGTTTTTAATCTAGTAAAAGTAGGAATTTGAAGAGTTCAACACTTATGGTGATTCTCCCTGGGAGATAGAAGGACAAGACCTCAACACTAGTTTTTTAATGTGAAAGGGCTCCCACTCAGGGACCAGGATCAGTTTTACAAGATGGTGCTGAAAGCAGCAAGAGTTTCCTCCATGTGCTCCACTTCAGTACCACCAATGTAAATGAGATTGGTTTGACAAAGTCTTTAGCTTCATCTCTTGGATGTACTTTCAAAGATTCCGGGATTTGAGGGTCATGCATGGCTAACATCAAGGATGAGAACAAACAATTCTAGTCTTTAAAGGGATCTCCCTTTGTCTCAATCTTCTGAAGGTTCTCCTTCTACTAACAAATTGCTCTAGCTCACAGATTAGTCTTCATTATATCCTATTAGTCTGTTCCTTGTACTTTCTTTAGCTTCCTTTGGGTTTCCATATATGAACAAGCTACCTTGCATCTAAAAGTTTGAGAAGCCATCATTTCCTCTGTGTCCATCTCTTTTCATAGGAGCTTTAGTCACATTATTTGGTGTGAGATAATCTCATAAGGCAGTTTGTGGTCCAGCACTCAATCCCCCACTTCATCTTTATTTCTTACTGTTTTGATAAAAAAAAACATGGACTCGTTTTGAGGATCCTTTGTCTCCATTAACTTCTTAATGCAAGTCATCTACCAGCCTGGAAGAATCATCTCATCCCCATTTAGACATTTAGACAACTATTCCAGGTATATTCAGGTCAGGCAACCGGGTGGGGCTTCATCATGCTGTACTGGTGTTTCCCCCTCAGGGCAGATTTGCTGTTCCAGGGCTGCAGTAGTCCAGAGACAAAGACCCCTAATCACTCCCCTGTTGGCATCCCAACTCAGCCAAGTCGTCCTCCATGTCCAAAGGGAGATATTTCTCCCATTTAGGGGTAATATAACACCTTGGACACTTTGTAAAGGTTGTACCATCAGGACTAGTGGGACTTGTCCTTCACTAGGTGCCACTGGATGTGCAAGTAGAAAGGGCAGATATTACAACCTATGTGCAGGCTCACAGAAATGTATACCTTCAGGGGTAGCAGGAAAGATGTGGTTTGACATCCCAAGGAGAGGCACACATCGTCAGCCATAACTAGGAACTTAGTGGATTTCCTCCAGGAGACGGACATACACCCTTGCCTCCTTCCACTTACATGGGGGAGCTTGGAAGGGATGGAGCAGAATCACCTGAACAATCTAGCCTTGGTGGCATCCAAAGTTTCCTCTTTTCTTATACTAATGACATGGAGAGAACAGTTACATATGAGAGGTCTGGCACGGTTCCTTACTGAGCCACAGTATCCAGTGAGCATATTTCTGTCTCTCTTGAGTCCACGTCCTGGCCCCAGTGGCTCTGGAAACATAGCTTTCATATCAGAAGACATTAGTTGCAGTATTGTGACTTGTTTGCACCCTGAGCTATTGGCTGGCATGAATCTGAGAGGCTATTTGAAGGAGCTTCTCTGTAGCTATAATACAAGAGGAGAAAGAAAGGATCATTTGCCTTGTAACCACAACATGCTGCTACTTGCTTTCTGGAGCTGGAAAGATTCACCTCAAAGTCTGTAGCCCATGGCAGGGCATGTGGGGGTGGGTGCCAGGTTTTTTGGTCCTTGCCTGTCACTCACTTGACTGGGTTATGTCTAGTCCAATTATGTCTCTTATATGGGATGCCAAAATTCTGGGAGGTGATGTATATTTTGATAGTCTGGCATTTAGAGATTATGCCAGATTGTGTCTTTTCTGGTATTTATCCTATCCCTTGCTTAACAATCCTAGAAAAGATAAAAACCACGTTGCATGGTTAGCCAGGGAAGGTCTCAGGTAGAGTTTTCCACAGCACTGGTGAGATCCAGGAGCAAAGGTGATTGGCAAGCTTAAATGGAACAGTAAGGTAGCTAAGTAAACACAAAGTCTGAAGAAGACTTCTTGTTAGAAGCAAGAGATACCTTAGTTATGATCTATGTGGACTATCCTGGACCAATCTGTGGAAAAAGGTGACTCGGCCAGGCGTAGTGGCTCACACCTATAATCCCAGCACTTTGTGAGGCCGAGGCGGGTGGATCACCTGAGGTCAGGAGTTCAAGACCAGCCTGACCAATATGGTAAAACCTCATCTCTACTAAAAATACAAAAATTAGCTGGGCGTCGTGGCATGCGTCTGTAGGCCCAGCTATTCAGGAAGCTGAGACAGGAGAATTGCTTGAACCCGGGAGGCAGAGGTTGCAGTGAGCCGAGATCGCACCACTGCACTCCAGCCTGGGTGACAGAGCAAGACTCCATCTTGAAAAAAAAAGAAAAAAAGAAAAAGGTGACTCAACAGATGCCAACTCAAATAGAGAGAAACCTAGTGCAGCCTCCTTCAATGTCCGTGGGGGATTTGTACAGGTGGTAACCCAGAAGCAACCCTGGGAAAGTAGAAAAACTGAACTTAGTGTTTGCCACCATGTGGGTTGGGAGTTGAATTAAAAACCAACTTGGCATAAAGAAAAATAAAACTAGTGGGTTCGTTTTCTTCTGCTGTGTAACAACCACAAATTTAATGACTTAAAACAAGATCCACTTATTAAGCCATAGTTCCACAGGTTGTAAGTCTAGCATGGCATGCCTGGGTTTTCTGGTTAGGATATCACAGGCCTGAAATCAAAGCATCGCACAGGCAGAGCTTTTGTCTGAAGGCTCTAGGAAAAAACCCACTTCTAAATTTATGCTTATTGTTGGAAGAATTTCATTCCTTTTGGTTGTAGAATCGAGGTCCCTTTTCTTTGCTGACCTTCATACAGGGGACTCTCTCAGTTCAAGAATACTCAAGTTCCTTGCCACTTGGCTTCTGCCAACTTCAAGCCATTTTCCTGTGTCTCAAATCTATGACTTCCTATCTCTGATCCCCAGCAACAGCTCTAAAAGGCTCATGTGATTAGATGAGGTCTACCTGGATAACTCCCTTTCTTAAAGTCAATGGTTCCATGTAGCATAACTTAATCATGGTTTTTCTATTCTATCATATCCACAGTACTCAGGGATTTTGCCAGGCGTGCGTGCCAGGGGATATGAATTAGGCAGACTTCTAAGAGGTCCTCCAATCATAAGTATATATTTTCTGTATCCTTGATTTAATGAGCTGGGAGAGATACGTGCTACATGTATATCTAGGCTGGTAGGCCCTTGGGACCAGCAACTGTCTCCATAAACAGTAAAGTGGATGTTAATGACATAGAACAGGGATAACTTGGCCACTTGAATATAATGCAGGTACTTTAGGTAGGTAGCAAGAAAACACAGCAGTATGTTCCACTACATACCATGAATATCTTTATAAAGTTTTATTCAACTTTTAGTTCCTTTTGTGCCTCTTCTCAGCTTTGTCTCACTTTCCTACTTCATTTCCTTTTTTACCTCTTCATTCTTCCTTTATTTTCCCTTCTCTTGTGTCTGCCTAAGACCTATCATCTGTGGATTGGGAGTAGAGGACCTAGCCTCTACATTCTAGTTCCACCAAAATATGGGTGGCCTTGAGCAAGTCTCTTATCCTCCCCATGGTTTGATGCCTTCCTCTGATGGTTGTAGTGAGAATAGAGAGGGGGTGCGTGATATTGAAGTATATAATAGGGAGGCTATAGAGTAAAATTGAACCACAGGGGTTTATAATCAGGCTTCTCTATGTAAGTTGCACAAAGTCATACGACAAGTAGGTTGTAGAGGCAAGACCAGTAGGTTGTATGACCTTGTGCAACACACATGATCTAACTAGTTCTTAGTCTCGCAGTCATAAACTGCAAATGGTAGTACCTCAACTGTCAGGAGTATTTTCATTATTATACACATAAGGCACTTAACACAATGTCTCTCACATACTAAGTTACCAATAAATGATAGCCATTATTTTAATTAACATATAAATATATATTATTATTTTACCTTTCTGATTTTATTCATAGCTAAAATTATTAATGATATTCTTCCTAGATCCTTTGCAAAAGATCCTTAGTAGCTTTGGGGAAAAAAACACATCATATTGGACTTTCATTTTTCATTTACCACTTTGCATCACCACTATGTATTCAATGTCATCTTCTTTTGGCAATTAAGAATTTCTGCTGACATTGGCTTTTTCTTTTCCTACTTGCATCTGATTAGCTTATCTTTCTCTTACTCATGACTGATTAGGTTATCTGCTCCTTTGGCAACTTGCAAGATTATGTGTTCTCAAGATCTATTGGCTATGTAATCTTTCCCTTTAGTCAATCTAATACATATTTAGTAAACTCCTGTAGCCTCAATAAAGTGAGGGGGCAGAGTAGACTAGATAAAGCACTAGAATGTCATTTCTGTCTTTAGGTGCAGGTGACTAGCTAAAGGTAAGTAGCCATGAAAAGAGGAAGGAAAAAGAAACGTTAAAACATGGGGTCAAATACAACATAGAAATAGAAGTCAGGTCAAAAAAGTAGACAAATGAAAGCTGTGGTAGGCAGAATAATGCTCCCTCCCCATGGATATCTACATCCTAGTTTCCTGAAGCTGTGAATCTGTTACATTACATGGCTAAGGGGACTTTTCAAATGTGATTAAGGTTCTTGAGATTGGCAGATTATCCTGTGTGATGCAGGTGAGCCCAATGTAATCATGGGATTCCTTATAAGAGAGAGAGGCAAGACACTGACTGTAAGTAATACAGCCTGAGAAGGACTCTTCCAGCTATTTCTGGCTTTGAAGATGCAAAGGAGCCATGAACTAAGAAATACAGGCAGCCTCTAGAAGTTGGAAATGGCAAAGAAACAGATTCTTACTCAGAGCCTCCCAAAGGAATACAGCCATGTGATACCTTCATTTTAGCCCAGTGAGCCTCATTTCAGAATTCTGACCTAAAAAACTGTAAGGTAATAAATTTATGTTGATCTAAGCCACCAACTGGGTGGTAATTTGCTACAACAGCAATAAAAATGAATACTAAAAAGGTATCTAATAACTGCAGTGACACTTAGATGGCAGCCAATTCAACAAGAAAAATCAGCATAGGCATTATAGGAGATGTTTCAGTGCATGTGTTGTTTACTATCCCCCATCTTCTGTGCTGGGTTCCCAAAGGCAACTGTGGTTGTAACATTTTGCTGCCACTCCTGTTTACTACAGCAAGAAACAAACACCTGATCAGATATGGGCCAATCAGGATCCATTTCCTAGAAATAAGAGAAGTCTGGCTTTGCAGTGTGCATTGTCATATATGAACCTGAATGTCATCAGTGATCATTTCCCTCTTACCACCAATATTGATAACAAAGAAAGCCAGCCTGTCAAGAAAGAAGACTTCAGCCCCGCAGAGAGGAGGAGAAAGGAGGGTGTGTGTGTGTATGTGTGTGTGTGAATTTGAGAGAGGATATTCTCTAGGCTTCCTACCCACCTTCTAGTTCCTGGATCAAATCCATTCTAAGGTCAAGCTGCATTCCTGCCTTTCAATTCCATGCGAGTTCTCATTCATGAACAGTTGCATATGCCAATTTCAGGTGGTTTCTTTTAGTCAGAACGCAAAAAGTCTTAAATATTGCAGAAAGTAAAGAATACAAAAGGAGAAGGGATGGATTAAGACTTGTATCTAAAAACTGTAAGCTAATGAACTATAGCTGACTTACTATGTAAGAAAGGATCAGTGGCCTGGATAGCAAAGTATGTAACAAGGTGTTATAGTTAAGCTTTTGTTGTACATACACATATAATTTTGTATGTCACTTTTAAATTTTTGAAAAGAAAATATTTTAATAAGTCACAAAGGTAAAAAAATAGAAATTTACAAAGGTAAAATGTCAAATGGAAATGCAGCACTTAAAAAAAAAGTCAAAACTTAGTCCAAGATGCTTTGGACAGCATGGACAGAACAAGGATAAAAAAAGAGGTCAAATTGGAAAGAGAATATGATTTTAAAGAGCTACTTCTGCAAAGAGGACTTTCAGAGCATGCCCCAGAAGGCTGGAAGATCTACTCCCTCAAAGGGAATATTGTGGAACCTAGCCCCATACCTCACAAGCTGGCGAAGAGGGATTCCAATCAGACTCCACTGAGAGCTTACTCTGAAGCCCTTGAAGCTTAGGGCATAGTGAATTAGGGTGCTGATAGAGATAAAAGCAGAATATGAGGCAGAGGGCTAGACACTATTTTATGGAGAGCAAAAACTAGAAGGTATAAGCCCAGGTGACTTAGTGCTTTTGGTTGCAGAGCCAGGACAGTTGCCTTGTCACTGGGGTTGGGGCCATCCCCAGAGTTTGTTGAAGCAAAGAATGTGTGAGTGTTTCCCATGTGCCATGAGTGAGAAGGAGCTAGTGAGGGGTCACCTCTGGTGTTCTAGAAAGGTCAAAGAGATCTTTCAGCAAGGGGCTAGAGATGAACATGAGTTCCTGAAGGCCACAGAAGGAAGTTCAAATGACTAGTTAGAATGGACAGGCAATCTCCTGGGTCAAGAACAGCCAAGTGAGAGGTCCTCTATTTGAGATTTTCAAAAGAGCCTATGGAAGACACCACAAGAGAGAGAGTGGGCATAAACCATGCCAAGCCCAGAGAGAATAAAGCCATTCAGCCCAGAGACACTTGTATGCCTTCTGACCTCTCTTCTTTCCCCAAGCCTCACCCCTGGAGGGGTATAGAACATCCACTGGGGGATAGAATTAGAAAGGGTGCAGGTAGTGAGTACACCCCAGACCTTAGCTGGGAGAAGGTGAGAAGTCATGTCTTTCAATAAAGACAGAAGTGTTCATTCACAGCTTGGACTAGATGCTCCTAACTCTTGAATTATGACTATTTTGTGACATATATTGACTCTGGGACAGTCTATTATTTCAGTAACTCTATTGAGGAGCTGAGGAAAGTCTTCCTCCACCGAATGAAGTTGAAAGGGACGTCAGGAGACAGAGCTTTTATCCATCTTATGAGTCATACATTCAGTGCATCAGTTACACATACCTATTACATATAGGTAATCTTCATTATAAATGTTGTGGTTTTCACATTTTAAGACATCTGTAAATAATTGGGCATGCTTAATTTAAATGCTGTAGATTTGATCTTACCCATACATTTAGTAAGTAATGAGCTCTCAGTGAGGAATTGATGCTTCTAAGTCTGTACAGAGACAATGCAGCTGATGTAGCTGTTGTCCCACCCCCTAAGCACTGAATCCACCTCTGAATTCACCTCCAGGTTGGGGGAGAAGATCCCTGCAGGCTGACAGTTTCCCTCCTCACAAGGGTGCTGTATCATTTAGTGATGTAGATATAATTAGCAGGAAAATGTAAAGAGAATTTGTATAAAAAGGTAATAATGGTTTCTTCTGGGGAATAGGATGGGATAGAGAGGGGAGAAACCGGTGATGGCTTTCCTTATGAACACCTATCTCCTTTTAAAAAATAATTATTTAAAGTATTTACCTGTGTGATATGGTTTGGCTGTGTCCCCACCCAAATCTCATCTTGAATTCCCATGTACTGTAGGAGGGACCCAGAGGGAGGTAGTTGAATCATGGGGGCAGGTCTTTCCCTGCCCCTGTTCTCGTGATAGTGAATAAGTCTCATGAGATTTGATTATTTTATAAAGGGGAGTTCCCCTGCACAAGCTCTCTTTGCCTGCTGCCATCCATGTAAGACGTGACTTGCTCCTCCTTGCCTTCCACCATGATTGTGTGGCCTCCCCAGCCATGTGGAACTGTAAGTCCATTAAACCTCCTTCTTTTGTAAATTGCCCAGTCTCAGGTATGTCTTCCTCAGCAGGGTAAAAACAGACTAATACATTATGCATACTTTCCAAAAGGAAAGCTATACATTAAGTTACAACTACAAGGTGCAGCGAATATGTACCTATCCAATTTCAATAGAACTAAATGCATGCATGCGCAGGCACATACACAAACACACTCATAGGACATAAAATTTTTGAAACTCCTCTTAAAATGAGCCAGTTTCTTTTGTTTCAACTTGACAGCTATTATGATCCAGAGAAAGTCAAGACAGGACAGATGCTATCCTAGAAATTTCTTCCAACCCCAGAAGACTGTGGGAAGAAAAAGATTAGTGGGGAGTGGTCAAGACCTCCTCTTTACTTTAAGCCAAAATCTGAAGTTGGGGTAGGAAGCATATTACATAGGTTGAAGAGAAGCTAAAAGTGGGAGGGCTTTTTGCCAGTTCCACATTTTGTCCTGTGGGAAGAGTCTTGCATGGAGTGGCCACCACACAGTAAACACATGGACATGGTGCAGTGAAGGAGAAGTCAGGTCTGAGTTTATCCTTCTAGAACTTCTGCCAGCAGCCTGCACACTATGTAGAAGGTATCCACAGTTCTTAGGTGCCCTGTGGAGGGAGGATGGGCCTTAACTGGTTCTTTCCGAGAAGCAGGACTGGAAGAGGAAGATGGGGGAAGGTATAGAAGAAAAAGTTTGGGCAGGAAGAGGAGAGGAGAAGCAGCTGACCCTAGTCTCCTTACAAATACTTTTGTACAAGTGAGCTTTTTATATGCTCTCCAGCCACAGGCTGCAGCAGGCAGGGGTAGCAGTGACCTTGTGGACAAGAGTAACCAGGCTGTAGAGTCCAATAGGGAGCCAGAAAACAACTCTGGGACTCTCCTGCAGATCTGAAGCCCTCCCTCCTAACACCCCCTCCACCAGCCACCGACACATGGCAAACTGCCCTAAGACTTCGTCATCAATCTGGGAAGGAGAAGAGGTAAGACAATCTGAAAAAGCAAGTATTTCCTCATGAAGGGCTCTGGTACACAAAAAGGAGACTTACAACTACCATCAAAATTTCACAAAATACACCCAGAGGTTTGTTTTTTTTTTTTTTTTAAAAAAAAAAAAAAAGAAAAAAGAAACTGTCAGAAAACTAGTCCAAACATGAAAAATGGTGAGTCATGAAAACACAGTGTGAGCTGTGAACTTTTTTTTTTCTCCAAGTCAGTGTAAAATGTATGCAGGTTTTGTTAGAATAAAATGGAGAATGGAGAGGATGGAGTGTCCTCTTAGGGGAAGACCTCCCATCCACTGCCTCCTGGGAGCCACCAGCCCTCCTCCACCCCCAACCTATGTTGTCCCAGATCATACATGCATATCAGAGTTAGCTAGTGTCAAACTAATTAATCAGAAGCACATAAGGTTTACATCAGACTAATTAACTTCAAAACAAACATAAATCTTGACAGCACGTTCCACAAAACAGCAGGGGTGAGTGGAATAAGACATTGTGACCGGGGCCCCAGCTCCAGCTCTATAACACCTCACACAGCCTGGCCATCACTAACAGAAGATGACCAGGTTTTACTTTAAAATTGTTATTTTGGCTGGGTGTGGTAGCTCACCCCTGTAACCCCAGCCCTTTGAGAGCCAAGGCAGGTGGATCACCAGAGGTGGGGAGTTTGAGATCAGCCTGGCTAACATGGTGAAACCCTGTCTCTACTAAATACACAAAAGGAGCTGGGTGTGGTGGCACACACCTGTAATTCCAGCTACTCGAGAGGCTGAGGCAGGAGAATCGCTTGAACTCAGGAGGCAGAGATTGCAGTGAGCCAGGATCGAGCCACTGCACTACAGCCTGGGCAACAGAGTGAGACTCTGTCTCAAAAACAAAAACAAAAACAAAAACAAAACAAAACAAAAAATACTTTTATTTTATACTTGATGACAAAACAATGACCTGAAAACTAAGATACACAGTAAGTCAATGAGCCACTTCCACAATGCTAAGCTTTATTTTTACAGCCATTTTTTTGCACTCTTTTTCTCACTAAGTTGAATGAACTGAAGATGGTTTCAGCATCACAGACACCCCTGAATTGAGTTAGGATGAGAAAGCCTGTCCCTGCTCTCATTAGAGGTGCCACTGCAGAAGGGTATACAGGTTTTAATGAGCCAAGAGTGATTTTCTTATAAAACTGGACCCAGAGGCAGCTTTGCTTGGAAAAGAAGCCATCTCTGTAGCACAACATATTAGAAAGAGCATGGACTTTATAGACAAATAGGTCTTCATTAAACTCTGATTTTATTCCCTCCTTGATGATATCAGATTAATAATATTAAATGACTTAGGTTCTTAGATGCAAGCAGCAGATGCTGACTATGGTTTTGTTCAGAAAAAAAGAAAAAAGAAAAGACTTGATTTAAAAGATACTGAGTAGCTGACAGGATTGCAGGGAAGACCAGAGAACCAGGCTTAAGCTAAGGAACTCCACCGGAGCCCCTACTGGCAGATGCCTCAGCTTGCCTCTCAGATACTATGGCCACCTCTGGAAAATGGATGTCTCTTTCAATCCCTACTGCTTCCATCAGTCACCAGCTCAGTTTTATTTTGTTTTTCTATGGTCTCTGCTTCATCAGGACACTCTCTTCCCATTCAAAGTCTGGAGCCAGTGTGCCCACACCTTAGCTAGGAGGGATGCTGAGAAAATGGAGTTGAAAACAGACCCTGCTCATCAGTCAACTACAAATACTTCTTTGGAAAAGTTTCAATAAGGCTAAAATTACAAAGACAGGTGTAAATTCCATCAAGGAAGAGATCTTGACCCCTAATTTAAGACTGGCACATAATGAATGCTTAAAAAGAGTTGTTAGAGTAATTTTAGGAAACAAGAAATGGATGAAGAATACGGGTAAAAATTCTTACTCTGTGTGGAATATAATAGACAAGTAAGGAAGTAAGACAAGTAAGACAAGTTTTTTTCTTTTTTAGTCTTATGTCACTAACTTCTTTGGAAACCATATTCTATACATTCTTTATATTTGGCAATAAGAAAATAAGTTTTCTGATACATGGCTTAGTATGTTTAAATGGGAACTATACGTTATCCAAATTATCAATTTTAAAATAACTAGAATGAAATAAATGCACTTATTGCCAAAAGTTTTTTTCATCTTCAGAAAGTTCTATGGCAGGCAGGCATTGTGGCTCATGCCTGTAATCCCAGGACTTTGGGAGGCCGAGATGGGTGGATCACCTGAGATCATGAGTTCGAGGCCAGCCTGGACAACATGGTGAAACCCTGTCTCTATTAAAAATACAAAAATTACCTGGGTGTGGTAGCGGGCACCTGTAATCCCAGCTACTCAGGAGGTTGAGGTAGAAGAATTGCTTGAACCTAGGGAGGTGGAGGTTGTAGTGAGCCGAGATCACGCCACTGCACTCCAGCCTGGGAGACACAGCGAGACTCCATATTGAAAAAAAAAAAAATAAAGTTCTATAGCATTACCCACTGGGCATTATTTGTTATCTCTGTAATTAATATTCTGATAATGAAAGTAAATGTCACATAATAGACTTCCAAATTTTAGATTGCTTCCTAAATCAACTTTTAAATGAATACTTTTCTTAGTGACTATAATTTTAAAAATATTAAAAATTTAAAAAACAAACACCTAGTGACTTTTTTCAAGCAGTGTCGTTTCACTTTTAAGAGAAAGAAATGCTGTTTTCAAACATGCAAATTAGTTTTTAATTGCCTCACTGGCAATATGTCCTTCATTCACACTATGAAGTGTTTGTGTCCTCTAAACAGAATTTGCTTTACTAATAAAGAAATCTTTATGATGGGCCAAATTCTCACCCTATTCAGTTGTCAGAATTCAAAACTTTTATTATAAAGATCTTATCATTTTCTAGGCAAGGCACTGAAAAATTGGAGGGGAAAGTAATTTACCATAGTAACTCTGAATATCTTTCTACTTCTGAAATTTGCAGGCTTATAAAATTACAAAATAAATACAAAAGTAATTCAAGATGTTCTGAACCATGGTAAATCAGAGTTAAACAGACCATGCAGCAAAGCTATTTACTCAGCATAGAATTTTGGCCATCTGGATCATCTTTAAACCAGACCAGGCAAAATGATAAAACACACAGCAGAAGGACAAAAGCCACATGCAGCAAAGCCTCCACCTCTCACCTACACACTATGTGTGGCCCCATTGCTAGAAATGGCCTAAAAACCAAAAGTTTCAAAAACAAACTTTCAATAAAAAGCCTTGGTTTGTTTGTTTGTTTTTTTTTTGGAAAAAAAAACAAATCAAATATATGTTAAAGGAAAATGCAAATAAACAAAATCAGAATGAAATTCATTATAATCCTACCAGAAGTAATCATTAACATTTTTGTGCATTCGCTTCTAATTTTATGTGCATATATGTGTATGTGTGTTTAGATGTATATGTGCATATTCACAAAAAATGAAGTCATATTGCACCTACTTTACATAACTTAATTTCCTCACCTATCAATATTTCCAGTCTCACAATATTTCATTGCATGGAGCTACAAAATTATTGACCACATCCTCTCCTTGGGTATTTAAGTTGGTTCTAATTCTTTGTCAGTATAAGTAGAATTATGATGAATATATTATAATAAAAAATCTGACTTCCTTTCTGATATTATACCACTGACCCCTTTCAAATCCCATCCCTTATTTTCCCCCAGTTGCCCCACATCTGGGCAAGCCTATAAGAAAGCCTGGTGCTGCTACTCCTAGCACAGAGAAGAACTTCAAGCCACACAAATCCTGCAGGAACCCTCACCCAAGCTCCAACCCCTAAATGCAATAAAAATCAAAGCCAATTTTTCCTTCTGTTTTGCAAACCATTTTAAATGATCCTATTGCTTGAGTATAAAAACTTTTCCTATCCCATTACTGCATGTGTGGCATCATCAGTCTCAGCATCTGAACCAATTTTGAGAGGTATAATTGGCGCTACAAGCAGGAAGTTCTACATGATGACTCCTACTTCCTGGGTCTTTCTTCTTTTGCCTTTGGCTTGCCAGCTGGATCATTTGTTGTTACAAACATGCCCTTTGACCTGTTGTCTGCTGACTCATGCAAGCTTTGAGCTGTGTGGCTGTCTGCTGTCAAGCTTGTATTTTGAGCATTCCCATGTTCTGATCCACTTGTAGAGTCCTACTCTGAGCGTCTGTTATAGACTTAACCTACCTAAGTCATATGTTCCAATAATTAGCATTTAGGGACAGGAGTATGAAATTGAGGCCTGCTTTATAGTGAATCTGGGTTGTATGCCTTGGCCAGGACCTATCCATCTGTCTCAGGTTGAATCATGTCTCAATCCCAGCATCATCAGTAAATTAAAGTTGGGCCATTCGTCATCACTGACAAATTGCCCCATTTTGAACTGGGTCCTCTACAAAAAAAGAGGGGGCAGGTGGGGGCAGTAGTCTCTAGAATCCATCCAGATTGCTATGCAACAGGAACTCCCATTAGTATGCCAGAGACCCCTTCCTGTAGAGGCTTTACCAACCTCCTCTCAGGCCTCCTAGAGCCACTGGACCAACCATAGTGGCCATAGTTGCCCATGTGTTTCTGACGCAAGAAACTGCCCTTCCCAGCCCAATGCCACATTGCAGTGGAGCAGCAATTTCTGGCCTCATACAAGGCCCTTCTGGAGATGAAGGCTTCCACAAGCCCTGAGCCTATGACTCTCCAAACTTAGCTGATTGTTATGTCTCAGGTTGTAGGGACAGAACCCTGAAGTCTTGGCATGGCCAATGACCTCCTAATGAAAATGGAAATTGTGCTTCCAGATAGACCCAAACCTGGACCCTCTGGCATATTCCACCTATGAGAGGAAGCAGCTTCCCCTGTCCTCATTCCGTTGTCATGTACGATGACACCAGAGGAAGGTCATCCCTCTTTGGACCCAGTGACCACTTAGGAGGCCCACAGGAGTCAACTGAGTGATCAGAAAGGGTGTTCATAACCTTTAGAGATATCACATGTGTTGAAGCTCCCTGGAGAGCTTTTGCTGTCTATCCCCCAACTGGGATATCCCTGATCAAAGACGAGATCCAAGGGTTACAACAACTGACCAAACTTCAGGCAATCGCCTTAGCACTAGAAGATGACTTGGACAATAGGAAGCTCTTTCTGCACATTTTTACAGACTCTCGGGCTATTGACAATGGTCTGGCTAACTGATCCAATTAATGCTAACAGCAACAGTTCCTTCTCTGAGGTTATCCCGTTAGAAAGAACTCTGGGAATTCTTTGTCCCACAGATACCTAAAATACACACCAAAGTCACACCTATCTCTCTGTGCCCTGAGGCATGACACAAGGCCTCACCAAGACATTCCTTATACCCTTCAGTTCTAGTCATTTTTGATGGTGACCAAGGCATTCATTTTATTTCTCAAAATACAAAACACTGGGCCATTCGCCAAAGCCTTGAATGGAACTTTTACATTCCTTACCAGGCTCAGGGTGCAGGCCTCACAGGATGCCAGAATAGCCTATTTAAGTTCAAATTTCATTAAATGAGACATGGCACATTTCCATCATTGATCAGGTATCAGGAATGAATTGTAATAAAGAGTCTGACTCCAGTTTTGGTGTTTGTTCACTGACAGCGTTTAAGGCCCACCCCTTCTCTTGCCCCTTTTGCCCCACATCTGGGCAGGCCCATAAGAAAGTCTTTTGGTGCCAGCAGGAAATTCAAACCACACAAGTGGCTGGCCCTGCACAGGAACACTCACCCCAGCTCCAATCCCTAACCACAATCAGAACCATCACCTCTCACCTCTCGCATCACTGGAGCCTTTGCAGATTGGCTTGGGTTTCTGCCATGCTCTCCCAGAAAGTCCTGTTATGTAAATTAAAAGCCTTTCCATACCATCTTTGTGTGTGTGTGGCTTTATCAGTCTGCACATTCAAAACTATTTTGGGTGAGGGGTTGATACCACTCTTCAGTGGCAAACACAAAACATATACCTATAACTTTGGGCACTTGTCTAATTATTTCCATATGAAAAATTCCTAGAAGTAAAATATTCATGGCTTGCAATTTTTAAAAGTTTACTCTTTACCTAGCAATGTAAATTGAGTATCTGTTTCTTGTAAATATCAAATAAGATACTCTTTATCCTTGCTAGTCTCATAGATGAAAAATGTATCTTATTGTTTAACTTAAATTTATTTGATTCTTAGTGGTATTAAGCATGTTTTCCAAATTATTTCCTATTCCATTTATCTATATTTTTTATTTCATGTACTTTCTATTTATATAATTTGTCCTTTCTTCCTATTGAAGCTTTTTTTCTTAACTCTGAGGAAATTTATATGTTGATATTAATCCCTTGTATATACTTACAAACACATAGAAATATATAAAAATTGTATATACAAAATATAAACAAAAAATACAAAATAAAAATACAAAAAAAATTCTATGTTACAAATATATACAAAATAATGTTTGTCAACTGTCTCATTTAACTATATCTATGGATTTTTGCAATAGAAATGTTTTAAAGTTTTTATATTAAATCCAAAGTCTTCTAGTGTCATTTACTGATAACTTGGTAACCTACAGAGAGATTTCTTTTTTATAATGAGTTAAGAAAATTTTAAGTTTCTGATTTGTAGTGGGAGGAGAGATGGCATATTTGGATTTGCTGTGATTGCTATGAATTTCCTTTAACTATTGAGCACATGAGATATCATACAAGGAGAAGAGATCCTTGAATATGCAAAAAAATTCTCATTGGCAATATCCAGATTTTAAAAATCAGGATCCATTGAACTACAGAAATATTGTATGATTTCTCTCTCTCCAATTTGTACTCAAAATTGCAGCCAGAGTGATCCTATTACATTTTAAATCAGATCTGCAATCTTCCCTTCAAAACCTTTCAGTGGCCTCTCGTATCACTTTGAGCAGTGGTTCCCGACTGGGAGTGGTTTTGTCCCCCAGGAGATATTTAGCAATGTCTAGAGACATTTTTAAATTTTCACACTGGGGAAGTGCTACTGTAATCTAATGCACAGAGGCCAGAGATGCTACAAAACATCATGGAATCCCCAGGACAACCCTGTAGTAATATGTCAATAGTGTTCCAATTGGGAAGCCCTGAGTTAGAGTAACAGCCAAAGCCCTTGCTATGACTTGCAAAGTTCTACAGTATCTACCTCCTGTCTGCAACTGTTACTGTGTAACTCATCTTGATCTTCCTCTCCCTTGCTCTACTCCAGCCATGCTGGCCTCCTTGCCTTCCATTTCACAGGAAGCCAAGGACAGAAAGGCACAGAAACTGCAATACAGAGGTACTGTCACCATAGTACTCCTTCCCTCCCAGCATCTCTCCTCAAATGCTGCCTTCTCAACAAAGCCTTCTCTGGCCACAGGCTCTAAACTTTGTCTTCCTCCAATGCTTTCTTCTTGTTCTCTTTAGTGCTTACCACTAACAAGCTATGAGTTTTATAGCATATATTGTCTTCCTCCCTAATTAGAATATGCTATGGTTTGGATGTGTCCCCACCCAAATCTCATCTTGAATTGTAGCTCCAATAATCCCCACATGTCATGGGAGGAACCTGGTGGGAGGTGATTGAATCATGGTGGAGGGTTTTCCCCTGCTGTTCTCATGATAGTGAATAACTATCACAAGATCTAATGGTTTTATAATGGGGCATTCCCCTGCACATGCTCTCTCTCCTGCCTGCTGCCATGTAATTTGAGCTTTTGCTCCTCCTTTGCCTGCCATCATTGTGAGGCCTGCCCAGCCACATGGAACTGTGAGTCCATTAAAGCTCTTTTTCTTTATAAATTATCCAGTCTCGGATATGTCTTTATTAGCAGTGTGAGAACAGACTAAAACAGAATATAAGCTCCAAGAGAACAGAAATTTTTTTGTCCATTTTTTTTTTCACTGCTGAATCTCCAGTACCTAGAACACTGCCTGGTGTATAGCAGGTAGTCAGTAAATAATTGTTGAATTAATGAATTGATGAATGTCCTAAAATATTCGACACCGTATATCTGCTGTATCCCAGGAACTCTATACCATCCACAATATGTAGTTAGAGGTTTTTTGTTTGTTTTCCAATGTTAGTTTAGGTGATAAGAGAATTTAAGGAAAGTATTTGAATTATTTAACTACAGAATCCAATTTTGCTTCAATTATTTGACTATATCAGACAAAATTTTGTTTTTACCTCAAAACAAAGTACTTCAGAAACTATAAATTTAAACAAATGATTGGGGCCAGAAAAGATGTAGAGAAACTAACACTCGCACAAATGCCTTTCCTAAATCTACACCAAAAATTCTTTGAAGTTTTCTAACCATTTTCTAAGAAGACAATTTCGTTTATAATTTTGAAGATCTGAGCATAGAACAATTGCTTTACTTTGGATGAATTATTTTAACTATATTACTTTATTTCCCAAGACTCATTTTCTACTGTTCTATTCAATTCTAAGATACTCCTTAGCATTCTGCAATATATACCTTCTAAAAGTATTCAGTCCCTACAGACATCAAAAAAAGGAGATAGGATTTGCTATAAAAATATAACCTATTTGTATACTAGCTTCAAATCTACACTTATATTCCTGGGTCTAAAGTACAATACTATCTACATGAAGCAAATGAAGTAACAGCCACAATCAAGTACTCATGTCTTGATTCTAAATAAATTGAGTTCTCCCTGAACTATGTCAACAGATAAATATTACAGACTACGTACAGCTTAGAAAGCCTATGTATATCAAAGGCTTCCATCTCTGTTGACCTGTCGTAGAATGGATTGAAGAGACAACTCCCAAAGCTACTTATGTGGAAAATTTGAGAGTGAAAAACATTCTGTGGACTTAAAGAAAAGTAGATTCAAAGCAAAATATGAATCTGAATCTCATAAAATTGTCTGCCTTCATCAGCCAGCCAACAGATCAAATAAAGTATACATCACCCCTCCCTTCTGTCTGATTTTAGGTCATCAGTTTATTAATGCAGGTAGAGATTTTGCATGGTTGAGTGATTTGTACAGATTTGATTTAAAAACAGGAAGAGGGCCATAGTTTCACTTTGGCAGGAGGACTGAATATCAAGTGAAATACTCATCACAGTCCCAAAGTCCAGACTCATAAATGTGAAGGAAAGTTTTATAGAATCAAACTGAGCTCTCAAAGATACTTGTCCAAGTATCCTAAGTTCACAAAGCTGTGTATTCCTTCTTAAAATATAAATTTTAGTCCGCATTCTGCTAATGCTATCTTTTTTTTTTTTTTTTTTGAGATGGAGTCTTGCTCTGTCACCTGGGCTGAAGTGCAGGGGTGCAATCCTAGCTCAACCTCCACCTCCTGGGTTCAAGCAATTCTCGTGCCTCAGCCTCTTGAGTAGCTGGGATTACAGGTACATGTCATCATGCCTGGCTAATTTTTGTATTTTTAGTAGAAATGGGGTTTTGCCATGTTGGCCAGGCTGGTCTCGAACTCCTGACCTCAGGTGACCCTCACCTTGGCTTCTCAAATGGTTGGGATTACAGGCGTGAGCCACTGTGCCCAGCCAATTTTTATTTCATTTACTTGGGAGCGATGGGGAAGGGATGAACAAAACAGAAAATAGTTGGGAAAGTAACCTCCTAATACCACAAAAAGAAATGTTTTAGTTCGAGCATGGGATCCAGAGATGGAACTTAAAATCTTCTCCCAGTCAAGTAGGGTTGATCACCAGTGACTGTCAAGAGAGCTCAACTGGGAAGGGGTCTGAGGCTGAGGCGAAGTGCATCTAGGTCATCTAGTTACATAAACTCTCAGTTGTGAGAAGGCTTTAGAGTCAGAGAGATGTGGGTTTGAGGCCTGTTCCCATCCATTGCTAGTTTTTAAACTGGCTGCATCATCTGTAAATGGAGATAATGTTTCCTACATCAAAGGATCTTTGTGAATATTACATAATTTCCATAAAATGGGTGACACGCACTCATGGTGAGTGCGCAAAATGAGTGAATATGCACTCAATACAATGATAGCTGTTATTTTAGATTGATCAAGTCCTCATACAATTGTTTATTCATAACCTGTCTTGTTCCAAAAAGGACAAGAAAACATTTTGAAATGATATGCTAAGTAGTGGTATAAATTTACCTTTGAAAAGACATGTTGGAGTAAGGACAAATCATGATAAGAAGACAAGTAAGAGGAGATCAGTAAGAGAGATTAGCTCCCAGAATATATATATATATATATATATATAAAGTTTTTAATTTTGCTGAAGTTTAGGGAAAAAAATTGACTTTAAATCTTCTTACAGGAAGCATGAGAAGGAAACCTGAACACATTAAAGATTCACAGGGCCCAAATGTAAAAACATGTTAGTTGTTCAGATGAAACAAAGCCATTCCTAATTTAGCATTAGAAACATTCATATGGTTAATAGAACAATCAGTTTCACACAGGTCTGCTTCTGAAAATACCTTTCAAAATAATTCAATGTCATTAATGCTAATTCATCTATATATACACACACACACACACACCACCACGCCTGGCTAATTTTTGTATTTTTAGTAGAGACGGGGTTTCATCGTATTGGCCAGGCTGGTCTCGAACTCTTGACCTTGTAAACCACCCGCCTTGGCCTCTCAAAGAGCTGGGATTACAGTCGTGAGCCACCACGCCCAGCCAGATCAGCTGATTTTTAACAAAATACTATGAACTAGCTGAACTGCTCCCTTGCCTATAATATTATTCTCAATATCAAAGAGGCCTTCCCCACTTTTAGACCTTAGTTTTTTGCCTGATTATATAGCATGTGATACCTATGGCCTTCAGTATGTTATTATGGCATTAGTCTTATCGTTCCAACTGGACCATGCATTTCTTGAGTCCAAGGAGAATATCTTACTAAATGTTTAAGACAGAATAGGATTTATATAATTTAATATAAACTCAGTATTTATGTAATTTAATAACTGATGCTCTTTTAACACTGTATAGATACAAATTAGAGAGAGAGTGGCAAAGGAAGATAGCAAGATAGATGACAGCGAGATAGAGATATATAGTGTATTATATCTCTTCATTTTCCTTCTTGGTAAGTTAACGGTACAATGGAAAGAAATTTGGAAAATTACTTCAGGAAGGACTGTTGTGATTTAGCACAGATCGATAAATAATACCTAAGATCAGGAGATAAAGAATAGTTAACACATCTGGGTCTGAATTCGATTGCCTCTACTTACACCTCTGTCACCTAGACACAGTAACTTCTCTGAAACTTCATCTCCTGAATGGCCAAAGAGAGATGATAAAAGAAATCTACCAATAAGGCTGCTGGAAAGAATAAAGAGATGACACATGTAAAATATTTAGTCTAATTCCTGGCACAGAGTAAGTGATCAATAAATGCTAGCTGGTGTTGGTACTCGCCTGTGATGATACTTTGCAAACTGCATTTAGAAAAATTCAAAGATGGAAATGCTCTGATGGTGAGAGCTCTCTCCTCTTTGCTTTGGGCTCTGTTTTTCCCAAGATTCCCCACAATTATATATGCTAATCTCCTTGACTGACAATTCCTTGAAACAGGAAGTACTTAAGCCCTATCTTGAAGGGATTGTAGCATTAGGTTATCCCCAACATGAAAAAGCGACATCCCATCGTTCTCAGCAAACTAACACAGGAACAGAAAACCAAACACCCCATGTTCTCATTCATAAGTGGGAGCTGAACAAGGAGAACACATGGATACAGGGAGGGGAACATCACACAACAGTTCCTGCCGTGGGGTGGGGGGCAAGGGGAGGGAGAGCATTAGAACAAATACCTAATGCATCTGGGGCTTAAAACCTAGATGATGGGTTGATAGGTGCAGCAAACCACCACGGCACATGTATACCTATGTAACAAACCTGCACATTCTACCTATGTATCCCGGAACTTAAAATAACAAAAACATTTTTTCTTCCAAAGAAAAAGTGGCATCCCCAGGCTTTCTTCTGATTTGCAGCCTGTTCATTACTTTTTGATGCCCATTCATTTAATTCTAGGGCACTTTTGCCTGTCCTCCTGAGACTACATCATAGAAATTTACCCAGATTCACATCATTGTACTTCTGATTCCATGTTCCACTTCTAGAAATCTCTCCCAGGAGTGTAATTCCTTGACCATGCTCCCAAGTCTCTGAGATTGTCTTCACTCTCTCACAGTGTTCCCTGGCTGTAAGGGTTTAGTCCTACCACACTTGGATGCTCCATGAATGACCATGGTCTACTCACCTGCGCTCAGTCTCCATCCTGCTACCTCTGTGAACCTGGGACTGCCCATATGTGAATACAATTTTGAATGTTCACTGTTCTCCAAACAATGCATATAGTTAGCACAGCAAATTCCAATCTGAGGATTTTAGTTCAGTACCCTCTTGCAGACCTAACACACACAGAAAAATAGGGAGTTAAGATAAAACTATTTCAGCAACAAGTACAGATGAATCAGAACAGTTTGTTTTTCAACTTTGCCTATGCAAGATTCATCATGCATTATATGATTCTACCACTCCTAGTTTAACACCTCATCAGCTTAATATCTACACAGATCTGCCCTGCCTCAGTCTAACTAGCATTTCATTTCAAATACTATCTTCCTAGCAGCACTCTCTCTATTCCCTGAAGTGTAGTGTTCTGAGGCAGGTCAGAGAAATCGTTGTGGCAGTGAGGCAGGGATTGTATAGAAACATGTAAGGGCTGAGTCGGGACTAGGAGTTTAGCTACATGGAGTAAGGCCTAATGTTATCTGAGATAGATGTTCAGAGACCAAGCTGAGTGAGGTCAGAGAATCTCCCAACACCAGAAACATAATTTTCTATCCACTCCTTACACAACCATCTATGGAACTTTCTAAAACGCAGACACCTTGGCCCTAATCTTAGATATTCAGAATCTGTAACTCTGTAAAGGAGGCAGGAAATGATTGCCAGGTTCTGATTTAAAAAGAAAGTAAGTCTGTTGTCCATACAATCATCAATATCATTGCACTACAGATTGAGTATTCATCATAGGGCAGAAACTATCCTAAGTGTTTATGGAAAAAATTAAAGCTTGCCTAAAATTGTGCAACTACCAAAGGTCAAAGCTGAGATTTTAATAATGAAACTCCAAAATCCAAAGCCATTCTCAATCCCTACTCTACACTACTTTTCAGTGTCTCTGGCTCTTGCTGCTGTTGCCATTTATACAATTTAATCTTTGGGATCTGGCCAGGTGCACTGGCTCATGCCTATAATCCCAGCACTTTGTGAGACTGAGGCAGGTGGATCATTTGAGGTCAAGAGTTCAAGACCAGCCTGGCCAACATGGAGAAACCCCATCTGTACTAAAAATACAAAAATTAGCCAGGCATGGTGGCATGTACCTGTAGTCTCAGCTACTTTGGAGGCTGAGGCAGAAGAAACACTTGAACCTGGGAGGTGGAGGTTGCAGTGAGCCGAGATTGCACCACTGCACTCCAGCCTGGGCGACAGAGTGAGACTCTGTCTATGGAAAAAAAAAATCTTTGGGACCTTAGAATCAAAATTCTGCAGAAGGCTCAGCTCAACCATTCCTCCAAAAGTACTTGGCCTAAGCATAACCAAGACAGGAGACAAAGAGCCTTAGATCAAGAACCTGTCCAATTCTTTCTCCATGTCAGCTTGCAGGAGGGAAATAAACTTGACATAAAAAATTACCCCAGTGCTGCTCTCCCAATAGGATGCTGACATTTCCCCACATTGCCCATAACATTCTTATGGCAGCCACATAAAACACTAGAACAAAATGTTCTGAAGATCAAACTAGCTAGGCTTGCTGACATTGTGTTATTGTGTATGCATATGAGTGCATGTGTGTGTATTATTAAGGTATTGTTTAACCTAAAGCAAATTTAAATCCATAAAATCAAGGCAAAGCACCACAAACAGCTAAAATTGGAAGTAGAATTTGCCATAATCATCATCTTCAGAATTCTCCAGCTTGGAATATGTTGTTTATTAGTTTGTTTAAATTACAAACAAATTCTATCTGAGCAGGTGCTAGAGAAAGAGGCTCAGCTACTTACAGTGTGGCTATTCTCAGATTTCAAGGGCCCTAAACACATGCACAACCTAAGCAGAGAAGAATTCATCACCATTACTGCTCCAACCCACTAATATGAATCATGTAAATTGGAAGGTAATCAGAACTTTTTCTCCAGCCATTAATGGGATAAACGCATGTGCTGAATTGCCCGAAGAGACGAATGAACATACAGCATGAGAAATGTTAGAACACTTTAGTCCCAAATTTATGCTTCCCTGTGTATCCATCCATTCCTGAAGCGAGATGTCAAGACAAACATGTCAATCTTTCTTGGAAGCAGCAGCCAGCAGCACTGTGAGCATCCAGTAGTCTAATCTGTTCAAACTGACCATGAAACAAAGCCTCTGGGGCTTCTCCCAGGCCCATGTCCTAAGCCAGTCTCCTCTCCATTAGTGATCACATTTCCCCCATCTGTGAAATCGAAAAAACCTGTCATTTTGCTCTGCGAGAATGAGATGATGATTAATTATTTACTATCTGTCAAAGGAGCATCAACTACTCTGGGGAAAATATCCAAAACTGTTATGAATAGTAATATACAGAAAAGTACCCTCCTGCTTTTTTCTTTCTTGGCCAGTTGGCAGCTACTGAAAGATTAAGGGCTTCAGGAAATATTGCCCCAAAGCCCCAGCATTCCAAAGATGTACAGTCACAGCACAAAATATTTCATCTGGTTTTTGGTGTGAATACAAATTCTATCTTATTCTCTTTCTCTCCGAAAGACCCAATGAATGATGGATCCTTTGTCTCTAGAAATAGAACATCCCCAAGTGTGTCAAGCAGTTATTTAGGCATGGTTTTTAGAAATCGTAGAGAAACCTTTTAATAGCTTCAGAGTGTTTATTAAACTTCCCACCATCAGTAAGCTTAGATTCTCATGGGCATAGAATGCTTCAGGAGAATAAGTTGGAGATAGGAGTATGCCCCATGACTGCTAAATGACCTCTCCTCTTTTACAGTCTGACACCTGCTGTATTAGTGTGATACACAGTGTGGAAGGCTCACAGGGCTTAGACAGAGGCTGTTTGAACTGCTTTATGTGTGACCACAGACTCCAAAAGACACACTGCCTCACCTACTCAATTCATGTTTAAATCTGGGTTTCTTTTTTTTAAAGAAAAGTTTAGGTTCACAGGAAAATTGAGCAGAAAGTATAGAGTCCCCATATACCCCTGTCTTCACCTGCCCCCTGCCCTCCCCTCCACACACACAGTATTCCTCACTATCAACATCTCCACCAGAGTAGTATAGTTGTTACAGTCAGTGAACCTACACTGATGTCATTATATCCAAAGTCTTTCATTAACCTTAGGTTTCACTCTCGATCTTATACATTCTGTACGTTTAGATAAATGTATAATGACATGTACTCCCCAGTATAGTATGAGAATACTTTCACTGCCCTAAAAATCCCCTAGAAAGAAATCTCCCTGTTCATCCTCACTAACCCCTGCCAACCACTGATTGTTTTCGTGTCTCTAGGGTTTTGCCTTTTCCAGAACATCTCATAGTTGGAGTCATACAGTATGTTGCTTTTTCAGATTGGCTTCTCCTGAAGTGAGATGTCAAGTAAGATTCTTTTAATGTTCTTCTATTTCTCTTCATGGCCTGATAGTTTATTTATTTTTAGTGCTGAGTAATATGCCATTGTCTAGATGTCCCACATTTATCCATTCACCTACTGAAGGACATTTTGGTTGCTTCCAAGTTTTGGCAACTATCAATAAAACTGCTATAAACATCCATGTGCGGGTTTTGGGTAGACATGAGTTTTAACTTATAAGTACCAAGGAGTGTGATTGCTGGATTGTATGGTAAGACTATGTTAAGAAACTGCCACACTGTCTTCCAAAATAGCCCTCATTTCTTTCTTTATCCGGGGGAAAATTGTCTTGGGGCTCCAAATTTCTCCTGTTTATTACACCATCATACTCAAAGAATGCCTCTAAACAGAGGCAGGCCTCTGGCTGGGACACTTCTAATATGCTTTGGCTCTGTCTCCACCCAAATCTCATGCCAAAATGTAATTCCCAATGTTGAGGGAGAAACCTGCTGGAAGGTGACTGGATTATGAGGGTGGATTTTCCCTTTGCTGTTTCTCATGATAGTGAGTTCTCATGACATCTGGTTGTTCCCCATGGTTCTCTCTCCTGCTCCGCATGTGAAGAAGGTACTTGCTTTCCCTTTGCCCTTCTGCCGTGATTGTAAGTTTCCTGAGGCCTCCCAACCATGCTTTCTGTATAGCCTGTGGAATTGTGAGTCAATTAAACCTCCTTTCTTTGTAAATTACCTAGTCTCACCTAGTTCTCTATAGTAGTGTGAGAACAGACCAATACAATTTCCAATTCCTTCCTTCCTTATCCCATCTCTGAGCAAGGTCTCTGGAAGAAGATGCCAGCAATGAACCATGCACCACTAATTAGGTGGTCAAAAATCATATCCAGAAGCTTCCATCATCTGTTTCATGTCAAGAAGAAGCCACATCCCAATCACAGTTCAGTCCGTGTGTTGTATTTACTGGCAGGAGTTTTTCCTATACCCAAACCAACCTTTCAGAGGTTAAGATTTGCAAAAATTCTTCATCAATTTGCCTGTTGGGCTGTCAGGTAACTCACCCATTAGTGGCTGCTTATCGTCCATCAAGCTCTTCAGGATTTTCTCAGTTTGAGAAACACATTGCTGTCATCAGCTACATTGAAGGGTCTGGAGCTAGAAAAAATCTCCAGTTCACTATCTATGGATGCAAGCTTCCCTATGTTCACAAATTCTTAATTGAATAAATAAATAGATGAACAGAGTCACTCTGCATCATCACCCACAACGCACAGATGTGGATATGTCTTCCCTTTAGAGTGGATACACATGCATTCTCTTATGCACTCCAAGAAGCTCCACTGAGCCTGACAGGCTCACGAACAAGGACAAAGTAATAAATTATTGTCACTTAGACCTGCCCAAGATTCTGTTAAACACAAATCATTGCCAGAAAATGTCAACATGTTAATTCCACAGTCTAAAGAGATAAAGTAGTAAACCTGGGAGTATTCACAGTAATAATACACTGTAGGTTATAATGTCCACATCATAATTAAATGGCCCCTGATTATCCACAAACAAAGCAAGCTATAACTCTGGAAATCAGGATGAGTAAACTTTAATTCTTTGGTTGGCCTGGATTGTGAAAATGTAAGGTACAATTGTATTTGATGAGAATTGTTTTGAGAACTATCTTGTTGACACAAGTTAAAAAGTCCTGTGTTAAAATTGCACTTGTGAATAACATCTAGAAGGTTATAGCACATGGCATCAGTCAGGGGCCTAACAGTAACCATTAGGCACAAACTAGGCATTGATGAGATCTCAGTAATGAATTGCTATGTACAGCTTAGAGCAGAGTGCAGTAGCCAAGGGCTATAGCGGGGCCATTAACATTCACAAGCCAAAAGGTGCACAGGAAAGGGGAGGTTACTGGAATCCAAAGAGAGTTGTATGCAAAGAGGCTGCCGGACAGAAGTCTGTGACTTCCAGAGACAAAAAGCAGCCAACCTATGGCAGTAGGTCAGGGAGGAAGCTGGGGGGATAAATACTCAAAAACTCACTCTCCTCCAGTCTTCAATACCCTGCCACTGCTTCTGCTGGTAGAGCCTAAAGGATGACAGAGAGCAATGTGGCCTGTGATACAGAGGTTAGCCATAAGGAACAATTGTCTTATTTAAGTTGAAATCTACACGCTCTGTTTCTTATTAGCACGATCAAAGCTCCTCGCCTTAATATTCAACTGCTTAACTAACCTTTTGGTTTAATCACAAAGGAATGTCACTTTTAACCATAAAGCTTTTAATAACCACAAACCTTATGAAACATTTGTTATAGAAAGCCACACTCACCCATGTAAATAAAAAATGTTTGTTATCAGAAGTTAAAGTTACACACTTAATTTATAAGTGTGCTTACCAGCATCACCCTTATAATCAATCCAGCCCTCTGTAAATGAACTCATCCCTTTTGTGGATTCTCTGTTAAGCAGGGGGCTTTCTGGCTGGCTGCCTTCTCTAGCTGTAGAAAGAAAAAAAATCCATCTCACCTCTAAATTGACCTAAATATATCACAAAGTTAATCTGCTTTTTCATATCAGGTAATTTCCTATGTCCTGGTTAGAAAGCTTGTCTGTCCTTCGATATTCATGTCAGTCATGGTCATAATTACTGGACCTTGAAATAGAGAAAATTCTAAATTACCAAGATGTTATATGCTATATTGTTTCTTACTTACGATCACCCAAATACAAGTGACTCCAGACCTTCGCAGGATGTTCAAAGCAATTACCTGGGGCTGGGGAAACAACAGGAAAATCTGTATGTGTATCCGTTCAAAACTTATCTGCAGGTGGGAAATGTCAGTGAAGCACAGATCCCAAGTGTTCAGTGCATACTGCTGTTCTCTCTACACTTGACCCTTGGGTCTTACATTAGCCCTATGATACCAGGATTCTGGAAAATTGACTTAATAACACTCCTTAACACGTATGCATCCAGAACATTTTGAAAATTTTCTAGGCCTCAAGGGAACCCAACCAATTGTTATTGGACTCAAGCATCTGTTTTTACACTTTAATTTTTTTAATGCTATTTGCAGTTTTATTTGTATACTTATATACAACAAAATAAAAAGGAATTTATTCTCCTAAGTAGTGTGGCTAAGCAGGCAGCTGTGAGTCAGTTCTAGAACCTTTTCTATGGGACTCGTCCTGAGCTTTGATGTCATTCTCCAATGTCTCCTGAATCCAGGGCCTGTATCCTAAGTCTTTAGGAAGGAGCTGATGGGCAGTTTACCAATGCATTTGCCACAAGTCAGCTGTTATTGAAACCTTATTTTTCTTCCTCCAGCCTCACCTGCACCTGATCCTGTACAAGCTGCCCCAGTCCCTTCTAGGTGGCCAATACTAAACACCAGTCTGCAGTCTTCCACGTTTTCCTTTTGCTCATAGAATTACATATACACGTGCACATTTACACGTACTTAGGGATGGAAGATTGTTTTACAAAAATTATTTTCACAATATTTTCTCTACATCTATCATTTCGCACATAGAAATCTCTTTTTTCTCAAGAGAGTTGACAGATCTAACTCATTCTTTGTTCACATATACATATTTGATGCATTTAATCTTAAATTCTACCCCACCTAATAATATTGCCATTCTGTCTCTTTCTTTGCCTTTGTCTGGCTTCTCTTTTTAAACTTTCTTCATAACTTTCAGTGTTTCATTACTGACTATATCTGGGTGGTTTTTTTTTTTTTTTTAAGTCTCTCAGTGTCAATTTTTCAATAAGAGAATTTGGCCAAGTCGTATTTAACATAACTTTTAGTTACTTTGTTTTATTCCTTACATCTTACTGCTTACTACTGTTTTACTTTGTTGTTGCTTCTTTAATATTGCTTACACTATTTTTTTGCTTGCTTTTGATGTTTTACTATTTATTCCTTCTTTTCCTTGGACTTAATATGAAATTCTGTAGTTTTCCATTCTACGAGTGTTTACTTTCTCTTTTCCAACTTCTTACATCTATCTCTTTTTATATGAAACCAAAATAACAACTATTTTCCTGACTGAGATGTGCTATTTCCCCACGGTGGTGGTGGTGGTGGTGGTGTTTTTTTCTTCCCTAAGAAGGCCACTGAGAGACTTTTCTTTCTCTATTCTCCCTTTTAGTGATGAACCCTGTAGAATGAGCCTTCCTAAGTTTTGATGAACATTTAGTAACTGCAGTTTTTCCTCTCTGAATGTCCCTTCTGTTTCAACAATTTGTATTTAGCACTTAAAACATGCATTCCTTGTTATCTTATCACTACTATTTATTTATAAACATTTTGTATCCCCTTGGTTATATATTTTAGGTACATTGTACACATTTTAAGGTTTATTGCTTGCTTGCTATTTGTTTTTCGACTTATAGTCACCTATGTGGAAGTTTCTTTTTTTTTTTTTTTTTTTTTGTTTGAGACAAGGTCTTGCTCTGTTACCCAGGCTGCATTGTACAGCACAGTCAAGACAGACTCACTGCATCCTGAACTTCCCAGGCTCAAGTGATCCTCCCACCTCAGCCTCCCAAGTAACTGGGACCAGAGGCATGTGCCACCACATGCTGGAGTTTCCTTCTGATGAAAGCTTTATTTTTTTTTTTAATCTTTCCCATTTGGGGCATATACATGACATATTCTCTGAATTCTCACAAATCCATAAATATCTTTCTTTTCCTTTAGCAGATGAATTATATCCACATTCCCAGCTTGTAGCCCTCTCCTCCTACTGATCTGCAGCCAGTTAGTCCACAATCTCTTTGCTTCCAGAATTCTAATCTCATTTTTCTTCCATTGTAAGTAGCTTATTAATATTTTTTTGCCTCTTTAGAAACTTTCCAGATTTTCTCTTTGCATCTTTTACCTTCTCAAAAATTTTATAGGCCTATTCTTCACATTTCTTAACTTTTTCTATTATCTTTTACGTTTTCCTGAATGTCTTCTAATTACATAGTAAGGACCATCCCAAACTAAAATTTTTTCTAATTTTAAATTATTTTTTACTTATCCTCTTCTTTCAGTATGTTGACACACTATTTCTATTCTCTTCTGACACTTCTTAAATGGGAAATGTGCAATTAATGTCTGCACATTTATCCACTGTCCAGTACATGGTAAGTGCTTACTGCTTCTCATGTACTCTTCCAGGGGCTGGGGGGTCAGTCATACATTTTAAAAAGACAAAAATGCTTGCCCTACTGAAACTTGCTGTCTTCATTTTATTTTCCCCCGTTCACTCTTCTACCTACTGAAATCTGCTTCCATCCCTCTCCCCAAACAGGGCTAATCTAGCAAAGACAGAGAAAGAACTGCAATTGCCAAACTCATGCCTAAGGTTTCTGTGGCATTTGACACTTTTCTTAATGTCTTATTTCAACATGTCCCTTTTTAATTGTATATATTTAAGGTATACAGCATGGTGTTTTATATACATACACAGCAGAAACTTCCATTGTCACTTTGGGTGTGTGAGTGTATGTCGTAAGAGCACCTAAAATTTACTGTTGTAGCAAATTTTCAATATGCAATACAATATTATTAACTACATTCCTCATGTTGTTCATTTGCAGCTATCAGGGTGCTTTCCATTTCAAACAAAGGAAAACTCAAATAAAATTGGTCTAAATAATAACAACATATAAGTTAATGTAAATGAAATTTCCAGATAAGGCAGAGGTCAGAGCTGATTGGATTAGGCAGCTTGTCCAAGGACCTGGTTTCTTTCCTTCTATTCTGCATCTCTGGTGTCAGTTTTATCCTATGTTGTAACAGTTCCAAGCTTCATATTAACATGTCACACCTTTCAGAATGAACAGACTGTCTTTCAGAAGATATACTTTCCCCAGAAACCTCCATCCAGCAAATTTCCCATCATGTCCAATTAAATTTAATTAGATCTTTTGCCCCTCCCATCCTGAAAATGCCATGTTACTTAGGCTTGGGTTATTTGAATTAATCATTATGGCAGTGATATAAGGTTAGTCTGAATGGCTGTATAAACCATGGCTCATCCCTAGAGCTGTGTTTGAGACAGATTCCTAAGGAATCTCGGCAACATAATGGGAAGATGTATGGATACCCAAACAAAAACCTGGGCACAGTTAGGAAGGGGAAAGGGGGAAATTATTGCTCAGCTGACCACAGACAAATGCCAATCATTATAACTCTCTCTCAGCTTCCTTCTTGACCGCGAAGTAAATTTTGTGGCTTTGTAGAGTTTCATGTACAGCAATTTTGGGTATTCTCATCCACTACTCCATGGCTTTAACTACCAGCTCTGTGATGGACATTCTCAAATCTATATCTGCAATTTCAGCTTCTGCCCTAGAATGAAATACATATTTCTAGCTATAAGACAGTTATCTTGGCTCATCAGTACTTCAGACTTAACTTGTTCTATACCTGCATCAACATCATCAGTAATCCAAGACAGAAGTCTCAGAATAACCTTTTACTAATAACCATCCTTTCGTTGGTAATGCTTTCTCCAAAACTGGGGAGCTTCTTACTCTCTGCACCAAATATTTGGAACTTCTTTATCAATGTGCATCTTGCCTATCCTCATATTACAGTCATTCCAGCACCTGAGACTTTCATCAAGAGGACATTTAATGTTGAGTCTTTGCTCCTGACCGTATCTTTTGTCCTAAAGGTCCATCAATGTTCACAATATCAAGGCAACTTGGTAAACCAGCTTAGTAGTATGGGAAGGTTGATGTCATTACCCTTTGTTATTCAGCCTTCCTTGGAGCCTTGACCAGAGCTAATCAGCTGGAAATACATTACTCTTTCATGTATTTGAGTTACCATCTATTCTCCATGCCTGAAATTTTCTTTCTGCTTGTGCTCTTAGGTGAAGTCTTCCTTGACTCATCCCCAGTCCTAACAGAGTTACTGACTCTATCTCTCCAGATGTCTTACACAGACCTAATCCTCTATAACAAACATTATCTATTATTGTCCAGATGCATTGCATCAAAATTATTCAGTTTTGTCTATCTTCACAGCAGATAGCAATATCCTTGTAGGGTAAGTAAAGATAAGCAAAGATGCAAAAACTATTTTTAAGAATGGAAGAAGGGAGGGAAGAAGGAATGTGTTGCATAATAAACAATGATCTATATTGTGCCCCTTATAGAATTTGCCTTCAATTTTCAGGAGATTTTATATGGGGAGAAAAAAGAATAATTTCAGCATCAAACAAGGATCTGAATCAAAATTCTTCTATTAAGCACAATGTATACCAGGGGCCCCAGAGGAGCCAAATCCCTTTTCTTTCCAGGTCCAGCCTCAGTGATTTACAAATGCAGACAATTCTAATCAGTCAGAAATTTTAGGTTGGCTCTGAGCACTATGAGATATGCAGTTCACTGAAAATGTTGCAAATCAAATGAAGCATGTTACATTGGTAATATATACCTGGTTTCATGTGCCACAGCACAAATCTACATAGGCATTAAAATAGACACAAATATCACAAGAGGATAGCAGATATCTCTCTGCCCCATTTAACACACACAACTTTTTCTTGTTTCTTGGAGATTGAGCTCTTGTTTCAGTTTTTTATTGCCTATCAATCAGCTTGAGAAGGCATCTGCAATTGTGTTTCGTTCATGAAGATATAAATCCTGGCAGCAGCAGCCTACAGACATCGAAAAGCTCCATTCTAAATTACCTTTGTCAGACTGTATAGAAAGTAAAAGGCACACTTCAGTCTTATTTTATTAAACAGGGGACGTACCAGCCAGCCTAAAAATGGAAAATCCTTTTCATTGACATGCTCCATTAACTGCATTTCTCTGAAAAAAAATATATATCTCAGTGCACTTCTTTACCTCTGCTCCTCTAATTACTGCTTACAAATTCTTTTCTCTCAATCATGCTATCTCCCATAAATCAGGAAGCAAAAACATTTGCAGCTGAGTCCCTAGCTATAATTTAACATGATATGCCACAATGCCACTATTATGCCAAAAACTAATAATATACCAGTCACCATGGGAACCAGGGCATGAAAAGGTGAAAGTCCTCCTTTACACAAGATGGGTGGGACTTTTATGGAGCCATGTGTCCCACCAACATCATGAGCTATACTATTCTGGCAAAATTCCTTAGACTCAGCTGATTCTCAATCCCAGAGAAGTGTTCATCCATCCTGCATTTCCTGATATTTAACTTGCAATTCGTCTACACCCCCAAAGGAGATAAATTATAGGGTAATCATTCATATTATGGACAGGTTTTTCATTATACATTCACTGCCAAGAAAAATAGCATATGACAAAACATTAAAAGATCAACTTAAAAAAGAGAGCAACTGAGAGTTATCACTACCATTAAATTAGTTTATTTCACTTTACAAAAGCACTGATGGATCTTAAGGTTCTATACTGTACTTCCCAATTCTTATGGACACATTCAAGATTGATAATTTCAAAGTTGGAAAATGTGGTCACAATGTTAAAGGTTGATCAGAAAAGAATTAAATATCTCTATAGTTATAAATCAGTGGGAAGGAATTATTTCATTTTCCAAAATATTAATTCACATAGTGATTCTGTGATAAGACTTGTTTCAGTGAGGAAAACCTGTTCTAGCACATGCATTCATACCTGTGCCCCCTACATACAAGGAAGGAGCTCCCATATAATTCTGTTCTGCAAATATTTCTTGCTCACTACTCTCCATTTCTATCTTATTTGCTCGGCTTTGGCCTCATGAAAACAGAAAATTTCAATTACAGGGGAAAAAATAATTGGATTTCTACCATAAGGAAAATATTTCTTAGAGGAGAAGGCAAAGAAAATGCAGGGGACAATACTAAAATGATAATATATAATGAGTTTGGATAAAAGTCAACTCAGCTGTATGTATGGTATTGAATGATATGACTCATTTATTTTTCTGCAAAGTTTTGTCCATGATTTCAAGAACTGAGCTGAAATTCTCTTTTGTTATAGTTCTATAAAATTTAAAGTAAAAATTGGTGCACAAATGCATTGCTGCTTACCAGAGTAGACAAATCTTTGCCACACATGTTGATTTCATTGTGATTCAAATGATTGCTAACAGTCTTGAGTTCATTAAATTTAAAACATATTTTATGGAATATTTTGTTCCTTCAATGTGAAAACCATGTGTGCTTTAATAAAAAATTTAGTTCAAGAGAGTTCAATTCCATTTCAAATTATTAACATTTAAGTGATTTTCTTGATGTTAACCAATAAAGTCAGCTAAACCTGCAGAATAATGTTGCATGAGATGTTTTGCAGTTAATGGGAGGCCAAAGTTAGAATTAGTGTCCTATGGAAGGAGTGGAAACATTTGTCCATGTACGCCAAGAAAGTAACCATGAAATTTTGAAAGATAATGGTGGATTAGAGGGTGCAGATTTCTTGCAAATGATCTTCAAATGATTTGGCACATTTATTTTGCTCTTTTTGTGACTAAATAAATACATATGTCTCTCACATATATCCTTTCTAGTTGTGTGTATGTACGTGTGTCTACATGCATTGTTATAATAAAATATAAATTCATCTAATAGGATAGTTTTTCAAGTGTTTTTTAAAGTAAATCATTTCTTTTCATGACTGTTCAAGTATCAATTGAGCTCTAAAGATATCAAAATATATTACGCTTGAAATAATACTAATAAGATAATATTTATTGAGCACTTACCATGTGCCACACAAACACTGCTAAAGGCTGCTTAAAAATCATCTCATTTAATCCTCGAAACAATTCTAAGAGGTAAACCTCTACCATACCTCAGATCTCTTCCAAGGTCATATATGTACATATATATATATGTACATACACATACACACACACACACATGCTTGTTAGATTGGTGCAAAAGTAATTGCGGTTTTTGCCATTACTTTCAATGGCAAAAGTGACAATTACTTTCGCACCAACCTAATAAATGTGTATATATACATGTATATTTTGTGTGTGTATATGTATGTGTGTGTATATGTATACATACACACACATATATATACACACATGTGTATGTATGTGTATATGTGTGTGTATATACACATATGTCTTTATAAAGGATAAATATGTCTGTCCTTTATAAAGCAGTTTAGAAAAGAGTGCAAAAAAACAGGCTACCCTGAGAGGTTTTTATTTTTAATTTTATCCTCTCAAAAAATAGGCATCCTAGAAGATATGGGGGGAGAGAAATGCCATCTATTTGTACCAGAGTCAAAACTAGACAATCTGTAATTGTATATGCTAGAGAGTCAAACAGTCTAGGTATTAAACATTGTACCAGGCCCAATCAGGCAAAACCAAAAACACAAGAGGTAAAACCCTTTGCTTGCAGCAACGTAATATATTATTTATTCAAAATATTCATTGCTCTCAGTGGGAGGATTATACATCCCCACTCTGCTGATAACAGGTTTAGCCATGTGACTTGCTTCGGACAATGAAAAGTGAACAAAAAGTGAGATATACTTCTCAGCAGAAGTTTACAATTCAGCTCATGAGTCACCATGATTCTATGTCCCCTCTGTTATGAGCCTTGCAATATCCCTGACAGAATCTCCATCAGCCCGGGTCCAGTTACGAAGTCAACAGATGGCAAAGCCTCAACCAGCCCATGGTGAACATGTAGATGTAAATGAGAAATAAGCTTTTATGGTTTAAAGCCTCTAAGTTTGGGGGTCATTTGTTATTACATATTAACTTCCTACACCCCATCAAATATAAACAATATAGGACAGGTCTTAAAAGAATGGGATAAGCAAACTGCCTGGTCTTTAATCAAAATTCTACCACCGTTATTTATGCTATTGTGATTTGGTTCCAAAAATCTGACCATTGAATTAGCCAAAGTGAATGTACAACAAATTTGATTTGATTCCTTAAATATTCTCATTGGCTAACATGGAAAAACAAGTAGGGCAATTTAATGTAGGGTTTACATTAAGCAAGGTAGATTACAAAGCTCATACATCTCAAAGGTAACTGTCAAAGTTTTTCCTAAATATATGTAACCATTTAAAAATTTTAAATTCTGACTCTGATGACCTAATTCCTTCTAATAACACATGCATAATAGCATGTGTTATTTTATCATGAATTCACAATTCATGATAACATGAATTATCAGTTTTTTTCTCCCTTTCCATTACTGGAATAACAACACTAAGATTTTTTCATTTCTGATCTTCATACTTTGGAGTCCGTATTCAGAAAATAATGGTATGTGATTTTTTATCTGTCACTTTGGCATAGTTGATAATTCATTCCTTGTTACTGTTTATTGCACTTATAAATTTTGATAAGGAAAAATACAACATTTGTTCAGGTAATTATACCCTATGTCCTTTCAAAATGATTTGAATTTTCTTACAGAAATATAGATAATGCAACAGGCTCAAAAACAAATCCAAGAATGAATACAAAGGATAATAAAGGCTGGCCTATTAGATAAATTTAGTACACAAAATTGAATTCCACAGGATATTACACGGTTAAATAAAATGCTTTTCAAATTCAGCTTTGAGATTCCTAGTGTCCAAAGCAAAAAGAGAAACAAAATTGCTCATCAGACATATAATGTCCAAATAATTTTAAAAGGCAATCATTCAAAAGAAGCATAACTTTTCATGTCATGGAAATATGTCAGACATTTCTTCTGTGGGTCAACATAAAAGAAAAAATGTGACATACCATCCTTAGCAATGTCTTTATCAATATCCCTACAAACACAACAGCAATGTGTTTATCAATCGTCCTACAAACCCAATAGGAAAAAGACAGGAAATTTTTCACTCTGCATTCTATTGGAGTTGCAGTTCATTTTGTGAATTGAGGAAATATTCAGTCCAAGCTGATAAATTCTTCCACAATTTTCCTTTACATTAAGCTTATGCAGCCATTTACACAATGTCAGATTCTTTATGTATAACATTCCAAGTGGCATTTCTGAACCAAATACAAAAATTAAGATTGAAACATTAGTTGTTGTTTTAGATACTCTGTGGTTTGTGTACTACAATTTATTCAGGCCAAATGTTAGAAAAACATTCTGATTTATCTCCATAAGAGCTTTGAATAAGCAAGACCATATTTTTATTCAGTCCAACAGTCTCTACATTTCTTGCCATCAACATCATTTTCTATTGTCGTATACAATTGTTTAGTTTTTATTTAGATTTTCTGAAACCAGTCTTCGTTTTATAACTGCCATCACTCATCTGTCACTTCACTTAAGGTGACAATCATGTGAAACTAGTACAGGATACTGTGTTCCTAAATAAGAGTATAACTCCTTAGGGAAACACCCCACTTGTATTAATATAGAGATTTCACAATGATCTCACCATTGGCACTTCTCTACAGAGTCCCTTGCTTTCTATAAAGTTTCCTTGACTTTGCTTATCTTTCTATTAGGTTGGTACAAAAGTAATTACGGTTCTTGTCATTTCTTTTATGGCAAAAACTGCAATTACTTTTGCACCAACCTAATATATATGTCAATGTTTGTTGTAGTAAAACTGGGCCTCATTGAAGAGTATTAACAAGTGCAGTCTAGAAAAATGAAAAAATCAGCAAAATAATGAATTGACTTGAGTAGCTCTTTGAGATTTCATATTTAAAATGAGAAAAATGGTTTCAGAAGCCATATAATGCACTGATAGGAAAAAAAAACAGTCCATTTAGATTTCTAAAGTCATTTTTGCTCTGCCATTCATTCCTAAATATATAAGGATTACTAAAACACTTCATTTTGGAAACTAATATTGGGACATACTGTTCATATTTTAATTGTTTGTTTGACCCAGAGCAAGTAGATCTATCTCTTGCTTCTGTTTCTTCTTCTTTAAAATAGAGATTATAATCGCAACTCGTGGACTTGTTATAAGGATTACATGGATTAAATTCATAAATCACTTAGAGCCCTGCTGGGCACAGTGTGAATACTATAAAGTGCCTGTTATAATTATTGTTCCTGACAAAAATCTAATTCCCTATATTTTTTCTTCGACTATTCAATAGCATATGATGGAAACAAGGGCCATGAAAATTAAACGTATTTGTAGATGAATTCCAATTTCTACTTCATTAGGAAGAAATGAAGCTGTAAGTTTTCCTTTTTTTGCACACACTGTTTTAATCAACAGACATCATGACATTTCAATCAGTGATAATTCAAGAAAGATTTGTTATTGCTAACATTTCTTCACTAATTAGTACTTTTTGTTAGAGGCCTAAATGAAGTGAACTACAGTTTTAGATTAAAAAAAAAAAAAAAAAGACTTATGCTCTTCCATTTAGCTTGTCCCTAAAGGTCCTCTTCACCCATCCCTGTGGGCAGCAGGTTACAATAAAAAAGAGCACCAGTCTGGAAATAAAAACCTTGTGCTGAATTGGCTGTGTGACTCATAAATTCTCCATATTTAAACAAGACATTTTCCCTTATTTAATTGAGTTTCCTGCAGGGGCTAAATGAAGATGATCATTTTGAATTATGAAAATTATATAATTCTCAGAAGCCTTTCACACATTATCTACATATGTTGGACAATGTAACATCAACTCCTCTAAAATTATACATCTAAATATATTCAGATTATCATTTATATCATTCATATATTACCCAGTTTTTTGCTTTGTTTTGTTTTTTGAGACAGAGTCTCGCTCTGTCACCCAGGCTGGAGTGCAATGGCGCGATCTCGGCTCCCGGGTTGAAGCAATTCTCCCACCTCAGCCTCCAGAGTAGCTGGGACTACAGGTGTGCGCCACCATGCCTGGCTAATTTTTGTATTTTTAGTAGAGGCAGGGTTTCACCACATTGGCTAGACTGCTCTCGAACTCCTGACATCAAGTGATTCACCCGTCTCGGCCTTCCAAAGTGCTGGGATTACAGGCATGAGCCACCACGCCCGGCCAATATATTACCCAGTTTTTTTGCTTTCTAGTAGGAAGGGAAAATAGTTTATATTTAAAGCTAATTAATACTTTAATAATTAGAATATTCTTAACAGCATTGGAATTATCTTTTCTTTCTTTCCATAAAGCAAACACAAATTTGACTGTATTTTTTTTTTTAAGACAGAGGGTCTAGCTCTGTCAGCTAAGCTGGAATGTAGCGGCATGATCATAGCTCACTGCAGCCTTGAACTCCTGGGCTGAAGTGATCCTCCTGCCTCAGCCTCCCTGGTAGATGGGACTACAGGTGCACACCACCATGCCCTGCTAATTTTTAATTTTTTTTATAGAGATGATATCTCCTTAAGTTGCCCAGGCTGGTCTCAAACTCCTGGGCTTGAGGGATCCTCCCAACTCAGTCTCTCAAAGTGCTGGTATTACAGTCATGAGCCACTGTGCCCTACCAATACTTTTTACCTTTCCAATGTTGACAAATCTCTGGCTGCTGCTTCTTGTTAGACGGTCACAAATACAAGAAAGATACTAATGCCAACATTTGCCTCTCAAAATATAACATCTTAAATATGGTTCTTTTACTCTCCATATACAAACATAGCTACTTTCTGGGACTGCCACTTGTATATCACAGTGCCAAGACGTCATCACCTTGTTTTTACTTCCAGGGTCACTAGTATTTAAAAGGTATGAGCAATCATTTTATTCATAACCAGACAAAATACTGCACCTCCTTGGAGACAACCACTGGTGTCACAAAAGGTAGGAAACATTTCCTGGAGTCAACACCACCACCACCAAAAAGAAAACAGACAAGCCAACAAAATATTGCTAATTCCAGGACTTCCAGGACAGGGAGTCTGGGTCAGACTGGATACAAAGCAGGAAACCCTGAAGGCTTCAGGAAAAACATCCCGGGACCCAGCCCATAGAGAAGGGAAGTCTGAGCTAAAGCAGCAGTTAGTCAGAGCAGTGGGCAGCCAGAGGGCATCGAGCTGGACTAAATCAACAGGTGCCCCTGGAAAGCGGTGCCCCCAGGGAACAATGCTGTAGAGATAGCACCAGGACGGAAATTGAAGTCTCAGAGCCCTCTCCTGAGCCATAACTGAAAGAATAGCAACTGAAGTGCCTGGGATAAATCACCCACAGGCAAAGGCAGAAGCAAGCCCTCCTTGAAGGAAACTTTCCTCAGGTAGGCTAAGTCTCCTACAGATTAAAAGCAAGCATGACCTTAAAAACAAGGATTCTCAAATACACAGAAAATCAAGCTGCTATGTATGAGAATCATCAGACAAAAAAAAAAAAACAAAGATTTAAAGTGAAGGAATTGCAGACCTTGAAACTGACATAATAGAAAATAGCTATAAGGGCCTGGTGCGGTGGCTCACGCCTGTAATCCCAGAACTCCGGGAGGCTGAGGCAGGTGGATCACAAGGTCAGGAAATCGAGACCATCCTGGCTAACAAGGTGAAACCCCGTCTCTACTAAAAATACAAAAAACTTCGCCGGGTGTGGGTGGCAGGCACCTGTAGTCCCAGCTACTCCGGAGGCTGAGGCAGGAGAATGGCATAAACCTGGGAGGCGGAGCTTGCAGTGAGCCCAGATCGCCCTGCTGTGCTCCAGCCTGGGCAACAGAGCAAGACTCCGTCTCAAAAAAAAAAAAAAAAAAAGAAAAAAAAAAGAAAATAGCTATGCATGAAATTTGTAAAAGAAAAGTGAAGTTACAAAGAGAAGCATAGAGTAAAAAACATGAGAAATAAGCACATTGAGCTGAAAAGATAGTAATTACAGAAATAAAATATTATAACTGTTGAAATTAAAGGCTCAATAAAGGCCAATAAGTATATTAGGTAAATAGCAAGAATTTTTTTAAAGAATAATAGATCATACGCCTATAATCCCAGCACTTTGGGAGGCTGAGGTGGGCAGATCACGAGGTCAGGAGATCAAGACCATCCTGGCTAACACAGTGAAACTCCATCTCTACTAAAAATACAAAAAAAAAAAAAAAAAAATTAGCTAGGCGTGGTAGCAGGCCCGTGTAGTCCCAGCTACTGGGGAGGCTGAGGCAGTAGAATGGCATGAACCCAGGAGGCGGAGCTTGCAGTGAAGCCAAGATCGTGCCTGCACTCCAGCCTGGGCGACAGAGTGAGACTCCGTCTCCCCCTGCCAAAAAAAAGAATAATAGATTATGTAATCCCAGCACTTTGACTTTGGGAGACCAAGGCAGGAGGATCCCTGAGGTCAGAAGTTCCAGACCAACCTGGCCAACGTGGTGAAACCCTGTCTCTACTAAAAATACAAAAATTAGCCAGGCATGGTGGCAAATGCCTGTAATTCCAGCTACTCAGGAAGCTGAGGCAGGAGAATCGCTTGAACCTATGAGGTAGATATTGCAGTTAGCCGAGATTGAGCCACTGCACTCTAGTGAGGTGACAAAGCAGACTCCGACTCAAACAAATAGTAATAATAATAGAATAGGCTGGGCGTGGTGGCCCATGGCTTTAACCCCAGCACTTTGGGAAGCCAAAGCAGGCAGACCACCTGAGGTCAGGAGTTCGAGACTAGCCTGGCCAATATGGTGAAACCCCATCTCTACTAAAAATACAAAAATTAGCCAGGTGTGGTGGCAGGCACCTGTAATCCCAGCTGCTGGAGGCTGAGGCAGGAACCTGGGAAGTGGAGGTTGCAGTGGGCCAAGACGGCACCATTGCACTCCAACCTAGGTAATAAGAGCGAAACTCTGTCTCAAAAAAAAAAAAGAATAATAGATTAGAGGAAGACATAGCAAAATAATTTATCCCCAATGTAGCATAATGAGACAAAACAAGTAAACATTAAAAGATATAGAGGCCAAGTGCAGTGGCTCACGCCTATAATCCCAGCACTTTGGGAGACCAAGACAGATGGATCACTTGAGGCTAGGAGTTCGAGACCAGCCTGGCCAACATGGTGAAACCCCATCTCTACTAAAAACATAAAAATTAGCCAGGCCTGGTGGTACATGCCTATAATCCCAGCTACCTGGGAGGCTGAGGCACAAGAATCTCTTGAGCCAGGAGGCAGAGGTTGCAATGAGCCGAGATTGCACCACTGCACTCCAGCCTGGGTGACAGAGCAGGACTTGGTCTCAAAAAAATAAATAAAAGAAAATAAAAGATATAGAGGATATAGAGGACAAAATGAGAAGGCTTTGGATTTTGTTGAAGATCAAAAAAATATATAAAAAGAAAGAAAATGAAGAGAACAAAAGAAAGGCAATAATAGCTGTAAAATTCCCAGTAGAGATGCAAAATAAGAAACCACAGATCCAAAAATACATCCATATTTGACAGATCATAATAAAATTATACAAAAAAAATCTTAAACGTGTTAAAGTGAGCCCCTACTTACAGACAAAATACATTCCTTGTGGCTGAGGTGCTCAAAGTTAAAACAGGTGGCCATGGCTGGGTGAGGGAGCAATCACACAGTTTGCGTTCTCAGAAAGTTGTTGTAAAAGTTATCATAGGACCTCCCTTTCTAGAATCAAGGCAGACCAGTTATTGTTGTTAGTGTCAGGATAAACTGCTTCCAGAAATCCTCCAACACCTGGCATTTGAAAGAAGCATCTGACAGATTTCTGGTTTGAGGGTTGGAAACCAACCAATCAGAGCTCATTTGTCCTAGTCCAAGGGCTGAGCTATATCAACCAATTAGGGCTTAACTGTATTGACCAATCATAACTAAGCAAAGTTCAATTCTTCTTTTGCATAAGTGAACCTGGTTGAGAAACTAGACAGGAACATTTGCTATAAAACCCAAACCCTCTCTTTGTTTTTGGAATGTATCTTTGTCTTACACTGCTATGTTTCTCCAGTTTGCAAACTATTCACTGGAATAAAGCCTCTTTCCTCCAAAATCCTTTCCAAAGAACTCTTGTTCATAAAAGCAACTAGAGAAAAAGCACAGCTCATATTTTTAAAAGAAGAAGATCAATTAAAATGACAGCAGAATTATTTTTGTTTCAATTGAGATGGAGTCTCACTCTGTTGCCCAGGCTGCAGTGCAGTGGCGTGATCTTGGCTCAGTGCAACCACCACCTCCTGGGTTCAAGTGATCCTCTTGCCTCAGCCTCCCAAGTAGCAGGGACTACAGGCACATGCCACCACACCTGGCTAATTTTGTATTTTTAGTAGAGACAGGTTTTTGCCATGTGGGCCAGGCTGGTCTCGAACTCCTAACCTCAAGTGATCTGCCCGCCTCAGCCTCCCAAAATGCTGGTATACAGGTGTGAGCCCAGCCAGCAGAATTCTTAACTAAAATTACAGCCTGAAGATTATGGAATAAGAACTTCCAAATGATGAGAGAAAATAACTGTCAACTTGGATTAATTATTGCAGCAGAATAAGGACAAAATAAAAATATTTTCAGATAAAAACTGACAGGGTTTAATCACAAGATCCCATCCAAAATACTTGCCACTACATTGGTAGGGAAGGAAAGATAAAACCTAAAATGTTTTAATATACATTTATCATATAGGAGAGGGATCAAGATGGTGTTTAGCTTTAAGGCTCTATTGGAGTAAATGTTTACAATACAATTATAAAGCTAAGGACTAAAGAAGAGAAGTTACATGTATAAATTCTAAGCAAATAAGATGTGAGAAAAGGAGGATAAAAACAAATGAAAACTCAATCACAGAAAAGGAAGAGGAGAAAACATAAGTTTTAAATGGTAGAAATAGCTCCAAATATACAAATAATCACAATAAATATAAATGTACTAGAATCATAAATTAAAGGACAACATCAAATTAAAAGGAAATGTAACATATTACATTTATAAAAAGTATCTGGTCTTTGTTTCCAGTCCCTGGCACACAGCTCCTAAAACACATGGAATCTGCATAAAGAAATGAGTGTCTCTTGTATGCTAATTAGATGACTGGTGACTGAGGGTCCCTAGTTAGCTTTGGGATTGGAACTAGGCAACAGGAAGACTAAGGCATGATTGAAGTATTAGAGCTTTCAACTCCTGGCCTGCAGGGAAGAGAGTGGGGCCAGAGATTGAGTTAATCACCAAAGGGCAATGATTTAATTAATCATGCCTATGTAATGAAACCTCCCTAAACAATGGGGTTCAGAGAGCTTCCAGGTTAATGAACACATTGAGGTCCTGGGAACACCCTGAGAGGGCACAGAAGTTCCACACACCTCGTCCATACCTGACTCTATGTATCTTTTAATCTGGCTATTCATTGGTATCCTGTATGACATCCTTCATAATAAACTAGTAATAGTAAAGTGCTTTCCTGAGTTCTAAAAGCCATGCTAGCAAATTATGGAACTTGAGAAGGGGGACATAGAAAACTCCAATTTATAACTGGTTGGCCAAAAGCAAAGATGGCAACCTGGGACTGGCATTTGCCATCTGAAGTAGGTGAAGCTTGGTAGGATTGAGCCCTTTAATCTGTGGGCTCAGTGCTAACATAGGAGAGTTAGCGTCAGAATTGAATTCAATCATAGGACACAAAGTTGGTGTCCATAGAGTTGGAGAATATATTGGTATAGAGAAAACCCCCACAAATTTGATGTCAAAAGTGTTGATAATAAATATAGGTCAGGAAAAAAGTTGTATCTTGCTTTTTAAAATTAGACATACATAAAGAAAAATTCATTTAGCAGACTTGGAGCCCAGTCTACAACCCTGGCACTCCCCATTCTGGTCTTTGCCTCAGGGTTATTGGTCAGGTACCACGTAAGACAAGTTGAAAATGCCTGGCAGTTAATGGCCCATGCTTTAGTCTGCATATTTTCTGTGGGCCTATATTCCGGTTCACTAATCCTATCTTTTGTTTTTCCAATTGGCTAATAAATGCATCTGTTGACTAATTAATTTCAATTATTGAATTTTTCAGTTCTAGAATTTATATTTAAAAAAAACATTTTAGAGGCAGGGTCTTGCTTGCTCTGTTGCCCAGGCTGGAGAGCAGTGATGCAATCACAGCTCACTGTAAACTTCTATTCCTGGGCTCAAGTGATCTGCCCGCTTCAGCCTCCCAAAATGCTGAGATTACAGGCGTGAGCCACTGCACCTGGCCTATAAATATTTTTTTGTCAAAGAAAAGATAAACAAAAAATTCAGCATAATGTTTTCCTCTGAGAGAGTGGCCAAAGACAAGCTGGAAAGAAGGCTATAGGTAGAATGACTGGCTTTGTTATAATTCCTGGTTTAGATAAACTCAGAATGAATATGGTTGAGTAAATAAACAAATGAATAAAAAGAACGGGAGGGTCCTGTGTGGAGCAATAATTACAGTACCATTGCTCTCATTCCTCTGCAACAGCTCACCTTTCTTACGAGCTACCAGAAGGAAAGTCTCCTTCCTATTTCAAGAGCAATTGGTTCCTTATATGAGACTTTGAAACATATCCAAATTAAATAATCTGTATCTTATTTGAAATCCCACCATTTTATCCCATAATACCATCCTCTCTTCCTTAGGACGAAAAGAAGAAGGAAGAAGGGGGACAATCTGGAATTTAATTTTTTTTTTTTTTTGCCTCAACGCTATGTTTGCATGGCATTGCTTCACGCCTTGAAAATGGACCTTCAGTCACTTTGACACTAAACAACCAAGAGTATAATTGTTTTAATTGCATTGAATAACTGATTGAATTAACAAAAAATCAGGCTTGTGTTTGATATATACTTAGCATAAATTGAGGCAGATTTCATTTTTCCATAAAGTTTTTAAAATTGTAATAAAATTAAAAGACTTTTCATCACAGAAGCCACAATATTCCCAATATTTTTTATTTCTCTGAAATCAAAAGGAGTTATTCTGCAGACACAAACTTGAATTGAAGAGTCACAGAATCTTACAAAGGACCTATGGTAGACTAATGGACCCCAAAATGTTTATATCCTAATTCCCAGAATATATGAATGTTCCTTTTTGTGGCAAAAGAGGCTCTGCAGATGTGATCAAGGTTATGAATTTTGAGATGGGGAGATTATGCTGGATTATCATAATAGGCCTAATCTAATCACATCAGCTCTTAAACATAGAAAACCTCTCCCAGCAATGGTCAGAGAGATGTGATGACACATAAAAAAGCAGGAGAGAGAAGGCAGGAGAAGGATGACAACTTACATTGTTGGATTTGAAGACAAAAGGGCCCACAAGTTAAGAAATACAGGCCACCTCTAGAAGCTGAGAATGACCACCAGCTGAGAGCCAGCAAAGAATGGTGCCTCAGTCTAACAACTTCAAGGGAATGAATTTGTATTTGTCGGTTCTCATGCTGCTAATAAAGACATACCCAAGGCTGGGTAATTTATAAAGAAAAGAGGTTTAATTGATTCACAGTTTCACATAGCTGGGGAGACCTCAGGAAGCTTACAATCATGGTGGCATGGGAAGCAAACATGTCCTTCTTCACATGGTGGCAGGAGAAAGAATGAGAGCCAAACGAAGGGGGAAGCCCCTTAATAAAACCATCAGATCTCATGAGAACTTACTATATTGAAACCAGGATGTGGGAACCTCCACCAATGATTCGGTTATCTCCACCTGGTCCCGCCCTTGGCACATGAGAATTATTACAATTCAAGATGAGATTTTGGTTGGGGACACAGAGCCAAACCATATCAGGTCCAATTTACTCCCTATCGAGATATAAAATAATATATGTGTGTTGTTTAAACCACTAAGTTTGTTGTAATTGATAAGGGCAGCAATAGAAAATGCATATAGAACCTTAGTGAACAGAGATGTGATTTCCTCAGAGTCTACAACTTTTAGGAAAAATATTAGGGGCAAAATACTGTACTATTAATTTATCTATTATCTTTAAATTTATTATTGGGAAAATTGGAATATACCCATAGTTTCCTGGTAATAATTATTGAACTGCTTCCTAATGTACATTAGCAAATTAACAAATGTTTTGAAAAGATGCAGAAAATGATTTTCTTAAATTAACATCAATTAGTTTTCAAGGAAAAAAATTACAAAAACTTTTTGTTTTGGCTTAGATGAAAATAATTTCCACATTTTAAAAAGTTGTCTCATGTACATCATTTAAGAAATGTTAGCTTTCATAGATGTGTACTGTGACTACTGCTATTCAACCTAGTACTAGAAGCCCTAGCCAGAGCAATCAGGTAAGGGAAAGAAATAAAAGGCATCCAAATAGTTAAAAGAGGAGGTCAAATTTTCTCTCTTTGCTGACAATACCACTCTATATCTAGAAAACTCTAAAGACTCCACCAAAAAGCCCCTGGATCTGATAAATAACTTCAGTAAAGTGTTAGCATACAAAATCAACATACAAAAGTTGGTAGCATTTCTATACACCAGTGATTTTCAAGCTAAGAGCCAAATCAAGAACACAATTTTTACAATAGCCATACACAAAAAAATAAAATACATGTAACCAGGGTGGTAGGAGAGCTCTACAAGGAGAACTACAAAACACTGCTGAAAGAAATCATAGATGACACAAATAGAAAAAACACTCATGCTTATGGATTGGAAGAATCAACATTGTCCAAATTGTCCATATTACCCAAAACAATCTACATATTCAATGCCATTTGTATCAAATCATCATCATTTTTCACAGAAAAAACTATTCTAAAATTCATATGGAACCAAAAAAGAGCTCAAATAGCCAAAGTAATTCTATGCAAAAAGAATAAAGCTAGAGGCATAATACCTGATGTCGAACTATACTACAAGGCTACAGTGACTGAAACAGCATGATACTGGTACAAAAATAGACACAGACCAATGGAATAAAATAGAGAACACAGGAGTAAAGCCACACACCTACAACCAACTGATCTTCAACAAACTCAACAAAAATAAGTAATTAGGAAAGGACTTTCTATTCAATAAACAGTGCTGTGAAAACTGGCTGTTTGTAGAAGAAGGAAACTGAACCCCTACCTATCACCATATACAAAATGACTAAAGGTGGATTAAAGACTTAAATGTAAGACCGCAAACCATAAAAATCCTAAAACAAAACCCAGGAAATACCCCTCTAGACACTGGCCTAGGGAAAGAATGTATGACTAAGTCCTCAAAAGCCAATTGCAATGAAAATAAAAATTGAAAATTGGGACCTAATTAAACTAAAGAGCTTCTGCACAGCAAAGGAAACTACCAACAGAGTAAACAGACAGCCTAAGGAATAGAAGAAAATATTCACAAGCTATGCATCCAACAAAGAACTAATATCCAGAATCTACAAGGAACTTAAATCAACAAGAAAAAAAGTAACCCCATTAAAAAGTAGACCAAGTACATGAACAGATACTTCTCAAAAGAAGACATAAAAAGGCCAACAAACATATGAAAAATAGGCTCAACAACACTAATCATCAGAGAAATGCCAATCAAAACTACAATGAGATACCATCTCACACCAGTCAGAATGACCATTATTAAAAAGTCAAAAAACAACAGATACTGGTGAGGCTGCAGAGAAAAGGGAATGCTTATACTCTGTTGGAGGAAATGTAAATTACTTCACTATAGAAATCAGTTTGGAGATTTCTCAAAGAATTAAAAATAGACCTTCCATTCTACCCAGCAATCCCATGACTGGGCATATAACCAAAGGAAAATAAATCATTCTACCAAAAAAAAAACAACACACACACACGCATGCATATGTTTATTGTAGCACTATTCACAATAACAAAGAAATGGAATCAACCTAGGTGCCCATCAACAGTGGACTGGATAAAGAAAATGTGGTACATATATACCACGAACACTACACAGCCATAAAAAAGAATGAAATCATGTCCTTTGCAGCAACATGGATGCAGCTGGAGGCCATTATCCTAAGCAAATTAATGCAGGAACAGAAAACCAAATATCACTTATAATGTCACTTATAAGTGAGAGATAAACCTTCAGTTTGTTCCCTTCAGTTCAGTTCCCACAAACATATTGATGGGAACAATAGATACTAGGGGGCCTAAAGATGGTCAAAGGAATGAAAAACTTCCCATTAGGTACTATGCTGACTATCTGGGTGATGGGACTATAAAAGTCCAAACTTCAACATCATGAAATGTACCCTTGTAACAAACCTGCACATGTATCCCCAACTCAAATTAAAATTAAAAAAGAAATGTTCATTTTATTAGCAACAGAACTCATGTAGACTTCCAACAAAAAAGCTGTTTGCTGCTGTTCTTATACTACAAGAGCAGCAGGCAGGTTCCCTGGAGAGTTCAGGGTGGACCACTATGGAAATTATTGCTTTATTAATTCAATAAAACATGTATTTTAAAATATTATAAATATAAGAAATCTAAAAAATATGAAGGGCGTTTAAAATAAAAAGAGATTGTAGAATTTATTAATGGGCCATAGAGAACGTTTTTAAGTTGGAAAGCCAGCAAATTGTACTGGAAATACCTTAAACTTGGGGGCAAAACATTTCTCGTCATATAGCCTTGGACAAAAATCCCTCTAGGGCTCAATATTCTTATCTGTAAACTAGTGGAGGACCAAATCTGTTTCTGCCTGAATGCCATATTATTTTATGAACCAAATGATACAGTGCAGATGAAGGTGACATGTAAAGAGAGCACAAAAATTACTCTGGACTAGGAGCCAGAAGCCCTGAGTGTTCCTTCCCAATCTGCCACATGACATTGTATTCCATAGCAAGCCATTTCAGCCTTCAAAATTTCAGTCCTATCATCTGAAAAACAAATAATGTAACATTGCCTTTGAACATCGTAAGATGCTGTCTTTGATATTATTTTCAAATAGCAAAGCTATAATACACCTGAGACTTTTTGGATACATAAGAAGGACAGCTCACTTTCAAGGAGTCAGGTCCAAAGAAATCTGAATACTCTCTGAGTAAATGATGAGATAATGTGTTGTGGATGGAGTTGTTGTCCCAGATACAAAAATTCATGATTTTAGACTGCTATGTAAACCTACAAGTTTGGATTAATTCCCAAAGGAGCTTAATCCTTAAAGGAAACACTCTTTGAAAGAGAATCATTAAGTATATGTGCAAGATTAATGGAAGAGAGACCTAAAGTGAAGCCAAAAAAGAAAGGCATTGCACAGAAACTTTCTGAAAGTCAAGAGGTAAACACTAACAGCATTGATATAATGAAGAGGACTTCCACATATTACTTCATGAAGAGAGGATTCTGTCTCATGTGTTTTCAGAAATACCTGAAAGGGTTATATGATATCTCAGTAATGAGAAATATCACAAAAGCTAGCCCACTCATCTCTTTGAATGGAATCTGGAGTATCTAACATGTCATTAAATTAAGAACATAAAAGTAGAATACCATTTTTTGGGGGGTTTTTGCCATGCAATTGAGACTCTTTTTCTTACAAAAATGGTCAGAATACTCTAATGTTTCTGATTAGAACACAATTCCACCAAACTAATCATACATGCTCAGATGGGCCAGGTATCTTATTTCTAATATAAATTACAAAAGAAAATGTGTATTCTGTCCAGGTGGATCAGAACCCAGAAATTCTAACAACTACTCCTTAATTGTACTTTCCACTGTTAAGACCAAAGATGATAACCTGCTGTTAATAATTCTTCCAGAAACCTCCCTGGATGCTGACATACTGTTTCTGAACAAGTTGTGATTATTTATCCCTCTCTTCTTGCAATTGTTTACAAATATCAAGCTTCTCATTCAGAATTAAAATTTTAATTTCTCCCAACAAGTAGTAGAGCATCACTTGGCAAATCCACAGTATGGCATCATTATATCTTCATAAAAGATAGGATTTTTAATATAATCACTAGGTCATTAAAAATGTAATGGCAAAATATTAAAAATTTTAAGGAAACTAGCTCAGAAATAAACCAATTATAATTGAATTATAAAAATGAACAATAAAATTATAACACATAAGAGTGTTATTGTATGGCTCTTTAAAATCCCCACCTTGCCTTTGGAATCACGGAATCACTCAGACCTGATTTAAATCCTCTCTCTGACACTAATTCATGTTAGGAACTTAATCATCTTAACCTGTTTACATTACAGTATGCTTGGTAAGACTATCTAGTTTATAGGACTGTGGTGAAAATTAAAAAAGGAAATATGTGCAAACCTCCTACCATAATATATATTAAACCATCAATAAATAAATGGTAGATATTTCTCTTTAATTAGTCCATAACCATAAAAAGTAGAGAAAATCATTCCAATTTTACAAATGAAAGCTCTGCAGAAATAGAATCTAGAAACCACTTTGGTGACACCAGTGTAATAATCAGAGCAACCTTTTAGAACTGTATAGAAGTTTGTCATTTAAAACTTTTAAAGTATCTTATTTGATACATATCCATAGCAATAGACAATTCATACACTTTTAGAGAAGAGAAAATTGAGGCTTAGAGAAATTAAATGACTTTTTAATAATCACTGTTATTGTAGTAGATGTATTTTGGTTGCATAGCGTTTTTCTTTGTCTTAAAACATGTCCTGTCCTCTTCTTCATTTATAGGGTTCCTGTGAGAACTTCCAAGCTTCAGATCATTCCCTTTTCTGTCTAGAGTTGATTGGCTCATGAGTGGGAAGAAAACTCAAATAGGGCAATAATAGTAGCCTACATTCACAGAGACCACAGTTGATTGGTCCAAGGGTAGACATCTGACTCAGTCTGAGCCAATGGGTCCCATCTCAAGATTTTTTGAAAGTTCTCTCTGATGACAGGGGTTTAATATGTTTAACTCTGGAGTTGTGTGTTGGCTTCTGTGACTTCTGTAGAATGTGAAAGATGATTCTGAGCAAGAGAAAAGGATAAAGTAAATAAACAAATTGAAGTAAAGATGTAAGAGAGCAAGAGAGTCCCTGTTCCAATTTTTCATGAGATGCAGGCTCATCACATCCCTGTTCTTGGGTTCCATGTGGTACACCAGTATCCTTGTTCTAAAAAATTCCATTTTAGATGAAGCCAGTTCATATGGTTTCTGTAACTTGGAGCCAAGAGAGACTAAAAGGAGGTTTTCTTCTACTAAATTTGGTAATCATCTCACTAGATAAGACACTAATAACCATCGCTGTCTTCCAAATACCTCCTTTTGCCATTTTTATTTATTTAATATTTGGTCCTAAGTAGGAAGTGTGATGAGCTTGAAATTCTATGCATGCATCGAATGTATTACAGTATATATGAAGGAAATGACCCAAAACATAGAGGGAAAGACCCATGCCCTAAAACTGCTTCAATTCATCCAGTATACACTCAATTCAGCTAATGAATGTTAAATTATTTAAGCCTGCCCTTCTCCATATAACCCCAGTTCATTCCATATGTTTGTTGTTTGCTTGCTTTTCCTGCTGTTGGTATTCCCAACCCCCAAACTACAACCTTGACAGCTGTTTACCTAGCAAAGTGTTGTTGCTTGTATCTCAGCAGAGAGGTAATTTCAAGAAGTCTTCCCTTAATTTCCAGCTCTGGGTTCTGTGCACCTCCTTGTGCTCTCTGAGCACCTGTATTTGATCTACTATAACTCTTATTCCTCTGCAGTGAAATTGCCTAATAAGGTCTACCAATATAATGTAAGTCTAAAGGGCAATAACTACCTATTTCAGTAGTGCATTTTTGGTAGCTAGAATATTGTATAACATGTAGTGGGCACTCAACAAATATTTGTGAGAGTCACTCTTTGTGAATAAACTCCCTTGGAGATTTCTAACAACTTCAAAAGCACCCACATGCAAACAAATCGCTGATGAGATTATCTCCTTACTGATGAAAGCATCTGAGATTACTCAGTTGTGTTGGGATACACATTAGATTGAAAGCTACTCAATTTTAATATGCCTGAAGTCCTCTTTGGAAATCTGATAAACAGAGTATTAAAGGCAAATTTAAATGGGCACTGAAATAGGAACTGCCTTTGGAGCATGTTTAGACAATTCTATTTAAGGTTGATAATAGAGAATGAAAGATTAATATCTATATTCCAGCAAAGGACAATAAGAACACCAAATATTGTCCCCCTAGAAAAGCAAATTACAACAGGTTAAAATTGAGAATTGTATAATGGTTCTCATCTAACTGGCTATTGACTCATATTTTGGCAATATTATTGTAGACTATCAATTCTCAAAAAACAAAAAAATGTTTTGCCATATGGGAGTGGACAAAACTGTGTAACCGAATCTCTCTCAGAATCTATTGGAAATGACAGTGATTAAATAAAATAACACAGTTAAAGAAATATATATGCTACTCGGATTCCATCAGCAATTTAAATGGTATGAAACAAATGATCCCCCTCACTAGGTGACATCAATCTGACATAAACAATAGCACTAGGAGAGAAACATACCTAAATATACTCCTGTCAAAAAGACTTAGGTTGAAGAGAGGCAGAGAGGAAGTCCAATGTTTTAGTTTCTATCAACTGTTTGACACAGTGTTTTCATCCTACTGCTGATCTTGGCCCTCCACTGTTTTTCTTAAGATTTCTAGAAATTTACAAGGGCATTGTGCATCCTAGGCAGGAGAATGGCAGTGCTTGGTAATGTGGTATGTCTAATATCATGCCTGGCACATACTATGCATTTAATAAATACCATTCAATAAGTGAAAGAACAAAACTAGCCAGCTTATTGCTTGGCTATACACTTTAAACTTATTTTGCAAATGCTTTTCAATTTTTAATTGATTTTTAACAACAACAAACCTTGGTAGTACATGAAAGCAAAGCAGTTTTATTCATAAATAGAATAGACGGCCTTTAACACATCTTGAGTTTAAAGCATGCCTCTCCCAAACTATGTCTATGTCTGTCATTAGAGTCACTTTTGGTTTGTTTATAGAAACACACTAGTGAAATCCAAATGTTTTCTCTGGGTCAAGTATTTGAATATAAACGTACCTATAGTTCTCAACAAATGGGAAAAGACCAATTTATCCACTTCCCCAGAAAATATCTTTAAAATCAGAAAAGTGACAATAATATATTAATATTGTGCCAACATGATTAGTAAACTAAATAAAACAATTTCCTACAAATATGTGTTTAGTATAAGTCCTTCAAAAAGAAACAGGAAACATAAAAGTCTATAAACCATTTGTGATGGTTAATACTGAGCGTCAACTTGATTGGACTGAAGGATGCAATATTGATCCTGGGTGTGTCTGTGACAGTGTTACCAAAGATGTTATCAGTGGGGTGGGGAAAGCAGATCCACCCTTAATCGGGTGGGCACCATCTAATCAGCTGCCAGCAAATATAAAGCAGGCAGAAAAACATGAAGAGGCGAGACTGGTCTAGCCTCCCAGCCTACATCTTTCTCCCGTGTTGGGTGCTTCCTGCCCTCGAACATTGGACTCCAAGTTCTTCAGCTTTGAGACTTGGACTGGTTCTCCTTGCTCCTCAAGCTTGCAGACCGACTATTGTGGGAACTTGTGATTGTGTAAGTTGTGTAAGTTAATATTTAACAAACTCCTATATATATTATATATTATATATAATACGTATTATATAATATATATAATATGTATTATATGTAATATAATATATGTATTATAGGAAATATATAATAGATATAATATATAATATCACATATATTATTGTTATAATATGAATATTAATAATATAATTATAATTTATTTTACATATTACATATAATATATATTATTTTATATTATTACATTATATATTATATAATAAAATAATATATATTTTATATAATATGTATATTTCATATATATGAAATATATATATTTATATATAATAGGATATATATATATATCCTATTAGTTCTGTCCCTCTTGAGAACCCTAATACACCATTAAAGAAATATTAGCAGTTGAAAATCTACCCAGGTCATCCAAAGCATTTCAAACTACATTACAGATAAATTATACTAAATAATAAAGAAAAATTGTTACAAACTTCACAAACTCTTCCAGAAAAAGGAGGAAGAGAAGAAACACGCTGTAACTTTTTTTGAGGATAGCATCACCTTAATATAAATATTAGAGTTTAAAAGGAAACTTTAGACTAAACTCCTTATTAACAGAATTGAAAAAAATGAGTAATACATTTTAGATTTATTCTATCAATACAAGATGAATTTTACAATAGAAAATATTATTCACCACCTAAACAGAGTAAAGAACATTCAGATAATCACAGAAGCAAGGCAAGCATTCAGAAAAATTCTATACCAATGAATGACAAAACTTTTATAAAAGTCAGTAAGAGATTGGAATTTCAGTAAAATCACCATCTAGTGTGATATTTATTGTAAGTTTTATATAGATCCTTTTATGCTTTCAGATAAAAAGGATCTACATAAAACTTACAATAAATATCACACTAGATGGTGAATCATTAAAAGCATCCCCTTTAAATTCAGGAATGGATAATATCTGGAATTATCACTTTTAACCACATAGACCTGAAGGTTCAAGCCATCCAGTAACATGGAAAAATCAATGTTTGAAGGAATAAAGATTGAAAAGGAAGAAACTAAACAATTATTATTCCCACACATAGATACCCCAAAAGTTAACATGGGAAATTTGTGAGAACTAAGAGAATCCATCGAGATTGATGGACATAAGGTAGTTTTAAGTCTCATTTCTATATACTAGCAACCAATAAAATAAAATTTTAAAACATCAATTTAAATAACAATAAAACATAGTAGATAGAAATGAATTTAAGAAAGAGCTTCATGGAGAAAAGTATAAAAACTTACTCTAAGACATTTTAAAATACCTGGATAAGTTCTTTGCGGGGACATAAATGAAGTTGGAAACCATCATTCTCAGCAAACTAACACAAGAACAGAAAACCAAACACCGCATGTTCTTACAAGTGGGAGTTGAACAATGAGAACATATGGGCACAGGGAGGGGAACATCACACACTGGGGCCTGTAGGAGGGTGGGGGGCAAGGGGAGGGAGAGCATTAGCACAAATACCTAATGTAGATGACTGGTTGATGGGTGCAGCAAACCACCATGGCACATGTATACCTATGTAACAAACCTGCACTTTCTGCACATGTATCCCAGAACTTAGGGTATAATAAAAAAATACCTGGATAAGTGAACAAGGATAATAAAATATGATATTTCTCAAACTTAGCTGTGGCTGCTCATTGGAATCATTTGGAGGATTTTAAAAAACACTGACCTCTGGGCCCCACTCCCAGAAATCATGATTAAATTGATCTGGAGTGCAGGCTAGGCTTTGGAAGTGTGCAGAGCTCCTCAGGAGACTCTAATATGCAGTAAAGGTTGAGAACGAATATTCTAGTGAATGCTGTGGTGCCCACCCCGATCCCCACATATGAAAGAAACACCCCATTCCTCCAGCTGCTTAGAGTAGTACTGGCAACTGATAAGCTGTCAGGTGACTCCCATCCCCAGAACTTGCCCTCAAGTACTTCAGCTGAGGACAGCAGATACGTAAATTACAAAATTGAACAGATTCTGGCATACTTAAACAATCTCATATAGGTGATCCGTAACAATGATGCAGTTCTTCCCTCTTGTGTTGGTCCTGGCAGCCTATGATTTCTAATGTCCTTGTACATGCACGGCATTGATTCATCACCTGGTTTACCTTGTGACATCGCACATCCCTTCCCTTGTCCATCAGTCTCACTAGAGACATCCTGAATGAAACGATTTCCACACCATTATAACTAGGATGAACTTTCATTCTCATTTGCCTGGGACAGTCATACTTTACAGCTATCTCCCAGTGCCATTATTAATAGCACCCTTTTCACTCTCATAAGTGTCCCACTTTGGTAAAATTTATGATTGCCAAAATTGTAATTCAATTTTATGATCACCATAAATGCAATAGTTGAAGACAGGCTTTTGAGAAGGAAACTTCATCTCTTAGAAATAAAGACACTGAAGTAACTTTTAAACAAACATAGCCATTCTTTCCAGCAGTAGAGAGAGATGAATAGCACCCAGTCTTACCAATATTCAGAAAGTCCTTGCCATAAACAGAGACTGCAGGTCCCTACAGCAGATGTTCACTAAGGAGATGGAATGGGACTAGGTGGATGAAAAGAAGCTGTTCTCCATGCTGCCTATTGCAGGAGAAAGAAATGGTTCTCTGACAGCATGACTAATGATCACTTGTCCAAGCCTTGCCCTTTCACTGGCCAAATCACCTGACCTCTGAACTGATACACTACTTTTAGAATCCAGATTCTCAGAATTCTTAGTAACTTGTCCAGCTCCCAAAACTAACTTTGTAATTCCCAGAAAGAAAACAAGCTGTGAAAAATGCCTGTAGTACGACCAGTAGTCAGTTCTAAATACACACTTTAAGTGGAAAAGTGTATACTATATTTTCTATGCCTATCTTTGATACAGTAATATATGAACATTAGAATGGCAGCATTAAGAGTGCTTTCATGATGATCAAAATGTTATAATTATAATCAAATGAAAACTGAACACAGCATTGTTTATATATTAAATGGGGACACAAAAATGAATTAAAGCACACATTAGTGATATGGAACTTTCAGTGATGCGCAATTCTTCAAAAAAAGTGAGACAATCCCAAATTTCCAATCTATTTGTCCACAAAGACAATTTATAAATCTAATAAAGTAATAAATATTAATAAGACGGAAATGAAGATTTTAAATTGTTTATCTAAATTTAGGAATATATATATATATATATATATAATATATGCTAAGCAGAAAGATTATCATGTGAAAATCTCCCCAGAAAAAAATTCCTTTCTTTTAGAAAATTGCCAGAGCTCCAAGTAAATTGAATTAATGTGAACAACTGATACCAGTGAGGGCTAGATAAATATCACTGGAATCCACCTGGCTTAAGGAATAAAAATTCTCTGGTTGAAAGTATTTTATTAAAGGAAGAAAATCATTCAACCATATGATCTCCAAGGAGAAAAATCCTAAGGAACAAGTATCCATCTTACAAAAAAAATCGAATAGGACCTACATTCTGATATAAATGCTGATGGTCTCGCCAAATGTTCTCATGCTGCTGAGATTTCCCCTACAGCTTGAAATGAAAATTCAACCATAACTGGCACGTAGGGACATGTTCCTTGTTCAAAAATCCAGTATCGCCAAGTGAAGTAAAACCCAGTGTATGTCAACCTTGAGGGGATTGGTGTTTTTATTTGGCTCAAGAATTTGATATGTAGAACATGAGCTGGGAACACAATTTAACCCAATTCCCATCTCAAAGCCTAAATCCAAATGAATAAATGAATCCCTTTTGGGTTTTATCTGCCTGGTACAATAAAGACACTGTCACGTTAAAAGAAAGCTGTGACATGATGGACCAAGTGGACTCCTCCCACAGCATTGAAGCCAGTGCCAAGGAACTGGAATATTTGTAGGATGAAACCATATCCTGACGGGTTAGTCTTCATGTATATCCAACTGTTCCTTGTTTGGCAATCTGAAGCTATTCCAAAAGGGCATACTATTCTATCAGCAACAGTGGAGGCAAGGTTGTTTACAAATGCCACCTACAAAGTTACTAGCTTTTGAAACTTCCATGTGCTTCCATCCCATTAGGCAATGCTGCTTCCCATTCTGTTAACAAGGGCCAGTGTCTCTGGCAGGTGTAGCGAGTTTAGACAGAGATGTCTTGCATAGGCATCCCATAGAGCTGACCCTAGACCATCATTTTGAATCCCTGGAAAGCCAAAGCAAGAAGTGCTTCTGAAACAACCTCAGGTTCATGCCAAGTCCCTAGCTGTACAAGAAAGAGACATATTTTTTATATACTCCCAACTAGAGTTTTTGTAGCTGAGAATACGATTTTTAGTCCTCAGCATACCAGTGAGAATTAGGTTTTGGACCTCAGCATGGTACCTCATGGAAACTGGAAATACATGACTTTCTACTTTCTCTAAATATCTGTTTTAAGCCCTGCAAAACTTAGGGAATGTTAGGAATCCGGTGACTGCATGAGGAATATAACTTCTGCCACTTTCAGGTGCTTATTAACTGGCATCTGAATATTTTAAGCTATCTAGAAAGCATAGTAAATAATATACTTCTAAAACACCCTTCATTAAAAAGTAGTAACAGCATCAATGAAAACCTGTTTATAATACAAATGGGTACTTATTCATATCAAGTATCTAGTGAGCAAAAATATATATATGTAGGTAACAAATATTATATGTTTACATGGTTTTATGTCTCCTCATTAATTGAAAGTTACCTACTTGGGTCAGCCATGCACTGACCAAAATTTAGAAGGATTTTTTATTGTACTTAGTTCCCCTTCTACACAATATGATAATTAAATTTATCTGTCAACTTAGTGGGCCTCAGGTGCTCAGATAGTTGGTCAAACATTATTCTGGGTGTGTCTGTGATGATGTTTTTGGATGAGATTGACATATGAACTGGTAGACTGAATACAGCAGATTGTTCTCCCTGAAGTGGGTGGCCCTTATCTAATCAGTTGAAGGCCTAAATAGAAAAAATAGGCTAGCTCCCCCGATGAGTAAGAGGAAATTCCTCCTGCCTGACTGCCTTTGAGCTAAAACATCAGTCTTTTTTTGCCTTTGAACCCAGAATGAAACATAGGCTTTTCTAGGGTCCCGAACCAAACTGGGTTTTGGACTAGAACTTACACCACTGGCTCTCTTGGTTCTCAGGCTTTCAAACTCGAACTGAAACTACATCATCAGCTCTCTTGGGTCTCTGAGTTGCTGAATGCAGATCTTGGGGTTTATACTCCTCCATAATCATATGAGCCAATTCCTTATAATAAATAAATATATCCTGTTCCATTTCTCTGGAAAACCCTGACTAATACACATGAGGAAAACCACCGAAATAATTACCAAACCACCAAAGAGTTTCAAAACTAGCCTTTGGAATTCAAGTTCAGTTAATGAACGAATATACTTTTAAATATCTAGTGAATCAGAGCTGCTCTGGGCAACACTGAAGAAAAACACAATAAACACAGTCTAGTGAAGAAAAGACAACATATCTAGGCTAGGGAAAGAGATACTTATTATGTAGATAAGAAAACTTCTATACATGAAAAACCAAGGAAAATTTCCATGAAAAAATATAAACAAGTGCTAGATGGTGAAGAAAAGAGTTACTTTAATGTCAGAAATAGCCCTGGGTTAACCAAAATTATTGACACAAAATTCAGTTCTTTCACATCTGCATTTAGCATTTCCTGCTTTATCTAAATTATTTCATGTCTTCCTTAAATTTGGAAACCTCAGTCATCTACATTATATTACATGTCAAGTTGCAGACTAGGAAACAATAACCTATATACACAGAGAGAGGAGATATATATATATATATATATATATATATATATATATATATGTATATAGCGAGAGAGACTATACATATATACCCTATGTGTATAGCCTGGATATATGGTGTGTGTGTGTGTGTGTGTGTGTGTGTGTATATATATATATATAAAATAAAGAAAATACAATTAAAACCACAATGAGATACCACTACAAACCTACTAGAATTACTAAAATTTTAAAAAGTTGACATTGCCTAATGTTAGCAAGACATGGAGCTATTGGAACACTCATATACCCTGATCATGGAAGTGTAAAATGTTGCCAACACTTTGGGAGTGGTTTGACGGTTTCTTAAAAGTGGAAAGTAAATTTACGTATGATCTAAAAATATATGTTTTCCCAAAGATCTACAAGATAAATAAAAATACATGTCTATACAAAATCTTGTCTTAAATGTTTATAGCAGTTTTGTATGTAATAGTGAAAAAGCAGAAAACTGGGAACAAACTGAATGTACATTAACAAATGAATGGAAATACAAACTAGATATTTTTATGCAATGGAAAATTACACAGCAGTGAAAAGCAGTGAATTGCTGAGGTACACAACAAAAAGATGAACCAAAAGGTATGCTAAGCAAAAGAAGACAGATGCAAAGAAATACATATAATTTTATTTATCTAAAATTCTAGAAAGATAAATCAAAGTATAGGTATAGAAAGCAAATCAGTAAATACCTGGGGCTAGTGGTGAAGCATAGGGACTGATTAGGAGAGGGCATAAAGAAAGCTTTGGAGGTGTTGAAAATGTTTTATATTTTGTTGCTGATGGCAGTAACATGGAATATATATTTGTCAAAAATCATCAACCTCTACAGTTACCATGGGTGCATTTTGCTGTATGTAAATTATCCTTCAATAAAATTGATTTTAAAAATCCAAAGAAAACCCAAAGTCAAGTCTAATGTTCTTCTGGATACTCACATGAAAGAGTTCCTTACCTCCTTTCAGTCTTTGTTCAAATGTCATCTTCTCAGTGAGGACTTCCCCTACCACTCTATTTAAAATTTCAACCAGGCTTTCCAATTCTTAACCCTTCTTCTACCCTCTTCCCTACGGTGCTTAGTGTCAGCTAATACACTATATAGTTTACCTAGATTGTATATTTATCATTTATTGTCTGCTTTCTCAAACTAAAATGAAATTTCCATAAAGCTGCAAATATTTTATATTTATTTTTATGTTTCGTTCACTGATGCAACCCCAATAGCTATGTACCTTACACACAGCACATGTGCAATAAGTCTGTACTGGATAAATGAATGAAGTTCCAAAGAGCAAATTTTTTCAGAGCAATCCAGTTTTAGCAAGCCACTAGAGGAAAAGTATTGGGATACCTTTGGGTAATCACATTTCTATGTTGTCATATCTAAACAGTCTTTCTCAAATGTATTTGCAGTGTTACTGGTTAAGTCTAAGTAACAATTGACACATAATCTTGGTATTAAACAGGAGAAAGACTGAGAAAAATATTTTTTAAAGGACGCAAAGACCATGGTGCCACAGTCAATGATACAACAAAGGAGCTGACACGTACCCTATTAAAATGTCACTTTAATCACATTTACTCTTAGGAATGCTTTCAAAGTTAATTTACTCTTAGAACCATTCAAGAAGGTTTATTTACCTGTGTCAAAGAAGGTTTATTATATTTACTTTAATCAAGTTATTTAACCTCTCTGGATCCGTTTTCTCAACTGTAAAATGAATAGGGTTTTCAGACTACGTAGAATCATTGAGTTTTGAAGAAGCTTCTGAGAAATCTAAAGGGTGTTTTTGGCAAGTAGAGCTGGGCTTAGGTAATTAATGAAAAATTTTTGGAGCCAAGTCATCAACATATCAGAACGCTAGAGAGAAAATTCACAAATTCCAGCTAATTCTCCGCTTCCCCAAAGCTAAATTGTCCCACTCTTCTTTTGATTCTATGGGTTACCACAGGGATTCTCCCATAACCTCACCCCCTCTTTTAAAAGTATGTTGACCAGGGTCATCCTCTATCATTTGTCACTGAGAATCCTGAATGATAAAGAAATTGGTCCTTGTTGAAGTGGGGTATCACATGCAGCAAATGCTAAAATGTGAAAATAACTGAAGTTTAAATGAGAAACATCAAGGTTTTCTTGCATTAATTGAGAAAATTTCAATTCTTGCTAGTTTAAATAGAAAAAAATGTTTGATTAAGATGCCATCTGTTATATTTTGAAGCCCAGATCAAATGACTAGACTGGACTTCCAGGCTACTGATAGGAAAGGTCAGTATGCTGAAGTGTGTCAGTTACTTCTTTCAAATTTTCATAAAATGTTACAAGACAGCGATGATCCACTGACATAGCTATATGTATAGGTTTTACCACAAAAGTTCATGTGAAATAATTGCTGGGGGTTCCTGTCATTTTTACTGCATTTTCTAAGTGTTTGTTGTAATTGTTAAAATTGTGCTAATGAAAAACTAGCACATTTAGATTATAAAAAAATTTCAATTGTAAATCACATTACTTTTCTATGTCCTCCAATATTGATCGAGATACAGTACATATTATTAATATAGAAGAGCTTAGCTAATTATAATGCAAAGACTCAGATCTTCCCAAGCATTAAATATGTCATGTTTTTATGACTCTCTGAGAAAACCTGTTATTGTCTCTTTATGTAATTGTACCTTTAACTTTCCTTATTTGCCATTTATAAAAAGCCTTTATAATGCTTAATTGTAGATGTATCTTTCTACCAGTCACATCACTGTTTTATTGTGACAATCAGACAAAACAACTTTAAAGAATTGTAAACAAAGTTTCATCAGCTTATACTTGCATTGTTTTTCTTTTTTTTATTATTTTATCTTAAGTTCTAGGGTACGTGTGCACAACCTGCAGGTTACATATGTATACATGTGCCATGTTGGTGTGCTGCACCCATTAACTTGTCATTTACATTAGGTATATCTCCTAATGCTATCCCTCCCCACTCCCCCCCACCTCACGACAGGCCCCGGTGTGTGATGTTCCCCTTCCTGTGTCCATGTGTTCTCATTGTTCAATTCCCACCTATGAGTGAGAACATGTAGTATTTAGTTTTCTGTCCTTGCAATAGTTTGCTGAGAATGATGGTTTCCAGCTTCATCCATGTCCCTACAAAGGACATGAACTCATCATTATTTATGGCTGCATAATATTCCATGGTGTATATGTGCCACATTTTCTTTACCCAGTCTATCATTGTTGGACATTTGGGTTGGTTCCAAGTCTTTGCTATTGTGAATAATGCCGCAATAAACATACGTGTGCATGTGTCTTTATAGCAGCATGATTTATAATCCTTTGGGTATATACCCAGTAATGGGATCGCTGGATCAAATGGTATTTCTAGTTCTAGATCTTTGAGGAATCACCACACTGTCTTCCACAATGGTTGAACTAGTTTACAGTCCCACCAACAGTGTAAAAGTGTTCCTACTTCTCCACATCCTCTCCAGCACCTGTTGTTTCCTGACTTTTTAATGATTGCCATTCTAACTGGTGTGAGATGGTATCCCATTGTGGTTCTGATTTGCATTTCTCTGATGGCCAGTGATGATGAGCATTTTTTCGTTTGTCTGTTGGCTGCATAAATGTCTTCTTTTGAGAAGTGTCTGTTCATATCCTTTGCCCACTTTTTGATGGTTTTTTTTTTTCTTGTAAGTTTGTTTGAGTTCTTTGTAGATTCCAGATATTAGCCCTTTGTCAGATGAGTAGGTTGCAAAAATTTTCTCCCATTCTGTAGGTTGCCTATTCACTCTAATGGTAGTTTCTTTTGCTTTGCAGAAGCTCTTTAGTTTAATTAGATCCCATTTGTCAATTTTGGCTTGTGTTGCCATTGCTTTTGGTGTTTTAGACATGAAGTCCTTGCCCATGCCTATGTCCTGAATGGTATTGCCCAAGTTTTCTTCTAGGGTTTTTATGGTTTTAGGTCTAACATTTAAGTCTTTAATCCATCTTGAATTAATTTTTGTATAAGGTATAAGGAAGGGATCCAGTTTCAGCTTTCTACATATGGCTAGCCAGTTTTCCCAGCACCATTTATTAAATAGGGACTCCTTTCCCCATTTCTTGTTTTTGTCAGGTTTGTCAAAGATCAGATGGTTGTAGATGTGTGGTATTATTTCTGAGGGCTCTGTTCTGTTACATTGGTCTATATCTCTGTTTTGGTACCAGTACCATGCTGTTTTGGTTATGGTAGCCTTGTAGTATAATTTGAAGTCAGGTAGCGTGATGCCTCCAGCTTTGTTCTTTTGGCTTAGGATTGACTTGGCAATGCGGGCTCTTTTTTGGTTCCATATGAATTTTAAAGTAGTTTTTTCCAATTCTGTGAAGAAAGTCATTGGTAGCTTGATGGGGATGGCATTGAATCTATAAATTACTTTGGGCAGTATGGCCATTTTCATGATATTGACTCTTCCTATCCATGAGCATGGAATGTTCTTCCATTTGTTTGTGTCCTCTTTTATTTCGTTGAGCAGTGGTTTGTAGTTCTCCTTGAAGAGGTCCTTCACATCCCTTGTAAGTTGGATTCCTAGGTATTTTATTCTCTTTGAAGCAATTGTGAATGGGAGGTCACTCATGATTTGGCTCTCTGTTTGTCTGTTATTGGTGTATAAGAATGCTTGTGATTTTTGCACATTGATTTTATATCCTGAGACTTTGCTGAAGTTGCTTATCAGCTTAAGGAAATTTTGGGCTGAGACAATGGGGTTTTCTAAATATACAATCATGTCATCTGCAAACAGGGACAATTTGACTTCCTCTTTTCCTAATCGAATACCCTTAATTTCTTTCTCTTGCCTGATTGTCCTGGCCAGAACTTCCAACACTATGTTGAATAGGAGTGGTGAGAGAGGGCATCCCTGCTGTCTTCTGCCAGTTTTCAAAGGGAATGCTTCCAGTTTTTGCCCACTCAGTATGATATTGGCTGTGGGTTTGTCATAAATAGCTCTTATTATTTTGAGATATGTCCCATCAATACCTAATTTATTGAGAGTTTTTAGCATGAAAGGTTGTTGAATTTTGTCAAAGGCCTTTTCTGCATCTATTGAGATAATCATGTAGTTTTTGTCTTTGGTTCTGTTTATATGCTGGATTACGTTTACTGATTTGTGTATGTTGAACCAGCCTTGCATCTCAGGTATGAAGCCCACTTGATCATGGTGGATAAGCTTTTTGATGTGCTGCTGGATTCGGTGTGCCAGTATTTTACTGAGGATTTTTGCATCAATGTTCATCAGGGATATTGGTCTAAAATTCTCTTTTTTTATTCTGTCTCTGCCAGGCTTTGGTATCAGGATGATGCTGGCCTCATAAAATGGGTTAGGGAGGATTCCCTCTTTTTTTACTGATTGGAATAGTTTCAGAAGGAATGGTACCAGCTCCTCCTTGTACCTCGGGTAGAATTCAGCTGTGAATCCGTCTGGTCCTGGACTTTTTTTGGTTTGTAGGCTAATAATTATTGCCTCAATTTCAGAGCCTTTTATTGGTCTATTCAGGGATTCAACTTCTTCCTGGTTTAGTCTTGGGAGGGTATATGTGTCCAGGAATTTATCCATTTCTTCTAGATTTTCTAGTTTATTTGCGTAGAGGTGTTTACAGTATTCTCAGTTTTTCTTTAATTAAGCCAATGCAGTTAAACTAAGGTTTAAGAAGATATGCACAGTCCTAGTTCTGTTCTTAAGAAATTATTTTTTTTACTTAATACACATACATAATGTGCTGTACGCTATTCAAAATGAAGACAAATACTAACTCTTTAAATCCTTATGAGGATGGTACTGTTATCCACCCTATTCTATAGATGAGAAAGCTGAGACACAGAAAGCATAAATAAGTGTACCTGATCACACAATTAATAAGCAGTAGAGCTGAGATTTGAACCCAGGCAGTCTGGCTTCAGAAAACTTTTTTGGTAAAGCCCATCTTTATATTTATGTCAATGGAAGGTTTTAATACAAGGTCTTTATGTACATAATCTTTATGTATATAAAGGACTCCATTTACTAAAATATATAAAGTTATCTGATGTATCAAATTATCGTAAGCATTTAAAAACTCAAAATAGCATTGACAATTCCAAGATTAACCAAGCCCCAATGCAAATATTATAATTCAACAACATTTTTAATATTGATTACTTGGTATCACAGTATTCTAAAAAGGAGACCAGGCCGGGTGCGGTGGCTCACGCCTGTGATCCCAGCACTTTGGGAGGCCGAGGCGTGCGGGTCACGACGTCAGGAGATCGAGACTTTCCTGGCTAACACGGTGAAACCCTGTCTCTACTAAAAATACAAAAAAAATTAGCCAGGTGTGGTGGTGGGTTCCTGTAATCCCAGCTACTTGGGAAGCTGAGGCAGGAGAATGGCATGAACCCGGGAGGTGGAGCTTGCAGTGAGCAGAGATCGCGCCATTGCACTCCAGCCTGGGCGACAGAGCAAGACACCATCTCAAAAAACAAACAAACAAAACAAACAAACAAACAAAAATACCCAAAGGACTGAAGGTAGTTGTGTTGTCAGAAAAATGCCAATTCTGAAAGCAGTCTACTGTTGTTTGATCTTTGTAACAATCTCTTGGAAATGGGTAAATAAGTTTTTATATACCTGCCAAAATATACTCTACAAATACCCACTTAGAGAAGGCCATCAAAAACTATTATTGGTTTCCTCCAGCCCAAGATCACCAGAGATACGCCCGTGGTCAAAAAAAGTTGTCATGATTGACTAATGTTGCATAAGAGAGCACACACACTATGGAGAACCATTGGGCATCTCAGCGAGAGAGGTTTAGAAAATATTCAAAACAGGGTTTTGGCTTGTGTTAGGTGATCTGGGGTGAGGTCTGTGGAAGGAGGGCTTGCTTTATTTTCTCCAGGAAATTAGCATAAATTTCTAATTATCTTAAGTTTTATCTAGAAGGTGGGAAGAATTAAGTGAGGCTAAAGCTATAATTGGTGAAGAAGCAGTTTCTGCTCACAGTAGCCACGAAATGGGATGTTAGGTTGTTTTTGTGGTTTGGGCAACAATCTTGCATTTTTCTGTGGCTAGATGTGATTATGAAGTGGTCTTAAATCACAGCACAACTGAGCTTTAAGAAATTACTTGTTGAATTATGGTGCAAAAACAAAGAACAATATTCACAATTATCTGAAAAGGCTACTAAAATGCATCTTCCTTTTCCAACAACATATTGTTTTGAGGCTGGATTTTATACAGATCCTTCAACCAAATCAATATATTACAAAAGGTTGCAGAAGCAGAAGGAACAATTCATGTATCTTCTATTAACGCAGACATTGAAGAAATTTGAAGATACGAAACAATGGTACCCTTCTGAATTGTTTTATTTTGAAATATATAGTTTGCCCTTCATAAAAATGTTATTTGTAATAACACAATAGGTTCATGTTGTTATATCAGAAATTATTAAAGTTTTGGATATTTAATTTCCAATGTGGTAGACATATAGCCTATGTCAACAAAGGCTTTTTGGAGTTCTCAATAATCTTTATGAGTATAAAGGAATCCTAAGAACAAACAGCTTGAGAATTCCTGATCTGGGCAAAGGGAGCAATGTGTGCAAAAGTTCAGAGGTCATAAAGGATATAACCTCACTGCAAGAACTGAAAGAAATTCAGTATGGTTTCATCATAGAGTAGGAGGAAGTAGAAGAAGTTGGCAAGAATTGAGGAAAAACATCTGTCAGAATGGCACAAAACTCTCAGGGACGTTAGCATCTCATGGTCCATCACAAAGGCCCAGCATATTTTCTTATTAATCCTTTGATCTTTTTTGTCAGCACCTATTGGTGATAAGGCAATATCATTGTGAGATCTACATTTAGGCAAAAATCACAATAATAATAATAATAATAATAATAATAATAATAATAATAATAATACAAAACTACTTAGAAGAATTCCTTTCCTCCTCCTTGCTTCAATGATTTGAAAATAAACAAAAATTAAGACCTCTTTCTAATAAGGGGTTTTGGTGAAGGGCGCGAGATTGAATGAGGCAGAAAACTTTATTGCCTTCTTTTCAATAATCACCGGCTAACCATCATGACAGTGTGCAGCATTAAAATACACCTGCTGTTAGATTTCAGGTCATGCAAAATAATGATTGAAATACTTATAAGCTAAGCCACTGACTGCCTGAAAACTCACCCCCCATATTTTTATTTTGCCTTAACTTAGGCAGGTATTGTGCTTCTCTCTAAATAAATTGTGAAGAGAGAAACTTAAAGCCTGATACCTCTCTGATGGAAGTGGCAGGCAGGCCTCTAAATTTGAAGATCCTTTTGATATGGAAAGTTGAAGATACTTTATTGTACTGTCAAGTATAACCACCTAGTTTTTCTGTAACACAACCTTGATAAGTTTGAGCAATGAATTTTAGTCATAATATATCTTACCCAGGAATAATACATCATGAATTTGTTATAATTTTTATATTAAAGGACATGGCTTTGAAACTGATAAGAAACTAAAATCTATGAGGTTAAAATAGCTCACATGACAAAGCAGTATGACCTTATACATATAAAAAAATCAACACAGGGAAATATGTTGAAGATACTTTTAACAGAGTGAATTTACCTGATCAATAAGATCTCCAAACTTCTTTAACTTACCATCCTAGAATTATTCATATTTTATTAATTCTAATGGTAAAGATCCACAACACAAAAATGCCTTAAAAATAGTACAAATGGAATTATCTGACATTTATTTGACAAATAATTCCCACATTCTTTTTAGAAACCAGATTTAAAATATGCATAAACTGATCTAATCTTCCAAATGCCCTTCTCTGTTGCTTCAGTTGTCCCGTCATATTTTTAACCAAAGCCAAACCCCTATCTTTTTCTCATAATTGCCATTAATCTTCTTAGGAGAAAGAACATAGCTTCTGTTTTTCACCACAATACTAATATAAGTCATAAGCCTCAAATATAATGAATTCACTGGAAAAATCAGTTGGGAATGTTTTTCACACATGCTACACATTAAAATCACATAAGAGCTTTTTAAAAATACTTGTATTTGGATCCTACTCAGAAATTATGATTTAATTGTTTGGGGCAGGTAGATAGGTGGTTATGTATCAGTACTTTTAAAGCAATATTTCTCAGCCCCTATTTCGTATAAGAATTACTTGGTAGACTTTTAAGCCATGTAATGCCAAGCCCAACCCCAGAACTATTGGTCAGACTTTGGGGGTAGCACCCAGCCATAGCAGTTTTTAAAAGTTCACATTTATTTCTAACTGGCAACACATGTTAAAAACTTCTGGTAGAATTTTTTTTTCTACAAAATAAATGAGCAATCACAAACTTGCCCACAGTAGGAGATCCTATCAATAGATGAACTTTCTGGCATTATGCTGGTAGAACATACCGTGTTCTGCAGTCTGTCAACTTGAAGCTGCATTGCAATCAGCTATACTGAATATAGTGGGGTTTTCATATCTGTACAACTGGACAAATTACAAGCCCATAAGATTTTCAAAACTTAGTGCTAACACATTACTTAAATATCACCATTTATAAAAGAATGTAGAAGACTGAACATTCCTAAGGAAAGGCCAGCAGTTGCTACACATGAAAACCAAATATATGAAAACAGTAATTCAAGAGATGAATAAGAAGGAGATTATAAGAGGAATGTAGTTGAGGCATAGTTGAAAAGTGCTGACTCAGAGGACATAAGGCTATATGACGGTATGGGCTAAATTCACCTAGCCTCTATTTCCTCATCTGTAAAGGGGGTTCATATCGATTCCATGTAGCTATTGGAGGATTCCATGTCAACATGCAAAAACTCTGTGCCCTTGCTACTCCAAGTGTGGTCCTAGGACAAACAGGATCACGTGGAGTCTTGTTAAAAATGCAGAAACTCTGGCCTCACCAGAAACACCCTGAATCAGAATTCATATTTAATGAGATCCTTCAGATGGCATGTAAACACATGCAAGTTTTAGAAACTGACCTCTGTACATCATCATTGATGCTTCTACTGTTGAAGTCAAATATAGTATCTCAAATTTCTAAATTTAAAACATTTTATATGGGAAGCAAGAATTGCAATGTGAGGCATACACACAGTCCAGGTGGTCTTTGGTATGTCCAAAGCACAAAGAGAAGGTTGGAGGTCCTATAAAAAGGAGAAATGTTACATACTGTTTTGCAAGAAAGTTCATTGTGACCAGTAAAGTTTTAGGGAGCTAACAAGCTCCAAATGATGGCAAAGGGTAAAACTCTTGTTTCAGAAGCTATTAGATAAAACTGGTTTCAGGTTACAACAGGCAGCTTCAGCAGCCAGGCTTACACAGAATTACATTCTTGGAGCAATGTTATATGCCCTGAGTGCTTTCCCCCGCTGGCCTCTGGAGTCTGTTTTAGATGCGTATGACAAAAATGACTCAATTTGTATGATCAATTTTCACATTACTAAAGAAGCCATTTGGGGATGCCTTTAACATCAAATCCTCTGATACAGATTCAAACACAAAAACAAAATACATGTACATAGAACTTGCCAGTCACACAGATTTTTCTGAAGCAGCGAGCATCTATGAAGCGTTGAGTTATCTGCAAACGTGTGCTACAACCTTACACTACAACCTTGCAACTTAATAGTGGGAATTTAGTTGCCCCGATAGTCAATCATTGGAATTCCTGTTCTGAGCCAGCTTTGAGGCTCCTGCCCATGTGACCATGACATCTCAGTGGAGAGGGCAGCTTATGTTCAACTGTTTTACATTCAGTTGCCTGAGAAGACGCCTGTCCCTTGTATTCCAGACAAACACACAAGATCCAGAAATCATTTCTAAGGTTAATTGGAGAATGAGACCAGGAAATGGGGCTGAATTATATCAATTTTAAAAGACAGGAAGTTGTTCAGAAAAACAACAGATAGAGGATCATGAAGTTTTACAGAAAAAAAAGAAGTTATAATTTTTAACCCTTAACTACATCTCATTTCTCTGTTTTCACAGGAACCATGCTTCCAGCAGTGAACTGCAGTGGCTAAGCTATATTTTGGTAGGTAAAATATCTTTTGAGAGTAGAACACAAGTTGCCTGGATCTGACGGAAGCTGTTTATGTTTATATTTGATATAAAAGATGAAATACACTACATTACATTGTTATGTGACCATCCATCGTTTCTCTAAGAAACACTCTCTCTCTCTCGAACCACATACAAATGCAACATGTGTCAAAGGATAAACAAGTTACCATTTTGTGTTAAAATATCTATATGGAATTGTCATATGACCATTCTCACAAGCCCTAACAAAAAGTGGGCATGACAAGAAAAAAAGAAAAGTTTTTTTTTAAATATAGTAATTTAGCATAACATTGGAGACTAAATGTCCATGTGAACATTCTCAAGAAATACTTTAAACATTTGGTCTGCCCCAGACAAAATGATAAGCTCTTGTTAATGCCTGTCTGATGATACATCTGGATGGGAATTTTCAATCTGCTTTGCTTGTAGGCAAATTTTCCTCTATTTGACCAGCCCATGAAAAATGGAAATACAATTACGCACAGAATGAGGAAAACAGAAACTCATTCTCTGCAGGTTTTCCCTTCAAATAAAGATAATTTCAATATCTACAAAGATTGGAGGTTTAGGAACAAAATAGAAAAGCACAAAGACTAAAGAATAAGCTTTTATCTAGGGTGTTTTATTTAGATCTCTAAGAATTTTTCAGTTTTAACCCTTTCTCACAAGTAACTAATGGTAATATCTTTATGAGCTAGCATTTAAATATTTTGCTCACAGGTTGATATTAAGTATATTCTCCAACTGCTCAATGCAATGTTTTGTTTTGTCATTGAATCTAGTTTCTTAATTACTGTTCAAAATCTACCATGTACTTAACTGATTTTGGTTTTTTACTGCTTCTTTTACTAGGATCTTATATGATATATTCTCCCTTTTGATTATAGACTTTTCCATTTATCTTTGTACTATGTCAATTTTAGTTTAGAATTGTTCTTTCTTCCAAGCAAATCAAAGATTTTTTCATTATGGGGTGACTCTATGAAAGAATAAAGTAACCTTACCTTTTAAAAAATTGCCTTTAAAATTATTTTAACCTTAAGGTCTACTTTACCTATTAATTCAGCTTCATTCACTTTCTTTTGGTTAAAATATAATCATATTTTCCATTTCTTTTTCTTTCAAAATTTTATTGTTATTTTAGCCAAATCCCTTATAAATATCACAAAACTGAATTTTAGATTATGTGCTTACAATTATTGTATTTTAACTTGGGGGTATATTCCATTTATCTTTATTTTGGTTGCTATAAATTTTGACTTTTTTCTGCCCTATTTGCACTTTCTCATTGTCTCAATTTTCCTTTTTTTTCCCTCATAGCTTGCCTTCTTTTTATAGGGATATCTTTTTTTCTTATTCTGAATCTATTTATCCCCTCTATTAGTTTGTGAATTAGGCTAATTCTTTTAGTGCTAATTCTTTTAATTATTTCATGCAAACTCAATCTAGACCAAGAATCATGTTAATAAAGATCCTTATTCTCCTCCAAAGCCATATAAGGGTCTTAGAACACTTTAATTCTGAAAGTCCCTACTAGATCATATGCTATTGTTTTACAGTTTCTTTGTTCTATCTTGTTATATTCATTCCACCAGTCCAGATTGAATGATATGTATTCAGCTATATCTCACTATTCTTTTCTTTTAAACTATGAGTTCTACATTTTCTACCTGTCTATGTGATCCAGAAAACTTCAATCATACTCATCAATTTTTTTCACAACAAATGTTTATTTAGACCTGTATCACACAATTACTTATAACTGATTTACCAATTCTCACCTCTTAGAGCTTACCTATAAGTTTTATTCTGCTTTAAGTATATTCTGTTGAATATTCTGTTGGCGATAAGTGCTCTCAGTTATTGTTGTCTGGAAGTGTCTTTATTTTACCAACACTCTGTTTATTATTATTATACTTTAAGTTCTAGGGTACATGTGCACATTATGCAGGTTTGTTACATAGGTATACATGTGCCATGCTGGTTTGCTGCACTTATTAACTTGTCATTAACATTAGGTATATCTCCTAATGCTATCCCTCCCCACTCCCCCCACCCCACAACCGACCCTGGTGTGTGATTTCCCCGCCCTGTGTCCATGTGTTCTCACTGTTCAGCTCCCACTTATGAGTGAGAACATGCGGTGTTTGGTTTTCTGTCCTTGTGATAGTTTTTTGAGAATGATGGTTTCTAGCAACATCCATGTCCCTGCAAAGGACATGAACTCATCCTTTTTTATGGCTGCATAGTATTCCATGGTGTATATGGGCCACATTTTCTTAATCCAGTCTATCATTGATGGACATTTGGGTTGGTTTCAAGTCTTTGTTATTTATTTTACCAATAGTCTTAAATGATATTTTCACCAGATGTACAATTTTAAGCTGACAGTTATTTTCTTCAGCATTTTGAAGACATTTACTTATCTTTGGCTAGGGCTTTTAAGAATTCAATCATCGATCAAATTGTCACATCTTTGTGGTAATCATTTTTTTCTGTGTTTGCTATTAACATCTTGTTTTTGCCTTTAGCATTCTACAGTCCGCTCTGACTCATCTAAATTAGGATTTCTTTTTATTTATCCTGCTGAAAATTGTATTTCATTCTTGTATTTCTTCAAAGGATTGGTATCTTTCTAAAATTCTAGAAAATTCTTAGTATCTACCCTCTCAATTATTGCTCCTTCCTCAGTCTCTGATTTCTTTTAGACTTCTAATTAAATATATTTTAGAATATTACCTTCTCACTATTCCTTTTTTCTCTTACTCTCTCTTTTTCATTTTCTATCTCTCTATGTAGTCAAAAATACTCAATTATATGCTTACAAATTTCTCACAGGATTCAAAGTGGTTATGCTTGATATATTTTTGGAACAAACAAATCACATGAATCCAGACAGTAAATCTGCATGAGGATTAAGTTGTGGTACAAAAAATCAGGGGAGATATTTTCTTCTCCCAATCTATGTCAGTGTTTTGCCCTCCTCTGTGTGGCAGGGTCATTACTCATCCTCCATTACATTAAAGTGTGGGTCTTTGACATTCCAGCTTCAGCAGCTTTCACCATTAATATCTTATTTTTGCTTTTGGCATTCTACAGTTCACTCTGACTCATCTAAATTATAATTTCTCTTTGTTTATTCTGCTTAATTTTGTATTTTATTCTTGCATTTCTCTAGTCAATGGATTGATATCCTTCCAGAATTCTGGAACATTATTAGCATTCAGCCTCTCACATATTGCTATTAGATTATTCACATTGAGAATGTCCTAAACTTTATCCCTGTACATCAAGACCTAGGGAACTTTGGAAATTGGGATTCAATTCTCTTCCCCCTTCCTTCCTCTTTTTAATTTTAAAAATATACTGACTTCTTTCCTTCATCAAAAAGCCATTCAAAAGTCCTGAACTTGGTGGTGTCCTAGAGAGGCAGACTCCTAAGTGGGTGGGGTGGATTAGCCGCCAACAGAGTGAGAACATTGGCCTCACACAGGGAAACTGAGCCAACGGGAACCAATTTTCTTATTAGACTAAGGGGAACAACTATAAAAAAGGGAAAGGTAGAATAAATCTTTTGTTGTTGGACTAGAATTGGAGATACCAGTATGAACTCATGGATTTTAGCAAATATCTAAGTAAAGGAATAAATGTATGTGTTGTGAATATGTGTGTGTGTACACATATATACATGCATGTATTTCCTAATCCATCCACTGAGAGCAATGGAGGAATGACACCCCAGTAGCACCATGCACAGCTCCTACCCAAATACTGCTTTCTGAATACCTTTCTCCACTAAATGGAACTAAGAGTCCTTGGAATAATAGGTTAATCAAGGGCTTGTACACAGGAAGGGCAAGATAGTAAAGACATATACAAATAATTGGGACATGGCCAAAGAACTCAAAAGGCAACTTGAAGGAATTCCCATTGGCTAAATCAGGGAAAATAAAAGCATCAAAACAAATAGTGGTAGTAATGTATTATATCGCACCCAATAAAATAGGAGCTCAGAAGCCCACACTAATATAATAAATAAGTATAGAGAAAAGAAACTTCTCACTTAATAGATACCAGCCAACAAATGTTGAAAAAATAATAGTATTATTTTTAAAAATCACCATTTGATAACCATACTAGTAGTCATTAATTCAAGCAAGAAACATTAATGCTAAAATTAGTTGATCAAAGTTATTTAAGAAACAGGATTTTGCATAGTCTTTAAGTATCTTACCATAAAATAATTATTAAAAAGGAAGGGGTGTCTGGGAACAACTCTACAATGGAGAAACCTGGCAAGTATCACCTTTTTAAAGTAATCATATATAACTCAACCAATAATGGGACAAATAGACATGCACTATCCAATAGGATTTAGTGATATTCAGATAAAAAACATAACCTGGCTGTAAAAGCATGTATTGCCTTCATAATCAGATAAAAAATAAAGCTAAAAACACATTTTTTAAAAATACATAACCTGAGACGGATAAGGCAATACAAGAGTAGCTCAAATTGAGAAACATTCTACAAAATGACTAGCCTAAAGTCTGCAAAACTATTAATGTCATGAAAGTTAAGGACTGAGGTGCTGTTACAAATTGAAAGAGAGAGACATACAACTAGTATAAGGCCTAATACAGGATAGAACCTTTTCTATTTAACAAAAACAAACAAACAAAAAAAATCATTGGGATGCTTAGCCAAATTTAAATGGGGTCTCTGGAAAAAGCATATTTAGGGATTCTTTGTGATATTTTTACATCTTTTCTTTAGTTTCAAACTATGTCAAAATAAAATAATAACAAATCAAACAACCTGAAGCTCAGGGTCACTTACGGTAGAGCAGGTATCCTCAGGACACTTCCTCACCTCCCAGTATTCCTGCTTTCACTTTGCTTATAGCCTTTGTGGATTTATTTTGTCAGCTCAGTGATACATCCTAAATATTTTTATTGTATTTTACCAAGAATTTTCCGTTGTTTTAAGTGGAAGAAATATTCAGAGTATCTCATCTACAATACTGCCAGAAGCTGTAGTCTCATATCTATTTTAATCTTTTTTTGTTCCATTTTTCCCTTCTGTTAAGAATATCGATAATGTGTGTGTGGTATCTCCTTTGCCTTTCTAGCACATTCTCCCTACTTCCTTTCTCTATGTTCTTTTTATCCACTTTTTTCAATTTCTTCAGCTGTCTTTCATATCTCCGATTTCATTTTTAGCAGTATCCAATTTTCAGTTTTCTTTTTGTCAATTATTTTATGTTTTTAATTTGTGATACACTTTTGTTTCTCACATTTCTTTTCTGAGTTCTGCCATCTTACTATTTTTATTACCTTCTCTTGTTCTATCTCTATTTTAAGCATTTAGGGCTTATCTCTATTTTTAGCATTTATTTCAGGGTAGTCGCTACTAAAATAACTTTATAAAGACTTTCTATCCTAATTTGACCTGCTTCATGGTTAAAAAAAAAAAAACTAATATGTACCAATTTTCAATCCTTTGTCACATTTTTGTCCAGATATTTTATACAATTTTAAGAGTCCCATCCTCATTACAGTTATTACTAGCCTTTAAAAGGGGCTGTTCTTTTGTGCCACCTATATTACTGAAAGATGGTCAATAAAGAGCTTCAATTTCAGTAAGTTGTCTCTGTACACTTACTTCCCCACCAGCTTTCTGCAAAATGAGCAAGTTTCCACTCCAGGAGAACAGGAATGTTTTCTGGTTACAATGACGCCCCTAATTCACAAGCCAGTATGTAGTAATTTAGTCTACTTCTCTTTAGCTGACAAAGATCTACAGCTGCAAAACTAATTACAACCAGAAGTGTAGTGATATGGCATAAGAAAGCAAGCAGGTAGTAAAGATGGCATATCACTGCATTTGCCTTTTCTCCCTGTCCCCAAACAGTCTGCAGTATCACACGGGGATGTGCATATAGCATATTAGACACACACAAACCTCTAGATCATACTAGAAGTGTTGCCCATAGGTGAGATGAGGTCAGAGGAGTAGGCAGTGGCCGGCCCTCAGAGAGGTAGTGGGGAGTCCAATTTGAATGGCATTCTCATAATCTAAAAAGAAATTGGATTTAGATGGTAGCAGTAAAAAGGATTGAAGTGCATGGATGCACAATTTGGGAGATACAACCATCAAGACTTACTGATGGATGAGATATGGAGGGAGAACAAAAAAGAGGACTCAAAGATGCTTTGCAGTATTTTTCTAAACAAAGGGGGAAATGAGAGATTATGAGTAAAAATAGGGGGGACCTTTTTAGAAGGAAGGTTAATACTAAGGTTTGGAAATAAATTTAGAAAACCATTGAAGACACATCAGTCTCTGCCCTCAAGGAGCATATATAACTCAGAAGGGGAACATAGAGAAGGAAGGAGGAAATATCAATAAAATGTGATAAGTGTGATCATTAGGAGAATGTAGAGCACTGTTGCAGGAAGTACATAGAAAGGGCAACTAAACCATTCTTTCCAAGTTGGAGTGGACTACCTGCAGGAAGTTACTATCACTTGAGTGAAGATCAGTGATGAGAAAGAGCTAATGCTTTCAGGAAGGCTCAGGATGGCTGAGACAAAAAGCAAGGCAGGAAATAATGAGAGGAGGGCTGAAGGGGTAGAGGCAAACAGACTGTGAGCAAACATTTAAACCATAATCAGAGTTTGGTAATTATCCTGTGGGGAACAGGACATCAGGGCAAGTGACATGCAAGCAGGGAACACATGTACTTCCCTTCTGCTCTCATTTCATTGGCCAGAACCGCTCACTGGCCTCACACCGCTGCATGGGCAGGAGAATGAGGTCTCCTGCAGGTCCAAGGAAGAAAAGAAGGAATAAGTGAGCACTAGCAACCTCTACCACAGAGGGAGATCAATTACTATGTAGATTGTATGTTAAATACCAGGTATCCAAACCATTCTTCTTCAGTGGAAAAACCACAGGGACAAGAGTTTTTTTAAATGATCTATTAAAATAAAGTTCCAGTCTATGTGTATATTTTTCTATTGCTATAATATATGGATAAAGATATATACACTGTGACCAAATCTGCAAGCTAAATTTGGGACAATTGATTTTTAATATGAGCTCTGCACCAAACGCCTGAACTGCTGAAATGGTACCAAGGAGAGCCCAGTATGGCTAATTGGAAGAGATTTGCCAAGTATATTAAGATACCATTGACAGAGAAAACAGCAGTTTCAAATCTGATCTCCAAACAGAAAGCCACATACGGAGAGGCCTCGGATTGCTGTGAAATGATTAGACTGTTTCTCCCTGTGACTGTCTGTGTGGTCAGGGGAGAACAGATCAGTGGTTGCTTTTTAATAATGGTTTTGATTCCCCTGAATACCTCTGTAAAAACTAGCTAATTTTGATATTACAGGGAAAGTCCAGTCTATTGCTGATATGAATCTCTGCTTAAGCTGTTTGACATTGCTTGAACTACATTACCTTTGCCTGCCACTTAGGTAAGCTCTTTTTGAGCACTAAAATTGTTTTAATTCTTCTACTCCTTTATTCTGCTACATCTGGAGCATTTATATACAGCAATGCTCTCACCATGAAAATAATAGCAGGCACATATTCAGCTGTCTTGTGAAGCAAGTTAGAGTAACTGTTCCTTCCACTTAGGTCCCGGGGCTGCAAAAGCTCTAGCTACTTTCAGCTGGACTCTTGCTGAAAGTTCAAAATATCTCTCTCTTGTAGGATCAGATTCTGAAAAACCGAATTCGCTTGAACTTCTCAAAGAGGTAAACAAATGCTAAGTATTCACTTTCTTGTCAGTAAAATGCACCAGTAGCCTTTCACGGATTAATAAATTATAATGATGAAACTGACATTTCTCAGGCTGTGCAGTGCTTCCTATTTACAACTGGTAATACACTCTACAAAGTTTACTCTTACTCATTACTGTAGGTAATACACTCTACAAAGGCATGTGCTTTGGTTTGGATAGAACCCAAAATAACCCCAGGTTCTACCATCTACTAGCTGTGTGGTCTTGGATAATAAACTCAAACTTTGTGAGTCTCAGCTTCCTCATCTAGAATATGTCATAATAATATGTATTTTACTATGTTGCTATAAGGATTAATGTTTTAAGGCCTGTAAGTCACATAATACCATGCTTGGCATGTGGTGAAAGTTCAATGAATGCAAGTTCCTACAACCTCATCTTTCAGACCCCTGTGTGCAGTTGTCATTTTTGGATAAAACCCATTTTTTTAGGTCACAAATTTAAAATAACATGATTTTTTTTATTTTAAATGTACAAAATAATTATCGTAAACAGGAATTTTTATAAAGTTGATTTTAATAAACAAATTTTACTTAAAAACACAAGTCCTAGTAAGTTCAGATCTTTTTGTTTTTCATGAAGTGTGGACAAGTAAAATCAAATGTTTGTTACATGTTTTATCATCTGCTGGAAACTACAGATGTCCTGGCACATGGTCCAATAACACCCACAGTCATGCCCACAGCCTGAAGGGCTTAAAAAAAAAACCTAATGTTTTCATATGAGCTAATGTTTTAATATGATTCCTAACATATGGAATCAGAGCTCATGGTGCTTGTTGATTCACAAAGCACCCCAACATCCAGCTCTGGGGCTGGGCTTGGTCCACTAATGGCCCCCTCAGGAACCCCTAAACTTCGGCTGAGTACTAGAGGCATTAAATGCAGATAATGCATTTTTGCAGATCTCCCTGTAGATATGATCTGTTCCAGAGTTCATATGGTAGAACAGGTACAAAGAAAGAGGGAAAGTATTAAGCAGCATCTGGACATTTGTGCTTAAATAGTAGTTCTGTAAAACATGAGGATAAATACAAAAGACATGGAAAAAGACTACATCAACATCTATGCAAATTCACCAGGTTGCTAATATTAGGAAAGAAAGATCAGAAAAGAACCATAAAAGGGAACTCATATTCTGAAATAAGCCTTCAGAGAGCAATAACACTAAAGCAGATGAAGTAACACAGTCCTTGAAACAGTGAGGTTTGGCTAATGAGTGGTTCACTAACTAATGTATGCCTGAGGTCGTTCCTTTCATTCTATTCCTATTCCTTCTGCATGTGTGCAGGGAGAAGGGCAAGAAAAGATTAACTTCCAAAAACAAGCTGAAGGGTAAGAATTCACCTTTGTTCTCATAGTTCCCCCATTATGATTTGCAAAGTTTCCTATCTAGCCTCTCTTGCCAGGTGAGCATAGAAACATGTAAAAGAGTAGTTGGAAAGGAAGGTAACTATATAGGAGAAACACACACACACACAACTTTATCAAGAGATGACTTTTCTCCTAACTTGGTCCCTGGGGGAATCTGTGACTTCACTAAGTTACAGTGTAGAACTGTGGCTTCTTTTCCTAATCTGTAGCATGACAAGGTTGACAGTTGACCTCTTGGTAAATGACCATACATCCCAGAACAGTCCAGCCTCCACCTGTGTCCTAGAGTTATTATAGCATCTCCTCTCACTCTCAGACATGTTCTGGTTTGAAGTTACATCGCCTGCGTATTCATTTCAGTTGTCTTTTTGAGCTCTAAAATTGGTTTAATTCTTCTACTCCTTTATCTGCTACATCTGGGGCATTTATATACAGCAATGCTCTCACCATGAAAATAATAGCAAGCACATATTCAGCTGTCTTGTGAAGCAAGTTAGAGTAACTGTTCCTTCCACTTAGGTCCCGGGGCTGCAAAAGCTCTAGCTACTTTCAGCTGGACTCTTGCTGAAAGTTCACAATATCACTCTCTTGTAGGATCAGATTCTGAAAAACCAAATTCGCTTGAACTCCTCAAAGAGGTAAACAAATGCTAAGTATTCACTTTCTTGTCAGTAAAATGCACCAGTAGCCTTTCACGGATTAATAAATTATAATGATGAAATTGACGTTTCTCAGGCTGTGCAGTGCTTCCTATTTACAACGGTTAATACACTCTACAAAGTTCAGGATTTTTAGATGCTAAAAGTCACTGAAAATATACATATACAATGCCACATTTTGTGGAAGGTTTTTAAAGGATAAGTCAAACTCAAAAAGTACTTTGCCCATACATATATTTAAATAATTTTAACATCTTCTTTCCCAAATTAAGGACTATCATGATTCGTTACATGTTTTAATATGCCAACAAAATTGTATAATTAAAATTTTCTGGCCGGGTGCGGTGGCTTACGCCTGTAATCCCAGCACTTTGGGAGGCCGAGGCGGGTATATCACGAGGTCAGGAGATACAGACCATCCTGGCTAACACGGTGAAACCCCGTCTCTACTAAAAATACAGAAAATTAGCCGGGCGTAGCGGTGTGCACCTGTAGTCTCAGCTACTCGGGAGGCTGAGTCAGGAGAAAGGCGTGAACCTGGGAGGCGGAACTTGCAGTGAGCGGAGATCACGCCACTGCACTCCAGCCTGGGACAGAGCGAGACTCTGCCTCAAAAAAAATTTGTCTCGATTTAAAAAAAAAAAAAATCTAAACCTCTAACTTGCCAATTAATTAAAATATGCTTTATCTTAGCGTAGCCTAAAGCAAACAAATCTATTTATTGGCCCTCTTATCCACACTTGATGCTCTTCCTTGGAAACCCTGACTCCCTCTGTTCCTTCTCCTTTTCTTTGGCAGCCATGATTGTTTTCTGGGACTCTCCTCCTCCCTCTGTCTGGGCCTCCTCTGATTGCCTTCATCTGTCCTGCACCCTTTGGCCGGAGCTGATGGAAATTTATAAATGTGATGGCTGCTTTCAGCAAAGCTGAGCTTTAAACGTTGACACAACATGTGTTTGGGGACATCTACAGGCTATCTTCACAGGGAACTCAGATGAATTCTTGGATTAATTAAGGTCACCTCACCTTCATACCTTGCACTCTCATCCTTCCTCCAGCAATTAATCTTCACATTTGTCACCATTCCAAAAGAAGACTTAGACACAAATCTTAAATTTATTTATCATCCACATAAATAATCTGTACTTATTAATTACTTTGACAATAACTTCCTGGAAAGATTGTAAACTCTCCCCTCTATATATGTGTTCCAAAAATATTTAAGTGACTGATTTTATACTTCAAACTGCAGAATATTAATAGTTTGACAAGTTATAGTTCATACTTAAAGATTAAAATACTTTGGAAAGTCAACCAAAAAATGACACATGCATTCAGATAAGATTAAAAAATAGATAAGAAATGAGAGTTTAGTCAATGTTTACAATAATTGTATATAATGTTTACCAGAAACGTTTTATGTACCAGTCCCAGATTTAAGCTTTGAGATGGAGTCCTGCTCTTGTTGCCCAGGCTGGAGTGCAATGAATGGCGGGATATCAGCTCACTACAACCTCCACCTCCCAGGTTCAAGCGATTCTCCTGCCTCAGCCTCCCAAGTAGCTGAGATTACAGGCACCCGCCACTACACCTGACTAATTTTTGTATTTTTAATAGAGAAAAGGTTTAGCCAGGTTGGCCAGGCTGGTCTTGAGCCCCTGGCCTCAAGTGATCCACCCACCTTGGCCTCTCAACGTGCTGGGATGACAGACGTGAGCCACCACACCAGGCCGATTTAAGAACTTTCTGTTGTATAAACTTATATAATCACCATGGCAATACTATGAGTTAATCATTTCACAGATGGGAAAACTAAATCAAACAGAATAGGAATGAATTCCCAAGGTCCTCCCAGCAAGTGGCAGAGATGAGATTTCATCCCAGGGCCAAGTTCATAGTCCTTGCTCTTAAATCATTGTGCCCTTCTACATAGATCAATGATTGTCAACCCTATCAAATCAAATACCCACTTAAAAATAAATATTGTGTAACTCCGTTTTCACTATTCTAAAACATAATTTATAGAAAATGTAATCTGCCTACAAGTATAACTTTTAAAAAACATAGAACATCCTAGTTATCATATAAAAGAAATAAAAAGAAAGCAATTTGCAGTAAAATAATAAATTCAATATGTAAATACTGAGGAAGCAATAATGATCTAAACAGTCAAAACTGCAAGCTGATACAAGTGCATTGCATTTTTAACTCAAATACCACAAGCAGCATTGTCATCAGTGATGAGATTTAACATAATAACAGACAATTCTTGGTAGAGTTCCAAATCAAAGTAAAATCTTTCTCTATATCACAATAATTGCATTCTAGCAGGAATAGCAAATTGAGTTAATAAACTGCATTTTAAAAAATGTGTTTATATGTGAAAAGAAAATTTGGTTATTCCTTCAGATAGTTTTAAATAAATTATTTGCATATATAAATGTCTGAAGGGACTTCAAAAGTCAGCAGTACAGGCTGGGTGCAGTGACTCACACCTGTACTCCCAGCACTTTGGGAGGCTGAGGAGGGCAGATCACTTGAGGTCAGGAGTTTGAGACTAGCTTGACCAACATGGTGAGACCCTGTCTCTACTAAAAATACAAAAATCAGCCAGGTGTGGAGGCAGACGCCTGTAATCCCAGCTATTTGGGAGGCTGGAGGCAGGAGAATGGCTTGAACTCGGGAGGCAGAGGTTGTAGCGAGCCGAGATCTCGCCACTGCACTCCAGTCTGGGCAATACAGCAAGACTCTGGCTCAAAAAAAAAAAAAAAAAAAAAAAAAAGGTCAGCAGTACATAGGATGATTATTTATTATGTAGGACTCTCCTGAACATTGTTCAACATCTAGCTTCCTGAGTTTCCTACTCTCTAAATGGCAGTAAGACATTTTAAACATTCAGACAAAAACAAAATACCCGCATAGATTGCTAAAACACTGCTTAGTAGGGGGACCGGCCCTAATAAGCACCATTGCTATACATGAGAGAACAGATGATTGCCTTAGAGCAGAGAAGGTGCCACCTCCAGAAGAGGAAAGTAAAGCACAAGAACAAATAAAGATGGAAAAGTTTTCTTTAGAATCTACAATCTAAGAAAACCTGAACTTGAATTTTAAATGGATCCTGAAAACAGGTCTTCCAGGGTTTTGGTTTTGACATTTTCCTCCCACCGCTCCAGCAAAAGGCATCTCACCTGGCACAACTGAGTGCATGCCTCTGGGTTTGGTCCTCTTCCAAAAGATCATCTTGGAATGGGCCCACTCTACTCTGAAGTTTATTTGCTCTTTATTCTCCTTCAGTCAAACATCATCACCTTCTCGTCTCTGACCTCTCTTTCCTCATTATTCCATTATTCCTAGCAGACGCTCCCCAGAAAGAGAGAGGAACAGAAATGAACTCCAAGAACATTTTTGTGATAAAGAGATTAGTTGATATAAAAGGGGACTATGACTCTTCTAGAAAGTATTTTATTCATTCATTCAACAAATATTACTAGGCACCTTTGCTATGCTAAACACTGGGTTTGGTACATACTCTCCCTCTAAAAGGAAATTACAACCTAGTGGGAAGGCAAATAATAAACAGGCAATTTCAAGAGACTATCATAGGCCGGGCGTGGTGGCTCAAGCCTATAATCCCAGCACTTTGGTAAGCAGAGGTGGGTGGATGACAAGGTCAGGAGTTTGAGACCAGCAGTGGCCACTTTTGAAAGTTATGATGGACAAAGGAGTTGATAGGACTAGGCAATTGTCTGAATCGGAGGGGTGAGGATGGGTCACATGAAGGTCTCTGGTCCCATAACCTCAGTGGACTATGGTGCCATTAACTGAGGTGGAAACCACAGAAGAAGCAGGTTAGGAATAACGAGAATGCTAAGGGTGGAGTTTGAGGCACAACATCCTGTTACTAACAGCTCTGTTACTAATGCATCTAATTGGTGGCTCAGAAACCAGCTTCTCTATTTAGAGCTATTGACTTTTATAATAATAGAACCAAAGGAGGCTTTGGATATAAGCAATCTCACTTTAAAAATAAACTGGGTACAGACTAGGAGAGAAAGCAACTTAATCCCAAAAGTACAGCTAATTAATTAATACAGAGTGATATGATGAGAGGAAGACACAGAATCAAATCCCTGACCTGCTACTTGTCAGCTATGTGATCTTTCCAAGTTTCCTTCCCTGTCTACCCCTGCTTGTGTTAAAAGACAAATTAAATCCCAGATGCAAAAGACACAGAATCAAATCCCTGACCTGCTACTTGTCAGCTATGTGATCTTTCCAAGTTTCCTTCCCTGTCTACCCCTGCTTGTGTTAAAAGACAAATTAAATCCCAGATGCAAAATGTAGCATAGTGCTTGGCACAGGGTAAGTACTCAAAAATATTTTCCTTGTGTCTCATTCCATGGAACTTGATTATTAAATTAAGTCTTCTCTAAGTAAAAGGGCAAAAGTACAATATTCCTAAAATTTATTTTTCATCAATCCTCTACTTGAGCATTGGAATTAGGCACAATATGATTTAAATACAGTTTCTGATATCCATTTACTAGATAAGCTACTTAAACATCTTAAACTAGATGTCCTTATCTGAAAATATGAAGACATCTACCTTGCAGGTTTTCCCAAAGATTACATGAAATAACACATACATGAAAATATCTAAAATATCATATGTCACATAGTAGATGCTCCAGAAATCCTTCCAAGGAGGCAGAGATGGTGGAAATTTCAATCCAGCTGTTAAGAGATCAGGATGAGAGGTGGGGTACTCTAAACAGTGACAGTAGATAGAAGATTGAGATTGGGAAGAGAGAGATTAGGAAGACAAGTAGCACCCCCCACACCAAAAAAAAAACCCACAATTAAAAAACCCAAAATGAAAATCATGCACACCCCTGGAAATTAATATTTGAAGTACAGTACATATTTACTGACTCTTTTTCTTCTTTTTTTTTTTTTTTTTTGAGACAGAGTCTTGCTCTGTCACCCAGGCTGAAGTGCAGTGGTGTGAAAAAGGGAGAAATCTATTAAGTCTTAAGGAGAACCTATACTTAGAGATGAGGGAGAGAAACAAGGGTTAGTCAAACAAAGAAAATAGAACCAAAGACACAGCATAACAGTGTAGAGAGGGAATACAGATTAAGCAAGTAGAAAAAGAGGCACAGAAGTAGGTAATAAGAGGTGTGGCGCTAAGACTATAAAACATGGAAATCAGTTGTGAAGGATAGGACATTTAAAAGAGCAGTTTCAGTTGACACTACAAGAGGCTGAACTGGTACAAAGTAAACAAGTCGTTTGGGAGGCTGAGGTGGGCGGATCACGAGGTCAGGAGATCGAGACAATCCTGGCCAACATAGTGAAACTCCATCTCTACTAAAATATAAAAAATTAGCCAGGCATGGTGCTGTGTGCCTGTAGTCCCAGGTACTCGAGAGGCTGAGGCACAGGAATCACTTGAACCTGGGAGGCAGAGATTTCAGTGAGCTGAGATCACACCACTGCACTTCAGCCTGGGCGACAGAGCGAGACTCCATCTCAGAGAGGAGAGGAGAGGGGAGGGGAGGGGAGGGGAGGTCAGTAAATATATACTGTACTTCAAATATTAATTTCCAGGGGTGTGCATGATTTTCATTTTGGGTGTTTTAATTGTGGGTTTTTTTTTTTTTTTTTGGTTATGGGGGGTACTTGTCCTGTAGTCAAAGGATATTGTCTGCACCATTTTTGCTTTGGAAAAGTTGTTGTACATACCGGAATCTCTGAGACACAGCTAAGGTAGTGTTAACAGGGAAATTTATAGCACTAAATGATCACATCAAAAAGTTAGAAAGGTCTCAAGTTAACAACCTAACATCACAACTAAAAAGAACTAGAGAATCAAGAGCAAACAAATCCCAAAGCCACCAGAAGACAAGAAATAACCAAAATCAGAGCAGAACTGAAGGAGACTGAGATACAAAAAAAAAGCATTCAAAAGATCAATGAATCCAGGAGCTGCTTTTTTGAAAAAATTAATAAAATAGACCACTAGCTAGACTAATAAATAAGAAAGGAGAGAAGTTTCAAATAAACTCAATCAGAAACAACAAGAATAAAATACCTAGGAATACAGCTAACTATGGAGGTGAAAGATCTCTACAAGAATGACAAAACACTACTGAAAGAAATCAGAGAGGACACAAACAAATGGAAAAACATTCCATCCTCATGGATAGGAATAATCAATATTGTTAAAGTGGCCATACTGCTCAATTTATAGATTCAATGTTATTCCTATTAAACTACCACTGACATTCTTCACAGAACTAGAGGAAACTATTTTAAAATTCATATGCAATCAAAAAAGAGGCTGAATAGCTAAGACAATCCTAAGCAAAAAGAACAAAGCTGGAGGCATCATGCTAACCACCTTCAAACTATACTACAGTGTTACAGTAACCAAAACAGCATGGCACTGGTACAAAAACAGACACATTGACCAATGGAACAGAATAGAGAACCCCAAAACAAGACCACACACCTACAATTATCTGATCTTTGACAAACCTGACAAAAATAAGCAATGGGGAAAGGATTCCCCATTCAATAAATGTTGCTGAGATAACTGGCTATAGCCATATGCAGAAGATTGAAACTGGATCCCTTCCTTACACCATATACAAAAATTAAATCAAGATGGATTAAAGATTTAAATGTAAAACCCAAATCTATAAAAAACCTAGAAGACAACCTAGGCAATACCATTCAGGACATGTTAACATGGTCATTATCCTTTTGAATTTCTTTGTTCCTGACAATTCCTTGCCATTTCTTTTATTCTTAATATTTTTTGTTATTTCACTTTAGCTGTGTCCCTTGCAGTATATATTTGACTTTGGTGGGTTTTTTTGCTTGTTTGTTTGTTTGTTTTGACACAGAGTCTTGCTCTGTCGCTCAGGCTGGAGTGCAGTGGCACAATGATCTCTACTCACTGCAACCTCCACTTCCTGGTTTCAAGCAGGAGGTTTCAATTATTCTCCTGCCTTAGCCTCCCAAGTAGCTGGGATTACAGGCACGTGCCACCACGCCCAGATAATTTTTGTATTTTTAGTAGAGACAGGTTTCTACTGGCCATATTGGCCAGGCTGGTCTCGAACTTCTGACCTCAAATGATCTGCCCAACCTCAAAATGATCCTGCCTCAGCCTCCCTGAGTATCTGGGATTACAGGCATGAGCCACTGCACCCGGCCTCCTTCTCTTTTTTATTTAAAAATAGAATCTGTTTATATTTAAGTTACAGACAAGTTTGTTGCTATTTATGTGTATGTCTTTTAATACAGTTCTTGTTTATACTTTTCTATCACCTTGTTTCTTTTTCTTTGTGTATCTGCTACATTTTCTCTGCTTTTATTAAAAGTTATCTAAAGTGTCTTCTAAATGTATTTGAAATCATCTTCTCCAATCATCAATATCAAGAATGTAACATCCCTCCCACATAAATAAGAAATTAGCATGTTTTTGTTTCCCTTAATTCTCTTCTACCTACTTGGAATTTTTATAAATAAAATTTTATATAGCATGTTTTTCTTTTATTTATAAAATATGGCTTTTTTAGGCATATATTTTATATATTTTTCTTTGGACATGTTTTTATGTTTTAACTACTTTTGTATTTGTTTACAGTAAGAACTTAGGCTTGCATCTATATGTTACTATTTTCAGTATTTAATATCCATCTTTTTATTATCTTATTTGTCCTTTTTTATTTTATTATGTCTTATTCCAAAGTATATTTAAATTAATTTTTTAAAAGTAGATAGGTGGTATATTTGAATTTTTTACTTTATGAGACTTTCTTTTTTATTTTATATTTCATATACTTACATTTTCACATTTCACATATACGTTGGATAAAGAGCAAAAAACTGGGTCACAAATTTTTCCCAAGAATGGATAATGGGTTGTGCCTTTAGAGTCTAATGCTAATGTTTTCTTTTTCTTTTTCTTTTAAATAGAGACAGAATCTCACTATGTAGGCCAGGCTGGTCCTGAACTCCTGGCCTCGAGCAATCTTCCCATCTCAGCCTCCAAAAGTGTTGGGATTACAGGCATGAGCCACCACATCTGGCCTAACTCTAATGTAAAGTGTGGGCCGGGCCCGGTGGCTCACGCCTGTACTCCCAGCACTTTGGGAGGCCGAGGTGGGTGGATCACTTGATGTCAGGAGTTTGAGTTCGACCAGCCTGGCCAACATGGAGAAACTCCATCTCTACTAAAAATACAAAAAATTAGCAGGGTGTGGTGGCAGATGCCTGTAATCCCAGCTACTTGGGAGGCTGAGGCAAGAGAATCGCTTGAACCCGGGAGGCGGAGGTTGCAGTGAGCCGAGGTTGCGCCATTGCACTCCAGCCTGGGCAACAAGAGTGAAACTCCACCTCAAAAACATAAATAAATAAATAAAAATGTGAGACCAGTTTCATTTCCGTTCATTTGTAACTACTCTGGTATGCTTCTGTGTTGTTTTTTTTTTTTTCTGCCTGGGTACTTAAAGAGAGTGCTGTCTCTGAAATTTAGCAATTCATCAGGGTATGACTAAGGGTTGTTTTAATCCATTTTACTTGTTATTTGATGAGCCTATTTTATCTATAAATGGTGTTTCTTAGGTCAGTAAAGCTTTATGTTCTCATGTGTTTTATTTTATTTATTTATTTTGAGATGGAGTCTCACTCTGTTTCCTAGGCAGGAATGCAGTGGCACGATCTTGGTTTACTACAACCTCTGCCTTCCAGGTTCAAGTGATTTGATTCTGAGGTTATTTTTAATATTTATTATGTCCTTCATTGCTTCTATTGAAACTATAAGTCATGCTACATCATTTACGGTTTTGTATATGATTTTTATTGTTTTTACCTCCACAAAAGCCACTCCTTTTTTATATTTTCTTGTCTTATATGTATATGCTAAGCATCTTCTTATAGAAGTTTTCTGTGTTTTACACAGAAAAGCTTATAAACTTTGCTTTAGTATTTTTCAGAATTTTCCTCTACAATTTGAAAAAAAAGTTCTCATTCTTTACACTGTACAATCTTTCTTAAGTACAATATTTATTTTATCTGATTTCTTATCTTTAAATGAGGAACACTCTATTCAGGTCAACTGTTTCAAAAAAAAAAAAAAAAAAAAAACGACAGCATGAGAACATTCTGCTTGAGATTCTGAACTTGGCATTCAAGTTGACGTCTGGAGCATGTTAGAGCATTCCAAAGCCAATGAAGCCTATAAAATGTTCCTCCCACCCCAACCCCAAGAGGAGTTCACCAGCAGAAGGCATCTTGATACACCAGAGGATAAAGGTTCTGCCCACGGATTCCGGGGCCCGACTGCCCAGGCTCAAATCCTGGCTCCACCCCTCTTAGGAGTATTGTTACCTAGATGCCTGCTTTGGAGAAGGCCCTCTGGGGCTGTGGTGAAGGAAGTATTTCATAAGCTTTAATGGTCTCATCTCTACAATAGGGATAATGACAGTTTTTTCCTCGTAGGGCTGAGAGCATAAAATAAATTTATCTATGAGCATAAAATAAATAAATCTGCAAGAATGCCTGGCACGTAGTGATGTTATACAGCATGGTGGCTGTTTTAAGGAAACTTTAGCTTTGAAGGAGATTGTGAGATTGGCAGCCTTAGCATTTGTACAGATCTATGCCCTGTCAAATAGGAACTGAAACAACTAGAGCAATAAATACCACCTGGTGCGCAGATGATCCACTCCACACTGAGGAAACTGCCTCCACAGCGCTGTTTCGTCTTTGGTTGTGTGCTACCCGTGACGTCATGTTCTAACAATTCTGTAAATCCCAGGGTGTATATTCGCACCCATTAAAATCCTCCCATGGAAAATGGGTGAGTAATGATGTAAGTATCCTTACTATCTGGCTGGCAGTGAGCAACAATGAAATGAAAAGACAGCTGTGTGTTTGGAATTTGAGACCTCTGGAAGGATAGAGAGCTGTACCGAAAAGGCAAATGAGATAGAAGATGGAGAGGCACAGGGCTGTGGGCCAAGCAACAGAACAGACTTGAAGTGAACTGATTGTTCCAGAGAAACAGACCTATGATGTTTCAAAGGACTCAGTAAAGAGAACACAGGTTGCAAAAGAATAAAAATGCTAAGGAGTCAACCGTCCCATGAAGGACATTAAAGGACAGGGCAGAGGCGCTGCCTCACTCCGCATTCACACAGACAGCATCTACTGTGTGCGGAACACCACAGAGGCCCAAAGCATCACCAGATATAATCGATCGCTTGCATGGTGGGGCACACCTGTAATCCCAGCTTTTTGGTAGGCTGAAGCAGGAGGATCTCTTGAGTCCAGGAGTTCAAGTCCAGCCTGAGCAACACAGCAAAAACTGTTTCTTAAATTCAAAAACAAAAACAAACAAAAAAATCAACAGTGAATGTAGAGAAAGGGATTCTCTGCCCCTCTACATATAAAAAAGATTCTGGAAGGGAATAAAATTAAGAGTGGTACAGGTTTGTGTTGATACAGAAGGAGTAGGAAGAGGTGGGAAATGGTTATGCTCACATTTATTTGGCCACAAACCTGGCCCACCCCATTCTGCTCCTGTGATGTTTATACAAAGTAAAAATGCCAAAGGTGAAGCACTTATGTACTTTATACATATGTGCTTCTCTACCTGATCTTCTCTCACTGTTTATTATCAACAGCCTTTTTTGTTTCAAACCTAACCATTATAGATTTTAATGATTTATAGATTTTTTAAAAACTAAACAAACTACCTAAATAAAATATATTTTGACCCATAGATATTAAAGAAGTTAAGAAAACATCATAGATTCTGTATGTTCCTCCAATCTAACCAGATCAAGTATAGTTTTCTGGTAATTTTGTTTGAAATTGCTTCAATAATTTACATATTTAGGTAAAAACTCACTTTGATCTTAACCATCTAAATAATTCATGTCCATTTTTAAAACCACAATATTTCCTCCTTGGTTCAATACACACGGCTTTGCTATTACCTTGAGCAGTCATGGTTTAGATCGAATCTGATGCAATTCTGACTATGTCCTCAAGATGGCAGGCGGGGATTTAGACTGAGCTTCAGGGTTCTAGCAAAGCCTTTTTACAGCTTTTTTTCTCTGAGTTAGGTCTCCTGTTACTGATTACTGAATCTATCAGCAAATCTTTTTGGAATGCATATTATGTGCCAAAGATTATGCGAGATTTTGTTGGGCAATACTATTCAGTTTTTCAAAGTGCCTTAATGCACCACATGGTTAAAAAAAAGCACCGGGTGTTTTTGGTTTGTGGGAGAAAAGGCAGGGACTTTTGTATAATGTCATTATACTGTGCACAGGATGCTGCAACTAAAAAGCATGGATGTAAAGTAACAAACACATAAGACAATAGTCAGCATATGAGAGTGACTGGGAATACCTGGAACATCTTTTAAAACCTACCAGGATTACCACAAAAATCTGGAGATTGACTTCAAAATCCCAACCCTCTTTTGTTCCCAAAAATATTTCCTTTGGAATTTGTTTACAATAATAAAATTATAAAATATTTTTCCAGATACCAATGTTAATCTTGCTTATTGATTACAGTTTGAATGATCAATACTAAGAAATCAATCTTCACTATGTTACAAAAGTCAATAAATAGAGTTATATTTTAAAATACGGGAAATTTGAAAGGTCAAGAGATACCAGGAAAAACGTTCTTTCCAGAATCTTAAAATTTAAATAAGTTTTCTTTCTACCACACCGATATGAGGCAACCTAGATTTAAGCAAAACTGAAGTCACTGAAAAATTATATATAATACAGCTTTTCACGTGTTCATTTTCTTAGCATTCCATGCTGTTTAACATCATTAATTAAATTAAAATTATAAAAGATAAAATTTAAGATTAGTATCCAAGATTAGGGAAGGCTAAAATAACATGACCAAATGCAAAATGGTTTTATGGATTAAATTTATCTGGGAAGAGAAAAAAGGATATTAGCGGAAAAATAGATGAAATCTGAATGAAGTCTGCAGTTAATAGTGTGGTATCAATGTTAATTTCTTAGTTTTGAGGAACTATGGTATGTGACATGTTAATACTAGGAAAAGGGGAGCTAAGTGAAGGTTATATAGACACTTCCTATATTTGTAGCTTTTCTATAAATCTAATATTATCTCAAAATAAAAAGTTAAAACAATATTAGTGCCCAGTCTATTCAACATTGTTGAGCACCTCCCACATATCAGATAATGATCTGGATGCTGAAGACACACACCCTACCTAAGTTGTTGACAGCCTAGTAGAAAAATTATATTGTTATATTACAAAATATGTCTTTACTATACATTTTGAAAATGTACCATTCTTGTTTTCTTTTTTAATTTTAATTCTTTTTAGAGATGGGTCTCACTGTGTTGCCTGGGCTGATCTCAAGCAATCCTCCTGCCTCGGGCTCCCTAAGTGCTGAGATTATGAGCACAACTGGCCAGTTTTCTTTGGAAGAAATAAAAGTATATCAAATAAATTAATGTGAGTGAGAGAGAAATGGTATAAAAAGCAAAGAAGGGAGAGGTCAAGTGGAGAAACAAAAGGAATAATGGCAGAAACAAAGAAGAGTTGTATTGATGAAGTACACAATCTGGTATGGTGGTGGAAACCCTCTCCACATTGCTTTACCTGTAAACTCGTTTCTTATTTAAAATGTGCAATTATTAATAACTGTAAAACAAATATGACTAATATGACACCATTCTCGTGGGTAATTTCATGGATACCTTGTTTTACATCCTATCATGTGGCTTGCATGAATGGGGCATGTGTACCCCATTCTAATAATATGCTTTGTAGATCGTGAGGAAAGAGAGGTTAAAGAGAGAAGAAAAAAGCACAGGAATAAAACATATTGTGGAAAATGAGAAAATAGAAGAGAAATATCAGGGAGGGAAATGGAAAAAGGAAAAGGCATCCTCAATCCAAACATTTTTCTCTAGTTCTTTAATACTCAAATGATCCATCTCTTATCTTAAAATTTTAAAAAGATCCTCTTGAAGACTTTTATTTGGGGGGTAAGTCCAGAGATGGAAATACATTCGTTCATTCATTCATTTAGAGACAGAGTCTCGCTCTGTCACCCAGGCTGGAGTGCAATGGCAAGATCTCGGCTCACTGCAACCTCTGCCTCCTGGGTTCAAGAAATTCTCTTGTCTCAGCCTCCTGAGTAGACGACAGGCACACACCACCACGCCCGGCTAATATTTTTTTTTAGTAGAAATGGGGTTTCATCATATTGGTCAGGCTGGTCTCAAACTCCTGACCTCAGGTGATCCACCAGCTTCAGCCTCCAAAAGTGCTGGGATTACAGGCATGAGCCACCGTGCCCGACCAGTTGAAATCTTTATATTGAGAGAAAGATGTTCTTATTTAAAGAAAGTATTTTTAGCTTGCCTTTCTCTTCGATGGTTTCATTGTATATAGATGGAGATTCTGATTTAGAATTATCTGTATCAATTTTGATATCGTATTTTCTTTACACTTTGAAAAGTCATCTCACTAAAATAAAATTTGCTCTTTCAATATGAAAATAAAAAAGGAAAGGCATCCTGCCTTATCCAAAAACTCAATCTTGAAATATTGAAATAAACAAGTCTGGTATATGCTAAGCCAGCCCTACTCAGAATCCAGCTATCACCATTAATTACCAACAGATGGCCCAGATAATGAACTCTAATCTGAAAGGATGCAGGAACTCTGAGAAGGGAGGCTAGCAAATTCTGAGAAAGTCACATTTTCACCCTCCTTTATGAATCAAGAATAATTTTGCCTCCTCTTGTCTCTTTTCAAAAATTGAACCATACAAATTTCTTGAACACATCACAGTCTGTAATGAAGTATACTTCTGTACCAGGGAACACAGGATATGATACAGGTAAAATGTATACACTTAAAAATTGAACCGACTGGCCACCTTGAATTTTATAATAAATAACACAACTATTTTATGAGAAATCATTTCTCATGTCAAAAACTCAAAGTTCATAAAGTGGAAAATGCTCAGAGAAGGGCAACCAAAAAGATCAGAGGAGAAAGGGTGCTGACAGTTTGGAATGTGTAGATTTATAAAGGCAAGGCTGGAAAGGGAACAGGAAAATGAATAAAACAATAGCATGGATAAACAGAGTCACTCATCAGATTCTGCAATGTGAAAATACTGTTTGAAATCTGAATGAAGTAGAGCTATGATATACTTAAATATTTGTTCTTTCAACTGGTTAAATTTTGGAACTGAGGGGGTGATAAAAATCAGAAATTTGTAGAGGCTAAATCAAAACTGGTTTGAGGAAAAGAATTTTGACTACAATATGCTAAGGGATCATTTTGTGATGGTTTGCCCAATGTCTCTCCACAATGTGTGTGATTGTTGTAAGAGCTGTCGGGTTACAATGTGACCTGTCCACCGGCCGATGAGTTTCCTCCCTTTTGAAAAGCTGAACCTAAGTCAAGAGAACTGAGATAGTCTAAGCCCGTGTTGTCGTACACAAACCCTGGGAGTTGTGGCCGTGTCCCACCATGTAGACAGAGGATCAAAAAACGCTGGTGTATACTAAGAGGAAAACGTAAACCCAAACATCGTAAGGAGTAGAAAGAAAGCGCCTTGATAGGGGTTCAGGTCCCTGAATCCCTAAAATGAATTCCAGAGGCCCAGGGCATTACTATTCTTTGATTCCATGATATACCCAATAATCTTATAGTGAAATTTTTTGCTGAAATTTAAATCGGTTTCTGCTCCTTTTAACCAAAATAATCTCAACTAAAACAAAAGCTGTATACCACTGTCTCTCCTTTCTCTCTCTCTCCAATCTTTTAGTCCCCTGCTGTAGACTGTTTATGTATACGTGTTGAAACCTAACATTCAATTTGATGGTCTTAGGAGGTGGGGCCCTTATAACTGGCATTAGTGCCTTTATAAAAGAGACTCCAGAGACTCGCCACTTAACGCCATGTGAGGACACAGTGACAGGATGGCTATCTATAAACCAGGGAGTGGGTTCTCACCAAATACTAATCTGCTGACACTTTGATCTTAGGACTTTCCAGCCTCCAGAACTATGAGCAATACATTTCCATTTATAAGCCAGTCAGTTTATGGTATTTTGTTATAGAGGTCTGAACAAACTAAGACATGTCCTCTCTCATATCTTCAGTTCCTCTGTATATAACCAGTATGTATAACACAGAGAAAACTATTGAAAGCAGTTACATCCCTGCTAGTTAGTAAGTAGAGAATGTTAACCACAGCCACAGCTACTTGGGTTTCGGGTGGGTGCAGTGGGATAGCGTCACCTGATAATGCAAGCAAACAAAAGAAAAACAAAGAACAATTACTTTTAGTGATGAGTCTGAGCCTGAAGTAGTAGTCAGCGTAGAAGGTTTTCTGATCTTGCTGAATACAACACGGGTCTTTAAAACCTCTTCCGCCTGGCTCGGTGGCTCACGCCTGTAATCCCAGCACTATGGGAGGCCGAGGCGGGTGGATCAGGAGGTCAGGAGATAGACACCATCCTGGCTAACACGGTGAAATCCCGTCTCTACTAAAAATACAAAAAAAAAAAAAAAAAAAATTAGCCAGGCGTGGTGGCGGGCGCCTGCAGTCCCAGCTACTCAGGAGGCTGAGGCAGGAAAATGGCGAGAACCGGGGAGGCGGAGGTTGCAGTGAGCCAAGATTGCGCCACTGCACTCCAGCCTGGGCGACAGAGAGAGACTCCGTCTCAAAAAAAAAAAAAAAAAAAAAATTACCGGCCGGGCATGGTGGCTCACGCCTGTAATCCCAGCACTTTAGGAGGCCGAGGCAGGTGGATCATGAGGTCAAGAAATTGAGACCATCCTGGCCAACATGGTGGAACCCTGTCTCTACTAAAAATACAAAAAGAAAAAAATTAGCCAGGCGTGGTGGCGGGCGCCTGTAGTCCCAGCTACTTGGGAAGCTGAGGCAGGAGAATCGCTTGAACCTGGGAGGCGGAGGTTGCTGTGAGCCGAGATCGCGCCACTGCACTCCAGCCTGGCGACAGAGCGAGACTCCATCTCAAAAAAATACTACCAAGATAAATCTTATTATATATGATAAAATTTAGCATTTATCCTAAATAAATAGGAACAGAAATATCCAGTCATAGAAATACGGTTGTTGAAAACCCTAAACGAATATGGCAGCTAGTGTATCACCTCTGGCTGCAGAAAAGACAGAGTAGTGTAATCACAGAGGGCATGCCCCAGTCCATGGATCACTGACGATGTGGAAGTGATCTTATTAGTACCCAATCTACTCAACAGACATCGCTGACCATCTACCAAGCAAGAATCAGAACCAACATTTTATGTAGATTTCTATCGCAATGATTTCACCAGTTCCCTGGGTTATTAAGAGGAGAATTACCTTGCACTGACACCTCTCATTTCTAGGAGGAAGTAAAAGTTCTAGCACATGGGGCTGCTTGGACTAGATGATCTCAATTTTTCCCTCCAGCTCAACATGTTGCTGTGCTTTTTATATTTCTAAATGTGAAAGGACTTTTTGGTTGACACCATTAAAAAGCTATTTGCAATGACAGTAGAGGATGTGGGAAAGTAGTGACAAGACAGAGGAAATCAGTGTGTATAAAAAGCCATTTATTTCATCAAAAGAGGATTTTTCTTGTTAAAATGTTTGAAGTACTTAGAATATGTCAAACTCAAAATATCTCTGTGGAAGGGATATGATGATGTATAAAGCTAGACAGCACACCAAATTGACTCATTTTATTCTCATCATAGATTCACATGCATTAAAAAATGAATCAGGCTGGGCGCGGTGGCTCACGCCTGTAATCCCAACACTTTGGGAGGCCGAGGCGGGCGGATCACGAGGTCAGGAGATCGAGACCATCCTGGCTAACATGGTGAAACCTTGTCTCTACTAAAAATACAAAAAATTAGCCGGGCGTAGTGACGGGTGCCTGTAGTCCCAGCTACTCCAGAGGCTGAGGCGGGAGAATGGCGTGAACCTGGGAGGCGGAGCTTGCAGTGAGCGGAGATTGTGCCACTGCACTGCAGCCTGGGCGACAGAGCAAGACTCCGTCTCAGAAAAAAAAAAAATGAATCAAAAATATATATTTCCACGTAATATCTGAATGTCTGAATGTGTGTGTGTACTGAGCATATATGTATTTTTTCACACTTTTTCTACTTTGACACGGCAATACATGCTGGCAGCCTTCTCTTATAGGAAAACCTCAATATTAGATTGGAATTAAAATTATTTAGGAATAATAAAATTAACTTTTCTTGAGAAGTCACTGTGTACCAGGCACTTTTATATGTGCTTTATGTATACATAATCCTCATCATACGTCTATGTGTCAAGTACTATAATTATCAGCACCCTTTTATAGATGAATAAACCAAAGCACAGAGAAATCTTCCAACTTGTCCCATGACCCACTTCTAGGAACTTGCAGTGTTGGGATTTGAACCCAGGCATCCTGTGTTCAGACCTACTGTCATACCTCCCACATAACCAGCTTCTGAGAAGCCATTAGGGGTAGAATTGTATGTGTAGGGGCTTGGTGTGGGCTCTGTAGGCTGTCATAGCTGGGTGCCACAATTCAGGTGCGAGGAGCTGATACAAAATTGGAATGGACGGTTTGGAGAGGGTACAGTGGATATGTATCAACTCTGCAGACAAATCGCATGTAATAAAGGACCAAGTACAAGTTTAAAGCTTTAAAGCCAATTCCACTCTATTCACTTTATGTCAAAGGAAATGACAGAAATCACAAAAGGGAACATCTGGATTGCTCGCCACTTTGCTCATATAAAATTGAAAACTATTATGATGCCAGCAAGACCACCAGCGTACATCCCCTTGGATCATTTAGAAATTGTTCCCATCACTCACTCACTCACCCATGTGAGAGCTAATAGAGCAATATAAATGCCCTAATGGGACCGGCTGTCTTTTATACACTGCTTGCTGAATTTTTGAAAGTATTTAATAATTTTTGGTAATATATTTTCACATTGCCTTTTAGAATTGGAAATTCTATGAAAGTTACTTATAGAGGGTTAAAAAGAAGACTTTATGTGGAAGCATAGTGTATAAAAAATATTAAAAATATGGTGGCTTCACTGAAGGGGCTGCAGAGTTCTGGTCTCCCACCATCACTACCAGCACCACACACACCCCCTCAATCTTTTTTTCTCTCTCCTTTCCCTAAGAGAATCCATAAATGTCTCTATTCAACTCACAGGCCTCCAGACCACAGTTTGAAAAGCACTGGCTTAACTGAATGGGAAGTCTTCCTGAATTCTGGAGGTGATGTATACTGCTTTCTGAGGACCAGAAAGATCATGTTTTGGTGACTCTGGCAAAGTGATTTAGTGTAGTCAATTTCCCAGAAGGTCTCCATGGAAATGGTAGTGGTGGGGAAGGGATAACGTGGGTAATTCTGAAATACGCAAGCACATATGATAGACTAGACACAAGTCCATTTGATTTAGGATTTGAGAAGTGTCTTCAAGTATTCTAAGGAGAGAGGGAGTCAAGCTGAGAAGATTTTATGAAGGTTATTAGTGCACATAGGGCAGGGGGAAGGTGAAGAAATAAGTGACTATGGTCAGAGGCAGAATGTCAGTCTGATATTAGTGACAAAAATGCTTCCTGATAGTGATAAGTACAAAGAAGAGTCACTGAAGTAAATTTGAAGATGACTGCTTAAAAGTGAGGAAATTGAAGAATGATGTTAGATTGCTGCCAGGATCATCATCAATATAGATGGAAAGAAGAAAAAGCCAGGGAGTATACTGAAGAGAATAAAGCACATTTGATGGAGAATCAACTGCTATAAGCATTGAGCAATATTTCGGAAAGTTCAAAAGGTTCTTAGCAAGGGTGGGACAAGCATCATATGGATGGAAAGCACAATCACAGGTGGTGGTGGAGGTCTTCATCCCAATTAGGGAGCCTTATGATATCTGTGTAAATTTCATCATGTTACAGACTTTTGCTCTGGCTGAGATGCTTTTTCGATTATATGTCTGTTACTCAAAAATTTTACCATTTTTTTCCATCTTAAATTCACGAAATCAACTGAGGTCTCAACCAGCATTTTTAATAAAATGGGATAAAATATTAAATGTATTTCACAGAGTAAAAGTATTGTTTTGTGAGATCTTTGTATTAAATATATGTGCATACATTTATTATGTGTATAACAATGTGTGTGTGTTGTAAATTACAATATAAAACTTGTCTTTTCTTACTGTTGGGTTATATTCAAGATAATTTGGAAAGCCATTGGATTAGACAAACTTCTGGTAATGATGATAGTGTGGGGGAAAAAGGCATTCTCATAAGCTTCAAGAGAGAACATGAAACAGTACAACCATTTTAGAGGGTAATTTGGCAATAGGTGTACTGAAAGTCTCAACATTATTCGGAACTTTTGATCTTGTAATTCTGCCCCTCAAAATTTAGCCTAAAGAAGTATTTGATCAAGTACTTAGGCACATATGTTTTTTCACAGCAACATGAATAATAATGAAAACCTGGAAACAACTAAAGGTCAAATGAAGTAATACTCTAAACAAATTTTGTGGCAGGTATATAACATGCAACCAAATTTGCTAGTTGTTATTTACCAATATAGAAAGATATTTATTATAATATTACATAACACAAATGGCATCATCCAATTTTTGTGGTTTTCTAAATTTGTGTCCATAGAGACATTTCTGAAAGGATCTATATGCAAAAACTGTAAAAATCAGTAACTCTGTGGAAGTGGGGAGGCGTTATGGATAAGTTCTGTTTTTCCCATTTCGATTATTTCAAACATGCTTTTTTCTAAAATGAATATGGATTTCTATTTTAGAAACATTGATAATTATTCCAATCTTGTTCAGTCTCAGATACGATGACTTTCAGATCTTACGCCTGGAGACCAACTTCTGACGCTCAGCCCAATTTCTTAAAAGAGTAGTTTGACTTAGGTATGTTATACCCTAAAGTTTGAAAAGGGAAATCAGAATTGTATATAAAGGAGACAAGAAGAAATTGATCCAACTAGAATAGGAGATGCTTTTCATAATTACATTATAAGACTAGATAATAAAAGGAAATCAATATAAAATCAGGCCTTAAGGTTTAGGATTTGCAACATGGACTTGATCTTCATAAGGTAATGTGGAGTCATTTAAGAGGAAGGCATTGATGATGTTTTACCAAACAGTACATCATAATTTCACCTCATGTAACTTTAATACTCTGTGAAAACTAGTTCTGAAGGTCAGTGTGAGAGCCATGCTGCAAAGTAAGAGCGGTGGAGTATGGAATGAAAAGTGAAAGTGACACAGGAGGGTTCTTCATGGAACTCTTTTCTCACAAAATGTCATATTCTATTCCAGCACCTCTTACAGGTACTTAAATCTTTATGACAAGCTTAAGAACATTGCATTTATACACCTACAAATGTCATCTTGAGTCCTAGGATTAATATTCTACTTGAATATCACCTCCATTTTGTGGGGAAAGATCTTTAAAGATTCCTTTTTTTTTTTTTTGCAATGTTTCAAGAATCATGTTTGGAAAATACCATGCCCTAGTGAAGACCTTATATTGTTCTAAGAGAAATAACATAGGCTCTACTCAGTATTTCAAAAGATAAGACCACACATATGTTTTGCATTGACTAAGCCTTAGTCTATGAGTTGGCAAGCTTTTTGTAAAGGGTCAGATAATTATTTTAGGATTTGTGAGACATATGGCCTCTGTTGCAACAGGAGCCATAGACAATGTAAAACAAATGGGAGTGGCTGTGTTCCAATAAAACTTTATTTGCAAAACTTTGTTATTTGCAAAAACAGATACCGGAACCAATTTTGCCCACAAACCAAGGTTTTCCAGCTCCTAACTTAGACAACATAATGTAAACTTTACCAAAACACAAATTTATCCACATTCAGAAATTTACTAAAAAATAACTGAACAGGATATTTGATCATTTAAGAATTCAATATTCTACTAGATTTCATATAAATCATTTATATAGATTTAGTGATTTTCTAGAAAGTTTTTATATTTTACAAAATCCAACAATATAGAAATGGAGATCAGGTCTCATGTTTACAAACTTACTTAGAATTTTAAATTTCATAAAGGTTGAAATTATTCTAAATCTGTTGGAACCTGCAAGCGTTTTAAGTGCATGCTTGGCTGTGCAAAAATGTAGCCTTTTTCTCTATACTGGAAGTTGACTAACTTCATAGCCTTTTCTGCTGATGGTGGAAAATTAGCCAATTCTTGATCAGTTCTCAGTTCAGCTCAAATACTCAGTTCAGGCCCAGGCTCAAAATTCTCTCCCAAATTTTTGGGATTTCTCCTTTATCCAGTTCCTGGATTGACTCTGTAGTCCAGTACCAGGGAGGTACTAGTATCAGCTACTGAATTTTTGTCCCATTTCTCCCCGGGGCACAAATGAGGCATGTTTCTCCCGAATAGTATCCTTAGTTTAACTGACTCCACTTCTTCCCTCTTCCCTGGGTTTTGGGATCTACTAGAATTCTAACGAAGTTTTCTGATGATACCTGAGATAAACTATATATCACACTCTCTCCCACTTCTATTCATGGCCACCTGGTGGCAGGCCTAGGAACACTTCCTCTTGCATATTCTTTGAGACTCCGCCAGTTCTCCAGAACAGTGAGAAAGTCAGATGGGAGATGAGGACAGGGCAGTCCCTGACCTTCTGATTCTCAAATACGTTACATTTGCATTTTCAGCTCTCTCCCCCCATACTGAGCTCAGTGGTATGGGGAGAAAAGGTATGGCTGCTACTGTTCAAGATCTCAAACAGGCAGTAGACGAGTCCATTCTCTCTCCAGTCCTCAAATCCTATGGCAGTGGAGGGTAGGGGGTGTTGAGGCTGTTAAGTCAGGGTACCACATCCCCACTAACTATTATCTAACTCATTTTATTTCCACAGATAGCTCTTTACATCTGGTAGAATGTACCCTTAGTTTTACACGTGAAATTAAGATTTTCAGGTCCTTTATTTTAAATTGGTCTGTCTTTGTCAACTCTTTCTTAGTGGATGGGGTGGGTGATGGGATGACAGGCAAAACAAAACAGGACCTCAGGAATGGAGCCCAAGAATCTCTGAGCCTTTATTCTAAGGAGACTGCCATCTCTAGTTGTCAACAGCCCAGAAACCCATGGGTGAGAACAGCTGGGAACAAAAATCTTGGCTGGAAAAAGGAAGTAGGAGATTAACAAAATATATTTATCGCCACTGGAGGCTTAAATAAAAAATAAAAATAAATTTAAAAAACAATGAAAATATATTCTTATGATTCTTACTTTTTAACTCATTTTCAGAAGGAGGCAGGCATATGATATAAAGCCATGAACTAGTAAATTGAGGATAAGGTATTTGAGGAGAGATAGACATAACAAGAAATTCATACTGAACGGTAACTTACAGGAGTATAGAATAATGAATTTAATATGCCATTGTATGGTGACTCAGCAGCAGAAACACCCGCTTCAGAATGCTTAGTTCTCTTTACTTGTCACAGATGAATTTCCAGCTCCTATCCAAGGCCAACCACTCCACTGGTACAATGGATCCTTACATTACCTACCCTTCAAAGACTTTGCTTCTGAATAGACCCCCTTTCTCTCCTACGCCATCCTTTTACTGTCTTGATGGGGTCTTTTCTATCAACATACTTAGATGCTGTAATATCTGCCATCTTTTTTTTGTTTTTTGTGTTTGTTTGTTTTTATTTTCTTGAGATGGAGTTTTGCTCTTGTTTCCCAGGCTGGAGTGCAATAGCACAATCTTGGCTCACCACAACCTCCGCCTCCTGGTTTCAAACGATTCTCCTGCCTCAGTCCCCCGAGTAGCTGGGATTACAGGAATGCACCATCAAGCCCAGCTTATTTTGTATTTTTTTTTAAATAGAGACGGGGTTTCTCCATGTTGGTCAGGCTGGTCTTGACCTCAGGTGATCCGCCTGCCTCGGCCTCCCGAAGTGCTGGGATTACAGGCATGAGCCACCGCGCCCAGCCCCAATATCTGCCATCTTTCAGAAGACCCCACATCTACTAAATTAATCTGCTCTAATGCTGCTAATAAAGATATACCCAAGACTGGGTAATTTATAAAGGAAAGAGGTTTAATGGACTCACAGTTCCACGTGGCTGGGGAGGCCTCACAATCATGGCAGAAGGTAAAGGAGAAGCAAAGGCACTCTCTTACATGGCAGCTGGCAAGAGAGCTTGTGCGGGGGAACTGTCATTTATAAAACCATCAGATCTCGTGAGACTTATTCACTACTGTGAGAACAGTATGAAGGAACCCACCCCCATGATTGAATTATCTCCACCTGGCCCCATCCTTTACACGTGGGGATTATTACAATTCAAGGTGAGATTTGGGTGGGGACACAGCCAAACCATATCATCTACCAACCCTTTTCTCTCTTCCTATTTATAGAAAAATTTCTCAAGATTTTGTCTGTACTTACAGTCTCCATTTCATCACTTCCCATTCTTAGAAAGCCACTGGCTATGCTTTAATTCATTCTAAACAAGTTATCCTAATAACCCTATGGAAACCTCACTTGAGATCACCAGTGGACAATCTGAAGGTCAATTCTCCCAGCTCATCTACTAAAACCATTCAGCAGCATTTGGCATAGCTGATTATTTCCCCTTGAAAAATTCTCTGCAGTTGTTCTCCAGGATATTACACTCTGGGAATATGACTCCTATTCATGGATCCATCTTTCTCAGTCTCTTTTGCTGGCTTTGCTGGCTCTTCTTCCTCAACCAACTCTCTTTTTATTATTATCACTTTTTTAAGACAGAGTTTCGCTCTGTCGCCCAGGCTGCAGTGCAGTGGCACAATCCCAGCTCACTGCAAGCTGCACCTCCAAGGTTCACGCCATTCTCCTGCTTCAGCCTCCCAAGTAGCTGGGACAACAGGCGCCTGCCACCATGCCTGGCTAATTTTTTGTATTTTTAGTAGAGACGGGCTTTTCACCGTGTTAGCCAGGATGGTCTCGATCTCCTGACCTCGTGATTCGCCCACCTTGGCCTCCCAAAGTGCTGGAATTACAGGTGTGAGCCCCCGTGCCTGGCCTTCCTCAGCCAACACTTGTCTATCCTCACTTTCCCTAATGAGCCCTCTCAATGTTCTTGCTTTAAGTGCTTTAAATATCATTTATAAGCTGAAGATTTTCAAATCTTTAGCTCTGTTCTTGACGTCTACTCTGAGATCCAGAAAGACTGCTCTGTATCTCTATCCTAATATGTAATAGGCACCTCAAATTTAATTGCCCCAAATAGAACTCAAAATCCTCCCTCAGTCTAAAGATGAAAACAAATGCAAACAAATACTGAACTCTATTTAATAGATTGTTTTTCATGGTGATATGAATTAGCAATTCTGAAACTATTTTATATATATTTCAGGATTGAACAAATGGTTAATATATTGATAATCATGGGAACCAGACATCTCTGTTAGAGAAAAAGCTACAAATATGGGAATGAAAAAGTATAGACTGGAATGGAAAACATTAGTATGAACTATGGTGTTTGACATAGATAATAGATGGAATGTAAATAGTTACACACAACACACACACACACACACACACACACAGACACACACAGACACACACAGCTCTTTCTGCTGAAAAGACAGTAGCATTGACACCCCAGGAGAAATGAGCTCACCTCGCATATACATTTCGATTTCAAAATAGCATTCCTCACAATAAGGAACCAGGGAATCTTGGAAATCATGGAGCACCAAAAGTATGTCATAAACCTGGAATATCTTTTTCCAGAAAGTAACGAATTGCTCAAAGAATAATGGGAGCATACAAAAAGGCTGCAAGAATTAGCATAAAGATGCTCTCAATGGCTATATTTCTTGGGAAATTGGAGCAGCAAAATAATTAATGAGAATAGATAATAATCCATTGAATAAAGCAAAAATCCGTAAACCAACACTTATATAAATACATAAATGAATAAGTAGTATATGCAGGAGAAAGAATAGCTTTATCTTAGAGTTGAATGACAACTAATAAATGTAAAAGCAATGACAGAGTTAAGGGAAAATTATCACTTTGCAACCACCCTGTAAGAACTGATTTAGGTCAAAATCACCAGTGGAGTGTTTGATGAGGAACAGGGTATTTACATAACCTCTGAGTATCTGACAAAGGGAAATATAGTAACTTTACAGTGGACCAAGCTGGTGGACACCTTAATATAGAAATCAAAGTTAATATCACCAATAGTAGGCAACACTTTATCACATGCCTTCTGATATGATATACTGAGAAAAACATATTATTATTCTAGTTTCCCTGCTGAAAATACATAAATGAATCTAAGCATGAGAAAGCTGTAGATAAACCCAAATTGAAGGACATTCTAGAAATTAATTGCCTGTCCTCTTAAAATATTTAAAGCTCAAGAAAGACAAAAAAGACTGAGGAAATGTCCTAGGCTAAGGGAGACTAAAGATATGGGGAAACTAAAAACAAATCATGATAGTGGAATACTAGGCTAGGAAGAAAAAGACATTATTGGGACAACTAGAAATTTGAATATGTGAGTTAGATAAGAGATATTTAATATTTAGGATCCTGATTTAGATCATTTTACTGTAGTTATGTAAGTCCTTGTTCTTAGGAACTGCACCCAGAAATGTTTAAGGGGTTAAGGGGTACTTTGCAACTTAATTTTAAATAAATCAGAAAAAAAAGAATGAGAAAGCAAAGAGGGCAGAGTGTTAATAAGTGCTGAATATGAATATGGAGAAGAAAGTTGTTTGTACTATTTTTGCAACTTTCTTATGACATTGAAATTGTATTAAAAGTCAATTGTTTTTAGAAGAGTTGGGAGCAGCAAAGATGTCATAAATAATGCCAGAAGCTAATATCAAGTAAGAATAAGAGAATTCAAGTGTGTGCTGAGAAGAAGAAACCTCAGAGTTTTACCTCATAAAGGAAGCTATTTCAGAAGATACAGTCTAAATTATGGCCTTACTTACGGTAATGATTTTATATATCAACTTGGCAGGGCTAAAGGATGCCCAGATAGCTGGTAAAACAGTATTTGTGGGTGTGTCTGTGAGGGTGTTTCTGGAAGGGATTAGCATTTGGGCAGTAGACTGAATAAAGAAAATTGTTCTCACCAACGTGAGTGGGCATGATCCAATTCACTGAGGGCCTGAATGGAACAAAAAAGTGGGACAAATTTATTCCCTCTGCTTGAGCTGGGATATCCATCTTGTCCTACCCTCAGACATTCATACTCCTGGCTCTTGGGCCTTCAGACTCAGACGGGGACTGATGCCATTGGCTCCTCTGGTTTTGAGACCTTCAGACTCCAACTGGAACTACACCATCAGCTTTCCTGGGTGTAGCTGCAAGATGGCTGATCATGAGGCTTCTTAGCCTCCATAATGATGAGTCACCTCCTTATAATAAATCTCTTTCTATGTAGAGTTGGTTCACAGTATCCATGGGTTTTGCATTAGCAGATTCAACCCACCATGGATCAAAAATATTTAGACTTTAAAAAACAACATTATAGGCCAGGCACGGTGGCTCACGCCTGTAATCCCAGCACTTTGGGAGGCCAAGGCGGGTGGATCACAAGGTCAGGAGATTGAGACCATCCTGGCTAACACAATGAAACCCCGTCTGTACTAAAAATACAAAAAAAATTATTAGCCGGGCGTGGTGGCGGGCACCTGTAGTCCCAGCTACTTGGGAGGCTGAGGCAGGAGAATGGCATGAACCTGGGAGGTGGAGCTTGCAGTGAGCTGATATCACACCACTGCACTCCAGCCCTGCGCAACAGAGCAAGACTCCGTCTCAAAAAAAAAAAAAAAAAAAAAAAAAAACTGTAAAAATAAAAACACAAATTAAAAAAAAGTATTAAAAAATATTTTAATATCAACTAAAATAGTTGATATACTGCATTACAAATAATAAAGTATATCAACTATTTAAATAGCATTTACATTGTGTTATGTATTATAAGTATACTAGAAATGATTTAAAGTATATGGAAGGATGTGTGTAGGTTGTATACCATTTTATATAAGGCACTAGGACATCCACAGATTTTGGTATCCAAGGGGGTCCTGAAACAAATACCTCTAAGATATTGAGGGATGACTGAATGTGTATCCTACTTCCTACTGGTTTTGTTTCTCTGGAGAACCCTGACTAATATACTGATAGTTTTAAAAAAGGAAGCCCAAAATCTTGGCATTGTGAAAGTCAAGGAAGAGAGGCCAGTCATCAACATAGTGTTTGAATTCTGCAAATATGATAACAGTGATTCAGCTGTAGAGAAAGACTCTTCTCAAGTTGTTGAAATCTTTCAGATGGAATTAGTGAATCATAGCAATGAGGATGGAGAGAAGATGGTCTAAGTGGAAAATACTGGGCATCCAGAGAAAGACACTAAAACAAATTCGAATAAGCTGGAGTACAGTGAGGGAGGAGCAGAAAATGGGAGTTTAACATGTTTGATCTTTCCAGGATCCATGAGAAATTATAAATAAATCCTTTATTTAATAGGGCAGCCAGGAAGTGATATATTATTGGGGAGAACTAAAGTTCTTTAAACAAAGTGTTCCAGAGAAATACTGAAACTATGGGGTTGTGTATTAGTCTGTTCTCATGCTGCTCTGAAGAAATACCTGACACTCGGTAACTTAAAAAGAAAGAGGTTTAATTGACTCAGTTCCACAGGGCTGGGGAGTCCTTAGGAAACTTAAAATCATGGAGGAAGGGGAAGCAAGTACATCCTTCTGAGAGACAGGACTAGCTGGATTTCCTAGGCCAACTAATAGCACTTGGGTTTTCCTGTTGAGAGTGGGGACTGAGAGACAGGACTAGCTGAATTTCCTAGGCTGACTAAGAATTCCTAATCCTAGCTGGGGAAGTTGACCACAACCACCTTTAAACACAGGGCTTGTAACTCAGCTCACACCCAACCAATCAGGTAGTAAAGAGGGCTCACTAAAATACCAATTAGGCTAAAAGCAGGAGGTAAAGAAATAGTCAAATCATCTGTCATCTGAGAGCAGAGCGGGAGGGACAATGATTGGGATATAAACCCCAGGCATTTGAGCCGAGAGTGAGCAACCCCTTTTGGGTCCCCTCCCATTGTATGGGAGCTCTGTTTTCACTCTGTTAAATCTTGCAACTGCACACTCTTCTGGTCCATGTTTGTTCCGGCTCAAGCTGAGCTTTCACTCACTGTCCACCGCTGCTGTTTGCCGCCATTGCAGACCTGCCATTGACTCCCACCCCTCAGGATCCGGCAGGGTGTCCACTGTGTTTCTGATTCAGCGAGGTGCCCACTGCTGCTCTCAACTGGGCTAAAGGCTCGCCATTGTTCCTGCACGGCTAAGTACCCGGGTTCATCCTAATCGAGCTGAACACTAGTCACTGGGTTCCACGGTTCTCTTGCATGACCCACGGCTTCTAATAGAGCTTTAACACTCACCGCATGGCCCAAGATTCCATTCCTTGGAATCCGTGAGGCCAAGAACCCCGGGTCAGAGAACAAAAGGTTTGCTGCCATCTTGGGAGCAGCCGCCACCATCTTGGGAGTGGCCTGCCACCATCTTGGGAGCTCTAAGAACACAGACCCACCCCTTAATAGTTCTTCACATGGTGGCAGGAGAGAGAGAGAAGTGTCCAGCAAAGGGGAAGCCCCTTATAAAACCATCAGATCTTGTGAGAACTCACTATCATGAGAACAGCATGGGGAAAACCGCCCCCCCTTGATTCAATTATCTCCACTGGTCCTGCCCTTGACATGTGGGGATTATTACAATCAGGGTGGGATTTGGGTGGGGACACAGAGCCAAACCATATCAGGTTGTCTCTTCAACAAATGCTGCTCAGTAAATGGAATAGCCACAAGAATGAAATTGGTCCCTTACCTTACGCCGTATATAAGATAAACTGAAAATGAATTAAAGGCCTAAATATAAGAACTAAAACTATACAACTATTAGAAGTAAACAGAGTAAAATCTTCCTGACACAGAATTTAGTAATGATTTCTTAAATATGACACCAAAAAGCAACAAAAGAAAAATTGTACTTTAACTGCTACTTCAAAAGACAAACTGTACTTCAGCACAATTTGAAACTTTTATTAAAGAACACTATCAAGAGAGTGAAAAGTCAACCCACAGACTGGGAGAAAATATCGGCAAATCATACTTCAGATGAGGGTCTAGTATCAAGAACACATAACGAACTTTTACAATTTGACAACAAAAAATACAAACAAAACCCAATTGCATGTGTGTGTGTATATATACATGGATTTATATACAAGTATACATATAAATTATCGACGGATTCAATAAATTCATACATATAATTATATATAGGATATGTTTATATAAATTGAATGTTCTCTTGTTGAAACTTCTATATGTATTCTAAATACATATTTAAATTCACATATATATGAATTGAAAACAGATGTTGAGAAACTTGTATACAGATGTTCATAGCAGCTATTCACAATAGTCAAAAGGTGGAAATATCCAAAGTGTTCATAATGGATAAACAAAATTTGGTATATACATACAATGGAATGGGTAAACAAATGGGTAAACAAAATGTGGTATATACATACAATGGAAGAGTCTTCAGTGATATAAAAGGAAAGAAGCACTGCTACATGCTACAACATGGACGAATCTTGAAAGCATTATGGTAAGTAAAAGAAGCCACCTGCATAAGGCCATATCTTGTATTATTCCATTTATATGAAACATCCATAATAGTCAAATTTATAGAGACAGAAAGGGCTGGTGTGTGGAGGAGAAAAAGGGGGTGGATACTTACTGTGTATGAGCTTCCATTAGCAGTGGTGAAAAAGTTCTGGAACTAGATAGTGGTGATGGCTGTATCACATTATGAATATACTTAATGCACTAAATTTTACACTTTAAATGGTTCAAATGGTACATTTTATGTTGAATATGTTTTACCACAATTTTTTAAATCTGGAGTTCCTTCTGGGAACATAGTAGAGGGCCCTAGAGAGGTGTGAAGTTGTATCAGGTGTTGGAGGGATGGGGAACAAGCTGATGGGAGGAGGAGTTGCATAAAGACACTAGAAAGGAAATTTGGGACCAAATTGGAAGAGGCCTGAACATCATACGAGTTTGCGTATTACCCAAAGACTATAAAGAACCATTAAAGAATTTTAAGCAGCAGGGTAAATGGATCTGGCAGTTCTAAAGTTTCTGTAATTCTCTTTTGAATGGAGTCCTGGTAGGGCATCTAAGCAGCTATCAAACACTCCTTTACTGAGAGTTTCATTAGTAAACATAATTAAATTATCCCCCACCCTTTTCAGGAAGCCCAGGCTAAAATGTCCTCTCCTCGTGTATAATTTTTGCTAAATCTTTCTTCCAACTGTAAGCCAAAAGAAGTAGCCAGACTGGTGACCATCTCTGACAAAGTTTTAATACCTCTCAAAGAAAACATTTTGTAAAAAAGTATGAAGACTAATGCCGCCATAAACAATTAGTGGATTAAAGGCCTAGGCCATGTTAAAAGGAAAAAAAAAAATTAGCAAAAATGTTTCCTCTGCTCCTAGGCAGCCCTGAAACCTCCTCCCAGCTGTGGGATGAGCCTTTGTATGTAAGCACAAAAGCCAGGGCTGTTAACATTACAGGGCAGAAAGTCAACTCTGCCATCTGCAAGTCTGGCATGTAAGGCATATAGATCTATCTTTAATGAAAACCACAAGCAGCTGGTACTTTGGGCACTCCAAGAACGCAGGCAGGAATTCTCCGTGATCCAACCCTGGCCCTAAGTGCGCATGAGCACCTGATGCCAAGAGACTTTGGTAAGATCATTGGTAAGTCTCTACTGTTCTCAATAGTCTAAGCGCTACTCTAAGTTAGATGTGTTCATAAATTTCACACGGAGGCCTCATTACCATAGTCCCCCATTTGCAGGCCTTTAGTAGACTTTAAGTAATGTTATAGTTTCAGATTCAAATATCCAACTAAATAATACTTCTTTTGTTTTAAAAATCAACCACGTTAGCCAATGTGTATTGAAGACTCTCCTTGAGTTGCTTAGAGGCATTCTATCCTTCTAGACTCATCTCCCTCTTCTCCCCCAGAGAGCTCCGACTTTTACCCACTTATCTTGTTGTGTACCTACTGATGTGCTGGGTGCTAGAATACAAAGATGATTAAGATATGGTTTCTGCTTTCAAGGAACTATCATAGTCCAACAGAAAAACAGACACTGGGCATTCGCAGGAACAAGGTATCTTTCAAATGTATCTCCCCAGTGCTGTTTTAGTGTCTGCCAAAATTATATGCAAAACATTTTAGAAGCTTTACAAAATTAGAGTCACCTCTCCATTCTAGGCAGGGCCTTACTTTGCATTGTTTAATCACAAGGAGATAGAAATGTAGGAAAATTAGAAGAGACTAGACAAATGGGCTTTAGTGTCTCTTTATGGCTGACAAAATGCTGCGCCAAGCAGTACTTCGATAATACTAGCTTTGCCCCTGCTCTGAGCATGAGGGTGTCATCCCCACCCTAGGCCAGGCACACATTCCACAGCCAAACTTCATGGCACACATTCCACAGCCAAACTTCATGGCCTTGACCAAGTTGATGGCATCAAAAGCTGAGGAAGTGCTATATTCTCTTTTATTGTCTCCTGAGCCTCAAACTGTGCTATCTAATCACAACTTTTACTTATTTTTGAGTCGTGAAGGGGCAAGTCTCTAACATCTTCTAGAAACATTAAAGAGCAGGCAATCTCTGGTCCAGGCGCGGTGGCTCACGCCTGTAATCCCAGCACTTTGGGAGGCTGAGGCGGGCAGATCACAAGCTCAGGAGATCAAAACCATCCTGGCTAACACGGTGAAACCCCATCTCTACTAAAAATACAAAAAAAAATTAGCCGGGCTTGGTGGCAGACGCCTGTAGTCCCAGCTACTGGGGAGGCTGAGGAAGGAGAATGGTGTGAATCCAGCAAGCAGAGCTTGCAGTGAGCCGAGATGGCGCCACTGCACTCCAGCCTGGGTGACAGAGCGAGACTCCATCTCAAAAAAGAAAAAAGAGCAGGCAATCTCTGGACAAATAGAGTTTCCTCTCATACATTTTATAAGATCAATATGTTCACTCCCCTGTGCAATATGTAGAATTTATCTCACAATGACTTATTAACAACACTAAACAATGGGTACAGTTAATCCTATTTGTTTCCCATGAAAAGATAAAAATAGCAATTATACACCAAGTATCAGGGATTTTGACTGAAGATCTCGAATAGCAAACATCAAGCGTGGTGCTGGGTGCATAGTTTATATATGTGTTCATTGTGGGCATGGACGCAAACAATAAATGACAAAGGTCATCTGGAAACACGAGAAGCACACTGTCTGGAAATAGTCAGGCCTGGTTTTGGTCCTCCCTTGCTATTAATGACCTCAAATGACTGTGAGAAAATCCCATCACTTTTTGTGGTTTTGGTTTCCTCATCTGAAAGTTAGAAACTGAGCTTAATTTCCAAACTTCTTTCTAACTCTAAAAAATGTTGTATTCTTAAGCCAAATCTCCCACCCCATCCTCAGCCTTTCCTCTAAGATGCCCAGCCTTTTTAGTGTGACCACCAGAATATAATGAGCTCCATTAAATCTTAGTAATATAAGTTCTAATTTCTAATATATGGTAGGCACTCAGTAAATTTAATTTCATCCTACTATAGAACGACAGTAAATTTAGTCCTGAATGTGGGCTTTCATGGAAAACTGGTAGGTACTTTTCTCCCAGTTTATACAGTTCTAATTAAATTTCTAAATATAGAACTTTTTTCAGTGCCTATTAGGTCCATCCTATTTGCATGTAGCAATTCTACATAATCATTAATAAATTTTTATCACTCACCCTCTCACTTTGCAAACTAAAGTCAATCTGACGTTTTCCACCTAAGGTCATTAAGGCAGATAGCTTTTTTCTGTCTGATATTTCCACCCTATGTGTCAAATATTCCATACCAATGGAATGGAATCACACACAAGGGGACGATTGTGAACTTCATATGCAGTCTTTGGATTAAGACAAAAAGTACTATGGGATACATATTCACCATGAATGAGTTTTCATTTTGTCCTGCATATGTTATAGGATTATTATTCTAAGACTACTATAGTCTTGAGACTAGAGCAAACTCATATGGGAATATTTCTCTTCTCCCTGCACTGCTACTGGCAGTAAGGCAGCCCAAGATCCTCCAAGTAGTTAGTAGAATCAGGTCACTCTATGTTTTGCAGAATCAACCTTCTCCAGGGCCAGTTCAAGGCCATTTGGATGGAGGTAGTAGGAAGCCTCTAATATTGCATTAATTGCCAATCAGGGAGCCATGGGCTTTGGGGTAATAAAACTAATAATTAAATTTCATTTATCTGGATCTGTTTTGTACTTGTTAGCACCCACAGCAGAAGAGAGGTGATTCCTTGGTACCCCTGGATGCCAACAGGTTTAGAAGGCCATTTCTACATTGGCTCAATTGTACTTTTCAGGACATGTTTTTATAACTTTGTGGTTGAAAGAACATAGAATTAGAGTGAACACTTGAATCCCTTAGCTCTAACTCCTCCTCTCCCTAAATATATGCAAAATCTATCGTTCAGAAGGCAGATCAGAGTCTAGAATACCAGACAAATCTATGTGTCTCCAATTTACTCCCAAATAGCAGGAGTGAGAATCTATTAAAGGGAAAACGATAAGAAATATGAGAGGAAAAAATAGGTACATAGCTATAGAAACTAGAAAATAAATTCAATCTTAGCAAAAACAAAAATTCTAATATTGAGGACCTTTAGCAAAGAAATGAAACTTATCACTAGAAATACAATGCGCAAGCTAGGTGGTCATGTCAAAGGGCTCTAGATGAGCTGTACAATTTGAGGGATAAATTAAGGATTCTCTGAGATCCAAATACATGACACAGTCAGAAGACACCAAGCTGTTGGCCAGCCCAAAACACAACCTAGAATGGCTTTCTTTCCTCACATAACATGAGAGACCACCAGGTGTCAGTGAAAGCTAGAAAATAAAAACAAGACTTTGGGCGTTTTTGTTGTTTTGTTTGAAAATAGCTTGCCTAAATTTACATGAGGAGATAACATTCTGGACATGTTTGAGATTTTAAAAAATGATGAATCTCAAATATAGGAAATCTCAAATACAGAAATTCACAAATGTCAAAAAAGTTTGTTAATAAACATCATGAGGTACTCCCAATTTTTTACATATCAGAGAATGTCTATTTTAGTTAACCAATGCCACATTTGAGATGAAGAAACAAAGTTTTCAATTGGTTAGAGATGCAGGAGATAGTAAAATTATTTTAATCAATTCGACTGTCAGATGCATCCCCACCCAGGATCAGCGCAAGCATCATGTGAAAGAGGCAGTTGTTTGAGGATCCCGACTATTGATTAACTCCAAGGAATTTTAGCTGGCTTTTCCATACCACACTGCCCTCCCCCAAGCTAATGACCTTGCTTCAGGTTCTTAATGACTATTTAGAGAAAGTATTATTTCATGAATTGTTGTGCCAGAAACAATCTAGTGAAAACAATCAACTCCCTTTTCCCCCCATGGATCTTAAACTTACCATGCTTAGAATAGATTAGAACTTCCTAGAAAGCAATTTTCTATCTTTCTACTTTAGAAGCCAATAGGTCCCTGAGTGGCCTCACCTGTGCTTTCAAATTAGCCCTGTTCTTAAGACTTAACTGCCTGTCTTTGCCTCAAAACCAAAATCATTCCTGAGTAAATAAAAACCAGCATTTTTTATCTCACCTTATACTTATAGGACAACACATTCACTCATATTATTTGACATTAGCAGCAATTCTATTTTGCAGGTAAAATAATATCATCCCTGTTTTATAAATGAGATTGAAACTAAATAATTCATCCAAGTTTGCACACTGTTAACTTCTTAGCCTCAATTTCCAATCTGTAAATTTTTCTGACTCAGCTCCAAGAGCAAATATAAATAAAGAGCCACGTTATAAAAAATGTTTTCTGTTTCCAGAGAAAACCACTATACAAAGGTAGAATAAAGAGACAAATGTGAATCTGGTTATCTGACAGAAAAAAAAATTCAATACTGAGAACAAAAGCAATATTAGTCAAATTTTAGCAAGGAGACTAAATCTGTCATGAGGCTATAGCACTATAAACAAAATAGAAAACAGCTACATATTTTTTCATGTCTTTGGCAGAAACAGAGTGGGTTGTGAAACAAACTCAGTGTTTATTTAAAAGGATAAATTTTAAATTTTTCAATTTTATTACCAGGAAACTCAAAGAAGCAGAAAAGTAAAAATTCTGAAGACTTGAGAAGGAACACCAATAATATAAACCATTTACCCACCTGAGGTCAGGCAGATGGGACTGGAAACATCTGCTTTATCACTATGAGCTGTGGGAGAAGGCAGCATAGGCAGGCGGGAGGCAGCGTTGCCTAAATGATGGTCTCTAAACAGATTCACCTGAAGCAGAACCCAAGCCAAGGATTGGACTAGAAGTAGTTCGTTTGGGAATCAATCCAAGAAGGGGAGTGAGGGAGTGAGACAGGGAAGAGAAGAAAGCCAACAAAGAGAATGTTCTAAAGCCAGCTATTGTTGCAGGCAGCCTGAGCTCAATCCATCTGGGTAAGGCTGGGAGAAAGCACAGAACACAACTCCAGGAAGCTGGCATATTTATTCATTAACTCCTAGGCCGTCCTTGTTTGAGGGCTACTTCTAGGGACATGAACTCTTAAGTACAGCTTGTCTTATGCATGGGCCAAGAATACTCGTGTGGCCAGAAAAAAAACAACAAAAACATTCCAACATAAAGTGCAGGTGTTTATGATAAACACTCTTCTGTGTGTAGAGGTGAACACTGGGAGAAGGATGGGGATGCGGCAGCATTTGCTGTATCCATCAAATCACAGGCAGGGGGCCTGGCATGGTGGCTCACACCTATAATCCTTGCAATTTGGAAAGCAGAGGCGGGCGGATCACTTGAGGGCAGGGGTTTGAGACCAGCCTGGGCAACATGGTGAAACCCTGTCTCTACTAAAAATACAAAAGTTAGCCAGGTGTGGTGGTTCATGCCTGTAATCCCAGCTACTCGGGAGGCTGAGGCATGAGAATCCCTTGAACGTAGGAGGCGGAGGTTGCAGTGAGCCAAGATCACATCACTGCACTCCAGCCTGGACAACAGTCAGAGTGAGACTCTGACTCTGTCTCAAAAAAAAAAAAAAATCACAGGCAGAACTGGCCAAACTCAGGATCCCCCCGCCCCCGCCCCCGTGAACACACACACACACATAAACACACAAGGCAGGCACTTCACTCTAAGCTTACCACATGGCCAAGAGCAGAGAGACCAGACATTAGGTGTTCCTGAGCGAAGAAGAAGCAACTGAGCCGTGTATACTCAGGTCTTCACCCAAACTGATTGCTTAAATCACACCTCTGCTGAGTGAATGGCGAGATGAAAGGCGCCAGGCGCATGCTCTGATGGAGCTAGGGAAAAAGGGACTTCTCAACAAAGGTAGTTCTGGCTAAGAATTACAGCAGGTGAGGACTATCTAGAAAAATCACCCAGAATGTTTTCACTCACCTTTTTACCTCTTGTTGCTGACTATAAAGAAATCCTGAGAAAACTGCTTTTTCTGGTGTAACTTAGGTTTCACTGAGGTATTAGCACATCTCAACAGAAATAGCAGAAGGTATATTTTAGGCAGTAGAGATCCAAAATATATACATTTAATAGAGTCAACTGGCATAAACATTACTTTCAGACATTAACATTTTTCCTCTATGGGAGAATTCAAAACTATAATCCAGCTATTGGGTACTAAATTAGGCTATCTTAAAATGTTTTTATAACTCCTAGATATCAAGTAAATTGACTTAAAAAGGTGAGAAGAGAATAAGCAAAAATAAATAAATGCTATGAACAGCAAATAGTCTTATTTGTAACTTGTCAGAATTTTTTTAAAGTTTTTATAGGATTATGGCATACTTGTCCTAGGAGCATTTACATAACACGTGGATATGGCAGGCCAACACAAACCACCTAACTTATTTTAGAAAGGGAATCCTTTCTGATATAAAATATATTTGGCAGTATCTATATCTATATATAGATACACACACATATATAATGTGTGTGTGAATGTATTTATGTGTGTATACCACTGACTTATTGAGTATAGATTTGAATAATAGATGTGAGTGTAGATTTAAATAATAGTCTTTGGCAATTTTCAATTCCATAGAAAGTTGAGACAATCAAAAGAGACCTATAAAATTCCCATAAGAAAAACAAGTATGTGCTATGAGAGACAATGGACCACCTTTGAGGGCCAAAGACAACTTATTCAGCATTGACAAAGGGAGACTGGGGAAAGGACAGAAAGAGATCATATTAGTTATCCATTGCTGTGTAATGAGTTCACCTACAATGTAGCAGCTTGGAACAAAAACAGGAATTTATAAAGGTCAGGAATCTTAGAGTGACTTAGTTGGGTCTAAGGGGTCTCATGAGGTTGCAGTCACCTGAAGTCTGGGCTGGAGGATTCACTTCCAAAGTCCCACTTCTGGGCCTTTTGGCCCTAATACTCAGTTATTCACTGCATGGGCCTCTCCCTAGCACTACATGGAAGCCAGCCTCCATAGAAGCATGTGATCTAAGAGAAAGAGAGAGCAACCAAGAAGGAAGCCACAGTGTTGTTTACCATCACAGAAGTGACACACCTGCACTTCTGCCACATTCCATTGATCATATAGACCAACCCTGGAACAATGTGGGAGGGAACATGTATAAATACCAGTGCCCACATTAGCAGGCAGGATCACTGGGGGCTATCTGGGAAGCTGGAAGAAAATAAGTACATATAGGCCTTGGAGCTTTTTCATCACAGCCAAAGAGATGATAACTTCAGTGAAACCTTTCTGAAGGACGAGGTCTTCATGCGAGAACAAAAAGATGATCAGAAAAAGCCTGAAAAATTGGAAAAGGTAGACTATTGCAAGTTGATAAGACAACACAGAGAAGCTGAAGGAGGAACCTGGTTGGGAAAGCAGTCAGGTCTGTTGTGAACTGATAGTGCAGAAAGCAGGCATTTTCTAAGCAAAATTGTGGTTCTCACTTTGGAAATTTTATATCCGATCCTACTCAGAGAAGAAAAGATGTCTTGGGATTTTCTGGTTTTTGTTTTTCTTTAGTATATTTCTTCATCTGTCATGCATTTCAAGATGGCCAGCTCTGGCTCCCAGCTAAGGAAGCCCCATAGGTAATCCCTGGGCACACAGAGATGAAAAGGAGGAAAATCCATCAGATTCAGATGGGCCAATGGTTCTGAGCAGACAGAATGCAATTGTATCTCTTCAGATCATTACCAACAATCTCCAGAGCACAAACCACTTATAGAACAGTGATGCATAAAATGTCACTATGGGAATGTTGGGCTCCAGACATTCAAACGATACCACACGCCTGACATGGTACTGAAGGCAAATTTGTTTCTTATGGCCACAGATCTAAATTACAGGCTTTACTATGAGCAAGGATTTGAGTTTTTTTCATACTAAGAGCAAGGCCTTTGCAAATGAAACGAATTTGACCCTGCGGTGGTTGTAAAACATGCCGCTGATTGTTTGGCATGTCGCCCAGCAGAGGCAGATCTTAATCCTGCTTTCCTTAAGCATGGGCCAGGCTTACTAACTTCCTCCTAACAAATAGAATGTGGAAGACATGACTTCCAGGGCCAGGTCATACAAAGCAACATGACTGCTGCTTGGCTGTCTCTTGAGACACATGTGTTTGGAGCCCTGAGTCACCATGTAAGAAGTCTGAAAACTGAAGCCACCATGCTGAAGAGAGCCCTTGGAGAGGCCACAGAGACCCAGAGAAAGATGCCCAGGAGACCCAGTGTGGCAGACGCAGCCTACAGCAGACCTTTGAGTTTGGAGGCCTTCAAGAAGACCCAGCCTCAGCCACTATGGGACTGCAGTCCCATGAGAGAACCTGAGCGAGAGCCACCTACCTGGACTCAGCCAAACCTCAGCACTTTCAGAGATAATAATCATCAGTGATCCTTCTTTAAGCCGTTATCTGAGGGAGTTTTGTTACACAGTCATAGATAACCTGAGACAGACTTCATTAAAAGTAAAAAGTCCTTCAACCACAACTAATCAGAAAAGGGGACTGAGAGGGATTATTTATTCGCATGGAAAAGGACTTCAATTGATGTGTTTTAGTCCAGTTTGGTGACCCTGAAAGCCCCTGATTTCATTTTTCCCGCTTCCTCTCTCCATCGTAAGTGCAGGCCTCTTACAGCACTTTCTCTCCTACAGAGCTCAGCTGTCAAACTTTCCCAGTACAAAACAAGTCACTTTCTTATCCTTCTGTTTAGAAATTCTAGTGGCCATTACCCTCAGAAATGGCAATTTTAAGGGAGAAAACTACCAAATAACTGTGAAAAAATGATATTTTGGAAGATGACAATATCCAAAGGGTAATTTTCAATACAACATTATTATAAATTGCACTAGTCTCTTCTGTTGTTTTTTGTTTTGTCTTGTTTTTTGTTTGTTTGTTTTTTGAGACAGAATCTCACTTTGTTGCCCAGGCTGGAGTGCAGTGGCACAATCTTGGCTCACTGCAACCTCCGCCTCCCAGTTTCAAGCGATTCTCCTGCCTCAGCCTCCTGGTAGCTGGGATTACAGGTGTGTGCCACCACGCCTGGCTAATTTTTGTATTTTCAGTAGAGACAGGGTTTTGCCATGTAGGCCAGGCTAGTCTCGAACTCTTGGCCTCAAGCAATCTGCCCGCCTCAGCCTCTCAAAGTGCTGGGATTACAGGCGTGAGCCACTGCGACTGGCCTGTTGTTGTTTTTAAGCGACATATAAAGCATTCATACATTCATGGGTGACTCCTTTTAGTCACTGCAGCAGGAAGTGTGCGGATTGAAAGACATCAAATGCAGGAAATGGACAGGATGCATTTGCTTCCCAGATCTAATTTAGAGGATGCTAGAAGTGCAGGCAACAAAGCAGTCTCAGGAATGGCCAGTGCAGCACCTGCCAATGAGAGACACTCCAGGAGTGCCAGGAGAGAAGGAATGCCAGGGTGGGGGCCAGCCAGTGAGCACAATAGGAGGGACTAGGGGGATAGGCAGGGGGAATGAAGTGGAATACCAGAGCTTCTTACTCAAAGTAACATCAACTGTGTCTCCTACATCTGTGTCACCTCTCCTACGTGGAATTCGTGTTGTCACATAGGGCAAATATGAACTAAGTGGCCCAGGCCCTCCTTTCTACAGTTGCAGAACATCAAAGTGAGCTTTGCCCGAATGTCTGATTTGCTCTGTAGGACTCAGTGGCCTTTGTGGCAGATTTTCGACATTTGCATACTGGCCTTGAACCTTGGGCCAATTCTGCCATTTATTACAAATGCAACATTTAAATGTGGCCATGAAGTTTCTTTTTGAGGTCACAGTTATTCTGCATGTTAACTCCTAGATACTCATATCAACCCAGAAAAGTTCCTTGACTTGACAGTATCTTTACTTCCTAAAGAAGCACTAGAGATGGGCTTTCTTGTGATATATTAAAGCTGAATGACAGAAGGGTGTTGGAGAAAATGTATGAGTTCTCCACACATGTGACTGATATGCCTGTGGCCTTCATTGGCATGCTTGGTGGTGATAATCTCTACAACAGTGGTCCTCAAGTCTGGCAGCACATTAGAATCACTGGGAGAGTTTATAAAAAATAGTCATGCCAAGCCCTCCCCAGACCAATTATATTCAAATCACTAGGGGTAAGATGCAGGCATTGGTATTTTTTAAATCTCTCTCATGATTCTAATGTGCAGTTAGGTGAACTTATGCTTTATATCATTTTTATCTATAATAAATTCTTCTGGTTTTCAGAGTAAATAACTGTTTTCAATGCCTTCTCATACTATAGGGCTGTTCACCCCTATCATTCATCTTTAAGTATTGCTACAATTGGTACTAAAAATGGCCCTAAATCCTTATTGAAAGGAAACATTGAAGACTATTAGGAAAGACAGAACTCTGAGAAGAAATTGATGCTTGAAAGTGGAGATCTGTACTCAACATGATCCTGAGTCTAGTCATTTTCCTTAAAGACTTGACAATGGCTTCCAAGAATCTTATGTAACCCAAGTTAAACTGGGTACCCTCTAGACCAGAACCAGCATAGTATTGAATCCACAAGACAGCTCAAAGATACTGCCAAAAAGCCTTAACAGATAGTATAAGTCTTTACTTGTATTTCTTGAAAATTGAGAGAGAAAACTATGTAGCAACGTATGCTTTAAAATACTGTCACCTCAAAATCCTACATTATAGTATAGTATAGCAAACACCTCTAATATTGATTCCCTGCTTTGTGTTTATTTATTTATTTATTTATTTATTTATTTATTTATTTATTTTTGAGACAGAATCTCGCTCTGTCACCCAGGCCGGAGTGCAGTGGCGCGATCTCTGCTAACTACAAGCTCCGCAACCCAGGTTCATGCCATTCTCCTGCCTCAGCCTCCCGAGTAGCTGGGACAACAGGTGCCCACCACCACGCCTGGCTAATTTTTTTTTGTATTTTTCATAGAGATGGGGTTTCACCGTGTTTGCCAGGATGGTCTCGATCTCCTGACCTCGTGATCTGCCTGCCTTGGCCTCTCAAAGTGCTGGGATTACAGGCGTGAGCCACTGCGCCCAGCCAATTCCCTGCTCTTTCTAAATACCCCGTCTTTCTTTCTTTCTTTTTTTCTTTTGGAGACAGAGTCTTGCTCTGTCGCCCAGGCTGGAGTGCAGTGGCACCATCTCGGCTCACTGCAAGCTCCACGTCCCGAGTTCACACCATTCTCCTGCCTCAGCATCCTGAGTAGCTGGGACTACAGGCGCCTGCCACCATGCCTGGCTAATTTTTTTTGTATTTTTAGTAGAGACGGGGTTTCACCATGTTAGCAGGATGGTCTTGATCTCCTGACCTCGTGACCTGCCCGCTTTGGCCTCCCAAAGTGCTGGGATTAGAGGTGTGAACCACTGCGCCTGGCCAATACCCTGTCTTTCAAAAGCTCAGTGTACTCAGGGTTTTCTGTTCTCTCTCCCTTCCTTTTCAAATCCATTCCTTTCTCCTATATACAGCTTTCTGTCTCTTTAATATTTCACCAGTCATCAATATCTTTTATATTTTATGCCCAGTATCCATAAATTCTTTTTTCCCCAGCTGAATTTAGGTATAATTGATAAAATTGTGTACATTTATGGTATGCAATGTGATATTTTGATATCTATATACATCAGGAAATAATTAAATCAAGCTAATTAACATATCTGTTTCCCCTCATGCTTATCTTTTTGTGGTGAGAACATTTAAAATTTACTCTCAGCAATTTTCAAGTGTGCAATATTATTAACTATAATCACCATGCTGCTCAGTAGGTCACCAGAACTTATTCATCCTAACTGAAACTTTGTACCCTTTGGCCAACATCTTCCATTTCTTAGTCTGGTAATGATAAAAGCATTTTTCTTAGAGTAATCAACCTTGCCTCTGTTAAAAGTGTTTCCAGTGGAGCTGACCAAGCCTGCCTCAAGGGCCAACCATCAGAGGGCCAAGCATGAGATCTGGTCAGTCATCTGCATCCCACAGTGATCTGTTTAAGATGAACAAATGTCCCAGCAAGGTGAATTAAGGGCAATGGAACAATTCCAAGATTGTTTATATTGTTAGACAAGAAGCTTGCTTTCTTCTGAAGATAATAGTCTTAGGAATAGATAGTCTATAATTGCTGAAAGTGACTATGAGAATTCTAAGAATGAAGCCAATGATAAGGAAATAGAATTTATGGGTAGAAAGAAAGTACACCTGGATATGACATAACTCTAGTAGGTTAATCCCAAACCTACTTAGCTTTTGATGGAATCCAGTTGTGCTTCCAGAAAAACTATCCTGTGTTGTACATATAGAAGACAATGAACTATTTTAAAGTAGACCGAGTTTGGTTTCTATTACTTGACACTGAAAGAGTTACATCTAATACAGAAACCAGTACTTGGAAATAAGGTGTTATAAATAAATCCATAAAATGTGGAACTGGCTGAGCTGTGATATGGTAGATGGCAGTAAAAATACCCATATCCTTACTATGTTAAGGATTTGGAAATGTTTGTTACAAGGTGCTTGACCTGTCACTTATTGTACCTCGGGATACAGATAATGTGCCTAACAAGGCTAGAATGTTAGAAAACTTGGCAGAAAAACTCTAGAATGTAGGAATACATTGATTACTCCTTGCAGCCTTCACTGAAATCCAGCAAGAGAGAGACTTTGTTTATGAAGAACTTATATGCATGCTAGCCTATCTGGAGACAGAGAGGGAAAACAGTAACATTTTGCTAAGAAAGACTTTTCCTGTCCACAAGTAATTGAAGATGTTTTAGAACCTGTTTGTCTTTTTATAGCAGGGCTAGAGATACTAAATTCTTTGCCCCACATTGAAGTTAGAATTGAGGCTAAAAGTGGAACCGGAGATAAGATAGACACCCAGGAGGAAGAGTCAACACCATCCTCCCTTGGGCTTCTTTTAAGCACCCCGACCTATGAGCTCCCTGTCAACATAGCAGATAACCCCAAGGAAAAAAGCCAATCATTGGTCTGCAGGTTGGCAACAAGGGACAGATAAGATAGAATTTTTGAGCTATCTTGAGACAAAGGTGGAACTGGAAAATATGAAGCTAATCACTGGTCTAACGTGCAGAGCTCTCCTTAGGCCCCATTGTCCCGAATCTAAATTCTGAGACACTGAATTGACAAGATAATTAACCTTATCAGGACTAAAATGGACACACCTTCCAAACTTTTAAGAGACGTGTTTTCAGTGAATTCTCAGTCTGTTAAACAAAGGTCAATATGTGTATCATTCTGAAGCTTTTCTTCTTTCAGTTAGTGGTAGGTTGTATCTTGTGAAAAGGTCTGTACTAGTCTTTACTGTCTTAACTCTCGCACATTAATTTCTGCAAATGGTATTTCATTGTATAATTTATTTGTCAAATTCACTATTTATCTTTATTTTCAAGTCCACTATTGCTAACCACGACTGCTATCCAATTTAGGTATATCATAAAGAATGATCCAACAGATATACTTTACTGTATTTATGGAAATAGATTTTTACTGAAGGCTCAAACCTGGTACTATTGGAAGGGTTAACATATCCTAGCTGACAACTTCTTTAGGCTCAAAAAAAGCATTTGTTCAATAAACAAATTGATGACTATCATTATTACCATGAGTGTCATACTTTATTCCCTCATCTGAGGGTCTTATAAATATCCTCCATAATACTCCAACCAAATACTCCACTGATGGAAGAGCAAAGTGCCCCATGGATAGTGAGTTGAGGTCCCGGCCTTTTGTGGAGCCCACCAGCACAGTCTCCACACCAGAGTCTGTTTTTTTTTTTTTTTTACTAGTTGGTTTTGTTAAATCCCCATGGTTTCCTAATATGCCAGCAGTATGTTTGTTTTTCATTTGCTTGTGGGTTATTAAAGCCACAGATGCGGGTGGGTGGCAGGAACTCAGCACTTTGCTTCCTTAGTGATAAGTACTGCCATCAACTGCACACACATGGCTCCTATTAAAGTCAATGGAAGGCACGTGTCTAATTTGGAGGGCAAAATTGGCAAAACTGAAACAGCTGTAGCTATAGACCCTCTGTTTTGAATGGGTACTACATGAGGTGGATAGTTCAATTCCTTCTTCTAACCTGTTTATATGACTTCCTCATTGCATAATGGTCATCTCTTTCAACCTCTGTTCACATATCCTGGGATTTTCTCTAGGCTTTTCTTGGTTCAGTATTCACTTCTTTCTTTTTCATTATGAAAGAAGAAACCTAGGAAAGCCATTTTGGATCAAGTCTATGGACACCAATGACAAACAATAACCCTCTAATGCCAACAGAACCTGGGTGACCAATTGTTGAGACATTTTAGAGGAGAATTAAATATCTAATTGGAGCAAGGAGTTAAAGGTAATGAGAGGTGAAGCCAGCTGGACTTCCTGGGTCGAGTGGGGACTTGGAGAACTTTTCTGTCTATCTAGAGGATTGGAAACACACCAGTCAGTGCTCTGTGTCTAGCTAAAGGATTGTAAATGCACCAATCAGCACTCTGTAAAAACGCACCAATCAGCGCTCTGTGTCTAGCTAAAGGATTGTAACTGCACCAATCAGCACTCTGTAAAAACATACCAATCAGCACTCTGTGTCTAGGTAAAGGATTGTAAATGCACCAATCGGCCCTCTGTAAAAACACACCAATTAGTGCTCTGTGTCTAGCTAAAGGATTGTAAATGCACCAATCAGCACTCTGTAAAATGGGCCAATCAGCACTCTGTAAAATGGACCAATCCACACACTGTAAAATGGACCAATCAGCAGGATGTGGGTGGGGACAAATAAGGGAATAAAAGCTGGCCACCCCAGCCAGCAGTGGCAACCTGCTCGGGTCCACTTGCACACTGTGGAAGCTTTGTTCTTTCACTCTTCACAATAAATCTTGCTGCTGCTCACTCTTTGGATCTGTGCCACGTTTAAGAGCTGTAACACTCACCGTGAAGGTCTGCAGCTTCATTCTTGAAGTCAGCGAGACCAAGAACCCACCAGAAGGAACCAACTCTGGACACAATAAGGCTCCTTTTGCCCTCAATTTGTCTACGATTCATTGACTAATTTTGTGAACATTTTTTGAACATCTCAACATGCCAATTACTGGTAGAATCAGGACACATAACAAAACAAAGACAATTTCTATATCCAAAGATTTTACATTCTAGGAAGGACAGTCAAAAAAATTATCTCCAACATGAAATCATGAACAACTTGAGGGCAGGGAACTTATGCCATTACTGTCATGTTGTCAGTTCTCAAGAAATATTTATTATTCTTGTTAATAAAATAATTGCAATGTGTGGGAGAAGGTCAACTAGAGACAGTAGAGACAAGGTCTGAGAGTTAAAAGAATGGTTCAAACTTAGATGGAGAATTACAAAGAATCACCATAGAGGTTATAGAGAAAATGTCAAAATGAATAGGATTGATCATATGAAGCATGGTCAGCTTTGGAGCAGCTGATGACCCCTAGGAGACAGAACAAGAACAAGGAGTCATCAGGACAGATAGAGATGTAGGATGAGAATCTGTAAAAACTAATGCCACAGAAGGCAAGGAAGAGAGAGAAATATCCAAGAGGGTATAATTAAAGATAAGAAAAGCTACAGAGTACATATGTAAAACGCACACTAAAAGTGTATGTTGAATAACGAGGATTGAAAAAACTAAAAGAATGAAAACAAGGCCAAAACTGTAAATAAGAAGTAGATGAGAGAAAGGAAAACATAGGCTTAGAGGAATAAGGGGTTCCTATGCCCATCCTTATGAATAAAACCTTCTTTTGCACCCCTCCACAGAATCCAACACAAAGATTATCAAAGCAGTCTCCTGTGAAATTCAGATATATTTCAAGGCCAGGTACAGTGGCTCACAGCTGTAATCCCAGCACTTTGGGAGGCCGAGGTATGCAGATCACTTGAAGTCAGGAGTTCAAGACTAGCCTGGCAAACATGGTGAAACCCCATCTCTGCTAAAAATACAAAAATTAGCCAGGTGTGGTGGTGCATGCTTGTAATCCCAGCTACTTGGGAGGCTGAGACAGGAGAAAGGCTTGAACCCAGGAGGCGGAGGTTGCTGTGAGCCGAGATCATGCCACTGCACTCCAGAGCGCAGTGGGCAAGAGAGGGAGACTCTGTCTCAAAAATAAATAAATAAATAAGCTGAGCATGGTGGCACATGTCTGTAATTCCAGCTCCTCATGGGTCTGAGGCAGGAGAATCACTTGAACTCGGGAGGCAGAAGTTGCAGTTAGCCGAGGCGGAGGTTGCGGTGAGCCGAGATCACACCCCTGCACCCTAGTCTGGGCAATAGAGCGAGGAAAGAAAAAGAAAGAAAAAGAGAGAGAGAGAAGGAGAGAGAGAAAAGGAAGGGAAGGGGAGGGGAGGGGAGGGAAGGGAAGGGAAAGGAAGGGAAGAAAGGAAGAAAGAGGGAGAGAAAGGAAGGAAGGAAGAGAGAAAGAAAGAAATTGATATATTTCAATAATTCAAGTTGGACAAAAGGCATTGTAGCACCTTGAAATAAAACACTGGTAGTTTTCCCCAACTTGCAAGAAAAAATAAAGGGTGATATCTTGTTAATTTCATTTGTCTCATATATTTGTATTACATTTTTGGCATTCACTCCATACTTCTGCTCTGAAGTGATAAGGGATGAGAAATAAGGGACTAAATGGCAATCAATATTAAAGAAGGAAACCTAGGAAGAAGTTAACCATGCTGGTTCGATGACTTTATTTCATGGACATGTATGCCCACGATTGTGATTTTATGCTACAAATTAAAGTATGCTCTTAATACATATGATAGAATTAACTAGTGCTTCTTTTCATGGCGTTCTGAAAAGTACCATAAAATTTGAGCACTGTATCTCCTAAAACAATTTAAGAACCATTGGCCTAACACATTAATTGGTATAAAGTAAGCAAACAAACTTCTAAACTGTCATTTACCTAGATTTCTATGATAGCAATCAGAGAAATAATGGTGCAACAGTGTGCTGAAACTGAAGAAATGATGGCATAGCCCAGGTCAATTTTACTTTCCCCCATGTATATTTCTTGTCAGAAACCTCACAGTGAGTTCAGTGTGGAATGCACGCTCTAGTGAGAAGCAGCTTTCTCCTTTGGGCCTACAGGAAGATGATTATTGCCAAGAATGTGGAATCTTCTAGACTGGGAAGTGAGACTATTGGGAGAGATTGGAGAAACTAGATAAATGAATAGAATCGATATTTTAATAAGTATTACTGTATACTATTGAAACGGGAAAAGTTCCCTTGTCCCCCTTTCAAGGCACACAATGGGGGTGTGGCTTGCTTCTTCAGTGCCCCGCTGCTTAAACCTCTAGGAGAGCATACAGATGGGCAGGCTGTGGGGCTCTGACCCCACCACAGTGTCTAGGGGTGAATGTTTACTGCTCCTGAAGCCCCAGTGGACATGCATTACAGGGTGCTCTTTTAGTTTTGCTCTTTTTATTTTGCTGTCTGTAGGAGGCTTGTGTTAACCAGCTCAATTAGACCCTCTACCTTGTCACAAGGACAGAGGGCTTTCTGTATCCCTGGGTTTCTTGCCATCAGATCACACATGGACTTGGAGAATGAGAGCAAGGTTTTATAGAGTAGAAGTAACTCTCAGCAGATGGGGGAGCCAGAAGGGAGACGGTTTCCCCTGGAGTCAGGCTGCTGAGCAGCCCAGGCTCTCCTCCGACTGCCCCAGCCAAACTCCACATTGTTGCACCAGTCAGTGGCCTGCCGGCCTGCTGGTGGCTGTCAGTGCACTCCTCTGCCTCGTGCTCCTCTTGACGCCCTCACGACGTCCAGTTGCTTCTGTTCTTCTGCTGCTAATGTGTTCCCTGGCCATCCAGCAGCTTCTTCTGTCTCTGCTGTGCTACGGTCTTGGGTTTTTATAGGCCCAGGATGGGGGCGTGGCAGGCCGGGGTGGTCCTGAAAAATGCAACATTTGGGCACGAAGGCAGAAGTGCCTGTCCTCACCTAGGTCCGTGGGGGTAGAGCCCTAGCCAGGGACCATGCCTTCCTCTACCCAGCACTTCCCTTCCCCAATTCCATATCATTTAGAAGGACCACGCTCTTCCCTTCCCAGCACTCCCGTATCATTATATTCATTCCTATTAATATTCTCAAAGTAGCCCAAATACTTGAATTTTTTTCTAGATTCCTTTTGAGTGTCTGGATTGTATTTTTTTTAATGTAAAACTACTACTTAAATAGGCCTATATGAGTCTCTGAGTTCAAACACGTTACACGTAGAATTTCAGGTTCATTGGGATCACTCTGGCAGGTCTCCAGGTTTAACAAGCCTGACTTCCTGGGTAGAAGACTTCCTTACCAAAGATATGCTGATATACACATTCTCTTTGTATCAATGTAGATGCTGCGCCCACGACCTCTGAGTGACTAAATCCTGGACAAAGGGCTGTGTCCACCTACCTTGCTTTAATTCGTTACTAAATTTAAAACCAGAAGGCTTTCTATTTATCAGCAAGATGTATAACCTACTTCCTATTAGTATCCAAAGGAAGCTGGATACCATCACGAATAAAATGAAATGTTCTCTAAGACCTTCAAGGAGGCAGAGCTGAAGGAAAGACATTTGAATACTATCGCTATGGTTGGTCTAAATAAAAGAGTTGGTCTCTTTGGCCATGCTCAAAGCTTGTGATCTTTAATATTATATACAAAGAGGTGACTGCGGGCCAGGCACAGTGGCTCACGCCTGTAATCCCAGCACTTTGGGAGGCCGAGGCAGGCGGATCACGAGGTCAGGAGATCGAGACCATCCTGGCTAACACGGTGAAACCCCATCTCTACTAAAAATACAAAAATCAGCTGGGTGTGGTGGCGGGCACCTGTGGTCCCAGCTACTCGGGAGGCTGAGGCAGGAGAATGGCGTGAACCTGGGAGGCGGAGCTTGCAGTGAGCCAAGATGGCGCCACTGCACTCCAGCCTGGGTGACAGAGCTAGACTCTGTCAAAAAAAAAAAAAAAAAAAGAGGTGACTGCACACAAAAATCTACATTTAGAAGAAATTGGTGTCTCAGTCTTAATCAAACCTCTCAGGTAGAGAAACCAGAGTCTTGTATCCCATGGTGAAAATGTACTGCTGCATCATTGGTAGGCTATCATTCTCCACACAATCGCCAAATGAGCTAGAGGAGTTTCCAATTTTCTCCACCCTTGGGAGAAGTCGCTGGAAGAAGTAGACCTCAAATTGATTTACAATTCTAGACACCCTTTCCCACCTATGTGAGAAAGTATTTCTCATAGGGCTTTTCACAGCTGTTGCCTTTTCCTGACACAAGTGTCAAACACTCTGGCAGGTGAATTCTGCGCCCCTTGGTGGCCTTGGGTGTTGGCATTTGTAAACCAGCATATTTCTGACATCACCCACATGCCAAAGCTCAGAAGAAAGCTACATGTGCGTTGGAGGAAAGACAGCTGCCTGGTCCCTGGAAGAAAACGCAATTAAGAACCCTTTCACCACACAGCCTCAGCAGAGTTAAGGGAGTTCAGGTGAGGGGAATGGAATCCCTGGGACCAGATATATGTCCCTGACAAAGAAGCCTAAGGAGACAGCAAGGTAGAACAAAAGGGCAAAAGATCAGTGTCTCATCTTGTTCCTCATTTTGCCCAAACCCTTGTCTGACGCAGCACCCAAAAACTGCTTCCTTTGATTCTGTATGGCAAGGCACCCAGGGTGAAATTAATTTCAATTGCACTTAATGTTTTGTAAACATAGCATGAATTGATTGGAACGAAAGAAGCCAAATCTACACAAAAGAGTCATCTACCCTGAGCCTGGTTACCTGTCAGGTGAAACATCTGACACTTTACTGGAAGACAATTAATGCTTTTTCTACTTTGTCAAACAATAAAGAGAGTGTGTAAAACCATCACAGGGTGAAGTGACACTTTACACACTGAAAAGATTATAGAATGTTAGAGACAGAAATTACCTTAGAATTAAGATTTCTAAGCACCTCATTTTGGATGAGGAACCTGGGTCTCAGTAAAGTGAATTCACCAAGTTTACACAGCCAGTTAGTGAGAGTCATATACTTGATATAGTTATTTAGCAAAAAATCATTTAGTAATATTTCCAGGCCCTATGCTGAGGACTGAGGATACAAAGGAGATATAAACAAGTCTGAGTTCCTTGAGGTCAGGGGCTATAGTTTTCCAACTGGGAGGTCAAAGTTGAAGTATTACACTAAGAATCATCCAGATATAATGACGGATAAATCCACAAGTGGATGAGTTCATTCAGGTCCAATGTGCAAAGGGGAAACAGGGGACTCACAACCCAGTCTCCTCATGAGCAGTCCAAGGTATTTTCCACAAGGTCCACCCCAGCCAATACCTTCAAAAGAAAAACAAAGCAATCCCTGCAGCATCACATTGTAAAATCTTGTGATTTAAGAGAGTTTTCTGTGAATCAGGAATGTCATATTTATTACCAAAATGCTCTCAAATCTCATACTTGTACTGATTACTATAAAACAGATCTTGGTACATTACATAAATAGCCCAGACTTCATAATCCGTGAGGTCCCACTTTCCTTTAACACACAAATCACAATAGTTGGAACCTTTTATCCTTCTAATGTTCAGTCTTTTGCCAGGTTTTCTTCTTCTAACAGTTTCTGAATATCTCAGTTTCTGATGTGTTCCCTGTACTAGTCAGGGTTCTCCAGAAAAACAGAACCAATAAGAAATATAGAGATATGTGACCAGGCATGGTGGCTCACGCCTGTAATCCCAGCACTTTGGGAGGCCAAGGCGGGTGGATCACGAGGTCAGGAGATCGAGACCATCCTGGCTAACACAGTGAAACCCTATCTCTACTAAAAATACAAAAAATTAGCCGGGCGTAGTGGTGGGCACCTGTAGTCCCAGCTACTCAGGAGGCTGAGGCAGGAGAATGGCGTGAGCCCCGGGAGGCAGAGCTTGCAGTGAGCTGAGATCTCGCCACTGCACTTCAGCCTGGGCGAGAGAGCAAGACCCCATCTCAAAAAACAAATATAGAGATATGTAAGAGGAGATTTACTAGGGGAATTGGCTCACAAAATTATGGAGACCAGGACATGTTGCCATATGATATCTTCAAGCTGGAGAACCAGGAAAGCCAGTGGTGTAATTCAGTCTGAGGCTGAAGGCCTGAGAACCAGGAGCTCTAATGTCTGTGGGCAGAAGATGGATTTCCCAACTCAAGAAGACAGAGCTAATTTGCCCCTCCTCTGCCTTTTTTACCCTTTTGGGTCCTCAAAGGATTGGATGATGCTTGTGCACATTGGCAAAAGTGAAGCTTCTTTACTCAATCTACAAATTCAAATGCCAATCTCTTCTGGAGATAGCCTCACTGGTACACCCAGAAAAAATGTTTTACAAGCTATCTGGGCATCCCTTAACCCAGTCAAGTTGACATATAAAATTAATCATTGCCTTCCCCAGGCCGCCTTCAGCAGCCATGTGATTCTGGACTCTGTAGATTATGTCTTCCCATTCTAGGGGAGCCATCTTCAAGTACAGCAGAAGCTATTTCCTTCCATTTCTGACAGCATTGCAGAAACAAGATACTTTTTGAAAAACTAAGACTTTTCCAACATATTGCACAGTCTCCACCCTCTTCTAGGTCCCTTACAAAGTAAGTTGACACCGTGTCTTCTATCCCAGGCCACTTGCTCAGGCCCAGGGGTTTATCCTACCCCCAACATCTATATGCGTTCTTGGTTCCTTTCGCTCCAGATCTAGGCTAAATTAACCCAGGCCTTGGAGAGAAAAGAAAGGTGTTTTCCTCACCCTTTCTAAGACTCACCCAGGAATGACTTCTTTCCAAAATGATTGACAATTGAAATATCCACTTCCATTAGAGGCAAACTTACTCCTATGTTCAAGGCTGCAGTTGAACTGCTCCCAGGAATTTTCTATGACGTGATATCAGCACATCCCCCAAAGCCTCTGTTCTTTAGTTTGTCCCAGTTTATAGGACATCAATAGCCCAATGGAAGTTAGGTGGTGCCAAAATTAGTCTTATTTTGTAATAGGCAACATAATGGCTCCCAAAAGTATCTATATCCTAATCCCTGCAACCTATGAATATATATGTTACCTTACATGGGAAAAGGTACTTTGCAAATATGATTAAGTTAGGGACCATGAAATGGGGAAGTTATCCTGGGTTATCTGGGTGGGCCCAATGCAATCACAAGCATCCTTAAAAGCAGAAAGCTCTTCCTGGCTGCGAGGAAGGTATGACTATAGAAGAAAGATCAGAGAGCTGCACATTACTGCCTATGGAGAAAGGGGCCACAAGCCAAGGAATGCTGGCACCTAGAGAAGTAGAAAAGGGCAAGGAAATGAATATTTCCCCAGAGCATCCATAATGAATTCTACATTGCCAACACCCTGATTTTAGCCCAGTGAAATCTGTACCAGGCATCTGACCTGCAGAACTGTAACATAAAAAATTTGTGTTGCTTTAAGCTCCTGAATTTGTGGCAATTTGATATGGCAGCAATAGAAAACTAAAACCTATTCCCTTTCAGTGTCTTTACATAAAGAGTGCAGAAGGCATGGAGGAGCAAGTCTCACCCAGAAATATCCTTGTAATGTGAGTTCATCTTGGATGTGGTTTAGTGGGTTTTGATAAGCAGCAGCTCTTTCCTAACCCCAGTCATTGTCAAACTCAATAAAATCATCTAAATCAGTAAATAAGGTTGAAGTCAATAGAGAAAATATTTAAATCAATTAGAAATAGATTCTCTAACCTAGGATTTCTCAACCTTGGCACTATTGACATTTTGGACCAGACAGTTCTTTGTTGGAGGTGGGATGCTGTCCTCCTCATGTAGGATTTTCAGCAGAATTCCTGACCTCTACCCCCTTGATGCCAGTAGCAACCCTTCACCTGTGACAACCAAAAATATCTCCAAATATTGCCAAATGTCCCCTGGGGGGAAAAAATCACCTGTGGTTGAGAACCACTGTTCTATCCCAAAAATCTCTTGGAGAAAAGCAAGGAAGCTGTCTTATAAAAATAACTAGGATATTTCAGGATATGAAATGTTTAGTTGAGAAGTAAACACTGGGAGGATATATGTCAATCCCATAGGCCTTTACACTTCTGGTACGTGAAACAAAAAGAATCAGGGACGTAAATATCCATTTCCAAGTGATTTAGGTATCAATAACTTCTTGAATAAATTCTCTGTGCTTTCCTCCACTTTTAATACAAGCTTTCTTTCCATGAGTCAATGATTTTTCCTGGCAAAGTGACCTGGAATGGCATTAAATGAAGCTAGGCACTGTGATTTCACTTGTAAGGACATGGCATGACTTCTTAGGATATTACACACTAACACAACCAACTGCAGGTGGCTTCAAGTTACACAGCAGAGGCCAGTAGACAGTGGGTGTGTCATCATAGAGCAACCTACTGAGAGGGGTGGAGGCCTTCAACATAGCTAAATTAACTTAGACTAAAACTATTAGGTGGAATCTCTTCCTAGAAAAGAACAAAAACAATTGAATTCAATGTCACAACTACAACCAGCCACATACTTTCATTCCATGAATGAGATTTAGCTACAATAGCCCTAAATGCTGGCACCTCAAGCTGCCACATGCCTAGGAAATCAAAGGTTCTCTATTCTTCTCAAACACGGCAATGATCTAAAAATAGGGAAGTGATTTAGGAACTAAACAAAGCAACTGAGTTAGTTGTTTGTAACCTGTAAATAAGTCAGCATATGAGTTCAACTGACAGCAATTTCAAAAGGAAGAATTCAACCTAGAGCAAAATGTAATCTATCATCACAATCATATTAACCAAATTAATACATTAGTGGAGCAAATGATCCAAGGTTTGAGTCTATAGCAAAACAGCTAAAGATCTGGGTGACATTTTTTTCAGACCAATAATAAATTTGTCTGGATCTCTTTTGTGGGATTGAGACTTTTCAAAATTGGCATTTTCTGTAAAGTACATTTCAAGATCTATTACATTAAGGGGGAATAAGTCCTTATGTATTTTTCCAGAACTAGGGCCCATGAATGGAAGTTTTAGAAAATCAGGTTTCAGAACAAAATACCAAAAAACATTTTTGCCCTTGTTGTTGAATAAAAATTGCTTAACAAGGGATTGAACTCTGTTGTGAATCAGTTTCCAGAAGGGGCTGCATCATCATTTATTAAAAATGGTGGTCGGGCGTGGTGGCTCATGCCTGTAATCCCAGCACTTTGGGAGGCCGAGGCCAGTGGATCACCTGAGGTCAGGAGTTCGAGACCAGCCTGGCCAACATGGTGAAACCCCGTCTCTTCTAAAATACAAAAATTAGCTGGCATGCGCCTGTAATCCCAGCTACTTGGGAGGCTAGGGCAGAAGAATCGCTTGAACCTGGGAGGCAGAGGTTGCAGTGAGCCGAGATCATGCCACTGCACTCCAGCCTGGGTGATGGAGTGAGACTCTATCTCAAAAAAAAAAAAAAAAAGGTGCCTGTGACAGCCCTGATTTAAATGAGAGGTTAGACTAGCAGCCCTTCACGTGGCCTCTTCATGCTTTTGGGGGGTCTACAGTAAGGTAACAGCAACCAAGAAGTGACTGTCATTGAGGGCTTCGGGGTCCTGGGTTCTAAGACACCAGATGACCTTTCCCTGCCCCCAGTCCCAGAGGAACCTGCTACTGCCCGCAGAAGAATCGGTGACAGGGTGCTTGTCCTTACTTCTATGATGGAGCCACTGTATGACTGAGCACATAACTGTCAGTTTGCACAGGTTAGCAGGGGATGAGGAAAGGCCCATCATCCTCTCTGTTCTCTACCTCTTACTCTTCTCGACAATATTTTTTTTGGTGGGGGGGTAATTCAGCTAAGGTTCAATCCCTAATAATTTAGTTCTCTTATTGATGTTTTTAAGTTGGCTCACAATTTCAGCTCTCACTTGTTCCCTTTGTATATTACAAACTGAAACCATTCTTTCAATAAATATTCATTAAGAATCTACTCATGTTGGATACTGCAGCAGGCACTGGAATTAAAATGGTGAGCAATATAGGGTGGTCCCTGCCCTTCAAGGTGTTAACAGTCAACAGAGAATACATGGAAACAAGCAGGCAGCAGCATCAGTGAGGTGTCAGAAGGGCAACAGAGGGCCTTAGGGGAGTGAGGGGCAGCATGCCTCTCACCTCTGGGAGGGGTTTGCCGGAGCCAGGGCCCTTTAAATTGAGCCCTGGGGAAGGAGTGAAAATTAGGCAAAGAAAAGAATAACTGTTCCAAACAGAGAGAAAAGCATGAAGGCCAGGAGACAAGAGAGCTACGTGCTTTTGAGGAGGTGGTAGGAGCTGTCCATGGCTGAGTTGCAGAGGACCCGGGGGCGGGGAGCCCTAAGCAATGAGGCTGGAGAGGTGGGTGGATGTCCTTCTTCCCTTTGGTAACCATGTGGTGTAGCCACATTAAGCCTGTTATAGTGGGAACTAGGAAAGCACCACCCTCCAAGTGCTGTAAAACAACCCTGTCTGTGTTCAAGCAACCCCAGGAGGTAATCTGCTCTGGGCACACTTTTCCTCCATGCAGCCTAGAGATGACACTGATGGTGGAGTCGGTGACTGTCCCTGTGCCCCATTTCTCCACAGTTCCCACCAAAGGCTACACTTACACTCTCCCCTCTCTCAGAGTGGGCTTACTGGTGATGTACACTGCACAGCACAGGCTCTAGGTCCACCCCACCTCCCTAATTCTGGTACTACCTGCAGGAACATTTCCAGTAGGCAGGCTGGAGCAGAGGCCTCAGTGGGGAGCACCCACCTATCAGCATTGTTCTCAAGGCATAGCCTCACCTGGAGAGGGAGGTTGGTGAGGAGAGTGTTAGTGAGACAGCATGTCCCTTCCATACTGAAGGGTTTCCTCTTTGCATTCCTTGCCAGGGTTGACTGGAAAGGTCTTTCTGGAATGACAGATACCAATGCTAGCCTCTCTCTGGCACCCTTCCTCCCAGGGTACATAATGTGGGAGGGTGGGGAAACAGTGGAGGTGGCTGTAGGCAATGAGGTCTCCCTCATCTAGAATTTGGGCCCGTCCACTCCTGTGCATCACTGAGCTTACTAACAAGGAAAGAGAAAGCTCACTCGATTCTCACACTTAGCCACTAGTGCTGATTCAGGGTCTCATGGGTGAATGTAGATTTTCAGGACATGCCTCTCCCCTTTTTCTCATAGCTGGCAGCTCTCCTGGGCCTTGGCACTCAATATTCCCAGAGAATGTCCCTAGTGGATCAACTTGGTTGCCAAAGGTTCTTGTTAGGCATAAAGTGGCCATCTAGCGGGTGACCACACAGATTGACAATTCGTTCTGGAAATGACACCTGGGGAAAAAAAGCTACAATTTTCTGAAGTTAAAAATATGATTCATTTGGTGAAATTTGGACCCTGACTTATTGATCATGATGTTAAGAAAATATTATATTTTAGGTCTGGTGGAGTGGCTCACGCCTGTAATCCCAGCACTTTGGGAGGCTAAGGCAAGTGGATCACGAGGTCAGGAGATCAAGACCATCCTGGCTAACATGGTGAAACCCCGTCTCTACTAAAAAATACAAAAAATTAGCCAGGCGCGGTGGCGGGCGCCTGTAATCCCAGCTACTCAGGAGGCTGAGGCAGGAGAATGGCGTGAACCCGGGAGACGGAGCTTGCAGTGAGCCGAGATCACGCCACTGCACTCTAGCCTGGGTGGCAGAGCGAGACTCCGTCTCAAAAAAAAAAAAAAAAAGAAAAGAAAAAGAAAATACTTTATTTTAGATGTGATTATGGTATTTTATATATATATATATTTTAAAACAGATTTATCTTTTAGAAAGATGGGCTGAAATATTTATCAAAAGAATGATATGCTCTCTAGGGTTTATTTCAATAGAATCTGACAATAGAGAGAGGGTGGGTATGTAGGTAGATGAGTCAAGTTTGGCCATTAGCTTATGAGTCTGGGTGATGGGGACTCGGGGTAAATAGAATGTAGTATGCTATACTCCCTACTTTTGCTACATTTGTAACTTTGCCCAATATAGAGTTTTAAAGGATATAATTAGTAAATATATAAGCTCTTCAAAAGCTTTAAAATATCTGAAATCTTTTAAAACACTTTAATAAATACCATTTCACCTCATGAATAAAAGAACAAAGCCTTCATAGTACATGTTGTATTCAACAAATCAAAGATTGATTTTGGAACACCTGCTACTGTGGATTGTAGGTAAGTGAAAATTTAGGCTCAGAAAATTAAAATTAGATCACATACAAAGAAGCTAAAATTAGTAAAGAGATCTTAAATATTATATATTCTTTCTTGGCAACAATACTATTGGGTTTACTTGTACATGATCAGTATTGAACAACAACAAAAAAGTTTACATATTTTCTGAAAAGTTTTGAGTCTAGTTCTGCCTAAGGACAGAGATACAGTTCCAAGTAACCTAGGATCTCTCAATTGAGTTTCTGTGTAAATGAGACATAATATGAACTCTCTCAGAGACATTCTTTCTGTTCTATTGAGGGCCTGTTTCATCCAAAAAAAAAAAAAAAAAAAAAAAAGCAGACAGAAGTTTCACTATAGAAACCCAAGGGACTGGAGATGCCCAGTTTTAAAACAATGGTGTAGACAGATGTGGCAAAATTCAAGCGGCTCCTAACCCTATAGTTTGAGCTTTCTCTCAAATGTAAGAGAAAAGAGACTACTCCAGCGAGCTGATCATTTCATTCTAACTTAGAATTTAGGTGTGTGTCACAATCCAAATTCTTAGAGCTCTGTTTGTAAAAACTCTGGTAAAGTTTTCATGTCACACTTCAACTGCCACTGAGGAACTGTATCAGGGGACAGATAGAAATTGACCACTTGGGCCAGTGCCCGGCCACTTTCAGGTAGGAGCGGAGTTTAACAATGAAATATTGAGTACTTGCTGGGTGCTAAGCACTTCGCCAGCATTATCACGTGAAAATCTTTCAACACCCTTTATTACTGTCTTCCCAATTTACAAATAAGGAAACTAAGGCACAGAGAGATTCAGAAAGTCACCTGAGATCATACAGCTGAAATCATGGGGTCAATTGAGATCATGGAGAAGCCTGGATTTAAAAGATATGAATAACCCTAGAATATATATTCTTCACCAGCACACAAGCCCATTGTATTAAATATAACAGAGGTATATGAAATATATCAGAGACCATGTTCTCTCTGGCATTGACCGAGTAAGTATTAATACATATCTTTTTGTTGATTCATCAGGCAAGTCATGGGCTGTGTCCTTTCTCCCTCGCTGCAATTAACCTCTAGTGCTGTGAAATTCCTTTTCATGCAGAAGCTCACAGAGCTCCAACCTGGGGTATGGCAAAGAGCCACTCATACATCCAAAAGTAGCCACTTATTTTACACACACACACACACACACACACACACACACCCCCCACACTGATTTCGGTGACTTGAAAGAGACGAAGATCAAAGAATCCCTAAAAATGATTGCTGAGTCAAAAATATCTTCTGATTAGAATTCAGAAGAGAGCCCAATCTAAGGCAGAGTTGACTTCTTAACTTGCCAAAGAGTTTATTTCCTACTCTGGGAGAAAAAAAAATCTGGGCCTGCAAGTATGTGGGCAAGAAGGCTACATATGACTTGAGAAGAAACTAGGAAAGGAGTAATTCATTCAAATAGAGTCTTTCTCAGGAGTAAGAAGAAAGGCTGATCTTTTCTCTGCAAGTGGACTTTAAGTGGATCTGGTTACAAGGTCCTTGTTAACCCTAAAGGACAAGTTACTTGGCAGAAAGGCCGAATGCAATCCTCACTTTTGAGAGATGTAAATGTTTACCTCCCTAATACCACTTGAACAGCAATCTTGTGGCAGGCAATATCCTCCATGCAAAGATTTACCATAGTACCCAGCACAGTATAGTTGTTAATTAAACGACAGCTTCTCCATGACATAACATTTGTGCCACCTGACAAGAAGCATTTGAAAGTAAATAAGGTATCTTATTTCCTGGTTTTTGATACTTATTTGGGTTGACTATACTCAGTTCATAAATTCTTTTTTTTTTTAGGGGCGGGGGGGCATTATATTATGTGTTTCAAGAAGACCTATTAGGTTTAGCGTTCTGTTGTACTTTGTGTTGAGATTTTTCATGAAGGATGGTGGCCAATTTCTTTTATAATGCTTGACCATAAGACATTCTTAGGTGTGGTAAATTCCTTCTTTAATTAAATTCTGAAATAGACAAATTATCGCCCAGACTCATGCTCTCCTTAAAAGACATCCCATAGTAATTAGATAAATGGCACAAAATAATATCTAATTGCATTTAAGAAAACAAACATTTACATGATTTTTTTCTTAAAGCAGAATCATGGTTATTCCTAGAATGTCACTCTCACTGGCTTATATTTTATTAAATTCCAGATTTTACTTGATTTTAAATGACAAAATTTTTTGCAAGATGGCTTAAACAAAAAAGGGAATTTATTGACTAACAAACTGAAGAGTCTCAGGAGACTACCACCTTCAGATACAGTTTGGTCAAGGTGCTAAACCAATGTTATCGGGAATCTGACTCCATCTTTTGGCTTTGCTTTCCTTTATGTTGATTTGATTTTTATATAGGCTTTCTCTGTGAACTGGCAAAACAGAGTACCCATTATTTAGCAACACCCACAGTAAGAAAATCTCCCCTTCCCGGTAATTCCAGCAAAACTCAGGGACTGAGTCTCAGTGTATCAATAGAATCACGTGTTCATTCCTGCCTCCAAGGGGGATAAGAGATGCTAATTTCTTAATCCAGTGGGAGGGAAAGAACTAGGTAGGTGGTGGGTTTTCAGTCCCATTCAACTACATAAGTAAGGAGTAAGATGATTTCCTAAAGAAAAATTGAGATTCTATTTCCAGAAAAAAAGAAAAATAAGAGACAGACAAAACCAACAGTAGTTAACTCCATACCGTAGGGTGGAGTTTTAGCAAAAGCATTTGTGAAATGCATGTACAAGCGAAGCCTATCTTTTTTTTTTTTTTCTGACTTTCACGATAGCAGCAGCTTTATAAGTTACAGTGGTATTTGTGGGTTATAATTTCATAATTCCTTTGAACTTGTTTTCTCATTTTATTAATAGATAAGCTTTGAACAAGGAAGAAAGGGAAAATGCAGAAAGAGTAAGTAGTATATCCACATCTACATTGACTCTGATGCACTTATGCAAACTTTGCTTCAACTTAACATCCACATTGTTTAAATTGCCCTCTATCGTGTGTGAAAGCAGATAGAAGTTTGACAGCTGCTTTGAAACCTCTGGAGATTAAACCTTAGGGTACCCCAACTCTGCCATAAGGTAAGCCTCCAGCCCACTAAAGATTTTTCTGGACCCTTAGTTTACAGTGTTTTGGAGTATCCTGTATCTTTTTTCTTAGATTTTCAACATACATTAGCACATTATGTAGAAATTGCCATAGATGTGACGGATATCTACTGAATGTAATTTGCATAAAGATTCATGCATTGGCCGGGCGCGGTGGCTCATGCCTGTAATCCCAGCACTTTGGGAGGCCGAGGTGGGCAGATCACCTGAGGTCAGGAGTTCGAGACCAGCCTGGCCAACATGGTGAAATCCCATCTCTACTAAAAATACAAAAATTAGCTGGGCATGGTGGCAGGCACCTGTAATCCCAGCTACTCAGGAGGCTGAGGCAGAAGAATTGCTTGAACAAGGGAGGCAGAGGTTGCAGTGAGCCGAGATCACGCCACTGCACTCCAGCCTGAGCAACAGAGTAAGATTCCATCTCAAAAAAAAAAAAAGATTCACGCATGAAAATAAGGGTAGAAATAATTATTTCATTGCTTTATACATGTAGTACATGTAGTTGCCTTTTAATGGTCCTAATACAATACTATCTTGTTTAACATTGTCATAAAATGAGATAGATATTCAACATCGGAAATTTTTCCAGTCGATTATTTTAATTACGTGTTTCCTTGACATATTTTTCTAAAATGCATTATTTTCTTTAGTAGCTGGGTTAACATACATATCTGGATCATAGACAAAAAAAAATTAAATTACTATGACCAGAATCAGTGGCAGCATCAGGGCTTATGTCTTACTCAAGTTTCCAAGGATTGTTAGCCAATAGATTAGATGACTTCAAACTCACACATTATTAGAGTTGTGTCTGCTGTGGCCTCTGCCATTGCGAGATGATCAACTGAGGCTTCTTAGGGCTATATTTTCTTTTGTGTGGCTTCCAATTTGTTAGAGAAGGGATAATACACAATTGGGTTTGTTAGACTTTTCTCTAAAATAAGAGTACCTAGATTTCATGTGATCATGTAAGGGGCTCTGTAATGAATAAGGCATAACAGTTTCAGTGCATTGGTTGTGTTTTTGTCAACCACTGCACTCTAAAATCTAAGACAGCAGAGGCCAAGTCTACATTAGAGCCTGATAGAGTATCTAATATATAATCAGCACTCAATACATATGTGTAGAATGACTGAATTTTTAGTTTGTCATTTATTCTGTCTGAAACTTATAAATGTACTTGCATACTCTTGGCTTTGTTCCAGATAGTGAAGATTTAGATAGGTGGATTCCACGTGAACTATTATTGACAGTTCATATGAAGTGAGAAAACGTGTATAAAAACCACCTAGCTTAGTGATGGACATGTAATATAATGGGTGCTCAATAATATTAGTTGAATCAGCATTTTCCTCACCTAGGGTACCCTTTAGTTTGTTTTTAAAATTGACCTTCATTGCTTACAGAATTTTTAGAGTTTGCATGGTATATCAGGAAAACCAGTTAATCAAGTGTCAGAATACCAAGTTCAAGTCCTCCCTTTCTCACATATTGTTTATCTGGCAATTAACATCTTTTTTTTTTTTTTTTTTTGAGACAGAGTCTCGCTGTGTCGCCCAGGCTGGAGTGCAGTGGCACAATCTCAGCTCACTGCAAGCTCCGCCTCCTGGGTTCAAGCGCTTCTCCTGCCTCAGCCTCCTGAGTAGCTGGGACTACAGGCACCCGCCACCAAGCCCGGCTAATTTTTTTTTTTTTTTTTGTATTTTTAGTAGAGACGGGGTTTCATCGTGTTAGCCAGGATAGTCTCAATCTCCTGACCTCGTGATCCACCCACCTCAGCCTCCCAAAGTAACATGATTTCTTTGAACCTCAGGTTCTACATATGTAAAACAGAAGTAAAGATTCAACCTAACAACATGTATTGAACTCTAGTCAGTGTTAAGTTGTACAGGATTCAAAAATGATCTATGCTTTGCTACTTTACATGGGTTCTTTTGAAATTCAAATTAAATAATCTATCATATGTAAACTATGAATCAATATTAAAAAATTAAATATGATTAGTATTATTTTTCCATGAACTCTGTCGTATTTTTTGCTGCTGAAAATCATCTAAATCCATGAGTTTCCCCCTTCGTTGTATTTTTCTGAGACAAATCAAAATCAGTAATATTTTGTTTTATTGAAAGCTTGTCTTTATTTGCATTTGATCTGATTTTCCCAAAGTCCAAGTTCTAGTTTGCCTTTCAATTTGTTCTATGGGATTCAGCTAAATATATTATAAAAGTTTGGGGAATGTTAGGAATGAATATTTGCTTAGAGGATCTTGGGGAAAGGTTTGTAGCATTTTCATAGGTAGATTTGATTGATCCAGGGAATCTACTTTCTGTATCGATTTAACAAAAAGCCAAGGAATAAAATATGGAAGGGGATGATTAATTTCTTCGAGACCAGCCCCTTTCTTTCTCGGATAGAGATTCAGCGACCTGTGCTAGGTTGCCAAATTTAGCAAATAAAAATAGAAGGCAGTTAAATTTGAATTTCAGATAGTAAATTTTTAGGGTTAATATTGCTGAATATTGCAGGTTCTATTTTATGTGTCAACCATAGGTGAGACAGTGCTTTTAAGATTCTTAGAATGCTTCTTGTCTAGTTGAAAGGGTCTATGAGTTATGACCTTCAGTCTTACAGGAGCCTTAACAAATCTGCACCCTTCAGATGATCTTCACCTTGTTAAAATGTAGGGTAAATTTGCCAACTGGATAGAGGGGTCTGTTCTTTGACTAGGGTCATCTGGAAAGTTCTCTTTGGGCTCTCTCATGTGGTACAATGGTATGGCTGCTGGGGTTGGGAATTTCTGATTGCTCAACTAAGGATGACATCTAAGAGAGCTCACTCACAGGGCTGACTGTTGGGCTGGGTGGTGACCAGGAGTTCAGCTGGAAGCTATGGACTGAAGTGCCTGCATATGGCCAATCCCCACGGCTTGGGCTTCTCCCAGCACAATAGCTGTGTTCCTAGAGGAAGCATCCTAAGAATGAATGTTCCAAGAGGTGAATCCTTTTCTTTTGCCTTCATACTAAAAAACTCACTGGATTTGGTGATACCACCAGCACCTACTTCTTATAGATGATTGATATTGTTATGTGGCTTGTTACACAGCTTCTACTCTCTAGGAGAATATTTATTTCAATGACCAGGAATATAAAGATACAGAGGAGAGCTCAAAGCCTAAGATGTGAAGTGAGGATTGAATAAGGAGTAGCAGAGGGACTGGGGAAGCAGGTGTTCCCCTAAAATTCATATGTTGAAATCCTAACCCCCAATGTGATGATACTAGGAGGTGGGGATTTGAGGAGGTAATCAGGTCACGAAGGTGGAGCCCTCATGAATGGGATTGCTGCTCTTTTAAAAGAGTCCAGAGATGTCCTTGCCCCTTCTACCATGTGAGGTTATGGAGAGAAGATAAAGCAGGTCCTCATCAGACACAGTATCTGCAGGTGTCCTGAACCTGGGCTTCCCAGCCTCCATAACTGTAAGAAATTAAATGTATGTCATTCATAAGCTACCAGTTTATGGTATTCTTTTACTAGCAGCCTGAACAGATAAGACAGGAAGTTCATAAAGCAGATATATAGTGTTTGAGAAATAGCCACCTCTGCTGGATCAGGGTATTAGCTAAAGTGGGAGAGTTATGGATTACATTGGATTGATACCTGCATTTTCTAGGATAATTCTGAGAATAAAGAGAACAGGTTTAAGAAATAAGTTGATCTCTGGGGAATAAAAACTAAGAACCTAGAATACACTTTTTTTTTTTTAAATCTCAGTCTGTCCAAACATTGGGTCTGAAACATTAGAGGTTCATAGTTTATCCTTTTAAAAATTCTCATTTGCTTTTATTTAAACTTTTTTTCATTTAAGTCTATGCCTGGTTGCTTTAAAAAAAAAAAGGCTACTTTTACTTAAATGCATTCAAAAATGGCAATTAACTAAAGGAACTTGCCTCTGACACAGATCTTGGCTTATATCTTGAATTGTATTGTAATATTTGGTGCACTTCTATTTCCTTTCCATATTTCATGGATGTCCCACATGTAACCTAAGAGTCCCAAAGGCACTCAGGAGCCTGAGTGAGTATAAATCCCACACTACTGAGGTTTCAAATCACAAGTTCTTGACATGCTTAAGACACACTAGATGTACAGAAAATGTTTGATTGAAGCTCACTATGATTTTACATTAGCCCCAGAAGTTGCTTTTAGCTAAATAAGTATTAGGTCTGTTAGAAGGGCACCTTTTCCAACCACAACATAGCTGCCTGCTGAGCAAAGCAGTTGGTAGCTAGAAAAGCAATGAATAAAAACATATTCTGCCTGTTGCTATGAAATGTGAAAGGAGGTAGCTGATAGCTCAATTTGCTCCAAGAGACTCTGAAGAATAGAAAAGTCAAGCAGCTCAGCTTTATTTTTAGACTAAAATGAAACTGAGTTGTTTCTGAAAGCTTAGTCTAGTGAGGGAATGTAACAAGAGGGAAAAATGAGATCATATTGTCCATCTACTGACTGAAAAGTCAGGCTGTGCTCTTAGGGTCTGCCACTGTATCAGAATTGACAGTTTCACCAATAGCATTCAGTAGTGGGAACTGGAAAGCCACCTTGCATAGGCAGAGAAAGGTAATGAGAGTGTGTATTTCACTAAACCAGAGTACAGGTGGCCCTGGAAAATAGTAAAATAAAACCGGTCATCGGTGAACCATATATACCTCTGTGAATGTGGGCTGGCCATTACCAACTAAAATAAAGTTTTACTTGGAAAATGGGGATTAGGGATGCAAAACAATTACTCTCACAGTGAGCAAAGAATCAGTTTGATGCCATAGAGAATACAGGTTGAAATAATTCTATCCTAAGATGGCATTTCTGAACAACCATTGAGATGGACACTAATGCCTAAATATTTAATCTTCAGTCTCCTTCCCTGTGAACTAGTCTTGACATTGGAGCCATTCAGATATGTTGGAAAACTAAGGTGAATCTTTACTACATGAAATGTTGCTTTAACCTTGTCACATTATCACAGCAGAAAGACGAGTGATTCATTTATTGATATTTGAAACTTCAGTTACCAGTCTTCCCTCACTTAAAGAAAAATAACTCATGAGGTTTATCTAACTCAATTCACAGACTGTCTTTGTTTATCTCCCAGAGAAGATCTCTTCTTTCTTCCTATGTGTTTGAGGCCAGCTTATCATAACCAGCAAGGTTTGTTTCTACGCAGCCAAATCCTGGCATTCTCCAAGAAGTGGTTCTGATAATATTTTTGCTCTCATCAGATTACTGTTTTAAAGCATTCAGAGGGACTCAGCAAGAGTTTTTTAGCAGCTCCATTAAGGTATTCATTTTTCCAAATATCAGGCCCCATGAAGAAGTTTTCCAGGTTGGAACTTCACAGAGCAGAGGCAGATTAGTTGACATTTTTAGAGTTTGAGATGAAAAAATAAGGAAGCACGCTACAACAGAAAGAAGAGCAAACACATCACAATCTTTTTTAATACTGCTCTAGGTCTTAAAAAGGTGAATCACTGAAACTTCGCCAGCATCAAAACTAGTTATTAAATAACATTGTCCATGGGTGACACTCGAAATATTGAACCACTGGGACAGCCTGAGCACTGAGTTGAAGCTGACTCTCAGGGTGCCACTATGCACCAGGTGTTGACCTTTGAATGCTGGATCTGGGGTGTCCAGGGGGGGTGTTGAACATGGGCACATATTTTAACAATTTAAGCAACTCTGATGGCTGTGACTGTGTTTACCTGAATCATATTATTCCATATTCATATTATTCCTGTTTATCCCATGCTGCCCCCCAAATTGTTTATTACAAGATACAACAAGAAACAAATATGAGCATATAATCTAGATTCTGTACCTTTGTTGTGATTTTCTTATGTGATTGTACAATTTACTTAATCAATTCATGTCTTAGTTTCCCTTGTATAAGATAATTTTTCCCACCCTAAGTCAAGGCATTGTGAAAATACAATGATGGTGAAAGCTTTCTGAAGGAAAATATGTCATCTAAAAATATTTTTGTAACTCTGTAGTATTGTTTGTCATTAAAAAGTTCTTTAGGAATTTTTGTCACGTAACTTTCCTAACATAGTCCATTAAAAATGCCTACATACAAATTTAGCTGGATTTAGATTTTTTAAAAAAGGTCTACTTGTTATCATCAATATCATTATTATATTGTGTGTATATTGTTTAGATATCTTCAGTCTCTAATAATGTTATGAAGAAAAGTTTATGTTCACTTTTATCACTATCACCAAATCAAGTTTTCTTTTTTCTTTTTTCTTTTTTTTGTTTTTTTGAGACAGAGTCTCACTCTGTCACCAGGCTGGAGTGCAGTGGCACGATCTCGGCTAGCTGCAGCCTCCGCCTCCTGGGTTCAAGTGATTCTCCTGCTTTAGCCTCCCAAGTAGCTGGGATTACGGGTGCACACCACTATGCCCAGCTAATTTTTATATTTTTTAGTAGAGACGGGGTTTTACCATATTGGCCAGGATGGTCTCGATCTCTTGACCTCGTGATCCGCCCACCTCGGCCTCCCAAAGTGCTGGGATTACAGGCGTGAGCCACTGCGCCCAGCCAAATTAAGTGTTTTTAAGTAGGTTAAAAACATACTCCATTGTGGCTTTTGTCACCAAAACAACTACAAAACCCATAGTTAGTGATGTTGGCCTCTTAGGGTTAAAATATATTAGGAATCCAGGGACTTATAATACATGGATCTGTTAGGTTGTTGCAAAAATAATTGTGTTTTTTGCCATTACTTTTAATGGCATAAACCACAACTCCTTTTGCAACAACCTAATGAATAAATATTTATGTATATGTAGACACCTGTAACCTGTATATTAATTGAGACGTAACTTGTAATCATCAACACTGGCACATTAAATTAATTAGTGAATATGAAATAAATATATGTACATATGAATACAGTCTATTGTATTATCATGCATATCTGAGGACAACACATAATTTCACAATTCAGCCACTTCTTCAGCAGGCAAAGGTAAAAAAACCATATTTGCATTAGCAACAAAACCTAAAGCTTTAGTTGATAAAAGAATGAAAAGTAAAACACGTACTGAGAGAGATAAACCTGCTTCTTTATCGTATCCTTTAGTGGCTTAGGAAAGGTTTCTGTGAGAAGAAAAGATTGTGGGAAGTTGGCTGCACATTGCAAAGGATGATTTATGAAAGTTCGATTATAGAGTGACCTCATCTATGGTATTTGCTAAGAACCAAATGTGAGCATCTGGTAGAGTAGAACAAAAAGCACTTCTAAATGAATATTGAGTTTCAAAACAAATAGCAATATCACAGGAGGCTGCCAATACAAGCGTCCTGAAAGGGCATTATAATTAAATATATCTAAACAGAATTCTAAATACAACATACAAGGTCATTCCAATAAGAAGGTAACCCAGGCATTGAAAAAGAATGACAGGGATACTAAGAATGTAGGTGTCTGGAACTGCATTGCATATGAAGGTTCATGTAGAGGCTAAAAAATTAAGCATCAGAAGAAAAGATGGAATTCATCTCCCATTCTAATTTTATTGTCACGACAGCAGTTGTGTTGCCACTCAAAGGCTCAGAGACCTGCCCTCGCTTCTGCATTGTTGATACCTGCAAGCAATGGTGTATAATCAGAACTAACATTTTACAAGTCTCCAAAGTTTCTGTCAAAGAGAAACAATGGATGGTTTATTGATTGGCAGGTTGGGAGGGGTAGACCCAGAAAAAAGACACAAGAGCTGAAATTTTCCCTGAGAAATGTCCATCCTCCGCCTTAATTTGTCCTTTGCCAAACAGCAAATAGCTCATGATGTTGTGAGAATACAGGCATGAATCAAGATGCAGGACTTTGGCCACGTGCAGTGGCTCACGCCTGTAATCCCAACACTTTGGGAGGCCAAGGCAGGCGGATCACAAGGTCAGGAGATTGAGACCACCTTGACTAACATAGTGAAACCCTGTCTCTACTAAAAATACAGAAAATCAGCTGGGTGTGGTGGTGGGTGCCTGTACTCCCAGCTACTCAGGAGGCTGAGGCAGGAGAATGGCGTGAACCCGGGAGGCAGAGATTGCAGTGAGCTGAGATCACGCCACTGCACTCCAGCCTGGGCAACAGAACGAGACTCTGTCTCAAGAAAAAAAAAAAAAAAAAAAGATGCAGGACTTAAATTCCAATTCCATTTATGCAATCAATTTCCTCCATGACATGCACAAATCATTTCCTCTGCAGCTCCACCTAACTGTCTATAAAATGAAGATAATGTGCATATTTTCACACTTTGGATTGTAACCAACAGATGCTTCAACAGATTCTTTTAGGTGAACAAACCTGATACAAACATGGACATAGACTTTAGCAGTGCTTACCTATATTTTTAGTGAAGCTAATTCAATAGACACATTTGGGTTTAATGTCCTAGAAACTCATATGCACGAAATGCAACATAATTTTTTGACCTTCATTCATTTTTCACACACTGCTTCAGCTCCCTTAAAAAGCAGTTTTCGGCCAGGCTCCATGGCTCATGTCTGTAATCCCAGCACTTTGGGAGACTGAGGCAGGTGGATCACAAGGTCAAGAGATTGACACCATCCTGGCCAACATGGTGAAACCCCGTCTCTACTAAAAATACAAAAATTAGCTGGGCGTGGTGGCTTGTGCCTCTAGTCCCAGCTACTTGGGAGGCTGATGCAAGAGAATTGCTTAAACCCAGGAGGCGGAGGTTGCAGTGAGCTGAGATCATGCCACTGCACTCTAGCCTGGCAACAGAGAGAGACTCCGTCTTAAAAAAAAAAAAAAAAAGTAGTTTTCAAAATAATTAAATCATGTAATTGTTTGTATCAGATAAATGCTATAATAATAAAATTTACTGAGTACTTACCATGTGCCAAGCACAGTTTTAGGCATTTTACACATATTACTCATTAATCTGCAAAATAACCCTATGGTTAATACTAATTTTATACTCTTTTGATATTTAGACAAACCTGTCAAAAGCAGATAAACAAATTGCCCTAGAAGTATTGGTTTTCTATTGTCATGGAACAAATTAGCATAAGTTTAACAGCATAACATAGTATTCATTTATTAACTTATAGTTTCTGTGGGTCAGAACTCCAGGCATATCTTAACTGGCCCTTTGCTCAGAGTCTTACAAGACTGTAATCAAGTTGTTAGTTGAGCTGTATTCTCATCTGTAGGCTCAACTGGGGAAGAATCTGTTTCTATGCTCCTTTAGGTTGCTAGCAGAAATCGTATCTTGGCAGCTATATGGTGAAGGACCCTGTTTTTTGCTGGCTATTGGCTGGAGGTCACCCTCGGGTCCTATAGGCTGCCAGCAGTTCCATGTGGGCTTCTCCAACACAAAGCCATTTATTTCATTTATTCCATCAAGCCTAAAAGGAGAGTCTCTCACCTCAAGGAAGGTCCAGTCCCTCTTTTAAAGGCTATTCACCTGATAAAGTCAGGCCTGCACAGAGTACTCTCCCTTTAACTCAGAACCAATTAATGTGGGGGGTTAATTACATCTGCAAAACGTTTTCACCTTTGCCCTCTTCCATTGGGTAGAAGCAAGTCACAAGCCCCATCCATACCCAAAGGGATGGGGTACACAGAGGCATGAACAATAGGAGGTGGGAATTACTGGAGGTCACCCAGGGTGTTTCTGTGACACTAGGTTAGTGCTCCTCAAACTTTAATGTACCTACAAATTATCCAAAGATTTTGTTAAATGCAGATTCTGATACAGTAGGTCAGGGATGTGATCTGAGAATCTACATTTCCAACAAGCTCCTACACAATGCTAATGCTACTGGCTGGTCTGGGAACCACCAAAACCCCATAAAGTTGGGACTGGAACCAGTAGTTTCAGCTCCAGGTCAGATACTCTTAACCACTTCCCCTATACTTGTCAACTCTCCCTGGACTTTATCTAAGGTCGTTATCAATAAGGGATATAGTTTTATTTTTGTTCCACGTTTATCCTAAGGTAGTCAATGTAGTTGACATCTAATTGTCTCTTTTCACATTTATGGGTTTTTTTTTTTTTTTTTTTTTGACAGAGTCTAGCTCTGTTACCCAGGCTGGAGTGCAGTGGTGCTATCTTGGCTCACTGCAAGCTCCACCTCCTGGGTTCGCGCCATTCTCCTGCCTCAGCCTCCTGAGTAGCTGGGACTACAAGCACCCTCCACCACGCCCGGCTAATTTTTTGTATTTTTAGTAGAGATGGGGTTTCACTGTGTTAGCCAGGATGGTCTCGATCTCCTGACCTTGTGATCCACCCGCCTCGGCCTCCCAAAGTGCTGGGATTACAGGTGTGAACCACTGCACCTGGCCTATGGGGTTTTACAGAACAAGCTTTGCCACAGGAAACGTGGCCTTTGAATCAAAGCTCAGGCATTCTCCAGCTGGCCCAGATGTCTTCTATCCCTTTCCTCAGGCAAGTGACCATCTGCTCTGGGCTAGGTAACACTCCGAAGGGGGAAGATTTGCCTGTTCTAGAGGCCCCATGTTTTACTTGCTGAGGAGTATTGGACAAGTGTCTAGGCCATCACCACCTTTCACTAGAACAAAGAAGTTTCTTCTTCTTTTCAAATTTATTTTTCATTATATATATTTGAGATGTGTGTACAACATGATGTTTTGACATACATATAAATGGTAAAATGATTACTACAGTCAAACAAATTTACAGATTCATCAAAAGAAGTTTCTTCTTGTTTTATAAATTGGGTCTCCTAGAGACTTTTCGTTTGACCTAAGTGTTTTTACCAGAAAAACATTTCCTTTTTTTTAGAAAATAAAAGAAGCGAAGATTTTAAACACTAGTTGGCTTTTGAAGAGAATAAATATTTACTTTGAAGAAAAGACTTATGAGGACTTAAAACATCTTACTTAACTAGCTACAAATAGCTCCTCCCTGGACTTTATGTAGGGAGTAGGAATCATTCTCACCAAAAGAGTAAGGAAATGTTGAATCAAAGTTTCCTTTTCAGTAATCTTTCCCAGACAGGAAGCTGTTATCTGTCTTCCTTTAAAAGTGCTGCTTATACCCTTGCAACTTAAATTTAGCTCTGAGGCAGCCTCTCCTTTCTCCCTGTGGGGTACAAATGGTGGTAAATGGCAGACAGATGTTAAACAAAGATACCTTCCCACACAGCTTCCTTTGATTCTTTAAGTAAACTCCAATCTCTATTTTTTAAGAAAATTGCAAGATAAGCCTGTCAGAGGCCTCTGAAATTAACATAATTCAGACCTCCTGCCAGTGTCCTAAATCCTAAAATAGTGAATTTCCAATTGTCTGCTAGCAAGCTGCAAGGCTTTCAAAGCAAAGCCAGGATTCCAAGATTGGAGTAAACCCCCAATGCTAACCTTAGCATTGGGAACTTGAAGGCAGAGGAACCAAGATAAATGCCTCCTTGTATAACTTGTATAACCATACATTGAAAAGCTGGAGTCCTCCTGGTCTCTACTGTTAGAGATTGCTAACCACAACAAAATAATATCTTCACATATTTATTGAGCTGCCCTAGGAACTTTACCTTCCATGCCTCATTTAATCTTTACAACAATCCTGTCAAATGCTCATTTACAGCTTCCATTTCGATGGACAACTCAAGCAGAGAGAAGTTAAGTAACATGCCCAAGGTCACACAACTAGCAGCTAGGCAGAATTCAATCCAAAGTCAACATATAGTGCTTTTAAAGAAGACTAAATACACAAGATGCTAAAAGAAAGAGGACACTTGCTTTCTTCTGAAGTGCCTGAATGGTGTTCCCCTAAAAGACATGTCCATGTTCTAACTCCTGGATTCAATGAATGTGACTTCATTTGGAAAAAGGGTCATTTCAGATATAATTAATTGAAGGATCTCAGGATGAGAATATCCTGGACTATCTGGCTTGGCCCTAAATTCAATGACACGTGTGCCTGTAAGACAAAGGCAGAAAAAGATCTGACTTTGACAGAAAAGAAGACAGAGACACAGAGGAGATGACCACGTAAAGACAGAGGCAGGAATTGGAGTGATGCTGACACAAGCTAAAGAGGCCTGGAGCCACCAGGAGGTGGAAAAGAACAAGGAAGCCTTCTCCCCTAGAGCCATCAGAGGGAGCATGGCTGCGCTGACACCTTGATCTTCTTCTGGTTTCCAGAACCGTATGACAATAAATTTCTATTTTCAGCCACTGAATTTTTGGTAATTTGTTATTTGCAGCCTTAGCAAACTAATATAGTCATGCACCTCCTGTTTCCATCACTGACTGACCACATATAAGACCATGGTCTCATGAGATTAGAATGGATCCGAACATTTCCTGTCACCTAGTGATATCCTAACCATTGCAATATGTCTGGAGTTGGTTCCTTCTGGTGCGTTCTTGGTCTCGCTGACTTCAAGAATGAAGCCACAGACCTTCGTGGTGAGTGTTACAGCTCTTAAAGGTGGCACAGAACAAAAGAGTGAGCAACAGCAAGATTTATTGTGAAGAGTGAAAAAACAAAGCTTCCACAGCGTGGAAGGGGACCCGAGCATGTTGCTGCTGCTGGCTGGGGTGGCCAGCTTTTATTCCCTTATTTGTCCATGCCCACGTCCTGCTGATTGGTCCATTTTACAGAGTGCTGATTGGTCCATTTTACAGAGTGCTGACTGGTGCGTTTACCGTACTTTAGCTAGACACAGAGCACTGATTGGTGTGTTTTTAGAGTGCCGATTGGTGCATTTACAATTCTTTAGCTAGACACAGAGCACTGATTGGTATGTTTACAATCCTCTAGCTAGAAAGAAAAGTTCTCCAAGTCCCCACTCGACCCAGGAAGTCCAGCTGGCTTCACCTCTCAATCCCCCCTCTAAACAGGACACCCCAACTGCTGTTGGGAATTGGGCGATGACTGCTCTAGCTACTTTCTGCTGGATAGGGGTGAAGAAGGGGCCCTGCAGTTGTAGTGTCCTCCAGAGGGGAACTCTTTAGGCCAGTCAAAGGGCCAGCTGGTTGGTCCAGGGGTCCTCGGTAGAAGTTGTTAGTTGAGCTCATTTGGGGTTCCATTTGTAAGACCATCTGTAGCTGGATGGCCTCAATCCTAGAGGAAACAAATTTGACAAGGAGGTTAAAAATACAGGGCCCGAAGGCGAGTAATAGCAAGATGGCTGTCACAGGACCTAGAAAGGGGAGAAGCCATGTCGCCCAACTCCAGAGGTTGGTATAAGAGTTTGAAAGGCATTGTCTGATTTCAGAAGCCTTTTCCTGTAAATGCCAGGCGGCATCTCTGACTGGTCTATCCCTGACTGGTTAGTGTAAAAAGAACACTCTCCCCCTAAGAAGGTGCAGAGTCTGCCTTTCTCAGCAGTGAGGAGCTCTAGGCCTCAGTGATTTTGGAGAGTCACTGCTGCCAAAGAGTCTATTTGGGATTGTAGAATAAGGATAGATTTCATTATTTCTTGCAAACTGTCTGAGAAATCCTTTGAGGGTGTGCGGTAGTAGGATAATGAAGCAGATAAACTGACTATTCCAGTTCATGTAGCAGTAGCCATTCCTAACCCTGTAAGTAGGGGTATTAGTTGTATGGCTCTGTGCTGACAGACTTGAGCTTTGAGGGGCACTGATAGGGTTTGATTTCCTGGGGCAATGTTAATGTTGAGACTTAGGAAGACTAAGGTGCAGGTGCCTGTCCAGTTAGTAGGGAGGCAGATATAGGTTGACGTTCCTCATAAGAAAAATATGCCTTGACTGAGTAGACAGAACTGGTTGTGTGTGTTAAAAAGGTATGTGAGTTTGTTGTTTTCATTTTCCCATACTCCTAGAGTACTTGCTAAGGTAGTTCCGGTGAGTGGCTGGAAAGGGGTATTGGGAGCAAACTGAGTGGCTCCCTGTGTTCTATTTTCCCACTGGAGAAAAAACCGTTTTGTATCTACTAGGAACCATTCGAGAGTGTGATTGAAAGGGGATGAGAAGGAATTCACTAGTGGTGGGGGTGCTGCTGCAGGGGGTCGAAGGGTGAATGGTCATGCAGGGAGTATATTTGCCATTAGAAAACCTGGACTGTTTATTAAGTAGGGAGGAGGTGATGAGTCTAAGATCTTGCACTAATCTCCACTGACCATTTGGTTTTTGTACTCCTAGAATTGGGGTGTTGCAGGGACTGCTGCATTTTCTTACTGAGCCTTGAGCTTTTAAATGTCTAACAATATCCTGTAATCCTTTATGAGCTTCAGGCCTTAAGGAATATTGCCTTTGATAAGGAAAAGTGGTGGGGTGTTTCAGCCTGATTTGGACTGGACAGGCATTTTTTGCGCTTCCGAATTGTCCTTCCAAAGCCCAGACTTCAGGGTTGATTCCCTCCTCAAGCAGTGGACTACAAATGGGTAACTTGTTCCCCATATTCATGTATATAATGGCTCCAGCTTTGGTTAATATGTCCCTCCCTAATATAAGGGTATAGGACTTTCAGGCACAACAAGAAAGGCATGTGAAAAGAGCAAAGTCTCCCAATTACAACTGAGGAGATGAGAGAAATACCTGGTTACAGGCTGTCCCAGGATTCCTCAGATGGTAACGGACCTTGAGGACTGTCATCCAGGACAGGAGATTAACACTGAGAAAGCCACTCCAGTGTCCAAGAGGAAGTCAACTTCCTGGCTCTCAACAGTTAAACATACCCAGGACTCAGTGAGAGTGATGACATGAGCTGGCGCTTGCCCTGGGCACCCTCAGTCCTGTTGTTGGATCATCTGGTTGGCGGCTTCTGGCCCAGAGAAACTTTGTCCTCTGGGGCAGTGCACCTTCCAGTGATTGCCTAGGTATAGTAGATATGGGCAAGGGGGTGGCTTGTTTCTTGTTGGATAATCTTTTTTAAGGTGTTCTTGCAAACCACACTGGTAACAAGCCCTACTGGGTGATTGGCCTGCTCCATTTTCTGTCCTCTCTGGACCACCAAAGTTTGTTTGTCTGAGGGCCATGACTAAGGCTGCAGCCTTTCTCTGATCTCACTTTTCCTTTTCGGCCTATTCCTCTTGTTCCCTATTATAGAACACCGAGGTTGCCAGGTTTAATAATGCCTCCAGATTTTGTTCAGGGCCCAGGGGTTGCTTTTCAAGCTTTCTCCTGATATCTGCAGCTGATTGGATAATAAACTTATCTTTTAGGATCAATTGACCCTCGAGTGAGTTGGGTGACAGGGGAGTGTATTTTCTTAAGGCCTCCTGTAGCTGCTTGAGGAAGGCAGAAGGATTTTCTTCCTTTCCCTGAGATATGGTGGACATCATTGACTAACTCATGGGCTTTTTCCTAATTCTCCCTAGTCCTTCTAGAACACAGGTGAGCAGATGTTTACGACTCCAGTCTCCATGATCTGAGTCTAGATCCCAGTGGGGATCCATACTGGGGATGGCTTGCTGACCGCTAGGGAATTTGTCCCTTTCTTCGGCTGTCATTCTATCATTTACTTGACTAAGATACCAGGTATCTCCAAACTCTCGGGCTGCAACTAAAGCCGCATTCTTTTCATGAAAGGCCAGGGTTTGATCTAACAATAGCATGACTTCTCTCCAAGTGAGGTCGAAGGTATGACCTAGACCCTGTAGGACATCTACATACCTATCAGGATCATCTGAAAACTTCCCCAGGTATGCCTTGATCTGCTTTAAATCAGAGAGGGAGAAGGGGACATGTACCCAGGTTGGGCCAAATTCCCCTCCCCCTACAGCTTGAAGGGGACATAACCAATAGCCCAGGGGTTTTTGTGGTCCCTTGGAGATTTCTTTGCTTGTTTCCTTCCTGGCGGGGGAGATTAGAGGAGGCTTGTCATTAATAGGAAGGGGAGCTATAGGGATGCTAGGATATGGGGGTAAGCTGAGAGGTCCTCTTGTGGGATATAAATTGCAAGCTTTGCATAGCTGTGGATTCTCCTTCAAGGAAAATAAAGCTTGGACATAAGGTATTTTATTCCATTTGCCTTCCTTCTTACAGAAAAGGTCAAGCTGCAGGATAGTATTGTAATTTATACTTCCTTAGGTGGCCATTTTTCCCTATCAGAGAGATAATACTGGGGCCAGGCCATAGTGCGGAAAAAAATGAGCCACTTCTCTTTCAGGATTTGCAGGTCAAATTGGTCCTAATTGTTTAGGATGCATTTCATGGGAACCCACAACAGTCCTTGAACCCTGCTGTTCAGAATAGTTGTGCTCACCGATGCAGCAGCAGAAACCCCTGTTGCCCAAGAACCCGCAATGGTCACTGAACCCTGCTGACCAGAGTAGTTGTGCTCACTGATGCAGCAGCAGAAACTCCTCTTGCCCAAGAACCCGAAATGGTCCCTGGACCCTGCTGATTGGAATAGTTGCATTCACTGACACAGCAGCAAAAACCTTAATTTTCCTCTTAGACCACAAAGAGGACCGAGGAAAGTCGGATTTATTGGCCCTTACAGATGCATTCTCGAAAACCTGTTAGAGTCCTGTTAGTATCGGGACCTTACCCCTGTCCTATAAAGATGTTATGCCCCAAAAATGAAGTGGAGGGCCATACCCTGAGGGAGGGAAGGGATCTCCAGGGTTGGAAGAGTGATGCCTTTTGTCCTCACTTCTCATCATATGAATAGGAAGGATATCATTTCTGAGGCTCCCCATATCTTAGCTTCAGGAATAGCTTTTGTTAGATCTGTTAGTCTGAGGAGGGATCCTAAAATTCCAGATAGTCCCCCCCCACCAATGGGACTTTGGGAAAAAATTATGTCTCTCTGCCTGGTGAGCCTGGTTGCGTAAAGAAGGGAACAGAGTCCTGAAGTTTATACTAGAAATCATTCTTATAGGATAAACTAGAAAAGCACCAGAGACAGGGAGTGGTTTTTAGAAGCAGGACTAGCCTTGGAGAAGGGAGACAGGAAGAAGTTGTCTGACAGGCATTAGGACCCAGGAGGCAAGGGTCAGGATAGATAGGATAGATGGACGAGTCTCACTTGGGTGACATGACTTTGAGAGTTCCACTCATGGCTACAGGGTCAACCAACTTTTTGTCGGGACCCCAGAGCTGAATGGTTTTCCTCTCTGTCAACCCTCGGTTTAGCCCAGAAGTACAGGAAAAGTGTAAGCTGGTTCCAGGCAAACCAATGCTCCCAACTCTGAAGAGTCAGGGGTTGTTAGAGAGTCCTTTCCCAGAAAGCCTGACACCCGTGTCTTTAGTCCAGTGGCTGCACTAGTTGCTTTTAACTGGCCGACAGGTGCCCAGTATTTAGCCCCCGAATTCTAAGGAAAAATAGGACAGAATAGCAAGCAAAAGGGGTCCAATGGTACCCATTCCTTGGCAATAGTCCCATCTGGGTCGCCAAGATATGTCCGGAGTTGGTTCCTTCCAGTGGGTCTTGGTCTCGCTGACTTCAAGAATGAAACCATGGACCTTCATGTAACTCTGAGTGTTACAGCTCTTAAAGGTGGCACAGAACAAAAGAGTGAGCAACAGCAAGATTTATTGTGAACAGCAAAAGAACAAAGCTTCCACAGCATGGAAAGGGACCCAAGCGGGTTGCTGCTGCTGGCTGGGGTGGCCAGCTTTTAGTCCCTTATCTGTCCACTACCACATCCTGCTGATTGGTCCATTTTACAGAGTGCTGATTGGTGTATCCTTTAGCTAGACACAGAGCGCTGATTGGTGTGTTTTTACAGAGTGCTGATTGGTGTGTTTACAATCCTCTAGCTAGACAGAAAAGTTCTCCAAGTCCCCACTTGACCCAGGAAGTCCAGTTGGCTTCACCTCTCAGCAACATCAGAGAACAACACGGTACTCATGTGTTTGAGATGGTGCTGGTGTGAAGAAACCTACTGAGCTGCCAGTCGTATAAAAGTCTAGCACATACAGTTCTCTAGGGTACATAATACTTGATAATGATAATAAACAACTATGTTACTTGTTTATATATTTACTATAATATACTTTGTATTGCTATTAGATTGGTGCAAAAGTAATTGCATTTTTTTGCCACTAAGGGTAAAAACAGCAATTACTTTTGCACCAACCTAATATTTTAGAATGTGTTCCCTCTACTTATTTTTTTAAAAGTTAACTGTAAAGCAGACTTAGGCAGGTCTTCAGAAGGTATTCCAAAAGAAGGCATTATTAAAGGAGATGACAGCTCCGTGTGTGTTATTGACCCTGAACACCTTCCAGTGGGACAAGGTGCAGAGGTGAAAGGCAGTGATATTGATGATGCTGACCCTGTGTAAGCCTAGGCTAATGTGGATGTCTGCGTCTTCATTTTAACAAAAAAGTTCAAAAAATTAAAAAAATTCAAAATAGAAAAAGTTTATAGAATAAGGACATAAAGAAAAAATATTTTTGCACAGCTGTACAATGTGTTTGTGTTTTAAACTAAGCCTTACTACAAAAGAGTCCAAAAGGCTAAAAAAATAAAAGGTTTAGCTGGGGCGCAGTGGCTCACGCCGGTAATCCCAGCAATTTGGGAGGCCAAGGCGGGCGGATAATGAGGTCAGGAGATCGAGACTATCCTGGCTAACACAGTGAAACCCCATCTCTACTAAAAATACAAAAAGAAATTAGCCAGGCGTGGTGGTGGGCGCCTGTAGTCCCAGCTACTCGGGAGGCTGAGGCAGGAGAATGGCATGAACCTGGGCAGTGGGGCTTACAGTGAGCCAAGATCACGCCACTGCACTCCAGCTTGGGTGACAGAGCAAGACTCCATCTCAAAAAAAAATGTATATATAAAAGGTTTATAAAGTAAAACAGTTACAGTAATCTAAGGTTAATTTATTATTGAAGAAAACTATTATTTAATCCATTTAGTGTAGCCTAAGTGTCCAGGTTTTATAAAGTCTACAGGAGTGGACAGTAATGTCTTAGGCCCTCACATTCACTCACCCTCACTCACTGACTCACCCAGAGCAATGTATAGTCAGTCCTGCAAACTCCACTCATTGTAAGTGCTTTATCTAGTGTACCATTTTTAATCTTTTATTCTGTATTTTTACTATACCTTTTCTATGTTTAGATATGTTTCAATGCACAAATACTTACCCTTCTGTTATAATTGCTATGGTATTCAGTGCAGTAACATGCTGTACAGGTTTGTAGCCTGGGAGCAATAGACTATACTGTCTAGCTTGGATGTATAGTAGGCTATACCAGCTAGGTTTGTGTAAGCATAGTCTATGATGTTTGTACAATGACAAAATCACCTACCGATGCATTTCTTAGAACATACCCCTGTCATTAAGCAACACATAACCGTACGAAGACTTGAGAAAAAAAAATCTTTAGGTGAACTCCAACAGTCCCCTGTAATTATTATTTGTGCCTGTCCTCCTGAATTGCAAGCCCTGAGATGGCACAGATGACATAACATTCACCTTTGTGCCTCTAACATTCATGACACCAATGTGGATCTCAATGAATGTTTGTCAACTTGAAATAGCAGGAACACTGGTGAGTGAAGACTGTGGAGACCGCAGGCCTGCAATCATCTAGGAACATACAGAGAAGAATGAAGCAAGTCAAATTCTTGTAAAGGAGCCAGATCAGGTGGCAAACATCCATGTGGCTCTTCTACAGAACTGTGAAGAAGGCCAGGAAGCCCTCCGTCCTTTAGGGGCAGGTGAAGCTGGCCCCGGGAACGTCAGAGCCACCAAACATTTTCGGCCCTTGTTTAATCAAAACAAACATCGAAATGGAGAGTGATTTCAACAAATACTGAAATGGGAAAAAAGTGGGAATACATCTACTACTATTCACTTTTTGGTTTTACTTTTAATTTACTTTTCAAAAAAATTTATTATTAAAATATACAAAAGTATGCAGTGAAGTTTCCCACCCCCTTACCTATTCATTCATTGAACACATATTGGAGTGTCTACTGTGTATACTATTGTTGGTGCTTGGGACATACCAGGGAATAAAACAGACAAAAGCAATAATCCTCATGGCCTTCACATTCAACTGGGCAGCTAGCCAAGGTAATCCTCTTTGAGAAGGGAAGATTTTTCTAAAGGCTAAAAGAAGTGAAAGAAATTAGCCAAGAAAGTATCTTTCCCAACAACCTCTATATTTAGATGTTTCTGAGTCCTCCCAGGGTTTCTTTATGGACTTATCCACAAATTCAAACATATATTCTTATTTTCCCTTATTTTCAATTTGAAAGACTGTATATTATATACATCTTGCTTTTCTCATTTAATGTATCTTAGAGCTTTTTATCCAATAACTTTATCAGAAAGTTTATGTATTTATTTATTTTTGTATTCCTGCATAACCTATTTGGGTAGCTATGCAGTAATTCATTTCACCTTTTCCATATGATAGAATTTAGGTTGTTTTCATTATTTTGAGAAATGTTGTAATGCCTAACTGTGTATAAATATCATTTAAATCCCTTGGATAATTTCCCAGAAGAGGAATTTCTTGGTCAAAGACATATGAATAAATCATTTTGACAAATATTGCCAAATTGCCTTCTGTGGGGTTTTACTAATGTCTGTCTCCCCAAAACAATGGAGAGTTCCTGTTTTCTCACAGGTTGCCAATGGACTATGATGTCAAACAAAAATTTGTGGGGTTTCTAGCCATTATGATTTAAAAAAAATGATAATCCCATGTAATTTTAAATTTTCATTTGTCTTATTTTGAATAACAGTCAACAGTTTTCATGTATTTAAAAGCCATTTTTATTTCTTTTCCAATAAACTTTTACTATTTTTTTCCCAATATAACTGGGCAAGCAATTGGGAAGTTGGTGTTTTTCTCATCAATATCTATGTGATTTCTATATATGACAGAGATTATTCTGTTTTATGAATTATAAATTTTTTCCTGTGTGTTGTCTTTTGACTTTTTAAAATAATTTTTTTTGCCTTACAGATTTTTAAGACATAGTAACATTTACCTTTTTTATGGCTTCTGGATTTTTAGTCATATTTTAAAAGATTATACACACCCCAAATTTAAAAAGCAATTTTATCATTTTGTTCTAGTAGGTTTATGATTTCAGATTTTACATTTAAGTCTTTGATCTATTTAGAATGTATTCTCATACGATGTGAAAGATGAATCCAACTATTCCCCTAGGTGGCTCTCTGGCTTTTGTCTGTGACCATTTTTTGAGTGGTTTATTTTCCCTACTGATTTCTGATGACACCCCTATAACATATGATGTTATTAGTATGTCATTGGGTTTATTTATTTCCTATCTTGTTCTATTTTCTGTTTGTCTGTTCATATGTCAATACAATACTATTTAATATTTTAGCTTTCTTCCTTTTAAATGTTTTCTTGACTATTTTTGGTTGTTTCATTTTTTTATACAACCTTTAGTATCAGTTTGTCTCTTTCTAAAGAAAGAAAAAATTGATACTTTTCATTGGAATAAAGTTAAACTTACCATAGAGAGAAATCGTGTTTCAACTATGTAGAATTCTCCTATCCAAGATTATGGCTTTATCTTTTCTTTGTTTGATTGAATTTAGTATCTTTCAAAGTATTCTTCATATAGTTTTTGAATATTTTCTAGTGAGTTCATTCATAGGTATTTTATTTTTATTGCTGATATTGTAAATGGTTCATTCCTTTCATTATATCTTCTAAATGATTTTGTGAAATATATGAATGATATTTTCTACATTCTCCTTTTCTACCCTACTATTCAGCTAAATTCTCTTTTTTGATTTTAATTTTTTGGTTTATTCTTTTGGCTTTAGTTTTTTTAGAGTGTCTTGGGTTGATATTATACTCTGAAAAAAGTATTCATCATTGAATGAGTTAAATTTTTCTGGACTAGCCATTTAAATAAGTTCCTATGGGGAAGGAAGAAGGACCAGAGTAGCTTCCAGGTGTCAAACTCTGAATAACCTTCCAATGCAACCACACAGACAGCTTTTCTGCAAAGATGGCACATCCATGTCATGCACTGTGTGATTTTACTGCCTCTGCATCTTCAAATCCACTGCTTTTCAAAGTTGAAGTCCAGGAGAATTTTTATTCGAGTCTTGCCACCAGATTTCTTCACTCACTGTAGCAAACAAGCCATGTAGCTTTTTCACTAGAGGGTGGACCTCTTCCTCTTAGAAAATGTGTTTTTGCAAAATCCATCACTTCCAGGACTTCTAAGTATTCCTTTTGACTTCCTTCTAGATGAAATCTAACCAGGTCTCAGTTAGTTTTAGTGGTCATTGTTAGAATCTGCAGATTATAGTTTTAGTGGTCGTTGTTAGAGTCTGCAGATTATCTGTGTCCTATTTTACTGAAATTGGAATTTGAGAGTTTTTAAAGATTCTACTTATTACCTTTGGATGGTTTCCAGAAGAGGAGAGAAATCTGGTATACAAATCGATGTTTAATGGGTTATCTCAACTACTGCTCAAAATGAACTGAAAGTAATACTTCTAGCACAATCAGTTTCAGGATTGGGAGTAGATTGTAACCAGATATGAAATATACACGCTTATGCACGAGCTTCATAAGTGTGGCGTAATTATGATTGGCCATTTCCTTCTGGTTTTCTAAACTTTCTATTTCTATCATGACTCCTTCTCCCTCGATTCACACATATAAACACACACACGACTGTGTGTAGAAAAGGATGTGTACAAAAATATCCAACACTGGGCCGGGCGCAGTGGCTCACGCCTGTAATCCGAGCACTTTGGGAGGCCGAGGTGGGCGGATCATGAGGTCAGGAGATCAAGACCGTCCTGGCTAACATGGTGAAACCCCGTCTCTACTAAAAAAAATACAAAAAATTCGCCAGGCGTGGTGGCGGGTGCCTGTAGTCCCAGCTACTTGGGAGGCTGAGGCAGAAGAATGGCATGAATCCAGGAGGCAGAGCTTGCAGTGAGCCGAGATGTGCCACTGCACTCCAGCCTGGGTGACAGAGCGAGACTCCATCTCAAAAATAAATAAATAAATAAAAATTAAAAAAAAAATCCAACACTGTACTATAAACAGTTAAAATAAGTGAGAACTAAAAATCTTTCTTGGATTTGGCAATGACTTTCTGTATGACTTTGACTAAATTGAGTTTGTAGGCAGAAACCAGAATTTTTAATGGAGTGAGTTGAAGGGTGAGCAGGAGGTGATAAATTAAGGAGTGTAGACTACTTTTGCAAGACTCTTGGCTATTAAGGAAAGGAAAATTTTACAGAATCAAATAGAAAGTCATTGCTGAGAAACTCTATATTTAGATCCCTGTAAGAAGCTTGTTTAGGGAGTGATGTCACAAGCTTGTAAAGTTCTGCCCTTCAAAGTGGGGGTGAGGAGCAAGAAGGAAGGAAGGAATTTGTGTTAGAGCACAGTTGTCAACAGCCCTGACCCTGGAGCCAGAGCACCTGGGTTTGATCCCTCCGTAACTCTCCTCTCTCTCTCTCTCTCTCTCTCTCTCTCTCTCTCTCTCTCTATATATATATATATATATATATATATATATATATATATTTATTTATTTATTTATTTTTTTTTTTGACAGAGTCTCTCTCTGTCATCCAGGCTGGAGTGCAGTGGCACAATCTCCTGCTTTCCGCAACCTCCACCTCCCGGGTTCAAGCAGTTCTCCTACCTCAGCCTCCCAGGTAGCTGGCATTATAGGCTCCCACCACCATGCCTGGCTAATTTTTGTATTTTTAGTAGAGAGGGGGTTTCACCATGTTGGCCATGGCTGGTCTTGAACTCCTGACCTCAGGTGATCCACCCGCCTCAGCCTCCCAAAGTGCTGGGATTACAGGTGTGAGCCACTGCGCCTGGCCCCTCTGTAACTCTTGTTGGCATATGACTTGGCATGACTTAGTCATTCTGATCTAAATGATGCCCTAATCTATGTAATAGCTTAGATCTTTTTCCTTAGCTTCAATCTCTGTATACTGGATAATTTCCCGTGGATGTCCTACAGGTACCTCTGAGTCAATATGTCCAAAATGTGATCTAATATTTTGTCCAATCCCCAAGCTTGCCCCTACCCTTTGTATGTTTATTCTTTATGACTAAAACCACCATTTACCTAGAAAACCAGGCCAGGATGCACATACTCATCCCAAATGCCTTCATTTCTTTCATATCTGACATCTAACTGTGACTAGTTCATATCAATCCTCTCTTAGTTTCACCTGTAGGACTTATGTCCTCCTTTCTAACTTTACTGCTACGATTTTAGAGCAGGTTCTAATTATCTCCTAGCCAGGTTGTTGCTATCACTTCCTAATTCTTATCTCAGCTTCTACTCTAGCCCACACACCATTCCTGAATCATCCTCTACACCATCAACAAAGTGAGTTTATTAAAATTCTATGCTCATCCTGCCATTCTGCAGATGAAAACCTACATTTCTTGTCAGGGTATTCATGTTTCTCAACAATCTGATCCTAGCTGTGTGACTCTCCATCCTCAGACCACACTGTATGTCCTTCCTCAGTCTCCATTGCAGACAGACAAAATAAAAGAAGGCACAATTCCACCCCCAACCCCCTATTCTACAGAAAAGGAAGCATTCCTCCTAAGAGGAGAACTTCCCTTGTTTAGAAAAAGATTTTAAGAAGTCTTTTGAATATGCAGGAGCAAGGGCAGCAAGTCTGGTGGGGAATAAGGAGGTTAAGGGGCTAGTGCAGAAGTCCTGAAGCAGGTGCCAACTTGGAGATCAGTATGACTGGGGCAGGACAAATAATGGGGTAGAGGAGGTGACAGCAGAGGTAGTCAGGAAGCTAACAAGGGGAGGGAGTTGTAGGATTTTACATTATGAGGGTTTTGGCCTTTACTCGAAATGAAAGCCATAGAAAGGTTTTGAACAAAGTAATCTGATCTGACAATGTTTTACATAATCTGGCTAATTTTGAAAGCATCCTGTCTGGATAAGAGTGGAAGCAGGGAGACTAGTTAAGTAGACTGTGCAATAATCCATGCAAGGCTTGATGTGGCTTGAGCCATGGACAGCCAGGGTGGGTGCAGTGGAAGACGGTTAATGGTGGTAAAGATGGTGAGAAGCATTTCAAGGTAGATCCAGGATATAGTGGACTGTATGTGAGATACATTAGAAAAAAAGGAGTTAAATATTTTTTCAAGATTTTTGGCCTGAGCAATGGGCAGAACAAAGTTGACTCTAGGCTGAAAAGGAGAATGCTATGAAAAGCTCAAGCTGGAAAGAAGATTGAGAGTTCACTTTTTTGCACATTAGGGTTGAGCTAGACATTAGACAGATATCCTACAGAGATACCTAGCAAGTTGTTTAGTATACAAGCCTGAAGTATAAGGGACAGGTCAGATTGGGGATACATGTGTGGGAATTGTCATCATAAGATGGTATTTAAAGCCTGACCCCACCAAGGAAGGGAGTATAGATTGAGCAATGAAGAAAACCCAGGCTAAGCCCTGCACACTCCAATGTTAAGAAGTTGAAGAGAGCAAGTAATGACAAAGGAGGCCGAGAAGGAGCATCCAGTGATGTAGGAAGAAAGCCAGAGAGAGAGTTTTGACCCAGAAACCAAGTGAAGAAAACACTTATAGAAAAGGTGAGTGTTCCCGCATGTTCTCACTCATAAGTGGGAGTTTAACAATGAGAACACATGGACACAGGGAGAGGAACATCACACACTGGGGCCTGTTGGGGGGTGGGGGGCTAGGGGATGGATAGCATTAGGAGAAATACCTAATGTAGGTGACGGGTTGATGGGTGCAGCAAACAACCATGGCACATGTATACCTATGTAACAAAACTGCATGCTCTGCACATGTACCCCAGAACTTAAAATATAATAAAAAAAGAAAAGGTGAGTGTTCTAATGTGTCCAATACTGCTGATAGGACAAGTAAATTTAGGACCAATAATTGATCATTAGATTTAGCAATGTGGAAGGTATTGCTGATAGAACAAAAGGAGTTTTAGAGAATCATGAAGGTAAAACGTGTTTGGACTGGGTTCAAGAGGAAATGGGAGAAAAAAACTGAAGTGGGCAGTATACACAATTCTTCCTAGGAGTTTGCTGCTGTGGGGTGGGGGGAGAGGAATGGGATGGACCATGGGGTCAAGGGAGTGTATTTTTTAAGACAAAAGAAATTGCAGTATTTTTGTCTGATGGAAAAGATACAGAGAGGTTGAAATTGTGATGAAAGAGAGCAAAAAAGACCTAATACAGCAGTATCATGACGGGGTGAGAGGATGTGCCAATAGAGATGATGGCCTTCATCAGAGATCTGACCACTCATCCATAACATCAGGGCCAAAGGCAGGGTGCATGGACACATGCAGGAAGGCGGGTAGACTTCAGAGTGGGAGTTCAAGAGTGCTCTTGGTTCTATGTGAAATGGACAGCAAACTCACTAGCTGGAGTGACGATGGTGGAAGAAGCATTGACCATTTAGAGAAGGGAAAACATTAAACAGTCACCCAGGACACTGGAAGAATGAAGGGACAAGGGAAATACAGTAGAGAGCTGAGCAGCATCTGAGGTTGGAGGTCAAAAATTGTAAAGTGAGACAGCAAATTTCCATGTGTTTCTCTAGTCACATTCAGCTGTGTGTGTGGGCATGAAGGATGTGGTACCACATGGCTGTGTTTTGCTGTGCAACTCAATGAGAAAAGAAGTCAGAAGTCAGGGTAGCTTAGGTTTAAGGTATTCCTCAGTATTATGAGATACACGTTTAAGTTAGTGCAGTGTGGAGTTAATTGGGCATTAATTGAACCAACTTAGTGTTACTAACATAGCGAAGGCTTAGCAACTGCTACTCAAAGAGAAGTGAGTTTGAATCATAATTGCAAGACCAGTTTCTGAGGCACCATTTTTCAGATTAAATTAGGTATGCCAGGCGATTATGTGTTCATTTCCTGAATTAAGTTAATGTGAGTATCGTTTACTAGACCATGGGATCCTGTGGCATTTGTTCCCTGAAATGTTCTTTAGGCTCTGACAATGTATGTAAATTGCGATTGTTTATAACATAAAAGTTTAAATGCATTATTCATACTGAAGTTTAGTATGTTGTCTATGAATCTAGGTCATTTATTTACAAAGTGGCATCATTACCCTCAATAATAGTATAAATAACAATATTAACAGCTTCCCTGTGATGCTCCTGTATGGTGTATTAAGCACTAGGCTAATGTCGTCACAGACTTGGGCTCATATAAACCTGATAGCTACATGTTGCCAGGAGGAGGTTAATGTTACTACTATTTTCAGACAAGTCCATCAACTATCAGAGAAGTTAAATAACTCTTCCAAGGGTAGACACCTTCTAGAAGAATATCCAGAATGCAAAATCAATCTTCCTGAACCCACATCGTGTTACACTCTTGAAACCTGCAAGTCAAGTGTCTGCTAGACCCACAGCACTCCAGCAGCTGGAACCATGGTTCTCAACCCTGATGCTATGCTTAGATCAAGCTGGTGCCAGGATCCCACGCAGGACTCGTCTCCAGAGACAGCATTTTACCATCTGTAGTTTTGAAAGTGCCACAAGTGATCCTAATGTGATTTAAGATCTCAAATTCTCAGTGATCCCCAGTGATTGGAAACTGCTGAGCTCTATATTCCACAAGGCTCCAGGAGAGAGTCTGTGTGCAACACTCCCAAGTAATTGAGACCTCATCTGACCTTATCCACCAGGCGGAGAGAAACCTTTTAGACATAACCTTAAAAGCCACACCATAAATTACCTTAAAATAAAACACTAAAAATAAGTTTTCCCTTGCAGCCTCCAGTCTCTACAGGTGACCATACATGACCTTCCTACCTGAAGACTCACCCCTGTCCTTGGTCAAAGAGAATTTAAGGAGTCTGTTTGCTAACTCCCATGACTCAACATTAAAATATTAATAGTAACCGCATATCAAGAATTAACATCTGCCAGGCATGGAGCTAAGTACTTTACACGTGTTAACTCATTTAATCTTCACACAGGCCCTGTGAGCTAGGTGCTGTGCTAATACTCATTTTACAGAGGAAGAAACAGAACCTTAGATAAGTTAAATAATACACCCCGGGTCACTGTGCTAACCAGCAGAGCCTGGATTTTCACCTGGTTCTGCCTGACCACGTGGTCCAGATTCCTGATTAATCTTGCTACTTAACAGCTCCACACCAAGTCCCAGAGATTCCCCAACTCAACATGAAAACTTTTCCCTCTCACCACAAATCCTGCTCTTCCACTGCCCTCTCCCTGCTGTCACTTAACTCAGAAGCTTCTGGATCACTCCTCACTGCCCTCACTCATGGCAACTTGTCAGTTTCTATGTCATTTTGGTGTTATTCTTAATGGCTCTCAGATCTCTTCTTTCAGACCTTCATTTGTTTCTTTCCAAGATTATTTTAGTAATCCCTATACATAATCTTCCTATCCTAGTCTTATCTTTCTCAAATCCAAACTTTTTTTTGCTGGTTCTAGATTGATCATTTGATAACACAAATTTGATACCACATCCAGGCTTAAGATCCTTGAGGGATTCAATGAGCCCTACTTGATAAAGCACCGATTTCTTAGCAAGATCCTCACAAAATAGCTCCAACTTATCTCCTTAGAGGTATCTCTTACCACTCTCTGGCCCCTTGTCCTTACCCCAAAAACACTATGTTCTCCAAAGGTCATAAACTGGGAGCACACAAGCAGGATCCAACCCAAAGACATGCTACATTGTTTTGGTTCACCCAATACCAGTGTGTGTGTGCACACAAGTCTTATCATTTAAGGAATGGGAGCACTCAAGCGAAAATACAGATCTCTTACTTCTTTGAAACATTATTTTATAAGTTGTCCACAATTCTCACCACACCCTATTGTGGCTCCAACCCAACTCACTTCGCATCTTTAAGTGACCTGCCTGACATTTGAGTTTGTGATCCCTACTGTAGACCATTAGAAAGTCTCTAGGTATACCAAATATCTTCATGCCTTTGTAACTTTTTTTGTGATATTTCTAATGGAGCTCTCTCCTAACTATTAAAGGTAGTTGTATGTATGTGTTCTCCTGGCTAGATTGGGAAAAATCATGAAAGTAGATTCTCTTTTGTTCATCTTTATACCCTATCCCACATTGTTTACCATCAGTCTTCACCCATTGTATACATTCCACGAACATTGAGCATGGTAAATTCCACTGCAATAAGAAGCTCTTTTTTACTCTATTAAAGTATTTTCATGACCAACTGTGTGAAACTAAGCAAGTTACCAGTTTACCAAACAAATAAGTCCAAACAAGTAAGGGACTTATTTGTTTAAGGACCTCACATAAAAAGGATTAATAAAATTATTCTTTCTCTAAAAATATTAGCAAAGAGAATTCAACAACACATCAAAAAGATTACACATCATGATCAAGTGGGATTAATCTCTGCCATACAAGGCTGGTTAAACATGCAAATCAAAGATACATCACATTAACAGAATGAACAATACCACAGTATTGTCTCAATTGACGCAGAAAAAGCATTTGACAAAGCTCATGATCTTTTCTTGATAAAAATTCTTAACAGTTTAAGTATAGAAGGAAAGTTTCTCAACATAATAATGGCAGTTTAAGAAAAATCCACAGCTGGCCGGGCGCGGTGGCTCACACCTGTAATCCCAGCACTTTGGGAGGCGAGGTGGGTGGGTCACGAGGTCAGGAGATCGAGACCATCCCGGCTAACACGGTGAAACCCCATCTCTACTAAAAATATAAAAAATCAGCCGGGCATAGTGGCGGGCACCTGTAGTCCCAGCTACTTGGGAGGCTGAGGCAGGAGAATGGCGTGAACCTGGGAGGCGGAGCTTGCAGTGAGCCGAGATCGCTCCACTGCACTCCAGCCTGGGCAACAGAGCGAGACTCCATCAAAAAAAAAAAAAAAAAAAAAGAAAAGAAAAAGAAAAATCCACAGCTAACATTGTAATCAACAAGGAACAAGTGAAAGCTTTTCCACTAACATCCAGTACAAGGCATGGATGCCCACTGTCACCACTTCTATTCAACATAGTACTGAAAGTACTAGCAAGAACAATCAGACAAGAAAAAAAAAAAATGAAAAGTCACTCAAATTTAAAAAGAAGAAGTAATCTCTGTTTGCAGATGATATTATCCTATAGGTAGAAAACCCCCAAAGTTTCATATAAAAAAACTGTTAGAACTAATAAATGAATTCAGTAGTTGCAGAATACAAAATCAGCATATAAAAACTTTTAGGTATCTATACACAAATAACCTAGCTGAAAAAGAAATCAAGAAAAACAATCCCACTTATGATAGCATAAAAATACGTGAAATAAATTTAAACAAAGCAGGTGTAAGATTTTTACAATGAAAACTATAAAACATTGATAAAAGAAATTGAAGAATACACAGCTAAGTGTAAAGATATCCCATGTTCACAGACCAGAAGAAGTAGGATTGTTAAAATGTCCATACTATCCCAAGAATAATTCAATGCAATCAGTTTTAAAATTCCAATGACATTATTCACAGATTCAATGCAATCAGCTTTAAAATTCCAATGACATTATTCACAGAAGTGGACACAACAATCCTAATATATATATATATATTTTGAGATGGAGTCTCACTCTGTCACCCAGGCTGGAGTGCAGTGGCACAATCTCGGCTCACTGCAAACTCCACCTCCCGGGTTCACGCCATTCTCCTGCCTCAGCCTCCTGAGTAGCTGGGACTACAGGTGCCTGTCACCGTGCCCAGCTAATTTTTTGTATTTTTAGTTGAGATGGGGTTTCACCATGTTAGCCAGGATGGTCTCAATCTCCTGACCTCGTGATCCGCCTGCCTCGGCCTCCCAAAGTGCTGGGATTACAGACATGAGCCACTGCGCCCGGCCAACAATCCTAATATTTTTAAAGAACCATAAAAAAAAAAAACCCAAACAGCCAAAGCTATACTGAGAAAGAAAAACAAAGTTGGAGGCATCACACTTCCTGAATAAGAATTATACCACAAAGCTATAGTAATCAAAACAGTATGGTATTGGCATAAAACAGAAACACAGACCAAAAAAACAGAATAGAGAGCTCAGAAATAAATATGAATATATACAGCCAACAAATTTTTGACAAGGGCATCAAGAAGACACAATGGGGAAAGGGTAGTCTCTTTAATAAATGGTGCTGGGAAAGTTGGATTTCCACATGCAAAAGAATAAAATTGGACCCTTATCTTATACCGTACACAAAAACCAACTGAAAGTGGATGAAAGACCTAAATGTAAGACCTAAAAGCATAAAATTCCTAGAAGTGAACATAGGAATAAAGCACCTGGACATTGACTGGCCTTGGCAATGATTTTTTAAATATATTATACTAAAAGCTCAGGCTACAAAATCAAACATAAATAAATGGAACTATATCAAACTAAAAAGCTGCACAGCAAAGGAAACAACAAAACAAAAGGGCAACCTATGAATTGGGAAAAATATCTGTAAAAAAATCTGTAAATTACATATCTGATAAAGAGTTAAGTATTTTAAAAGTATAAATAAAACACAAGTTAATAGCAGAAAGACAAATAACTTCATTAAAAAATAGACAAAGGACCTAAAGAAATATTTATCCAAAGAAAATATAAAAATGGACAGTAGGTATATGAAAATGTGCTCAACATCAATAATCATCCAGGAGATGCAAACCAAAACCACTATGAGATATCACTTCATATCCATTAGGATGACTATTATTGAAAAGTCAAGAGATAATAGATGTTGGCAATGATGTGGAGAAAAGTACATTGTTGGTGAAAATGTAGGGTGTTGCAGTCATTATGGAAAACAGTATGGAGGTTCCTAAAGAAATTAAAAATAGAACTATATATGATCCCACAATCCCTCTTTTGAGCCTATACCCAAAGGGAATGAAATCACTACCTCATAAAGATATCTGCAATCCCATATTTATAGTGGTATTTTTCACAATACCCAAAATATGGATACAACGTACATGTCTGTAGATGGACAAATGGATAAAGAAAATGTGGAATATGTATATATGTGTGTATGCATATATATAACATATAATATACATATTATATAGATGTATGTGTGTATATATATGTGTGTGTATATGTATATGTGTGTGTCTATATATAAAGAAAGAATGGAATATTATTCAGCCAGAAAAAAGAATGGCATCCTGCTATTTGGCACAACATGGATGGACAAGAAGGACATTTTGTTAAGCAAAATAAGCCAGACACAGAAAGGAAAATATTGCATGATTTTTTAAAAAAGGTCAAATATATAGAGTATAAAATAGTGGTTACAAGAGTTGGCTTGGGGGATGAAATGGGAAAACAGGTCAACGGATACAATGTAGCAGATATGTAGGATTAACAAATCTAGAGATTTAATGTACAACAGAGCACTATAGTTAATAAAAGTGCATTAGAAATTTTAAAGTAGATTTTAGCTGCTCTTATCAAAAAAGCAACTATGTGAGATGATAAATATGTTACCTTGCTTTCTTATAGTAATCATTTTGCTATTTATTATACATGTATTCCATAAAATCATGTTGTAAACTTCAAATATACACAATAAAACAACTTAAAAAAGCAGCTATTGTGGCCTGGTGTGGTGGCTCACGTCTGTAATCCCAGCACTTTGGGAGGCCCAGGCAGCTGGATCACCTGAGATCAGGAGTTTGAGACCAGCCTGGCCAATATGGCAAAACCCCGTCACTACTAAAAATACAAAATTTGCCAGGTGTGGTGGAGCATGCCTGTAATCCCAGCTACTCAGGAGGCTGAGGCAGGAGAATCACTTGAACCCAGGGGGCGGAGGTTGCAGTGAGCCAAGACCATGGCACTTCACTTCAGCCTGGGCAAAAGAGTGAAACTCCATCTCAAAAAAAAAAAAAAAAAAAAAAGCGATTGTTTCATATAGCTTTGAGCAAATGTAGGTTCCTAAAGTCTCTTTAATCAGATTATACAGCTGGCTATGAGGGTTGGCTCTACCTAACTTCTAAGTGTATCATGCAGAAAAATATATAAATACCTCTCCTTCCTCTTTCTACTATTCATATGATCAAAAAATAACAAATACTATTTTCAAGATACTTTCTCACTTATGACAGACTTCTTAGGCGATAATGATCTCATTAATCAGGTCTGCATCTTCACAAACAGTTTCAAATCTCAAGGTTTCCTAGGAAGCTCCCATTGTAAAACACTTAATTCATTTTATTTTTGTCTTTGAGGTTTTATTTTCATTTCTAACATAAATGAAACAGGAAAATCTAGAACTCCCAAGAATTTGAATTTCGATTGAGACAATGAACGTAATATTTCTATAGTAATCAAAGATGTATGGGAGGTAGCATACAGACCTTGCTTTAGGGAAGAAAGGCCCAAAGCACGCGTGAGGAGGAAAACGATTTTACACTCTCTTCTGTAGAGTGATGAATGAAGGACTGCAGTTGCCATGGAGGCTAAATCTCAGAAGGAATGACTAGGTTCTTTTAGAAGCTGCTCCTGTTTTTCAGCCAAGACCATCTGCTGACATCCCCAAACCCCAGTAGCTGACTGCAATGCCAGTTAATACGTGAAAGACTGTTAACATTTGCTGTTTCCCTTTCTTCTCCCTCTATCAGGACTGAATCTGGGGCAGGTGTGGACAGGCAAGCAGGAAAATCCCGTTGAAAGCTATAAATTATCCTGATTCTGGGCTAAGCGTATGGGTGTCTTAGAGGAACTCTATTTTTTCCTAAGACCTTCCAAGTGGGATGAAGAGATTCTGATAAGAACCAAACAGGCTGCAGTGAATCTGCATTGCTGGGAGGAATGCCAGAAATTTCAGGCTCAGATTGAAATCTTTGTTTGTAATAGTTTTCTTTCCTTGTGATCCAATTTCCTCTTAATTAATCAAGAGGGATTTTTTTTTTTCTCCGCATTTCTGGCCCTCAGTTAATGTTATCAGATGCCGTTGAACTCTGGAAACACCTCTGACAGATCTGTAGATTAAGTATTAAATCACTTCCCAATTTTTTTTATCCTAAGAGGTAAATAACCCACACGATGAAAAACGAATAGCGGCCGGGCGCGGTGGCTCGCGCCTGTAATCCCAGCACTTTGGAAGGCCGAGGAAGGAGGATCACGAGGCCAGGAGATCAAGACCATCCTGGCTAACACGGTGAAACCCTGTCTCTGCTAAAAATACAAAAAAATTAGCCGGGCGTGGTGGCGGGCTCCTGTAGTCCCAGCTACTCCAGAGGCTGAGGCAGGAGAATGGTGTGAACCTGGGAGGCGGAGCTTGCGGTGAGCCGAGATCGCGCCACTGCACTCCAGCCTCGGCGACAGAGCGAGACTCCGTCTCAAACAAAAAAACAAAACAACAACAACAACAAAAAACTAATACCAACTTTTTTCCAAAATAAATGTCTCACTCTCTGAAATAATTAACTTTTATACCTTTTTGTGCTCTTAAACAGCAGTTTTCAATCAGTATGGTTACTTGCATGCAAGACTGAAGGAAAGGATATAGTTTTAAAGCCAACAGACCTGTTGAATGAAAAAAAATTCCGTCTTACTTTAAGAAATTATTCATTGCTGAGCCCTGGACATTTTTATCTGGTTTAATACACTGCATAGATGTTTCTCTTTCTGTCCACATGCTTGTCTTTCCAGTCCTTTTAAAAAAATATTATATTTCAGTCCCTCTTGTGAGAGTTGAAAAACTGTCTTTGCCTACATGAACATAAAGTCCTGCTAAGGAAGATTGTGTTACTAAAAACAAAAGGGGCCAGACGTGGGGGCTCACATCTGTCATCCCAGCACTTTGGGAGGCCAAGGTGGGAAGACTGCACAAGCTCAGGAGTTTGAGACCAGCCTGGGCAACATAGCGAGACTCCGTCTATATAAAACAAAAACAAAAACAATTAGCTAGGCATGGTGGCTCATGCTTGTATTCCCAGCTGCTTGGGAGACTGAGGCAGGAGGACTGATTGAGCACAGGAGGTCAAGGCTGCAGTGAGCCATCATCACACCACTGCACTCCAGCCTGGGGACACAGCAAGACCTTATCTCAAAAAACAAAACAAAACAACAACCACAAACCAAACGGTAAGGGTAGGCGGGATGGGGATAAGAAGTGAGCTACCGATAGCTTTCATTTATTCTGTCCTTAGAATTCTGTCCTTAGATGATCTTTTCAAACAAAGTATTTCAAAATATGTATTCCAACAATAATTTCTTTCTTTCTTTCTTTCTTTTTTTTGAGACGGAGTCTCGCTCGTCACCCAGGCTGGAGTGCAGTGGCTCGATCTCCGCTCACTGCAAGCTCCGCCTCCCGGGTTCACAGGATTCTTCTGCCTCAGCCTCCCGAGTAGCTGGGACTACAGGCGCCCGCCACTACGCCCGGCTAATTTTTTGTATTTTTAGTAGAGACGGGGTTTCACCATGTTAGCCAGGATGGTCTCGATCTCCTGACCTCGTGATCTGCCCGCCTCGGCCTCCCAAAGTGCTGGGATTACAGGCGTGAGCCACCTCGCCCGGCCTCCAATAATAATTTCTAAAATCCAATGTGTATACAGGTTTTAAAAACATTTTTTAATGATTGGACCAAAATTTTGACTCCCTTTTTGTATTTTAATATGAGTTATCTATACAATAGTTCAAAGTTGGGACTAGAAAGTAATTAGTCTTTGACTATCTGGACTTTGGTCTTTCTCGTATCTGGGCTTCAATTTTCTCATTTGGAAAATGAAGATTGGATGAGTTGATTTTCTAAGGTCTATTTCTAATGGAGTTGAATGAAAAAGAAAAAGGCAACTTAGGATCTTTGATAACTGGAATAAAAGGAGGCACACGCTTTGAATTACACAGAGATGGATTTGAATCTCATATTTTATTAGCTGCTGGAAGTTAGATTTTATTTTACTTAGCTATAAAGTGGAACTAATTAGGAGCTGTACTGAGGGCTGCTGGGGTTTAAGTGGGAACAATCCTATAATGTTCCCAGGATAATATGTATGCACCTATAAATGGTAGGACCATATTAAGGTCAGACAAACGTAAGGCTGAGCACATGACTTGATCTAGTAATTTCCACTCTGGCACTTGGAGAAGAGAGTGAGCATATCACTGTTCCTTACCAGCAGAGATGTCCCTCTGCCGTGATGAAACTGGAGCTGTCATGATTTATAAAAAGAACACCATCAGGGCAAAGGCGCCACATCTTGGCAAGAAATGCTTCACATAGTTTCCATCGTCACTAAGCTCTCCTTCCCACCCCGCACCCTGCTTCTATTTAAATCCCAGGCACTCCACTGGACCACACTCATTTTAGCCAGTGTCCAGGCTATCAGCAGAGAAAGACAGGTGGGCAGCATGGCTCCGGGCGAAAAGGAAAGCGGGGAGGGCCCAGCCAAGAGCGCCCTCCGGAAGATACGCACAGCCACCCTGGTCATCAGCTTGGCCCGAGGTTGGCAGCAGTGGGCGAATGAGAACAGCATCAGGCAGGCCCAGGAGCCTACAGGCTGGCTGCCGGGAGGGACCCAGGACTCACCTCAAGCTCCTAAACCAATCACACCCCCTACTTCACACCAGAAAGCTCAGAGTGCCCCAAAGTCGCCACCCCGCCTGCCAGAAGGACATGGAGATGGACAAAGCTCAGAGAAAGCCCCTGAGGTTTCTCACATCAAAAAGAAAGAGGTGTCCAAAACGGTGGTCAGCAAGACTTATGAGAGAGGAGGGGACGTGAGCCACCTCAGCCACAGGTACGAGAGGGATGCTGGTGTGCTTGAACCTGGGCAGCCAGAGAATGACATTGACAGAATCCTCCACAGCCACGGCTCCCCAACGCGGAGGAGAAAATGTGCCAACCTGGTGTCTGAGCTAACCAAGGGCTGGAGAGTGATGGAGCAGGAGGAGCCCACATGGAGGAGTGACAGCGTAGACACAGAGGACAGCGGCTATGGAGGAGAGGCTGAGGAGAGGCCCGAGCAGGATGGAGTGCAGGTGGCTGTGGTCAGGATCAAGCGCCCCTTGCCCTCCCAGTAAGTGAATGCATTCTCCCACTCCTTGTGTCAGGATCACTATTGAGCCCCAACCAAGTCTGGGAATCCAGGCAGCAGATGAAGTCCTGCCAGGGTTAGAGTGAGAATCTCAAAGACTGGACAGGCAGTGAGTACTGTAGAGGAGGGATGTCCCTGGGCTGAAGGTCAGTGCCAACCTTAGACATGGACCTTTTGGTCAGGGCCTGCGCTATTTTGTTTCTCGTTTTTGTTTTGAACTGAACACTCAAGTCTTAGCCTCAACAAAGATGAAGCCATCAGAGAGGGAAGCCTGTTTTTCGTGAATTCTTTAAGTCAGTTCTATAATGAGTAACAAATTGGCTTATTTCTTTAGAGATAAGAGTGGTTTCTGATAGACTCATTGGGGAAACTTTTACCTTGTCCCAAATGTCTATGCTATTATCAGGAGATACGTCTGCTTCAATAACACCCATGGAATACAAATCTCTGACTCTAAACAGGTGGAGGCTGCTGTCTAATTTGAAAGCAGGCTCTGAATGAAGTCAGACAGACCCAAGTTCAAATCCTAGTTCTGCCCCTAACTAGTCATTTTTAAAGGTGATTTCATCAGCTGGGCGCAGTGGCTCAGCCTGTAATCTCAGCACTTTGGGAGGCTGAGGAGGGCGGATCACTTGAGGCCAGGAGTTTGAGACCAGCCTGACCAACATTGGTGAAACCCCATATCTACCAAAAAACACACAAAAATAGCTAGGCACAGTGTTGTGCATCTGTAATCCCAGCTACCCGGGAGGCTGAGGCATGAGAATGGCTTTAACCCATGAGGCTGATGTCGGAGTGAGCCAAGATCATGCCACTGTACTCCAGCCTGGGCAACACAGCAAGACTCTGTTTCACATAAAAATTAAAAAAAGCAGATTTCCTCATTTGTAAAATGACAGCAACAGTAAGCTTTTGGGAGAAGTTCTATTGTATTGGGAAACGTAAATGAGATTAGGGCTACCAAACACAGAGCTTGTCACATATGCTCAATACACGAAAACTATTATTATTCACATAGATTTGGTTACTTTGCAACTTTTCAAATTTTCAAAAACAGTTTGTCCTATTTGTAAACAAATACAGCAATAATTAAAATATCTAGATGGTAAATACACATACATACACTCACATACACATTTACTCAAACTGAAACATGTATATAGACAAGAAACACGTGCTTTATTTCAAGACAGTAACTCCACATGGTAGAAAGTCAGGATTTCTTATTCCACAATGCCAGGGTATCAAAATATAAGAAAAATGTCTGATGTCATTACATTTATAGACTGACTCCCTTTGGGGACAGTTTGATGTGCAAGTGTGTTTTTCAAGTCTTATGAAACAATAAGAAAATAAAGAAAAAAATTGTTACCTAATTTGACAAAAAGCTGTTCCTTTTTTTTTTTTTTTGAGATGAAGTCTCACTCTGTTGCCCAGGCTGGAGTACAGTGGCACGACCTCGGCTCACTGCAACCTCCATCTCCTGAGTTCAAGTGATTCTCCTGCCTCAGCCTCCTGAATAGCTGGGATTACAGGTGCACACCACCACGCCCAGCTAATTTTTGTATTTTTAGTAGAGATGGGGTTTCACCATGTTAGCCAGGCTGGTCTCGAACTCCTGACCTCAGGTGATCCACCCACCTCGGCCTCCCAAAGTCCTGGGATGCATGAGCCACCGCACGCGGCCTAAAGAGCTGTCTTATAGTTTGAGACTGTAAAGGTGTTTTGAAAGAATTAGAACTACTACACTGCCAGCTCTCAAGAAAAATAAAATGGCAAATGGGTAATTACAATAATCTGTCACGTGTTCAGTGTGTGCTGTAGGTGTTTAAATGCTTTGTCGCTTCACTTCTCATAATCCTTTGAGTAGCTATTCACTCATTTCAGGGATAAGAACACCAAAGCTCAGAGGGGAAGTTTGCCCAGCAAATTAGTGACAAAGCTAAGACGTGCCCTACTCCAAATGCAATGTTTTAAAACCAGACATGGTTCCAACCTTCATGCAGTGTCTTGAGGATGCATTCAGAGGTCTGGATTTGTGCTTAATGTAGGAGTTCATGATCAGAAGTAACTATGCTATCCGAACATGAGGAACCATATTCCAAACTCTGGCCTTTTGGATCTTGGGACATGTGTGCTAGAAATGGAATAACGGGGTCCAAAAGAATAAAGACTGAGGGGGCACAATGACAAGATCTTTCTCTCAGCACATTTTAAATTAACTAGAAGTAAGGAGGTGACAGCTGGGACCGATCCTGAATGCATAGTAGAGCTAGACATTCTTTGGCACTTGTCTAAGCACTTTTCATATATTTATTTATTTAATCCCACAATATCCTCATATGATAGGTTATAATCATCATCCCTCTTTGATAGATGGAGAAAGGAGATGAAGAAATATTAGGGAATTTGTATGAGATTTTACAGCCCATGAAATTTGAACTCAGTCATTCTGGCTCTGAGTAAACTGTCTCACCTAAAAGTGGGGAGTGGGATACAGGACCCATCTTGGGGTTCCCCAAATCAGGCTGGCACATGGGCACCTTCTTAATGTGTTGAAATGCCTACGCTTGGAATAAGAGACAATTAGATTTGAATCATGGTTACTTTGGTAATCCTGAGTCTCTCGGTCCTTATCTAAAAAAGAGATGTGATAACTCATATCTCACGGGGTTATTTTTATATTAGCTATGTAAAGTGATAGACTCAGGGGACCTCATTAGCAAATTGTACTCATCATAATACAGGAAGCCAGGCTTGGTGATCCCAGCCCTTCAAGATGCTAGGAGCTTGGCTCTGCAGGTTCAGAGTAGTAGTGGTGGTTAAATCTCTTCTTTCCTTTTTTGGTTCCTTTCCCTCTGTCTTAGAGTACATAGGGTACCAGAATGTTATATGCAGCAACAGCAGCTCTTAATTCCAGTGGTAATCCTAGCTGTGCTCAGGAAACTTCAGCAGAAGCCTCATGGGAATTTTTGCCCAATGATACTCTCAAATATTGCTTGAGAAATGAAAGCAGCATTACTAAGCCAATTTGGAAAGCCTTTTTGTCCACTTATTTTTAATTATAGGCACCCTTCTCTCCCTGTATCTGCCAATAAGGAGACAATTATGTATCACAGATGTTTAGGTGGAAAGAAAGTTTCTTGGTGGTTAAGATGTTCCATGGATAGTAGAAACAGATCAACTGTGAAAAAAGTAGATAAATTCTTTACCAACAGTGGTTCTTCTGACTGGAGTTTTACTATGAAAATGGTTCATATTTTGTCTTGCTTTAAAAATATTCAGTCTTTTGATCGTATGTGACTTGTTCAATCCAGTTCCTTTAGACAAAAGAAATTAGATCTCTCTCTCATAAAGGTGCAAGATTAAAGTACCAATCACTTATCCATCCTGTCCTCCATGTTTAATTCAGTGAAAATAATAGCAGTTGAGCAGGAGGCTGCCATTTTGTAAATAGGGAAACTGACACACAGAGACATTAAGAAACATATAATCCAAGTCACAGAACGAGGAAGGGATGAAGTTGGGAAGGCTGATGCCAGCACTTGTGTTCTTAACCACTATGCTAGACTGTCCCTCTTAGTAGAGAACAGACTTAAGGACCAAAATGGAGATCAAAATGTGGGCTTAATTAGTGAAATCCTAATGACTCCCAAAGTTCAGGGTTTTGGTGCAAATGTATTGAAGGATCTCACAAGAAACAAAGGCAAAATTATGCTGTCCTTCTGCCTGTGCCCAATTCTAGGGCCGCGAACACTTTCAATAGACTCTGAAGACAGTTCAATCTGCAAGGAGAATCACAGGCCTGGCTCTCAAACGAAGCTGAAAATGACAGACAGCAAAACTGCTGAGCAGAAATGTTCATATTGCCTTTTGAATGCTGTCACTCTGCTTCTGATAAATGTGCCCCTCTTGATGTCACGCTCTCAGTAATCAAATGGGCTAAACTGTCTGTAGGGAAGGACAAGCAAACCAATGCAGCATTTCTCCTAGAAGTTGGAAAGGGTAGCAGAGACTCTTTGCTTTCCTGACAGAGGAGGGTGCCTGCATGAGGAGGAGAAATACTCCCTCTACAGGAAGATCTATGGAGTTGGCAGTGAAAGCCCATTTTCACTTTCTCCATACAGATCGGAGACAGAAGAGAAAATCATGCCTTTAGGCGTCCCATGCATTTTGAAGCTGGTGATTCAAGTGAAGGGCAACCACCAGGAAATGTTTTCAGTGCCAGTGTTTTCAGTGTAGCTGGGACTATAGACACGTGCCACCAGGCCTGGCTAATTTATATTTTTGATTGACTATAAGAAAGTTTTTTTACTAATAATGAAGAAACTGAGAAGGTGGGTCTGGATTTAGGACTGCTGTTGTAAAATGCGGGTGAAATGTTAGCCTTTAAATATCGCTTTGCTTTCTTTCAATTTACGCTAGGTTATCTTTCTAAAGTTCAATCTAAAGTATCACTCACATTTTTCCCTGAAATTTTTAAAAACAGCATAATCTGGTATCGATTCTTACATTTATAGTACTTACGACCAAAAAAAAAATTCAGTGTATAAGACTTTCTAACCCTGAGTTAAACCAAATACACTTTGACCTTTTAAAAATTGGAGATATAAAAACAATACAGAATGTTTATAAAATAGAGAAAATTAGATGCTCATTAGGATGAGTTTCCTTCTTTTTTTTCCTAGCCCTATTTTCTAATTCTTCCTTATGGGACCAACTTTCTTTGGTGTTCTTCCCTCCAATTAGAGGGCATTACAATTTGACAATATAACAAATAGACATTAATATTTAAATGGTGTTTCTTTTAGAAGCTCTTTACAGTCTTTTTTGTTTGTTTGTTTGTTTGTTTTTAATAGAGTCTCTGTCACCCAGCCTGGAGTGCAGTGTAGTTACACCATCTCGGCTCACTGCAATCTCTGCCTAACAGATTCAAGAGATTCTCCTGCCTCAGCCTCCTGAGTAGCTGGGACCATAGGCATGCGCCACTATGCCAGCTAATTTTGTATTTTTAGTAGAGATGGGGTTTCACCATGATAGCCAGGCTAATCTCGAACTCCTGGCCTCAAGTGATCTGCCCACTTCACCCTCCCCAAGTGCTGGGATTACAGGCGTGAGCCACTGTGCCTGGCCTAGAAGCTCTTCACAGATTTATTGGCACACACCAATCCCAACTGTTATCCCAAATGACACTAAGTTTCAACATTTAGGGAAACTAAGTTCCTAATTAAAAATTAGAAGAAAAAAAGGCTACATCAAAGAATCGGAGACCCATATAACGTGCAGTTTAAACAAATTACCTCTGGATGCAAATTTGAGTATTTACCTATTTTTTGCTTTCTTTGTTACAAAATCAGTATAATACCAACATATAAGAGAATTTTGAAAAGTGAAAAGAACCAACTGCTATCTGGATACCGACATAATTACTTTCAATTGTGCAAATGTTATTAAATTCTTCAGCCTAGTGCTTATACATTTTACAGAGTTGTGATTGTACCATAAACCCAAATTTATATTACTTTATTTTCATTATAAAATATCCAATAAGTACCTTAAAAAGTGCCTGGCACACAGTAAGTATCACAAATAAATACTTCAAAGCATGGGAGGGATGTAAACATGCTCAAAAACTGTTTAAAGCCAGGATGCATTAGGATTTATACAATAGGGCAGAACTACAGTTGGTGCTCAGGAGACAAAGTATGAGTTAATAAATCACACCATTCACTTTCATTTGAGATACTTCAAGCCTCTTCTCTGGCAGGACACCTCAGCTGTTAAGTCTGGCATGAAATTTATGCTCTGCTAGGATGGCCTTGGGCTTGATATTGAAGAATATGCCTTTGATCAACATGGTGATCAGTCATTGATTAGCATGGCTCACAAGGGACAAGGTATTTGCTCTCTTTTGATAATGAGATTGAGCAGCCCACACTGAGGGCAGCTGAACAGGAAAAGTCGATGGAGAGGCAGGGAATCAACTGACAAGGAGGGCTGAGGGAAATCCATTACACTTCAGCCTGGTGAGCTCCTAGCACTTTTTCACACATATATTTTATAAAGTTGTAATAATTGTGTATATGGTTTTTGTGTGCTTTCTTTTACTAATTAACTTTGTCATACACTGTTATCCATGTGTATAAAGGATAGTGGTGTTACATGTAGGAGTATTTCCAATTCCAATTCTATTGTGCTATGAAACGATATAGCAAGCGTAGGACGTTGGGAAACACCAAGCATAAGAATTGATGAAAGTTCGCCATCTAGTGGATGTCATTTCTTTTTTGAAAACAATGTTAATGTAAGTATGTATTCCTCCCGGTCCACGTGTTTGGTTCCAGCCTTTGGGTAACCAGATTTCGGGAAGTGAGTTTGGATGGTGAGGGATACCCAAATCTGATTGGTTCCTGGGTTTTGAATAGTAAATTGTGAGAGCTGGGATAGCTCAGGCATGCCATTCACACAAGTACTTTCAGCACCACTTGAACATCTGCAATCCCAATGCTTCCAGGCATGAGGCCACTTGTTACTGGGGAGAAAAAGGGAGGGTGGGACGCTTGTGATGGTTAGGAGTACAACTCTCTTTTAGATAGTTCAAGAGTTCGTGTTTTAACTGTTAAGTTAGAGACCTAGGGAAAAAGTCTAGGCAATTGGAGACAGAGAAATGGCAGGGATGTCTTTTTGAGTTCTGGGATACACGTGCAGGATAGGATGTGCAAGTTTGTTGCATAGAAAAATGTGTGCCATGGTGGCTTGCTGCACCTATCAACCTGTCACCTAGGTATTAAGCCCCACATGCATTAGCTATTTATCCTGATGCTCTCCCTCCCCCTGACCCCCAACAGGCCCCGGTGTGTGCTGTTCCCCTCCCTGTGTCCATGTGTTCTCATAGATCAGCTCCCACTTACAGGTGAGAACATGTGGTGTTTGGTTTTCTGTTCCTGTGTTAGTTTGCTGCCCCATCCTAATATTAGGCTGGCATCCTCACGATACTACTAGTCTACACTTTCCAGAGTTGGTTTTTTAATAGAAAATGCATTCTGAATTCCAAAGATATACACATTTAAAACGCAACTTATTCCTTTATTAGACACTGTATGGGCCTGCTGAGTGGCATCACTACATAGTAGAAAGAGCATTGACCTTGGTCTAAGGCAGTCTTGCGTTTGAATCCTGCAACGTCACCTATTTAGGGCAGTATTTCACAGTTATAGACAGGCTCTGGAGCCAGCTTAACTTTGGTTCAAAGTCTAGTTCTACCACTTAACAGTTTTGTGACTTTAAGAAGTTACTTCATCTCTCTGGCCTCAGTTTCCTCATTTGTGAAGTAGGAATAGTAGTACCTATCTCAGGAAATGGTTGTGGGGAATATTAATAAAGCATTTAGAAGAATGCCAGTACATAGTGTTCAGTAAATGTTACTATTGCTAGCTAGTGTTTTCTATCTGTACAACTTCATATTTCGAAGTTTGTGGCATCATTGATACTAGTCTATATATGCTCTCACTGAAAAATCCACATATAAAAATCTATATATGATTAAATATTAAACTGCATGTGTAGTGGTAGAGTCCTTACCTTTGGGAAATAATTGGTTTCAGAGGTCCTCTAAGAACTAGATTCCTGAAAACACCTACATGATTTCAGTTCTAAAATGTTACCAATACTCAACTTAAAGATATACACATTTGCATTAACTTTGTGTGGGGAAGCTTTTTTCTTAAAATAGATTTTAATATCATTATAATGCTTAAAATCGTTATTCATAGAGAAAACAATCTAGAAGGATATGCACCAAACTAAGAACAACGGTGGGACTATGTATGATTTTTCTTCTTTCATTTCTAATTTTTTATATTGTGTTTATTTTTGTAGTGAAAAAATTATACTTACATTAAAGATGCATATGTGTGGGAAGTACAAAGGGAAAACAACACTCGGTGTTAACATATCTGAATCTTGATTGTTCACCCTCTCTCTACTTTAGGGTAAACAGATTTACAGAGAAACTCAACTGCAAAGCCCAACAGAAATATAGCCCAGTGGGCAACTTGAAAGGGAGATGGCAGCAGTGGGCTGATGAACACATACAATCCCAGAAGCTCAATCCTTTCAGTGAAGAGTTTGATTACGAGCTGGCCATGTCCACCCGCCTACACAAAGGAGATGAGGGCTATGGCCGCCCCAAAGAAGGAACCAAAACTGCTGAAAGGGCCAAGCGTGCTGAGGAGCACATCTACAGGGAAATGATGGACATGTGCTTCATTATCTGCACAATGGCTCGCCACAGACGAGATGGCAAGATCCAGGTTACTTTTGGAGATCTCTTTGACAGATACGTTCGTATTTCAGATAAAGTAGTGGGCATTCTCATGCGTGCCAGGAAACATGGACTGGTAGACTTTGAAGGAGAGATGCTATGGCAAGGCCGAGATGACCATGTTGTGATTACGCTACTCAAGTGAACCTTCAAAAACAAAAGCCAAATTTGGCCCACTATGGTCTTAATGCTAAATGCTCATGTAGGTAAAATGAAAATGCAAACTCTCTGTAATAAGTTAGTAAATATTAAACAATTTTTACATAAACGACTTTCTGGCATTCTATTTCTATCTAGAATGAGGAATTTTGGAGATTTTGAGAAGGCACAAAGCATTTCAGAAAGCACATAGAATGTTAATGTATAATAATAGTATTAATAGTTGAAATTCCACAGGGTGTTTTTGTTTTTGTTTTGAGACAGATTCTCTTTATGTCACCAAAGCTGGTCTTTTAACTCCTGGCCTCAAGTGATCCTCTCACCTCAGCCTCCCAAGTAGCTGGGATTATAGGCATGAGCAACAGCACCCAGCCACTTGTATATTTTAGGCAAAATATTTAGCTAGTCATTGTAGAAACTACTATAGATTTTTAATTAAACATTACATCTAAGAAGAATGCTGACTTGAGATAAATATCAGTAGAACATATAATAATGTGTCTTTATTTGGAAAAAAGAAAATACCATTAAGTTTGGTAAAACTAAACTTAAAATTTTTTCAGAAGCTTGACTTTGTATTATTGTTTATATCATAGCATCACTTACAAAACAAGCACATATATAAAAAGTTGTCAAGATGTTGCTGAAATTGTTGAAGTTCCTCTGTGGGCTTGGATTCTAACAGGTTTCCAGTAAGAGTTCACCTTCCTCTTGTTTGATTTCAGCAAATCACATAAAAACAGACACTTCCTGTCTTAGTACCAACAAAGGAAGGCACACCCTCACTAAAAGTAGAGCAGAGGTGAGAGATTCAGATTTACTTGCCTTTGTAGGACTTCTTGGAGAAGTTTATTGTTTCATTACATGTCAGCATATAACGAGTCAAGCTGCTTGCATTAACATCAATGCAATGATATGTATTTCTCCAACAATGGAGAAATACAGAAAATCTATGAAGTGGAATGTTCAGTATTAGAAAAATCCCATAGAATCATTGGTGAATTAAAAACAGATTTGAGACAGTTTAATGTTCCTCATACTGTAACAAAGAAAACTTTATGAAATGTTTAAGTCATAAAACTGCAATATTAGTTCTGCCAAAGTAAAAAATATACAATGATGATGGCAAGGAGAAAATCATTGGACATTAATGTGCCTATGTGATCTTAAAAACAAATGGAATGGAATGTGAGATTGCAATTCTTACTGGATTCAATGAAATTACTAAAATGCATTGATAGTATAGCACTTTGGTGTTAAATGTAAAAATTAATGTCTAAATATGATACCTCAAAATAATAGGTATTAGACTGCTATAAGAATTATATTTGTTTTCATGTATGAGTCTCTTTCAAACTGAAGGTTCTGGTATCTTAAGAAAGTATGCGTATTTTGTTTCCATACCGTATTTATAAAGCTATAAGTTAATGACCAATATTTCTAAGTAGGATTTCATGTAAGATGCACACTTCTATTACAAGTGAAACCTACGCCAAATGTTAAAGACAAATAGCATAAGAATAAAAGATGTTTTCTTGTATTTTCTGTTCTTGTTTTTATAGTATTTATAAGTTATATTCCACATACACTTTCTTCTGTTTGAAATACAATAAAATTATAGTGTGCAACTTAGGTTACTTATAGTATCAGTAGAATATGTATTAATAGATGAAGGTTTCAAGAGTCTCCTCATATTCAATTCTGAATAATATTAAGTTATGCAGGCACTGACATAGATTATTCAAAGTTCAATTTGTTTGAGTGTAAGGATGGAGTAAAAGGCCTCTTCTCAGACAGCTTCTAAGACATTGACACTCTTCTGAATAAGGCCTGGCTGTAAAGTGAGAAAGCTACTTTCCTTAGATAAAAACGCCTGCTGTGTGATAGGCACATCTTCCCAAGCACCTTGTGAGACAGATATCATCGTAAGAGGTGTCTTGTGATACTAGCTTGTGGTTTGTAGACTTTTTTCTTTATTGTGTATTATTCTTCTGATAAATATTTTATTTATTTTTAAGGCCATTTGTCATCTTAATGTTTCCTGAATTGGGATCCAAAAATATCTCCTCAAACAAAATATTATTATCCTACAAACTCCATGATAGGAATATCCATAGTTGGAAAAACTTAAGATATTTTGACAAAAAATTAAAACAAAAAATAAAAGAACTCAGGTGGCAAACAAGGTAATGAAAGTCCTCATATTTTGGGCCGGGCGCGGTGGCTCACGCCTGTAATCCCAGCACTTTGGGAGGCCGAGGCAGGCGGATCACGAGGTCAGGAGATCGAGACCATCCCGGCTAAAAAACGGTGAAACCCCGTCTCTACTAAAAATACAAAAAATTAGCCGGGCGTAGTGGCGGGCGCCTGTAGTCCCAGCTACTTGGGAGGCTGAGGCAGGAGAATGGCGTGAACCCGGGAGGCGGAGCTTGCAGTGAGCCGAGATCCCGCCACTGCACTCCAGCCTGGGCGACAGAGCGAGACTCCGTCTCAAAAAAAAAAAAAAAAAAAAAAAAAAAAAAAGAAAGTCCTCATATTTTTATAGTTACCAAATAATATATGAAATCATGTTATTTTATTACTGATAATTCTAAATTCCCAATAACAGGCAATATACAACTAATTTCCCAATCTTCAGGATTTTCCTTTTCCAAACTTTCAATCAGATGTTCGGAGGGTTTCTGTGCTGTACTTTATTACCCCTTCTATCTCATAACTTAAAGTTGTGTAAGTTCACCTCATCACTCTGCCGACTTACATCACAAGGAGGGAGGTTCTGAGCGTGGGCTTTCTTCTTCCCACAGTGTTGCAAGATGAGGCTGCATCTATTCTTGGTTTGCCTTCTGCTTTTTCCTTTCCCTTCCCAAGCTCTACTTCCTTCTTTTTCTAATCACTACTAACTGATAAAACGTAAGAATACCCAGTGCTGTTTCTCACATGATATAGAAACAATTCTGTGTAAACTAGAATTTTGTCAGTGGGAACTTCTCTATTACATTACTGAACAGTAATGGGTATATAAGTAATGGGTATATAAGAGGAGCAGGAGACCATGGAGTCCATACTGAAGTGACCCCTTAATGTAGATGTCCCCCAGGATTCCTAGAATATTTTAATTTCATTCCCAGTACCTATATTTTTAGTATAAGAAGTACACAGTCAATTTCTGTTACTTAATTTAAAAATGTGCTCTATGACCTAACCTCTCAGCCTAGAGGTTTTGTGGTCCATCCACCAGCTATCATTCCCATAAGGATTATCTAATAATACTATGTGCCCAGATTTGGGGGGCATGCAGTATCTAACAAAATTACATTGTATTTACTTTTTGACCAACAAATCCCACTCCTAAAATTTCTATAGAAGATACAACTCAAGCAATGTGAAAATACATATGCATAATGTGTTGTGCCTTGTTTTTAACTTAAAATACTATAAACAACCTAAAACATATAGGAAATGGTCAAATCAAGTATGGCATATGCACAAAATAGATGCAGCCATGAAAGAAAAGGAATATCTTTTAAGAAGTGAAATAGAGGGCCAGGCACGGTGGCTCACACCTGTAATCCCAGCACTTTGGGAGGCTGAGGCAGGCGGATCACGAGATCAAGAGATCGAGACCATCCTGGCTAACACAGTGAAACCCCGTCTCTACTAAAAATACAAAAACAAAATTAGCCGGGCCTGGTGGAGGGCGCCTGTAGTCCCAGCTGCTTGGGAGCCTGAGGCAGGAGAATGGCGTGAACCTGGGAGGCAGAGCTTGCAGTGAGCTGAGATTGTGCCACCACACTCCAGCCTGGGCGATGGAGTGAGATTCAGAGTATACCTCTTTATAGGGTTAGAGGTTTTGACTTTTGGGAACTTAAATATTATGCATGAAATAAAGTAAAATCAAATAGAAGTAGGAGAAAAACTAAAATTGGACACAAAGCAAATAAACTGAATTCTATTTTATCTTATTAAAATAACTACACAGGAAGAAAAAAGAAATGTACCCAACTTTTGAATACAATACTTTTTGAATAAATACTTTCAGTCTAAAGACATAAAAGAACTACAAAGAAATGTCAAATTCTACTTAATTTTGGTGTTTGGGAGGGCATGGGTTTGGCAATTCTGAAATTCTAAGGTGTGTATCATAAAATGAAGCAAACAAGTAAATACACAGATGTCCTGACTGTGGGGGAAGAGACAAACATGGAATGAGGGAAGACAAGCAAGAACTCTGTGATGTGAGATTGCAAGGAGTGGTATTGGTGTGAATTTATGCTGTATTTAGATGTCTCCTGAAAGGCCCTAAAGTGATACCACCCTAGTAGCAACAAGTGCCCCTGATTCTAAATAATATTCTCCTGCAAAGGAAATATGGGTCCTTTCAGAAATGGCTGATTCTAGGATTGGGTTACAGAAAGTACAAATAAATCTAAAACATTTTTGTTAAACGAGGAGTAAGCAAATGCTCAAGAAAATTGAAAAACTCATAGAAATAAGACCGATGGGGTTCTGACTGGTTAAGTCTAGGATAGAAATTGATTACGTAACCTTTTGAATTAGAAAAAAGAGAATTCGGCCGGGCATGGTGGCTCACGCCGGTAATCCCAGCACTTTGGGAGGCTGAGGCAGGCAGATCATGAGGTCAGGAGATCAAGACCATCCTGGGTAACACGGTGAAACCCCGTCTCTACTAAAAATACAAAAAAAATTAGCGAGCGTGGTGGTGGGCGCTGTAGTCCCAGCTGCTGGGGAGGCTGAGGCAGGAGAATGGCATGAACCCGGGAGGCGGAGCTTGCAGTGAGCCGAGATCGCGCCACTGCACTCCAGCCTGAGTGACAGAGCGAGACTCCATCTCAAAAAAAAAAAAAAAAAAAAAAGAAAAGAAAAGAAAAAGAAAAAGAAAAAAGAGAATTCATTAGTTCATACTGATAATACATATTCATAAATGATGGAGAAAGGAAAGCTCTTCCTTGTAGTAAATGGCAATGGCAACTAATGTGTTGGGAATGAAAAAGTTTAAAAATACGCATCTCTCTACATATTACTTATTACACAAGGAAAACTGATAGCAGGAGAGAAACATGGTAGACACTATCTAATCAAATAATCAAAGCTAATATCACCAATAAAGGGATAAACATACATTATGTGCACCCTGATTTGATGCAGAGGACAACACTTCTTTGGTTTTCCTATGAAAAATGCATAACCAAAATTTAAGCATAAGGAAAAATTCAGACAAATCCACATCAAAGCACATTCTACAATCCTGAAATTTTTCAAACACACAACTAACTGTCATGAAGCAATGAATAATGAGCTCTTCCAGGTTAAAAGAGATTAAAAAAAAAAAGGGCAGAACAATTGAATGCAATGCAGGATCTTTGGATCATGAACCAGGAAAAATAATGCTTGAAAGGATATTATTAGGGTCACTGGAGAAATTTGAAATGAATTACATATTAGACCATATTATTGTATTAATGTTAAATTCCCTGAATCTGATCATTGTACTTTGGCTATTTAGGAGGACATCTCTGTTCTTAGGAAATGCATACACATCTTTATAGGTAAAGTGAAACAATGAGATGCAGTAAATTAATAAGTAGGGTGTGTGGGTATGTGTACAGGAGGAGAGAGGATGGGAAGTGAAGAGAGCAAGCAAATAGTTCTGTAAACATTCCAGCACATCTCTTGGTAAACACATATACATATTACTGTTCAGTACATATCACTGAATTAAATTTGCTGGTCAAAGTCATGTGTATACTTAGCTTTAGTGGATACTGCCAGAAACATTTTCCAAGGTTGTTCCACTCTACATTCCCTTTTAAAACAGCTTTCAGTTTTGGGTTTTACATTTAAGTCTTTAATCCATCTTGAGCTGCTCTTTGTGTATGGTGTAAGGAAGCCGGGGTGATTCTTCAAAGACCTAAAAGCAGAACTACTACTCAACATAGCAATCCCATTACTGGGTATATACCCAGAGAAATATAAATCTTTCTACCATAAGGACACATGCATATGAACGTTCACTGCAGCGCTATCCACAACAGCGAAGACATGGAATCAACCTAAATGTTCATCAATGACAGACTGGATAAAGAAGATGTGGTACATATATACCATGGAATACTAAGCAGCCATAAAAAGAATGAGATCATGTCTTTTGCAGGAACACGGATAAAGCTGGAGGCTATTACCCTTAGCATACTAATGCAGGAACAGAAAACCAAATACTACATGTTCTCACTTATAAGTAGGAGCCAAATGATGAGAACTTATGAACACATGGAGGGAAACAACAGACAAAATGGTCTACTGGAGTGGGGGTGTGGGAGGATGGCAAGTAACAGAAAAGGTAACTGTTGGGTACTAAGCTTAATACCTGGGTGATGAAATAGTATGTACAACAAACCCCTGTGACACGTGTCTACCTATGAAACCAACCTTCACATGTACCCTCAAACCAAAAATAAAAGTTGGAGAAAACAACAGCTTTCACTCTTATTGGACACCTTCTTACTTTCAATGATGTCTTTTGATGAAGTGCTTAAAGTTTTAATGTAGCATAATTTATTTTTTTCCTTTATATTTAGTGCTTTTTGTGTCCCATTAAAGAAATATATGCTTACCCTAAGGTCATGAAGATATTCTCCTATATAAACTAATGTCTTTATTGTTTTGCTTTTCACAATTATTTTTCAATCTCTAATTGTTTGTGGTGTGAGATAAGACTTTTTGTTCCATATAGATATCCAATTAATCTACCATCTTTTTTTTTTTTTTTTTGAGACGGAGTCTTGCTCAGTCGCCCAGGCTGGAGTGCAGTGGCACGATCTCTGCTCACTGCAAGCTCCACCTCCCAGGTTCATGCCATTCTCCTGCCTCAGCCTCTCGAGTAGCTGGGACTACAGGCGTTCGCCACCACACCCGGTTAGTTTTTTGTATTTTTAGTACAGACGGGGTTTCACCGTGTTACCCAGGATGGTCTCGATCTCCTGACCTCGTGATCCACCTGTCCTGGCCTCCCAAAGTGCTGGGATTACAGGCATGAGCCACCACACCCGGCCTAATCCACCATCTTTTATTGAACAGACTGTCTTCTTTACTGAGCAGACAGCAGTATCACCTTCTTCAGAAATCAGTTTCTTTCTGAACTTTTGACCAATATATTGTCTTTCTTACTCAGCTTTCTAATAAATCATGATTATCTGATACTGAAGACCAGACACTCAATTCTTCCATGATGGCTTAGCTATTCTTTGATTTTACATTTCCATATAAACTCTACAATCAGTTTAATTTCCAAAAAATAAGCCTGGGTGAGATTTTCACTGTCAATATAATTTAAGAGAACTGATATCTTTTAATCAATATTGTCTGCCAGTAATGAATATGGTATATCCTTCCTATTTTGGTCTTCACTTTGTTATATATCTGATATTTTCAATGGTATTACAAATGGTAATACATAAATTTCATATTTGTTTGCATATAAAAAGTGAAAGAGTTTTATTGTTTTTTGTTGACTTTTAAAGTTCATCTTTCAGAATAGTATATAAAATGTCCTACTCCCAAAAAGTTTATTCTCCTGTTTCTCACATCATACTCTCATAAAGTCCACGACTAACTTCATTTTGCCACCTGCTTTTTTTTGTTTTTCCTCTATGTACCTTGCCCATCTTGATAAATAATACAACTAAACTCTTAAATCAAAATCCTGGGAGCTATCTTTAACTTTTTCTGACATCCAATCAATAATCAACTCCTGTTCATCCTAACTCATAAATCCTTTCCAAATCCATGCTTCCTTATTACCATTACCACTGTTCTTATTCGGGCCTAATCATTTTTTTTCTGGACTTTATAAAAGGCTTGTTTTCCCCTTGTCTCTAGTTGTTCCTTCTACTCATCTATTTTTCACAGATATTTTCCTAAAGTATACACCTGATCATGTCATTCCTCCTCTCAAATGTTAACTGAACCTACGGGATACAAAATATCAAAATTTCTTGGCATTGCACACACATAACTGTTTATGATAAGGGGCTTAGCTTGTTATGCATTCTCCACCCAAAATGAAAACAATGTACTTTAAAAATATCAAATAACTTACACTTTCCCATGTGTCAAGTGCCTTCTCCCATCTCCATTTTAAAAAATGTAATGCTCCCTCTAATTGAATGCATTCTCCTATCACTATTACTCCTAACACCATGACCACCACCACCACAATGTAAGCTATTAGAAGCATTAAAAAAAAAAAGATAGTAGTAGGCTTAATCAAAGACTTGTTAAGAAAATGAGTATTCAATAAATCCAAACTCATTTGTATTTCTGTATTTGATTTTATTTGGTATATGCCACTATGACCTTATTTTAGTAGAAATCCATTACAGGATTTTTAAATTATCATTAGTCAACTCCACAAAGACAATAATACTGCTGTGGAAGACCGAAGGGGAAAAAAACTGATATATTTATTTACAATTCCCTATATTGTAAACATTTAATCTATATATTGTTACTAACTTATAATGAGACAAGGAAATGATGCCCTGTATTTCTATTCATATTCAGCAATAGCATATTATAATAGAACATCAGATTTTCTTTTCCATTAGCATTATGCTTTCTTTAAATAATTATCTAAACTTTCAAAAGAACTAAATATGTAAGTGCTATACAACTAAATCTACTTAAGCCAAATATTTGGCTTATAATTTCATTTTTAGAATAACTTAAAGTGCTATAAGCAACCTGGCAATCAACACTTTCTGTAAGAACAAAACTACACCTTTAAACATTAATTTACAAGATATACAATGTTTATCTGGAATAGCTGAAATTTCAGCACAAAGTCACTGTCACATGTATAACAGCAGGATTCTTTTTTGCATAACATGAAGCTTTAAAATCAACTGATGAATTATTGCCACAATGGCTATTATTGGTTTCCTACAAAAGAGGATAAGAACTACTAGTGTATTCTATCTTTTCATTTTTTTTTTGAGGTCACTTGACAGTAAGTTTGCATATTCAACAAGTCTACTGAGTTACAATATTGTCTACTATAATCATTGCCCTTTATAAGAGCAAATGCTAATGGTAATTAATAACATATACCACTCAAAGAAAATCACAATTTTTTTTTTCCTTTTGAACAAGAGTAACCTATATTTTGGGAGTTGGTGTGCAATAAGGCTAAAACAACCAAATTATAAAACAGTATACCTGACACAGTATGTTGAGGAAATATGCATCTGTTTCATAGTTTTTGTACTTATGTTAATGCCTTACTAAGCTACACATATGTAAATAGTATGTTTTCTTGCTAATATATTAAATCCAATAGAATCATTAAGTTCTCATTCTCCTTTGTGACTTGTAACTTTATCAGATAATTTAATGATGAAAGCATATGCCCAAACCTGCAGATCATATGTACTGTCATCTATTACAACCAGAATTCTCCTCACATTTCATTTTTCTTAAAAGGAAATTGAGAATACCTGCAACATCGTTAAAGAGAATGTTGTAGTGTGAATAAAAACTAGAACTCAGTGGTCTATGAAGTATGTATTATTTTGGCAAGTGATTTTTTCCTTCCTAAGAATAAGATGAACATGTCCAAATGTTACCTGTGCCAACTTCACAGATACAGAAGTATCCAGTCTTCATTTCCTCAATGCCCCAATTAGACTGTTCTAGTAAACGAATCAATATAGTTAAAAAAAAAAAAATCAATACAGGTTCAACAAAAGAGCACCATCCTATTAGGGAACTGAGTAACATGTGAAAATGAAGTTGTCATTATAATCAAAATGTTGCCCAAATTCTAACAAACCCAAGCTGTTATACTAGTACATGGACGCAGTCCCTAGTGTTAACCTAAAGAACTCTGGGACAAGAACATGATTTGAAAAATAAACTCCAAAATTATAACTGTAATAAATGGTGATACAGACTAATTTTAAAGCACAAGTGACATGTTACACTGTATTGCTTCTTGAACTTTCCAAACAATGCTTGTCCATGTCAGGTTTGGGCCATTCTCCTGCTAAGACAGAGAGCATTTTATTTATTCAAAAGCCCAGATTTCAATATCTTGGATAAAGAAATCTTCCTTCTTAGAAAGTGTACGATTCCCAAACGTTTTACAAGAATGGCTTCTTCCATGGTAGAGATCTCCATCAAGCCAAAGCGCAAATTCTCCTCTGCAATACATAAATAATAATCTGTTAATATTTATGCCTTAAGTTATAAAACAATTTAAATGAGACTTTGAATACCTAACAACCCTAAAGTTATTAATTTTCTCAAATCCTTCCCTACTCCTTTCCACACTGACACAATTTTGTTTTACTCCTATTCCATTAAAAAATTATTTATGGGCCGGGTGTGGTGGCTCATGCCTGTAATCCCAGCACTTTGGGAGGCCGAGGCCAGCGGATCACCTGAGGTCGGGAGTTCAAGACCAGCCTGACCAACATGGAGAAACCCTGTCTCTACTAAAAAATACAAAAAAAATTAGCCAGGCGCGGTGGCACATGCCTGTAATCCCAGCTACTCGGGAGGCAGAGGCAGGAGAAGCACTTGAACCCAGGAGGCGGAGGTTGCAATGAGCCAAGATTGCACCATTGCACTCCAGCCTGCGCGACAAGAGTGAAACTCTGTCTCAAAAAAAAAAAAAAAAAAGAAAAGAAAAGAAAAGAAAAAAATTATTTATGATACAGACCAGGAACAGTGTCCTCTATAATGAACTTTATATAGGATTAGCTTTTGAGACAGGTACTACGCTGTAATTTTTTGCCTGGTATTATGAGTTTTTCTTTGGGTATTTTTTTTAGTATGGTTTTTTTTTTGTGTATGTGTGTGTTTATCTTTTCGGTATGGTTTTAACATATTTAACATGACTTTCGCAAAGGCACAAAAATTCAGTATCATCTAAAATAAAATTTGGGGATTCATGTTAAGGACCTAGTAAATAACTCTGGTTTCCTGCATAGGAAGCTGTTTGCAAAAGAGCTCAGTTTGAAAGGACTTTAAATGGACAAATATGTGATGTTGAGATTCAAGCAGAAGAACCAAGATATAATCTAGGTATAACAGGAACTTAACAGATAGATTATAAGGTCCAATTTATCTAATTATCTAATACATAACCGAGAGGGGAAAACACCAGGTTATGAGAGGACTTCTTTCTATTCTCTAGAAAATGTTTTCCTACCTAATAGAAGAGGAGAGGGGGCAAAGACTATTAATTAACATAATATCCAGAGAGCTATCCCTTGGGATTCTCTAAATCTAAAGTAATATATCAAGTCAGCAGAATTGAGCCAGAGTTTAGGAGGCGGAGGCTTTTTTAAAAAATATGGGCAGTTATATTTCATTGAAAGAAAAAAACTGGTCTGGGATCAAGACTTGTCTGTCAACTCAGTGGCCACAACTTATGTCAAACTTAGTTAAGTCACTTAACCTCTCTGGGGTAGAGTTTGTCAATTATATTAAAACACACAAAAAAGAAAAGCATATTAGGTAATTGTAAAGACTTACACAACTCTATAATTTGGGTGGCTATAACCTCTGACCTTCAGGCTTGCCATCAGGAGTCACATGGCATTACAGAGTTAACTGACTTGTGTGGGAGAGGAACTGACCTATTTTTTTTTTTTTTTTTGAGACAGAGTCTCGCTCTGTCACCCTAGCTGGAGTGCAGTGGCGTGATCTTGGCGCACTGCAAGCTCCGCCTCCTGGGTTCACGCCATTCTCCTGCCTTAGCCTCCCAAATAGCTGGGACTACAGGTGCCTGCCACCACGCCCGGCTAATTTTTTCTGTTTTTTAGTAGAGATGGGATTTCACTGTGTTAGCCAGGATGGTATCGATCTCCTGACCTTGTGATCCACCCGCCTCAGCCTCCCAAAGTGCTGGGATTACAGGCGTGAGCCACCGTGCCTGGCCTGGAACTGATCTATTTTTAACACTATCTTAGAACAAAAGAAAGGAACTATTTATTTATACTCTGTAATAAAAAACAGCATCAAATATATAATGTATATTAATTACATATACAAATTTTAAGTATAGAGATGTGTTTCTAAGTAGAGAAGGTGGCTACAGTGACCATGTAGAATGGTTCCTTTAAGAGTTGGGGCCGGGTGCAGTGCCTCACGCCTATAATCCCAGCACTTTGGGAGGCTGAGGCTGGTGGATCCCCTGAGGTCAGTAGTTTGCGACCTGCCTGGCCAACATGGCGAAACCCTGTCTCTAATAAAAAATACAAAAGTTAGCTAGGCGTGGTGGTGGGCGCCTGTAATTCCAGCTGCTTGGGAGGCTGAGGCAGGGGAATCATTTGAACTTGGGAGGCAGAGGTTACAGTGAGCCAAGATTGTGCCATTGCACTCCAGCCTGGGCGACAAGAGTGAAACTCCATCTCAAAAAAAAAAAAAAAAAAAAAAAAAAAAAAAGAGTTGGTACTTCACAACAAAACAGAAAAGACAGATCAGTATAGTAATTCACAATGACCAGGTAAAGAGATCATCCAGTGTCACTCAAGAAGAGAGTTGACAGTACAAAAAAACTGTAATGGGATAACCAGTGATGACGTTCTGATGAACCTCTTCTATAAATGAAAATGGGACTTTGCTAAGATACAAGAACACCCTGAAAATCATAACAATCCAGAGTCTGTGATACAGAAGCACTGCAAAACTATATCGTCCCCAAAATGCCCCCTGTCCCATGAGGAAGCCATCATTTGTTAAGGTTCAAATTGAAATTCATATTTGTCTAATTTGTTCAACTTTAAATGTGCATTTATCATGTTTCAGACACTGGCACTGGAAAATACAGAGATAAATTAGAAACGCATTTGAATTAAAAAGTTTATGGTCTTATGACAATAGACTTCTAGAGACTCTAACTCTACTGGCAACAACATGCCTTTAAAGAGATATCTGAATCCATGAGCCTTAAAAGCGCGAATAGACTATCATAGCCAATCTATTAGAAAGGAGAATATGAAAGGGTCAGACTTGCTCATAAAAACCTTCTGCTAAATATGAAAGGGTTAATAAAAGATTAAGACATCTAGTTGTAATCTCAGATGACTGCATCTAAGTAGTACCTCAAAATTGACCTTCAAGATTCATGAATGTCACTGATGCTGCAGTAAGTTTTATTACCAAGTATGAATAGTTTTTTCCAAGGTAACCTGAATTTTCTGAAGCCCTGAGTAGAAGCTTTCAACATTTTTGTCAATTTCTTAATATCACATATAAAATTGGATTATTTGTATATTCATTTTAGGACAATGGGTACCTCTGCATTTCATCAGCATTTCAAAAAGGTATGTGATATCCAAATATTTAAGTAAATGTATTTAAGAGGTTACAGATCTGTCCCAGGTGAAACACCCAGAAAGCCAGAAAGTGTATTTTTATATGAGCAATGCTTTCAAAGATGATTCATACGACTTTCTGAAAAGAGAATGGCTAAGGAAGTGGAAGGAATAAAAGTAGTCTTCTAAATCTTTAATTAATGTCTTATAGCTCATGCAGCCAATGATACTGCAGGCAGAATTCTTCCTGGTATCAGAAGGGAACAGATCATGTTGGATGAAAGAAAATGAGTAAAGGTGGCTATCAGTTTAGGTGGCTATCAGTTGTTGAGTACTTACTATATGCCAGATACTATACTAGGATTTGCACAAAAATTATATCCTTGTGAATTCCTTATAATCTCTCTACAAAACTGGTTTAATCTCCAATTTATAGCTAAGGAAAGTTTAGATTTGTTAAGGAGTTTGCTCAAGGTACCACATACAGCATATGTTGAAGTGAGAATCTGAATCATGTCTATTGGACTCCAAAGCCTACATTAAGTCCACTACATCATTTTTCTTTTGGGGTGCTTTTCCCTTGGAATTCTGGAATATCAACTCCCTGTAGTTTCTGCTTTCTGAAGCTGTACTCTCCTTTAAACACTGAAAACTTATATTAATTTATTATCAAATAACCCAGTGGTTACTCTAGCTTGGTGAAATCATGTTGTACAATAAAATCTAGTTCCAGCAGACATCTAATGGCATTGTGTATGACATTTTTGAAGACTTAAAGCACCCATAAAATCTTGAAATTATAAGCCACTAGATTGAGTGGACCTGTTGGAGAGCTAACAGAATCACATGTAAGACTACTGTTTAGGGGAGGGCTGAATGATACCCCCCCCAAAAGGTATAATTGGACCATGTAAATACATGCTGAGTTCAACAACTAAAACTAACAGAGAAGGCTACAATAACCATGATCACTTTTTAATCACCCTACTTATATCCTCCAAACACCTACTTACAGAGAAGTTGTAAGAAAATTTGTTAATAATAGAATAACCTGGGATGATGAATATTCTTTGGTGGTCTGAATAAATTATCATTATATATCCTCAACTGTGGGATACAAATAATGTAACACTTTTACAAGTCTGAAAATTATTTAGCATACCCATGTCTAATACTGAAAGACAGAAATACCAAAGGAAGGAGTTGTTGCTTGCTAAGCCCAGGCTAGGTGGGACCAGAGCAGCCTACCTCCCAACAATGCAAAGATTAAAGGAGGCTGGGATACCAAATAAAAAACAAAGCTCCTCACAGTACTTGCAATGCCAAGATAATCACATTATTGTCTGATTCATAATTGTTAAAAAACAAGCAAGCAAAAACCCCATTTCCATTATTGTCTAAAATATCATTCCAAATGGTCTCCAGAGTAGAATAACATGAAAACAATTGGACTTGTTCTATGCATTGGGAGAAATAAAATATTCCATCACAGTTATTTAAAAATTAGAGAAGTTCAAAGGTACTGAGATATTTCCCTTTATATTATCAAAGAGCCACTGTGCTCTAAAGAAAAAGATGGGTCTTAATAAACAGTGAATAAACTGAACAGTATTTTAAAATGAAGAAACAAATACTCCATCAATAGTTTCAATAACTACACTTGAGCTACTTCTTGCAAATACATTATACTCTCTTTTTCATAATATACAAATTTGAATTCTAACGTCAACACTTTCTAAAGACAACTGAATTTATAAATAATCCAAATGCATTTTTAAAGTTCTTCAAAAATCTCATAGTGAAATGTTCAAGAGACTTACCCTCCACCACCGAAAGCTAGTGAATCCATGTCTCCTTTGATAAAAAACATATTATCTCCTGTCCACTTAAAGACCTATATAAATTTAAAAAAAGCTTTAAATATATAGATGAAATGGTTATTATAGAGAGTTAGTTCTCCAAAACTCAAACGAGTTAACAAAGCCAAGACTGGCAGTATAAGAATAAGAACACCACAAAAAGCTCCGCACAGAAGGCTCTGGTGGTTTGGGTTTCAGTGTTTATATGACTAAATTTGAAAGCACACACTCTATCACTTAACTTTCAATTCCAATTTCTCAAAATTTTGTTAACTTTTCACACATACTTCTTTCTCCTGACTCTACAGACACCAAGAGTTGGACGGTTAATAGAAAAAATTGAGAAAGAAGTAAATGAGTTGAAAAAAAATCGGACACAAATGCCATTAACTTTTACCATTAAACAGAAATGTATGTTAATTGGATAATATTTTAACATAGGGCCAAGGCCTTTTCTTTGCATATATATTTACTGATCACAGTTCTTAAATAAACCATGACCATAATGGGTATTTATGATTTTCAGTTTCAATTTCTTTAAACAGTGAGAACTTAAAATCATTTGAGAAATCCAAGAGCAAACTAGACATGAATATTCTTAAATATCTTTTTCTAACCTTTTATGGGTGTTTTACCTAAACCTAACATAGTAGCAATTTCTAGCAACTTACTTTTATCAAGTTTTTAAAATGTGTTCATTACAGTTTTCAATAAAACTTTCTTTTAGCACTCGTTTTTCATAGTTATGTAACATTTAATTGACTACATTATTACACTTATCAGGTAGCAGTAACATAAAAAGTTTGAGAATAGGCACCACTGATGCTTAGAAAATCTGTAATAACTACAAGCTTTCAAGTAGCTGTTGCTATCAGTTGACATATTTTATGGAAGGAATGAAAAGCATTGGTTATTCTGGTGAGCTAGTTAAGTACAAATTTGCTAAAAGAATTTTTATTGTGTTACCAAATCGTTCCTATTTTCTTCATTTATTTTTATAACCAATGGTGTTGATTCCTTTTCTTGAGATTAAAATGAAGGTTTTACATGCCACACTCCAATGTGCCCGAGATACTAATATTGCACTCAATGTTTTAAGAATAGTCACACATTCACTAAAATTCATTTATACCTTTACATTTTAGATTTTATTGGCATGAGAATGTATTCAATTTGTGTTAGTCAAGCCACAGTAAAGCCACACAGGTAAAGAAAAAGAAACCAGTCAATAACTTGTTATTTAAATCCAAATAATTTATTTTTTATGCTTTCATGACTTACATCATTAAGCTTAGTCATTAAATGTTTCTGGAAATTTCACAATGACAATTTGTAAACAGAATAGTAATGATAATGTATATTCTTTACTAAGTCCATAATTTGTGTTTGGTGCCATCCCAAGTATTATATATAAATGATCCTCATTTAATTATTAAATGATCATGCCATATTTTATGATTCCTCATTCTATCTACAGGAAAGTTGAAGTTCAAAATGGTCAAAGAAAAGTTACCAGGGAGTAAAAGGCAAAGATAGGGGACAGATGCAACTTGCATGACTCCAAAGTGCATGGTTTTTTCATTTATGCCATCTCTTTCTCTTTTTTTTCCTTTAACTTTTAAGTTCAGGAGTACATGTGCAGGATGCACAGGTTTGTTACACAGGTAAACGTGTGCCACAGTGGTTTGCTGCACAGATCATCCGATCAACTAGGTATTAAGCCCAGCATCCATTAGCTATTATTTCTGATGCTCTCCTCTCCCTCCCCACACCCTCACCCTGCGACAGACACAAGGTCTGTGTTGTTCCCCTGAAATGTGTCCATGTGTTCTCATCATTCAGCTCTTTCTTATAAGTGAGAACATGTGGTGTTTAGTTTCCTGTTCCTGCATTAGTTTGCATGGTGTATATGGTGTATTCCATGGTGTATATGTACCACATTTTCTTTATCCAGTCTATCATCGATGGGCATTTAGGTTGATTCCATGTCTTTGCTATTGTGAATAGTGCTACAATGAACATTTGTGTGCATGTATCTTTATATTAGGAGGACTTACATTCCTTTGGGTAAATACCCAGTAATGGGATTTGCTGGGTCAAGTGGTATTTCTGCCTCTAGGTCTTTGAGGAATTGCCACACTGTCTTCTACAACAGTTGAACTAATTTACACTCCCACCAACAGGGTAAAAACATTCCTTTTTCAGTTGGGCGTGGTGGCTCACGCCTGTAATCCCAGCACTCTGGGAGGCCGAGGAGGGTGGATCACCTGAGGTCAGGAGTTCGAGACCAGCCTGGCCAACATGGCAAAACCCCGTCTCTACTAAAAATACAAAAATTAGCCAGGCATGGTGTGTACACCTGTAATCCCAGCTACTTGGGAGGCTGAGGCAGGAGAATTGCTTGAACCTGGAAGGCAAAGGCTGCACTGAGCTGAGATCATGCCACTGCACTCCAGCCTGGGCGACACAGCAAGACTCTGCCTCAAAAACAACAACAACAACAACAAAATAAAACATTCCTTTTTCTCTGCAACCTTGCCAGCATCTGTTATTTGACTTTTTAATAATAGCCATTCTGACTGGAGTGAGATGGTACCTCATTGTGGTTTTGATATGCATTTCTCTAATGATCAGTGATGTTGAGCTTTATTTCACAGGTTTTTTTGGCCACATGTATGTCTTCTTTTGAAAAGTGTCTTTGCCCACTTTTCAATGGTGTTTTTTTTCTTGCAAATTTGCTTAAGTTCCTTGTAGATTCTGGATATTAGACCTTTGTCAGATGGATAGATTGCAAAAATTTTCTCCTATTCTGTAGGCTGTCTGTTCACTCTGATGATAGTTTATTTTGCTGTACAGAAGCTCTTTAATTAGATCCCATTTGCCAATTTTTGCTTCTGTTGCAACTGCTTTTGGCATTGTTGTCATGAAATCTTTGCCCGTATCTATGTCCTAAATGGTATTGCCTAGATTTTCTTCTAGGGTTTTTATAATTTTGGGTTGTACATTTAAGTCTCTATCCCATCTTGAGTTAATGTTTGTATATGGTTTACGGAAGGGGTTCAGTTTCAATTTTCTGCACATAGCTAGCCAGTTCTCCCAGCACAATTTATTAAATAGGGAATCCTTTCCCTATTGCTTATTTTTGTCAGGTTTGTCAAAGATCAGATGGTTACAGGTGTGAGGTCTTATTTCTGAGTTCTCTATTCTGTTCCATTGGTCTATGTGTCTGTTCTTATACCAGTACCATGCTATTTTGGTTACTGTAGCCTTGTAGTATACTTTGAAGTCACGTAACGTGATGCCTCCAGCTTTGTTCTTTATGCTTAGCATTCTCTTGGCTATTTGGGCTCTTTTTGGGTTCCACATGAACTTTAAAATAGTTTTTCCTAATTCTGTGAAGAATATCAGTGGTAGTTTAATGGGAATAGCACTGAATCTATAAATTGCTTTGGGCAGTATGTTATGTCAACTCTTTATAAATAAAATATTGAAATAGTGGTTCTTACCTCAAACTCCGGACAGAATGTAAAAACAAAGGTCTCTCCAGTACCATAAAAGCCATCACTCACTTTCAGTGGCTCAGATGCTAACGCACCAAAAACCTAAGGATAAAAAAGGCATATTCAATGACACGACTAACAAATTTATTCCAGTAAGCATTATTTCATCATATATGTTTAAATAAAATGCAAAAAATAGAAATCTGGTATAGTTTAATCTAATCATACTTAAAAAGGGAAAAATGGTTAGCTGCTATATAATTTACATTATTGTCAAATATGAAGTATATTGGTTTTTCAATGGAAATACAGATTTTTTCCTAGTTTTTAAATTTTGGGATTTTATTTAAAGTAATTAAGCAGACAATCTTAAAAAGTGGTTAACACATTTCAGGACGACTTATATGTACAATGTATGTATGATATGGATAACATGATGCTATGGGATTGCGGTGCTTAATAAAATAAGTCCTTCAGTATAGGGAAACATTCTATCACTTTTAAAATATGATATTTTTTCTTTATCATTATACAGTAAATTCCATGAGGGCAGGTGTTATGTGTGAATTGTTTTGTCCTTTAACCCTGTGCATGATCTTATACAAGACACACAGTACCCTAATGAGAAAATTGATGAATAAGAGATTGACCAAGTAATTTCAGTGTTATGGGCTGAAGTTTCCACATCAGAAATGGGAGTGCAGAGAGTCTGACAGATAATCTGTACAGTCACTGTCTATCCTGACATTCTATCTTTATAGTCTTAATTTTGAAAATATTTCCTTATTGAAAGGTTATTTTACATATACATTATAGAAAAGTACACAAAACATAAACACATAGCTCAGTTTAGAACTATCACATGGCAAAGTCCCATGCAACATTCATTCAGACCAAGAAACAGAACACTACTAGTTCTAGAAGCTCTCTTTGTGCTTCCTCTCATCAATAGTCTCAACTACCTGAAGGAGTTACTAGCCTAATACCACTATAGATTCATTTGGCCCACTGATAAAACTTTCTATAAATGAAATCATAAGAAAGTTACTCTCTGGTGTTTGATTTCTAATTCAATATTATGTTTGTGACATTCATTTATGCCATGGCATGTAGCAGCAGTTCATTCATTTTCATTGGTGCAAATACTTTTTCTTGGGTATGTAACCTTGGGCAAGTTGATGAGCTTATGTCATAGTTGACTCATTCTTTAATATAAAGATAACAGTATCAATCTCATAGGGCTTTCATGATTAAATAACATAATGCATAAGTGATTAGTCAAGTTCCTGACACATAAAACACTAAAAGTGTTAGTAATACCAGTGTTTTGTTCTAATATTGCTATTTTACCTTCTCATTAGTTTCCAATTACAACTGACTTGAACTTGCTGTTTGAAGAACAAACCAATATTACTCTTATTTGTGCTTTTGTTCTGGCTATCACCTTCAAACAATTATCTTTAATCAAAACTTCACCCATTATTCAAGATTCTGTCAATTTCTACCTTTCCCATGAACCTCATTCTTATTTCCTCACTTTTTCTAGGTTCTAAGAAACCTACCATTTTCCCCACCATTAGAGATGTTGGTATGTGCAAATGTTCTTTTCTACCACTCTATAATCCCTTTGAAGGCAGTAATTCTTAATCATCATGCTCATATCTATCCTCTGTAATACTCAACATTGCCTTGCATATTAAAAGTACCCAGTAATTATCAGTTAAACAATAAAATGCACTAATAAAGTAATGTTTATCAAATAAATATGCTAAAAGTTACTGTTACTGCTCTTAAAGGATAAGCAATCTATGCAGTTGGTGTTTCATACCTGTCCATCACTGTCTTTAATCACCATCAGCACTGGGGTGTCTAAACCTGTCATTGTTCGATAAAGAGTTTTCAAGCTTGTGCCATGTTTTCCAGTACCATAAACAAGAGTCCATGGATAGCCAATTGTTCTTGGTGGAAGATGCTTGGTAAGCTTTAGAAAACAAAGTGTTAGTATTTACTTGATAGCTTGTTGTTCATTATGTAGAATACTAATGCCAGCTGGAATGTAATGGTGCCTATATAATATAGGCTATAAAAATAAATTAACAGTAGAAATTATTATTCTCAAAGATACTAAGATGATTGAAAAGTATTACACATTTCTCAGAATAAAATATTAATTGTCTATTAGGAAAATAAAGAATCACCCTGAACCAGACACAGATTAGAACAGAGATAAGAAACATAGATTACTTAATGCTTTTGCCTTCCATATTGAATTAACAAAAATACTTGATAGACTATTAGCTTGATTATTAAAATATCTCTTAAATAATAGGCTAGGGAGACAGACTATCCAAGTTAGGAATCAAGCTTTAATACTTCTCCCTGTGTGACCTTGAACAAGTTAATCGCTCTGTGCTCCCGATTTTTTAACTTAATAAAAAATGTGCATAATAAGAGCATCCAATTTCTACAGCTGTTGTAACAACTACATGAAATAATCCACATAAAGCAAGTAACAAGCACACAACAATAAAACAAATATTGGCTTTTAGTGTCTGCTTACCTAAATCTCCTAACATCTTAATTAACACTAGTTGCTATGTTTTGCTTACTCTTTCTTTTCACTGGAGTGGAATAGTAATAGCATTAACGCTGTTGCTTCAGAAACAACTAAAAAGAGGCTGTTTTACTCTCATGGGTACACACTCACACTCAGAAATGCACATATGTGAGCATGTCATACCTTTTCAATTTGATCTGGCAGTAAAAGTTCACTGGGATCACTTAGGTTTGGTCGAAAAGATTCAGACTCCAGGTCTGCTTTCACTGTAGCAACCTGCTTTGAATTTATGTCTTCCCTTGTAGTAATCTAAAACAGTAAATAGAGGTAGTGCATTAATGTAAACTTGTGACATGCTTTCAAAATTGTCAGACTTTTCAGATAAATAAAGCTTTATATCGTAGAAAATGTGGCTAAATCTTTAACCTTAAGATTTTATAGGGCAAAAGATGGCCCATATCTAATATCTATGATGTAGCCAATGTAGGAAAAGATTTTATAACAATATAAGCAGACGTTTTCTCATCCACTACATGAGGAACGACTGGTAGGAATGATAAATCCCCATATTTCTGTGTAAAGAAGATAGTTGCATGCATCTTTAATTAAGCCCTTGAAGGGCAAAAGTCAGCTAGCTGGCTTGCGCTGTGTGTGTGTGTGTGTGTGTGTGTGTGTGTGTGTGTGTGTGTGTATGCTATTTAAAATAGAATTCTTTCATGCTAACACAAAATTTGTCAAAAATAATGAACAAAACTTCCTGGGTGCCAAAATTTTAATGTAAAGAATAGTAGAATAAAAAAAAATAACTATTTTCTGTGAGTTGTGCATGTATTTGTTTCACTGACAAACGTTACCATTTTTTTAAATGCTTTCTTTTTATAACTTTCTAAACATTTAATTTTTTTCATCTACTTGGACCAAACAATAAATTTTACTGTTAATTTGTTCATAAATTTATTTTTTAAATTAGATTAATGTGTTGCATTACAAAGAATACATGCTTTTTTGCTTGGTGGAAATGATTTCACTGGTATTCTTAAAACGATAAGAATGTTAACTAAGTAAAAATAAAGCTTACTACTGCACAATATATTCTATTGGTGCTTACTTTTTAATATTAATTTTATTTTAATATATAAAACATAATAATATTAGAAAATAAAAGAAATGAAACATTATGAAACTTTTAAATTGGAAAATATGCAGAATTCTATTGGAGCAGATAACTAAAATGCAGCAACGCTCAGCAACTGTGATTCTATATGGGAATGAAATTCTTGCTAAATTATTTTGTTCCTTTAACAGGTTTCTTAACAAACCTGAGCAGCATATATTTGCAACCAATACATGTTCTATAAGTGTATTGTTTTTTGACAAGAAGCTAAATACTCATTCTTTCATATCATCATGTTTCACCCTTATTTTGATGATGTGAAAGGTAAAAAGAAAAAGAAAAAGAAACCCAAGGCAGCATTAGAAGCATTAAAAGAAAAAATTCAGGTCTAGCAGAGCCATGAAAGCATATCTTATTAAGAAGAAAGAAACACAGTATAATAGACACAACTTAAAAATGAGTTTTCAATTACATTGCTTTCTTGTTTCTAAAAAAAAAATCACAAAGATTATTTCACAGAATTTTAAGTAATTTATCCAGTTCTGTGTCTAAACTGTACTATTCCAATGTACTCCTAATACCAACCAAGAATGCCTCAAGAACAGTTTATCCTATTGAGATATTTGATGTGACGCTGATATAAATGAAATAGCCTTAAATAAAATATTTAAGCCTTGCTATTAAATTTTTTATTAGTTTTCCTATAGTACCATATCTTTCAGATTTTGTTTAGAAAAGATTCAATCTCAAAACCAACACCATTCTTCCAACGTTAAATGAATGAAAACTCCTCATCGCTGAAAGAAACACACAATACTGAGAATAATTCTGAAGTGACAGAACATTCTTCAGAATATTTTTCAAATGAAAAGATGACAGAAAAGATAATCCACAGCTCTTCACGGCAATACTATAACCTTTAATACAAAAAGGAATTTAATTTTAGTGCTGCAGTCAAAGCAAATTCTTCAAATGAGATTTGCCATGACAAAGAACACTAAAAACAGGGAGTATTTAGTCTCTGGAGGGGTTTAAACTACTGAAGGGGGCACCTGGAGGCGTCTGCAGAGTGTGCGCAGTTCTTCAGTATTTAGAGCATCGATCCTGCGGTGATACTCAGCCACTGACACTACCTAAATATGGAGACAGGAAGACAATAATTCCACTGACAGTTGAGAAAAACAGCAAAAAAAAAAAAAAAAAAAAAAAAAAGAGGAGAAATTAAAATGGGAAGAGAACTGTAATTAGGATTTCTTCCCCACTCTATGTTGAAAATCCAAGAGATTTATATATCAAACTAGAGTGAAATATCCATGAATGATTTTCACTACTACATCCAACTAGTTGGTATGTAAGGTTTATTTTATGGACTATTCCATATAGATTCAACTTAGTAAATAGAAATTATAGTTTTTTATACAGAAAACACTATATAAAACACATACTTTGCTAACATTAAAGATAACGTCTGAAAACTAAACGGTCTTGCAGTTACAAAGGAAGTGGTAGTTTCAACTACCCCCTCCAAATCAGGTGAGCTCAAACATTATATCCTAATGGCCATGCTGGAAGAATTTCTTCTAGGCACAGGTGACAAACATACCCATCTATAACAGAAACAACAGAGGAGAGAAGAGCAAGAAAACAATATAGAAGTACATTTTAAAACCTATGGCAATAAGAAAAATAAGCTCTAGAAAGTAGAAAATTAGATTTTCAAAAGTATGTCTAATCAAAAGTACCTTCTAAGTATGTCTGCTTCAGCCCTTTAAATGACTTTTTTTTTCCACTTTTTGCCTCTCTCCTGTTTTATTTCTTTATGGTTTTTACTGTATCATTTATTTGTGACTAAAATTTAACAACTTTCCTACATTTTAACTTTCAAAGGAAAACTTTCTATCTTCTATAATTGCCTAGACCAGGCTCTTGCACAGTATTAAATTTGAAAGCCATAAATGACAGATAAACACTATTACAGAAAGCCCACAAAAACAGGTAAGTTTCCTCAGGTTGACATAATAGTTACAGCTTTTTCAGATCATGACATAATTCTAAAAACAGTTACCATACTACAGTGAACGCTAATGGTGTGATAAATATGTGACGATTCTCTTGAGCTATGACTAGTTCCTCTTGTAATCAATCAAAAATGCACAGAGGCTCTGACCACAAAATGAGTTAATCCAACTGGCTCATAAAGAGTTTAGATTTTGAACCTAGGTTTTAAAGGCTTTTTATTTAGCCAACTAAAAGGAACTGGCTACCAGTAAACATTAAGGTAACTATGAAAAGCTATGTAAACTTGTTGAAAGTTCTGAAAGACATGAGAATAGAAAAAAGGAAAAGAGGCTGGACAGATTTCCATTCTGGCCATTATTATTATATTGAATTTTGTGAAGCAACAAAGCATACAATATGTTAGCTGACTCTGTACTTAGAAACCAGAAGCTGTTATTCTCTCTAGCTCTGGGGGCGGATGGGGGGGGGTGTCAGATAAACCTGGGTTCCCCATTGCCTATCAATTTTGTTATAAAACAATGAAAATAGTAAAAGTGCATATCAAATCTGGTTTTATGTGAATTACTGAGGAAATGCATATTAAGGACTGAGTATAGTGCCCAGAACATATTAATGAGAACTACTATTATTCATATGACTTTTACTTGATTACTTTTCACCAATTACCCTGGAGACTAAATGATAATGGCCAAAGAGCCTCCTTATTAATTTTTGGTTTTTATTTTTGAATGAGAATATTTCAGGTTTGACATCTCAACTATTTTTAACATTTTGATTATTCTGAATTTAATTTTTATATTTCAGTATTAGATAAAAATAATGAAGGACTTTCAATTAAGAACAATAGGATTTCAATAAAGATAAAAGAAAAATTAGGTACTAAAAATAAAAAACATCATGGGCTTGCTTTTCTATGCCCAGCAAAACAGGTCTCTAGAAATATTTAATGGCCAATTATATTTTTCTTTCTTTTTTCATGGCCTTCAATCCAATAGTCTCCTAGACAAGGATTGTCAAAAATAACTTATCTAATTCTCTGCTTTCCTTCTATCCCTCCAGTTAACAATTATCTTATATCTATATTCTAAAACTCCTTCATTTACTATAAGAAAAACACTTCCTGGGTGGAAGTGAAATTAAATTATGCTTACAAAAGAGATCAGTCATAACCTAATTGTATCAGCATTGCTGAGAGTAGGAGTTACTAATAAGAGAACAATAAATCGCCATAAGGCTAAGCTTATCTTAATAACACTTGATAAAGTCATAGTTTCTTTCATGTCACAAATCTACTCTTTCAAATTTATTTTTTTCAATTATATTTTTTTCTAGGACTTAAAAACTTTCTGCTTCCTTAACCTTAAACATTTACTCATGCCCTGATGGGTGAGGATACAGAAAACTGTAAGAAAAAAAAAAAAGTCTGTGAGTTAATAGAAAAAAGAGATTTGAATTTGAGTACAGAAATATACTTCCTTCTCTCAAAATAAAGGGATAAAAGAGCTATATATTCCCAGTATATATGAGGAAACTGGAATTACTCTTACATTAATTTTAAACCCTTGGTAAACCATACTCCATGTATACAATTTATTACTTTACCCAAAAGATTAAACCTAAATAAAAAATGAATACATTTCTCCAAAATATCCCTTATCACGCTCTGAATTATTAGGAGTAAACAGTTGAGAAAACCAAGACCTTCCAATTAAAAGTGCATTCACTGGCTAAAAAATCGTTTCTTAAGGAATAAAGTATTTGGATATACTGCTAACTCCTATCTATAGGAACTAAGTACCATGACCTATACTCTGCAGAATTAAATGCCACTCTCTAGTCTTTTCAGTCTTTGACAAAGGACCCTCACAAAGAGAAAGTATTTTCCTAAGCCTTTACTTCTACAGAATTACCAATGGAAAGGCAGGGGTAAATCCACCCATCACTATTACAAATGGACTAACAAAAACAGAGACTAGAGAAAATTCACAGTTGCTGCCAATCCCATGATTAAGAACACGTTCATCTCTTAGATATAAAGAACAATACCTTATGGACGTTCCAGTGTTTCCCCAAGATTACTCCAAAACAAACCCCAAATCTCCCTTTCTTCAATGTCTTGCACACTAACAAAAATCTGCTAGTTATATGTCAATGTGCCATTTTTACTACTTTCTCAGTAAATGGAAATGCAAGAGAAAAAGAAATACTATCTAATCAATGCCACTTACACTTACTTTGGTCTCAAAAAATATGTTAAAGAAGGAAATATAATTCTGAGCTTCTGTATCAAACAAAAAGAGCATACAACAGCATCCTTGAAGTCACATAAGCCGTTGTTCTACTATATCTCATCATATATTAACAGTCTTTATTACAAAATAAGACCTGAATTATGTTAAACTTTGCCCCATTTTGCCCAAATTAAAACTACTGCTTTCAAAATAACATTCCAGTTTGAGAACAGCCGGGGCAACATGGAGAAATCTCGTCTCTACAAAAAAATACAAAAAATTAGCCGGGCCTGGTGGCGTGGAAGGATCACCTGAGCCCAGCAGGTTGAGGCTGCAGTGAGCCAAGATCAAGCCACTGCACTCCATCCTGGGCAACAGAGCAAAATCCTGTCTTAAAAAAAAAAAAAAAAAAATCCAGAATTAATTCTATTAGTGAAGTTTGATTTGAAAAAATCTGCATTTAAAATCACTTCCTGTCTTTCATCAATACTGGGAAAAGGAAAAAAAAGGGAAGGAAGAGGGGAGGGAGCCATATCCCCATATCCTTTTTTTTTTCTTTTCTTTTTTTTTTTTTTTTGAGACGGAGTCTCCCTCTGTCACTCAGGCTGGAGTGCAGTGGCACAATCTCGGCTCACTGCAATCTCTGCCTCCTGGGTTCAAGTGATTCTTCTGCCTCAGTCTCCCAAGTAGCTGGGACTACAGATGTGTGCTGGGACTACAGGTGTGTGCCACCACGCACGGCTAATTTTTGTATTTTTTGTAGAGACGGGGTTTCACCATGTAAACTATACTAAAAAAAATGTGTATTACAAATTCTAGAGGAACCATTTAAAAAAGTTTTTTAAAAAAGTATAACTGAGATGCTAAGAGATGAAAGAATATGGAATCAAATTAAATCTGAAGCACAGGAAAATAAAATTAGAGCAGAAATCAATAGATTAAAAACAAAATCAATAGAAAAACAGCAATGGAACCAGAAGCCAATTTTGTAATCTTTCAGAAGGTCAATAAAATTGATAAACCTCTACCTCTAGCCAGGATAGATGAGAGTGAGAGAATAAATATCAGAAATGAAGAGGGGCCATCATTACTGATCCCATGGATATTAAAAGAATAATGAAGAAATACTATAAACTGTACACTCACTAATTTGATAATCTAGATAAAGCAAACCAATTCCTTGAAAGACACAAACCACCAAAAGTCACACAAGAAGAAACAGATAATGCATGCCTATTATCTCAGCTACTCAGGAGGCTGAGGTGAGAGGATCACTTGAGCCTATGAGTTCAAGACCAGCCCAGGGAACATAGCAAAACTCCAACTCAAAAAAAGAAAGAAAGATATGTATTTAAATAATTAATCAATAATTAATAACCTCCTAAAACAGAAAGCACAAGGCCCAGATAGACTCACTGATGAATACTACCAAACATTTACGAAGAAATTATACAAACTCTCCACAATCTCTTCCAGAAAACAGAAGCGGAGGGAATACTTCTTAACTAATTCTGTGAGGACAGCATTACTCTAATAGAAATAAAAACTTTACAAGAAAGAAAAACTACAGGCAATTATCTCTCATTAACATATATGCAAAAATTCTCAACAAAACACTAGCAAACTGAATTGAGCAATGTACAAATGTACAGAATTATATACAACGACGAAGTAGAACTTATCCCACCTACGCAAGACTGGTACAGCCTTGAAAATCAATTGATGTAATCTATTACATCAACATGGTAAAGAAGAAAAATCATGTGATCTTATCAACAGATACAAAAAATGCACTAGTCAAAATCCAACACTAATAAAAATGCTCAGGAAGTTAGGAATAAAGAAGAACTCCCTCAACTGGATAAAGAACATGTATTAAAAAAATTCAGTTAATACAACACATAATAGTGAGAAACAAGATCCTTTCACACTAAGACTGGGAGCAAGGAAAGGATATCCCTTGCCAGTACTCTTACCTGACATTATGCAGGAAGTCCTAGCTAATGCAATAAGACAAAGTTATATAAATTAAATTCAAAGAAAATTAAAGTTATATAAATAGGGAAGAAAGAGATAAAACTGTCTTTGTTAGCAGATGACATGATTGTTGGTATAAAAAATCCCAAAGAATCAACCAAAACTCTACTGGAATAAGTGATCATGGCAGGCTTTCAGAGTGCAAGATTAATATGCAAAAGTCAATGGTCTTTATATCAGCAATGAAAACTTGGAATTTGAAAGTTAAAAAGAATACCATTTATATTAGCATAATGTAAATGAAATACATATAATTCTAACAAAATACATAGAGATCTACGTGAAAAAAAGTAGAAAACTGTGATTAACAAAAGATTTAAATACATATCCCACATTCATAGATAGGAAGACTCAATATTGTCAAGCTGTCAGTTCTTCTCAACTTGATGTATGGATTCAATACAATTTCAATCAAAATTCTACCAGGCTATTTTGTAGATACAGGCAAATTGATTCTAAAATTTATAGAAATAGTTTATATGCAAAGACACAGAATAGCCAAGATAGCAATGAAGAAAAAGAACAAAGTTGGAAGACTGACACTACTCAACTTCAAGACTTACTATACTATAAAGCTACAGTAATCAATACATCATGGTTTTGGCAAAAGAACTGACAAATACATCAATGATACACAATAAAACACTCAGAAATATCCCACATAAATACAGTCAACTGACTTTTAACAAAGGAGTAAAGACAATTCAGAGGAGAAATAATGGTCTTTACCCCAATAGTATTGGAACAACTGGATATCCACCTGCAGAACAGTCAATTGAGACAAAGTCTTTATACCAAATGGACTACAGAGGAAAACACAAAACTATGGATCTCCTAGAAAATAGCACAGGAAAAAAATCTTGGTGACCCTAAGTCTGAAGGTGCACTTTTAGATAAAATACCACAAGTACAATCCATGAAAAAGAAAATTATTAAGTTGAATTTCATTAAAATTAAAAACTTCTACTGTGTGAAAGACACTGTCAAGAGAATGAAAAAGACAAGCTACAGACTAGAAAATCTCTGCAACATATATAAATGATAAAGGACTGTTATCCAAAATATATGAAGGAATACAGATAGGAAGGAAGGAGACAATGGTCTGTTCTATCTCTATGTTTATGTAAAACATAACAGTAAGATATCAAACAACCTGATTAAAATATGGACAAAAGATATGAATAAACATCTCATTAAAGAAGATATACAAATGGAAAATAAGACTATGAAAGGATGCTCACTATGATATGTCACCAGGGAAATGCAAATTAAAATGATTGAGATATCACTACACATCTATTTAAATAAAAGCTAAAATCCAAAGAGCTGACAACAGCAAATGTCAGCAGGGATGTGGAGAACAGGAATTCTCATTTGTTGTGGATGCCATGCAAAATGGGTACAGCCAGATGAAAGACAGTTTGGCAGTTTCTTTTTACTTTCTTTCTTTGTTTCTTATTTTTTCTTTCTTTCTTTTTTTTTTTAAAGACAAGGTCTAACTATGTTGCCCTGGCTGATCGCAAACTCCTCCCACTTCAGCCTCCTAAAGTGTTGATATTACAGGCGTGAGTCACCACACTGGCCTAGCAAACACACCCTTAACATAGGATACAGTAATCATGTTACTTGGTATTTATGAGTTGAAAACTTATGTCCACACAAAATCTACATCTAAAAGTTTGTAACAGTTTCTTTTCATAAGTGCCAAAAGGTGGAAGAAAGCAAAATGTCCTTTACCAGGTGAATGGGTAAAGAAGTGGATAAAACCATAAAATAGAATATTATTCAGCAATAAAAAGAAATGAGCTGTCAAGCCAAAAAGACATGAAGGAGTCTTAAATAAAAATTGCTAAGTGAAAGAAGCCAATCTGAAAAGGCTACGTACTATATGATTCCAACTATATGACACTCTGCAAAACGCAAAACAGTGGAAAGACCGGTGGGTGCCAGGTGTTCACTGGAAGGGAATGAGTGATAAATAGCTGTGGCACAGGGAATTTTTAGGGCAGAAAAATTATAGCATGTGATTCTACAACTAGATACATGTCATTATACACTTGTCAAAACCCACAGAATATACAACTCAAAGAATGAACCTTAATGTAAACTATAGACTCTGCATGACAATATATCAATATTAGTTCATACACTGTAACATATATCACACTAATGTCATTTGTGAATAACAGGGAAAACTGTGTTTTGGGGAAAAGAGAGTATATGGAAACTCTCTATGCCTTCCATTCAATTTTTCTGTAAACCTAATACTGATCTAAAAAATGAAATCTATTATAATTAAAAAAAGTTAGGGGGATAATAAAACAAAAAATCCAGAGAGGTGGTTACCAATATGAGGGTGACACAAGATGAGAAAAAACACACAGACAGATGCAGCTACATTAGTGATATTCTAGTTCTAATATTGGGTAGTGGTACATCACAGATGTTCATTTTACTATTATGCCTCATAACTTGCATACATAAGATATATGCTTTTCAACTACTGAGTCAGTGTTACAGCTCTCTTAGAATTTATCTAGCAGGTTTTCTGGTCTTCACTGGAAGACCACTATGCTATTAAATTTCACTGGAAAGCCCCCTATGCTATTAAATTTCTTTAAATGAAAAATAAAAAACAATTGAGTCAAATAAATTAAGAAAAAATATTCTACATTGAATATATGTGTATACTTTTTTCAACTAGGTTGTGACTGGAGAGCAGAAGATGTTTCACTTACCATAAGACATACATAAATACTGGTTAATAAATGTCTTATGACTATCTACTATAGATAGGCGGCATAATATTGAAGAATACTGGCTTTGGTTTTAGACTGCTACCTTAATTTTGATTCTGATTTTTATTAGTTTTGTGAACTTAGGGAGCCTCATTTAGTTTCCCCATTTCTGATTCTTCAAATGGAAATACTTTACATTTTATGAGAAATAAATAATATGTATAAAGTATATATAAAATAGGTTCTGATACATTAAATATATGAAATAAATAATTCTCTTCCTCTTGTTATATTCTGAAGATTTTTGAGGGCAAGTATGGCAAAGAGTTTAAGGGCATCAGCTAGAGCCAGAATGCCTAGATTAAAAAATCAGCTCTGACTTGCACTAGTTGTAGTATGATTGCTATGTCCCTGTTTTTTCACTTGTAAAATGGAGATGATAAAGTAATATTCCACAGGGTTGTGAGAATTAAATAAGGTAACTCATATTAAGTGTTTAGAACAATATTTGGTATACACTGTCAGTACAAGTAATTATTTTTATCATTATAGTTATTATCTCAGGCTGAAGTCACTGGAAAGATTTTTACATTTAAATTAGCTCTTCCTAAAAATCCACCTGTCAGCTAATTCTTGAACAGATGTAAACAATTCGACATACAAACTTTTCTCCTGTGTTTTCATATATGAAAGCCTAAATTTAAAAAAAGTCTGTTCATATATGACGGCCTAAACTAAGAAAATGGTGATGAAATTAGTGACTACTGATAAAGGCAATGAAACACTGATGCTATTTAATGACTTGTGACTTTGATTAAGACTAAATCCTTATTATAAAATGGGCTTATAATTTCAAGTAAATTACGACTTATTGACAGACACTAACAAGGTAGAGTATGGCACATGAATATATCAAATACATGAATAGCTTCAAATAAATGAATGATTAAAGTTTAAGTTATCAGAATAAACTATAAAACGGCCTTTAAAAAATAAAAGATAACAAAACTTAAGCATGCTTGATCAATATGGTTCTCATCGAAGCTAACTGGCAAAAGGTTAATTTCATGCCATGCATTTTGTTAGGAGTGTATGCTGCTTATTAGTTATTAATGTATTTGAGATGTAAATTAACTCACTTATAAAACAAAACAATCTGGTTAACACACAGGGTTACTGTAAGGTCATGTGATACTACATACATAGGCATTTGGAAAACTGTCAAGGTATCTATAGATACCTCAGTGATAATCTCTCTTACAGAGGTAGTAATAATATGGCCATATTATTTGTTGGGTAAAGACGAAGAATTCTAAAAAGCTACACATTATAAACTCCAAAAAGTCAAATTTCATTTGTTCTGAAATACTGGTTATTCTCTTAGAATTTTTTTTTTTTTTTTTTTTTTTTCCAGTTTAGAAGCATAAGAGCCCCTTGTCAGGCAAAATCTTACAGGGCTCTCAATCTACAAAGCAGGTAAAAGAACTGCTAATCCTTTTCATCCCAATTTTCTTAAGAGCTGCCTGCCCTACAGCTCCTAGAATCTCTGCTTTAAAACAAAGAAAACAACTAGAAAACTGGGACTTCAGCTTGTCTACACAACAAAACACATCATATTGTTCTATTTCAGAAAAACTTCAAAGTCATCCTGGTGAACTACAATATGTGCTAGGGTCAAGCTGTCTCTGTACTACATGACAACTTAGTTCAGTGACCACTCCATGCTTCAACTAGTCTTCAAAATGGGAAATAATTCTACTAAACTTTCAGGGTTACTGTGAGGGTTCAATTAAATAACATATATGTATGGGCAGAGCTAATGACCAATGAGTAGGAAGCATTCTTGCTCAGGCATGAAATAAAGTATCTGACAAAATTATATAGCCTCCCATAAGAATGAACAGAACTTGGCTGGGCGCAGTGGCCTGGAATCCTAACACTATGGGAGGCCAAGGCAGGTAGATCTCCTGAGCTGAGCTCAGGAGTTCAAGTCCAGCCTGGGCAACAAGGCGAAACCTAGTCTCTATAAAAAATACAAAAAAATTAGCGGGCTGTGGTGGTGCATGCTTGCAGTCCCAGCTACTTGCCGGGCTGAGGCAGGAAGATCACTTGAGCCCAGGAGCCCAGGTTGAAGTGAGCCAAAATCCCGCCACTGCATTCCAACCTGGGTGACAAAGTGAGACCCTGTCTCAAAAATAAAAATAAAAATAAAGAATGAACAGGCCTTGGACGTGGTGACTGTAATAAATGTAAGTGTTTGATGCACATTAATTAGATTGACCTATAAATTTCAGAATAACCACAATTTATTTTGCTTGTATTTGTAATAAACTGTATTGAAGTCTTTGCAAACTAAGAATAAATGATTATTCAAACTTCAAATAAAAAAAATGTATGAATAGCTTCATTGTTCTTGGTTTAAAAAAAAAACAACGGTGTTAACTGATTTATCTGGTAAATCTAATCACAAATTTTAAAAATTCAATCATTTCAGGTGCCTAAATCCCTCTGTGCTGATGTAACATATAAATGAATTTTGAAATTACAATTAAAAATAACACCTATTAAAATTTTAATATTTTGACACACTTAACATTTAAGGGCGGCAAGCTGCTTTGGGGGCATCTTCCAAAGTCCTTATTGGATTTTAAATCATCTACAATTAAGTGAAAATAAAATAAACATTCATAAGCAAAATATAATCCCAAATTACCACAGAAAGAGCAATGGACAATACATTTTATAACAATGTACACGTACAGAAAAATAAATAAAATTCTTACAATAGTATGGTTGACTGAATTTCCTTACTAGGATATCGTTTGAAGATTTGTATTAGGTAGCATTGCCTGAAAACTTTTTGAACAGCTTAAAAAACCTTTTAGTCAGATTCTTAAAATTATACCCTTAAGTAAACAATATCATAAAAGAATCTGGTTTGAGATCCAGTCAATAATAATTAATTTACTCTGTTCTATTCAATTTATTTTCAAGCAAGAGAAAATTCTGAATATTTTTCTAAAAAGTTAAGCTAAAATAAAAAACATTAAGGCAACAATTAAGATTTGATATCTTCCTGTTGGTGTAGAACATACAAAACACTTAATATGAAACAAAATTACAGTCCCTTATTAATTTCCCTTTTTGAAGATACTCAGAATTAACAGAAACAACTTCAAGGTACTTTGTACAATCATAAAATTTTGTATTCTATAAATATCCTCTATGCTTAAACTTTCAGAAATTGTATAATTTTTCATAATGTCACCATGAAAAGACTAGTATATATACAAATTAAAATAATTGACTAAGATTTACCAGAGTGTATTTATGATTAATTGGTTGATGTCTTCTCCCTTTTTTCCCATACCAGAGACGAGACATTTCCTTTCCAGGGCAAATTAAGTTACATAAAATCACGTAAGAACTGTTTTCAAAAGCATTCTTCCTCTGTCAAAGATAAATTTCCAGCACTAGAGCCTTACTACAGTGACAAAACAGTTTGCTAGAGACAAAGATTTGATTGACAAGAGAGAGAGCTAATCACTAAGTAGTATCCATAGCAATGATAGTCCTGAGTGGAGGCTGTAAAGCTGGGGAGGGAAGAGAGAATTTCCCATGCTTAAGTTTGGTTGCACTGTACCCAAATGTGCAAAGAAAGGGCTCAAAAGTTTAAAGACACAGAGCCTATATTTCCAAACATCAGTACATGAATATACTAAAAGTAACCCAGTAACAAAAAAGTAGTAAATATAATTTCCAGAGTCTCTTAAAGCACATGAATGATTTGAATGAACATTTTGTTATTTGTTCATATAGTCATAAAATTATGTTCCTTACTTACAGCTAACAGTACTATAAGATTGTATCTTTTATGTGAACATTTTTTAAGCAATAAGATGCCTTTTGTGGACTCTTCCACCCTAAAATTTTACAGAATGACTGTGTAAAAACCAAGCCAATATGCTACAAATAAATCCTACACAAATATTCAAAGTGACCTGAAAATCCCTCTGCCTGTTACACAGTCTGTTTTTAAATTGCATTTTCTAACATCTAATTTCTTGAAAAGGTAGTTATATTCACTATGCCTACATATACTTCACTAACCAGTGATATTTTGAATATAAGCAAAGAAGTGAATTTTTTAAAGATTAAATATAAACTACAAATACATATAAACTAAAACTATCTAGAATTCAGTTTTAATCAGAATATCAATATCATGATGATACATTTGAAAATTTCTTCCATTTTAAGGTAAAGCAGCTCCTTCCACTTCACTTTGTTGTATGCACACATGATGCCACCTTTTCACACACACACTACCTTTCTAACACGCAATACTGCATCCCAACCAAACCCCCACTCCCATCTCCTTCCTCCACATTCCAGCATGCACTCACACAGGGCACAGCACACCCCACAGTAACACCCTACCTCCCCCACATACCAACCATTTCCCCTATTCCTCTCATTCAGCCCCACTACATTTACCCTAAAATCTCTCCCACAGTCCCTCATAGGAACACCATCATTATCTTCACACCAGGAAAGTTCTCTTCTACATACAGTGCATTGTGGTCACACTCCACCCCTCCATCACAGACTCTCCTAACAACCATCAGCAATATTATATAATTTGGTGGTGGTGGTGGTGGAAGCAGCATTTTGAAAGCTTGTCATAACTTCCAGCTACATTTTCTAAAATAACAAATATGACGTGTGTTCCAAAATGAGGTTTAAATGAGATATTAAAAACAAAACCAAAAACCACCAAGCATGGCATAGTCTATTCTGTTGGTTGCCTATTCAATATCCACCCTTACAACTCCTTCCTGAAGTGGCCTTGATTTTGCTCAGGTATCCTTCCAGCCATGTGTTTCTGAGGAGGCTGGCTCTCATCTCTGGACAGAACTAGTCATTAGAGACCTAAATCAGTGGCTTTCAAGTTTTAGCCGGCATCAATATCACCTGGAGTATTTGTTATACCAGAATGCTGGGCTCCAAAAATGGTTTCTAATTAATCAGACTCAAATGGGGTCTGAGAATTTGCATTTCTAACAAATTCCCAGGTGCTGCTGCTGCTGATGGTCTGGGAACTACACTTCGAGAAACAACAGGTTTAAGCTATTCTGAGTGTGGTTTTCTGTTTCTCGAAGTCATCCAAATTTATAAATACAGTGTCAGGCAAACATAAAATGAGCTCAGTAAGTCTCCTTCTTGCCCTTTCTGTTTTTGTAGTATTTATAATACATATTGCTAAGTCATTTAAATTTGCCTAGATATCCAAGAATTTGAAGCAGATGTCAATTGTTATTATTATAACATGATGGGATATAAAACAAAGCACTTTTGAAAACACTACCAGTTTACAAGTTGAACATAATCTGTTCTCATAATTCAGATATTCAATTTAATAATCCTTTTCCTTTACTTTATTCGAACTGAAGTTATTAAATTACCTTATATCTCTTCCTATTTGAGTTGGGAATGGTATGATAGAAGCTATAATATATAATTTACCCTACTCACTATTTATTATTTTATGCCAGGTGAGGTGGCTGTAATCCCAGTGCTTTGGGAGGCTGAGGCAGGAGGATTACTTGAGCCTAGAAGATTGAGACCAGCGTGGGCAACACAGCAAGACTCTATCTCTAAAAAAAAAAAATTAGCTGGATGAGGTGGCACATACCTGTAGTCCCATCTACTGAGGAGGATGAGGCAGGAGGACCTCTTGAGCCCAGGAGTTCGAGGATGCAGTGAGCTGTGAGTGTGCCATTGCATTCCAGCCTGGGCAACACAGCAAGACCCTTTCTCAAAAAATAATAATAAATTTAAAAATAAAGTAATATTTTAGAATTTTAATATTTAAAATCATAAACTAGTCTGTCACCCATAAATCCTCTTCTGACAGTCTATATTAGAGGTTTTTTGTTTGTTTGTTTTTTGTTTTGAGATGGAGTATTGCTCTGTTGCCCAGGCTGGAGTACAATGACATGATCTCTGCTCACTGTAACCTCCGCCTCCTGGGTTCAAGTGATTATCCTGCCTCAGAGTCCTGAGTAGCTGGGATCACAGGTGTGCGCCACCACGCCCGGCTAATTTTTGTATTTTTTTTTTTTTTTTTGAGACAGAGGCTTGCTCTGTCGCCCAGGCTGGAGTGCAGTGGCACGATCTCGGCTCACTGCAAGGTTCGCCTCCTGGGTTCATGCCATTCTCCTGCCTCAGCCTCCTGAGTAGCTGGGACTACAGGCATCCACCACCACACCTGGCTATTGTATTTTATTTTATATTTTTAGTAGAGACGGGGTTTCACCGTGTTAGCGAGGATGGTCTCGATCTCCTGACCTCATGATCCACCTGCCTCGGCCTCCCAAAGTGCTGGGATTACACGCATGAGCCACCGCACCTGGCCTAATTTTTGTATTTTTAATAGAGATGGGATTTCACCATATTGGCCAGGCTGGTCTCGAACTCCTGACCTCAGGTAATCTGCTTGCCTTGACCTCCCAAAATGCTGGGATTACAGGTGTGAGCCACCACGCCTGGCCTAGATAAAGATTTTTAATGGAAATGTTATAGCTCATAACTTTGGGCTAGCAATTGAAGAATATTTTTAACAGGGAAAGCAAAACACTAGTTCAAAACTCTCCTAAGGTCGATAACAACTTTAAGATAACATAATCAGTAGTCAAAACAGACCATATTAGGCATAAAACCTGGGTGCCAAATGCTAATAAAAGAAAACATAAACAGTCTAAAAGTTTCATTTGTAACTATACAGGTTCTCAACATAGAAATATAGTCATATATCACATAATGACAGGGATATGTTCTGAGAAATGCATCTTTAAGCAATTTCGTTTTGTGAACATCACAGTGTGTACTTACACAAACCTAAATGGAATAGCCTACCATATAACCAGGTTATACGGTATGGCCTATTACTTCTAGGTCATACCATATAGCACGTTACTGTACTGAATACTATAGGTGACTGTAACACAGTGATAAGGATTTGTGTATCAAAATATATCTAAACATAGAGAGGGTAATGCATTGTACTATGATGTTATGACATCACTAAGAGACAGCTCCATTATAATCTCAGGGGACCAACCAAAATGTCATTATGTGCTGCATGACCGTATTATGAAAGTCAGTACCTATCAACTAATAAATTCTAATTAAGTGTTTAATCCTTCTGATTTCTTTTTTAGATTTATTAAATTTCTTCTGGAGTTATAATTTGTAATATTATTTGATTATTCGATCAGTATTAAAAAAAAAGAATACTTAAAAAAATTCCCTTTATCTGAGAAATGTGATTTCTCAATGTAGTGACTTTATACACAAAGAATTCCTTCACTTTTGGACAAAATTAATTCTATGTGGATTTTGCTGGCTAGACTGAGAAGAGATCATGAGGGTTTTGTGCGTTTAACATATTAACTCAGTTTTAATTTTGGTGTTACTTGTACCTTAATAATAATAGAAAACATATGTTTAATAAAATGATCACCAGAATACTCACTGCCTGTCAGCTTAGGAAATAAGATATTAACCAAACAAGGGAAGTCTCCTGATAAGGTGTTTCTTAAAAGTTGCAGCAATAACCACGGTTGTAGAAGTTTTCTGGGAAACCTAATGAATGATCCTGACCATAACTCTACTTAATGATAGCTGTGAAAACAGAACTGGCTCCACAAGGCAATCACCACATAGTAGTGAAAAACCAAATCCAACAATGACATAATGTGATAAATGTTATGGCCTACAATGCTAAGAACGGGTTACATATTTTACACTTATATAACTAAAAGGGACAGCACTAAATACTAAAGTCAAAATGGAAAGACTATAAATTATTTTAAAAACTAAGCTGAAAGGCAGATTCTAACATATTTTGAATAATAGTATAGAGGTTTATATAGTAAGTAGTTAACATATTTACATTTATACTTAAATAATCTAAACTTCAATTATTGAGAAAATGTGACTAATGTCATGTACCTAAAAAGATACAGGTTGTTTCAAAACCCCAAAACTGTACAGAATGTCTTTTTATCAGTATTTTGGCAAAGGTGAGAAGCAAGAGGGAAGCCAGAGCAATTTTATTCAAATACGAATCATTTTAAGAATGAAAAATACTGTTACACACCCTATCAACACATAATCTTAGTAAATTCGTTCTTAAAATTTAATCAAGTAAATGTGTGGGAGACTAAATAAATCAAGTAAAGTTGATTTAATAAAACCAGTTTCTTAGCTGTTTTTATTTATCATCCTAGGAGAACTGGATACTTTAATTAGGTTTGTAGTATGAAAGATACTGAAGTACATGTGGTATAAAATTAGAGATGAAAAATTTTGGAAAGCTTTCTCTGCCAGCTTTTATCCCAAAAGGACTGGAAAAGTCAATCCAAAGGAAAGGAACCAAAAAGCAATGTTAGCATAAAAAGCTCCACCTTTGAGGCCTGTGTGGTCAAGCAGCAAGACTGGCATACTGAACATGTGACACAATGAATCCTTGACTTTCAGAAAATTCTAGTATACAGCCTCTTGAAGTTGGTACTTGGGGTGGATGCTGATATTGTCCAGCATGTAATGTCTCATGATAAATGATGGCAGGATAAAAGCGATTCAACTTACAGTATTACCATTTTGACTTCATGATAAGAAATTCCAAATTCATCTTTATATTACAACAAATAAATTATAAAGCTGAATGAAAAGTTTTACATGAATCTGAGCTTATTGTGGTGGTCACTCCTTTAAGCTATACTACTGGATCCTCAGGCACTTGCCAAATATATTAAATTTTAAAGGGTATTTGATGGACAAAGTTGAAGAAGACAAAGTTCAAAGATCATTGACTTACAGCCTGGTATGTTTTTTGATCTTCCTCTCCTTGTAGTATCTCTGAGTACACAACATGATGGAAGTCCTGTGGTATGTAAGGGAGCTATGACAACATCAATTGTATCTGCATGGCTGTTACTGAGGAGAAAATATGTTTTCTTAAAAATCAAGGCACAAAATGATTAAACAAACCTTTTTCCATAGTGAACCAAATTTATGTTTTTGATGCAGCAGCCCAGATGAAAGGAATATGAAAAGTATTTCATATAACTTGCATGACAGGAACTCAAAAGCTGATCTATATTATAATCAATATAGTCTAAAGAGTCTTCCACAGTCTTAATATTGTATATGTTTAACACAACACCTGAAGTTGTGGCATGGTGGTATACTAGTTTTCGCACCTTGACTGCACAATGTAACTACCTAGGTAGCTTTAAACAACACTGATAACTAGGTCCTAGCCCCAATTATTCTGATTTAATTGGTCTGATTTGTGACCTTGGCAATGATATGTTTGAAAGCTCCCCATCATGATGCAAAGGTTCCGCCAAAGTTGAGTACTTGGTATGGTGGAAAAGGTATAGGCTCTGAATTAGAGATTAACCACTAAGAGAATTTTAGCCAAATAAAAAACCAGCTTAAAGAAATTATCTGGGCCAGACACGGTGGCTCACGCCTGTAATCCCAGCACTTTGGGAGGCCAAGGCAGGCGGATCATGAGGGCAGGAGATTGAGACCATCCTAGCTAACACGATGAAACTCCGTCTCTACTAAAAATACAAAAAAATTAGCCGGGCGTGGTGGCGGGCGCCTGTAGTCCCAGCTGCTCGGGAAGCTGAGGCAGGAGAATGGCGTGAATCCAGGAGGCGGAGCTTGCAGTGAGCCAAGATGACGCCACTGCACTCCAGCCTGAGCGACAGACGGAGACTCCATCTCAAAAAAAATAAAATAAATAAAAAAATACAAAGAAATTATCTGTAAAATAAAGATGATAATCTATACTTAAGTGTATTGCTCTAGATCTATCAATCATTCAAGTGGTAGAATAACATGTTAACAGACACTATGGGGATGCAAACAGCATATTCCAGACTGTGTGACATTCTACAGAAAAAAAATCTGATTTCTTAAAAACTGAAATAAAAAAGCAAAGCAAAGCAATGGAGGAGGAACCTACATTTAGAGAGACTTAAGAGATATTTTAACTAACTGCAGCATTTGAGAACTTAGTTGGATCATGACTCAAAAAACAAATTGTAAAAATACATACTGTACATATTACATGTATTCTAAATATTTTTATGACATTTGAATAACTATGAACAATTGGAGAAAAGGAGGGACACAGAAGAAATAAGCTGATGAAGCTGAATGGCACATGTGAATTTGTTTTACTATTAATCTTTTATTTTTGTATATTTATTGAACAAAAGTGCGATCATCACGAAATAGCAGATGTCAATAGGCATTCTGCCTCATCTTCACCTCAGGACTTGCCTGACAATTTGTTAAAATGCCATTAGAGCACTTCCCTTTTCAGTGAAAAGGCATAAAAAATCTGTATCAAAAAACAGAAAGTAATATTTATCACAGAACTGCAAAGCCCCACATCAAACAGTATCCTCACAACACTGGATATACTTATTGACTTCCTGTGTTGAATACCGGCAGAAATCAGGGGAAAGACTGTAATAAGTAGTTCCTTCTCAGTTATCAAATAAGGTTATCAGATCCCCAAAAGCAAGACTCATAATGCATATTTCTTTTATTTGGGTATCACACCAAAAACATAAGTTTGGTTCACTATGAAGAAAGGTTTCCTTAATCATTTTGTGCCTTGATTGTTTAAAAACATGCTTTCTTATCAATAGCAGCCATGTTGACGCAATTAATTCAGGCATAGCTCCTTTTTTTTTTTTTTGAGGTGGAGTCTCGCTCTGTCGCCCAGGCTGCAGTGCAGTGGCATGATCTTGGCTCACTGCACGCTCCACCTCCCAGGTTCACGCCATTCTCCTGCCTCAGCCTCCCGAGTAGCTACAACAAGAAGCGCCCGCCACCACGCCCGGCTAATTTTTTGTATTTTTAGTAGAGACGGGGTTTCACCATGTTAGCCAGGATGGTCTCGATCTCCTGACCTCGTGATCCACCTGTCTCGGCCTCCCAAAGTGCTGGGATTACAGGCGTGAGCCACCACGCCCGACCCACACCAAAGTACTCTTTATCATGTGGCATACAAAGTAACACTACAAAAAGAGGAAATTCAGTCCTTTACACATCGTGAGCAGTAAGAATAGTATTTCTCAGATCCTTTATCCAAATACTTAGGAACTGATTTATCATTAGGAACTTTTACTCCTGACCACCTTAAAATTTGGCTAAATTTTCTTTTTCTTAGTAAATATATGTTTCTGTCTGTCTTCAATAGGACTGGTCTTCAATGTTCATATTTGGAAATTAAAATTTTTAAAAATATTACGGAATTTTTCCTGCTATCCCAAGTGTACATTTTAGTAATTTGGGGTGCCATAGTTTATGAACTCTTTTAACATATTTTAGGGTACTGATATGAATAAGATCTGAATAGAGTTCATAAAGTTAAACAGTTGAAGTACTGGAAAAAATAATTCTGAAACAAGATTAAAAGGGAAGACAAACATTTTCACACTATCGCAGTAAATAGAAAATGTTTCTTGTTGTTATTGACTTGCATTGGAAGACAGAATAAAGATAAATGAATCCAATTTACAAAGATATGTTTCCTTAAGCTTATTGTAACAAATAACTTTCTAACAGAGCTGTCCTAAAATGTAAAGTATTGCCCTTTGAGGTAACAAATTCCCTTTCACTGAATATGTTTAAACAGAACAAAAAAAAATGTAAATGACAGACTGTGGACTATTAGTTAAAATGTCCAGAATCTATGGCTTTATGAAAATATTTACTACAACTGATGTAAGAACTTATTTCAGGAAATAGAGCAATCTTGAAAGATTAGAAGCTTTATACCTTAATTTTAATCTACGCCCAAGTTTATCCATTAATAAATATTGAGAATGAACTATATGCCTATACAATTCTTAGTTCTGAAGATATAATAGTGTATGAAATTGACAAATCCCTGCCTTATGACACTTACATAGGGAAAGGGAGAAAAAAGCAAACAATAAGTTTACCAAATTTATCATATACAAACTTCCCCAGTCAATGTATACATTTCTGGCTAGCAATATATTTCTGCTTGAGTAACAGTCAGGGATAATAAAGATCTTTTTTAAGTATCACTAAAGCAGAATAACAGTGAGTAGAGGTGTTAGTTTAAATCTAACTGATGCCCAAGTTGGTAGCCATAACAAGTTCATCCTAAATTCTAGGACACCTATTCTCCATTCCTTTGTAGAACAAAAAAATAAAAAACATCACGGCACATTCTGAAGTACTACTGTTTTATATAAGGGCTTTAGCCAAATTCTTCCTGTTTTAAAATAAATCATGTTAACATTTAAAATTACTCTTTCACTTAAATGAGTACTCATTAGTTTAACAAACATTTTTATTTTATTTATTTATTTTTTTTGAGATGGAGTCTCACTCTGTTGCCCAGGCTGGAGTGCAGTGGTGTGATCTTGGCTCACTGCAATCTCCGCCTCCCAGGTTCAAGTGATTCTCCTGCCTCAGCCTCCCGAGCAACTGGGACTACAGGCGTGTGCTACCACGTCCAGCTAATTTTTGTATTTTTAGTAGAGACAGGGTTTTACCATATTGGCCAGGCTGGTCTCAAACTCCTGACCTCGTGATCCACCCTAGTTTAACATTTTTTATTTGTTACCCTCGGCCTCCCTAGTTTAACAAACATTTTTTTAGGCACTTAGTATCCATGAGGCATAGACCTGCACTGCACAAGAGCAATATAATGTAAGATACATTACAATTGTAAATTTTCTAGACACCACATTAAAAAAGTGAAATTAATTGTATTAATATAGTTTATTTAACCTAATGTATTCAAAATATTATCACTTCAATATTAATCAGTATAAACAAACAAGATGTTTACATTCTTTTTTCTTTCCATTCTAAGTCATTAAAATCCAGTGTGTATTTTTTTTTTTTTTTTTTTTTTTTTTTTTTTGAGACGGAGTCTCGCTCTGTCGCCCAGGCCGGACTGCGGACTGCAGTGGCGCAATCTCGGCTCACTGCAAGCTCCGCTTCCCGGGTTCACGCCATTCTCCTGCCTCAGCCTCCCGAGTAGCTGGGACTACAGGCACCCACCACCGCGCCCGGCTAATTTTTTGTATTTTTAGTAGAGACGGGGTTTCACCTTGTTAGCCAGGATGGTCTCGATCTCCTGACCTCATGATCCACCCGCCTCGGCCTCCCAAAGTGCTGGGATTACAGGCGTGAGCCACCGCGCCCGGCCTCCAGTGTGTATTTTATACTACAGCTCATTTCAATTGAGATTGGCCACATTTTAAATGCTCAATGGTTACATGTGGCTAGTGGCTATAGGAAGTAGAATATTTTACACTACAGCACATCTCAATTCAGGCACTAAATTTTCATAGGAAATACTTGACCTTAATTAGATTTAGACTGATTTAGATCATATTTAGATTTCATGAAATTTACAGTTGAAAAAGTAGATCATATATCTAAGTTATTCCTAATATATTTAAAAATTGTCCAATAATGGAACCAAGTATCGGTTTTTAATTAATAATTAAAACTAAAAATGCAGTCCCTTAGTGGCATTACATGAATTTCAAGTACTCAATAGCCACATATGGCTAGTGCTGCTATACTGGATACTGCGGTAATATTTTCAGACAATGTAGCAAGGAGTTTCCAAAATTATTTTTTTCTCTTCCATTTTCTTTTGAACTGCACCAATTCCGGTCAAAGGACTGGTGAGGAGATTTATTTTTCCTTTAGAAATTATACCCTGCAGAGTCTTGCACAGAAACTGAGACAGTTCCTTTGAATCAAAATAGTCAATAGTCTCTTATTTCCAAAGTTAAGTACTCCAACCCCAATGGAGAGAAAGCTCTCAATTCCCGTTCATGACTGACAATTCTGCCATCCACCGTGCCACCCAAGCTGGAGATAACTTTATGGTTACCAGGTTGTCACTGAATCCTGTGTAATTAGCTAGCTAATACCTTTTCTTCTAGCTTTATTTCATCACCTTCCACTCTACCTTCAACTGTTGCTGCCTTAGTTAGGTACGTATCTTTGATCACCTGGGCTATTTTAAGTACCTTCTAAAGCTAATCTTAAAAACACAGCTCAGGGACATAGATGTATATAATATATATATATATAAGATACATATATATATTATATACGTATTATATATATTATATATATTTTACATATGTAATCACCCAAGTAACCACCACTGAGAGTAACATATAGAACATCCCCAGAACGCAATAAAGTTCCCTCCTGTCCCTGAGCCACCCTGTCACAGCCCAGTATCAAGTAGTGTGATGGATTTCTGACTAGTTTTGCCCTTTTGAACTTCGTGTAAATGAAATTACATAGTATATGTTCATTTGTGTCAGGCTTCTTTTACTCAACATATTATTTGTAAAATTCATCCATGTCATTGCCTGTACCAGTAGATCTTTTTTATTGTTATTTGGAATTCTGTAAGTATTCAAAAATGTATTCATCCATTCTCCTGCTAATGAGACTTTCCAATTTGGGGCCATTATGAATAAAGCTGGTATGAAGATTGATAATGTTGGTTTAAGTATTAAAATAACCCAAAATACATGGTCGATATGTTCTTCTTTCCCTCCCTTATATTGGAGTCACAGTAGAAACTGATGCTGTATATACTACACAGAATGACATTAGACACATTCCAAATCAGTTTGCATTTTAAACAAAAGACAAGCCATGTATACCTTCAATTACTATACATGTTAAGTGCATGCAAGATACATTCATATCACATTAACAGCCACAAACATTAACACCCAATGAATAAAAAAATTTGATTACATTTATTATAACATTTTAGCATCTGCTCTACATTTTCTAATGCATCAAGAAGAGACTAATCTAGGCAACACCAACAGATATTGCCACCCTACCAACCTTATAAGACAAAGCATGTAAAAGGTAATATGTAATCTTAAGATATATCTAAGAGGAGTTACAAAAAGTTTGTTAGTATAACTTTGACCATTTAAACAAGTTCAGTAAATCTGAGCATATAAAATTTCTACTACTTTATAAAATTAGCACCTGCTTATTTCCTTAAAATTATTATTGAAAAATTTAAGTCAAGATAATGCTTAGGTCTGAAACATAGAAAGGAGTAGTAATTTGTATAGATGCTATGCAAATACTATGCACAGATGTGTTAAATGACTGCCGTACCTCCTCCATGGAGGAGATGAAATTAAAACAAATCAGATGTGAAATCGATGTTTTATGAAAATTAATATAACAGCAAAATTAAAATTATTTCCTTCTTTGCCATAATGTTAATCTTTCCTAAACTAAATATTCTATAAGACACTCAATAAAAGTCATTTTATTGCTAGTGGGTTTTCTAGTATTTTAAAGCAAAAGCAGAATGACAAATATAGTATTAAAGTCACTATTCAGATTCATTCAATAACCACAAATAAACACGGATAGTGAACCTGACCTTTAAAAAAATTCCTCTTTTGTGGAAACATCACTTATACTTTGTACTACCATAAAGCTATAAATTCATACAAACTAAAAAGATGACTAAAATCTTCATATTTTTCTCCTTACCTCCCATTCTCTGGCTGCTGCTTGATTACTAGAATCCTCAATTGTTTCAGACTCCTCAATCTTTTTTACTACTATAAATCCAGGTTCTCTGGTATATTCGCCAGTATCTTCTGCATATATTTCTGGACTCCACTGAATGAAGAAGGCATACAAGTGATCTGTCCTGTTAGGAGAAGTGACTATTAATATACCTAGTATTCTGTGCTGCCAGAATTAAAAAATTATATTTGTAAAATATCTTGATAAATCTTGAAGACTTAAAATATACACAAAATATATTGTTTTATATTAATATAAAAGGTCTACTATCAGGAAGGCATTAACTTAAACATTTTATTTGGCTATATTCTGTCAGGTTGTTCTTTAGAAAACCAAATTAAGATTTTCCTTGGCATGTGTTTGACTAGTTCAGATGTTGTATATTATAAAGCTTTTCTTCTTTAAAGACACTAGTGATGGAAAAGGAAATTAGATACACAACTTTGACCTCATTCCTACAATAATCTAATGATCTAAAATACAAGTAAACAATTTATTAATGGCCTATTTTGAGACATTATATACAATTTTCCAAGTTAATAGAAATGTAATGTCCTTAAATTTTAAATGATACTAGGAACATACAGTGTTGAGAGACAGATGATCTAATCTTAGAAATCTCAGGTTCCCCTTTTCAATGTTTTGTTTACTACACTAAAGCCAGTTGTTACATTCCCTGATAAATGTATTTGAGAGTCACACACACATTTCAAATATCTACGTTTTATTGGTTTTAATTAACATGTTTTTGAAAATTGATTATATAACTTTCAGCTAACATATACCAGTTAATAACCATGGTTCTAGAAATTATATTTTCAATATAATGATTTTTAAAATTGCCATTCTTTACGTGGCAGCTAACATATTTAAAAGGTGCTACATTTTATCTTTCAATGTAACATCTTACCTTTTTATCAATTTCTCACTATCTATGCAGCAGTTTTCCTAAGTTTTATGTCTACAATAAAGATCAGAATCCTAATAATACTAATTTGTAATGAATATTAACCAAGATAAAAGAATGAATATTAAAATAGGGAATTCCATGTAAACATTAAAACCAAGAATAATGAGAAAAACTAAATTTTTATGTCCATTTTAACTAAATATAGTTACATTTCTCATTGTAGTGATTTCAACATCACTGGAACGTTTGAATATCAGGCTCTGTCCCTTTCAGGTATTCATCAATTATGCAAATCATATTTTAAGATTAAGCCAATGTTGTGGAAGACACACATTGTACTTACTCTATATATGGTGGAGTGGGAAAAGGGAAAAGAGCATTATCATTTTATGCCTAAAAGCTGTAGTCTTCCAAAGCAACATATAAAGATTTTCCAAGAGGTACACAAACGTGTAAGATGGTGCTAAGGGAATCAATTCGCGTATCTCCAATTTCCATATGTTACTCTTTGCTCATAATAATCTGCCTAAAAACAGTATGGTCAAGATATTTTACAGATTTCCTGTTATCTGCTTTCACTAAAGCACTTTTTCTAATTTATAAAAGAAGGGCATATCTTCACCTACTCAGAATTTACAATGGGATATGCCCTACAGTATAAAAACTTTTAGGCTGCCCAAGATTGGTGTTGAGACAGGAAATGATTATAAAGACTGGGTAATAAGTCCTTCTGTATGTCAGGTTGTTTCTCATTAATTGATTTCCGCAAAACTGAAGGAGTTTTCAATGGAGTTGTCCACTGATGATCACTAAAAATATTGTGACAAAAATGATTAATTTTTGGAATTATATAGAAACAAGTTTAAATAATTGAATGACATTATTAAAATGAAACTCTCTTCAGTCTCACTGACTTTTCTATGAACAAAGCTTCTCAGTACTTATAAAGAAAAATAAAAGGGAGAGGCAGAACTGATGCTGAGTCCTATCTCATCCTTTCAATGAAACATATTAATCTATCAATGGATATAGGAAAGGTCTATCTATCTCCTTAAGACAGGCATTTCCTATGATATTTTACTTTTTATGTGTAATACCTTTGCTCAGCAGTATCTTTTCAAGTATGTTAGTGTAGCATTATCTTAGAAGTAGAGATAGTATCTTACTGTCTAGCAAAGGGTAACCATGCTTACTGTCTGTTATAAAAATTCAGGTTCCCTAAACTTATGGTTCCTCTTCTGTAAAATAACCCCAGGTATGTGCAGCTGTCACTTGGCCTTTTTCACATCCTTTGTAGGAAAGGAGGTACAGAGAAATCACACAATTGCTGATGTTCTGATTACTGCTGTTGTACAGATGTTTGTGCTTTCTCCCAGCATGCACCAAATGGAGGCAGACTAAGTTGTTGGCTTGCAGGTAGCCTAAAACCTTAAACCCTTTACTGTTTTTACAAAAGTCACAGAAAATGTTAAAATAAATGCAATTTCAATATACACACACAGATATGTAAATGTGTTAAGTATATGTAGTTTGTTGCAAAGAACTATAATGGGGATAAAAATATAGTACGTTGTAATGAGTTTGTGTGAGGTGGTATTATGGAAATAGAAGTTTAAAGAGAAAAAGTAATGATGCAATGTCTAACTGTTAAAGTAATTTTAAGTGAATAATAGTACAGGGAAAGTTGTTATAATGTTTCAGTTCTACTGGGTATAAGTAACACTATTTACTTAAAATGTAAAAATTGACAAGATAGTACAATAGACATCTTTTACAACCGCTTAAAACTTATGATGAAAAATCTAATTGTGCAAAGGGTACACACAAATATTGTGAAGACCACTACATCCTTTTAGTAGCTAATTTAGTGTCACGTATATAGAAGATATTTAATGAATATTTGAAGAATTTTTAATATAAAGGAATTATACACCATTAGCTGCCTTCAGGAAGGAGCTATATCAAATAATATTTTGATGAATCTTCTTGCTCCAAGGTATCTTAAGTCTCTTTACTACCCAAATTGGATATTTGTTCACATTTTTAAATAATAAACTACAAAAGGGAATGCAATTAAAAATGGGGCAAATTATAAAGTAGGGGCAAAATGGTTTCAAATAGACTTATTGTCTGCTTTTAATCATAAACTATGTTTCAATAGTTTATCATTGGTATTTTGACACACAAAATAATTTTAGTTCAAAGAATCTCAATAATGCTCTCAAGGTGTCGTATGGGTTTTTTACCTTTCTTGTGGCACAGCAAACCAATATTCATGTTTCTTATCTCTCTGTGCATACTGTTGCATTGTAGCACTTGCTTGAGATACAAACGTTTTCCTCATTGGTTTTCCAACTCTGAGACACAAGAACTTATGTAATCGATGCCTTTGCTTTTCTTTTAAAAGTGCAGAACCTAGAATTGAGATGCAAACAGTGTTTATTCAATTCTCACACACCAAGTTTAGGTAGTTTAGTTAACTTTACCTTCAAAATTCTGACAAATAGTTACAGAATAAAACCTCACTTTAGTGGTGCTAAAGTACATTTTCTTAATTTATATTTTTTTTCCTTCAAAGGTAAAGTCACAGATACAACATGACTAAACTTAACAAAAGAGCCAAGTTAATGAATAAAAATTATGTCTAAGGACATTAAGAAAAAAAGTAAAAGTTTCAGAAACATTGTTACATTTTCAACACCCATACTAAAGCAATCATATATATATACACACACATAATATATATATAATTTTCTACATATTCTCTATCAGTCTTTTTGAATGACATCTAAATAACTGTAGAAGTTTTAAAGGTATACTTAACATGGTTGTTTCAGACAAAAATTTAATGAAGTTTCTAATGCTTTTACATGTATACAAAATTGTAATAAAACAGTCAATAATATGTTAGATTCTGCCACCTGTTTGGACAGTTAATTAAGAACGAATTAGTTCTAACTCTTTCAACCAGAGGTGCTGATAGAGTATACTGAGGGTCTGAATATATAGGTGAATTTAGGAACCCAGACATTGATTAGCTTACCAAGGCAGCACACTGGAGGAAATAGCACTTATAGTCAGGAGACCTGGGTACTCATCATGGCTTTTTCTGTGCAGTATTACACAAGGTAGATAATCTATGGGAACCCCACTATTTTCATGTGGTTAAAACGATGAGCTTTCACCATTCTTCTCATAATTGGACTAGACACTTTTATATTTATTACATAATTTTATTATAAAGTCATAAAGATCAGAAAGTTTGAATATTTCTCTATTACAGAATATTAAGTAACTTAAAATTACTTAAAACTAATTATTCCAAAAAAAGAAGAAACCAAATGGTAACAGTTTAGAGATGACTGTTTAAAAACATCTATCAATTTTTGTCCTTTTAATATTTGGTTATAATAACCTCCCCTAACCCCATTAAACCCCCAACCCCCACAACAAAATTGGTCCACCACATCATCAGCTTAAACAGATTATTTTATCTTTTTCAAAGGTTTTATAATATAAGGTAACTATCAGATGTAGTCAAAGATGCAGTCAAAGATCTTCAAAATATAAGATAACTATCAGATGCATTTTCTGTCTTTGATGTTTTGAAGAATGCTGGGCAGCATTCTTTAAAATGTCTTAACAATACAGATCGTTAATAACAACTGGATGTCTTAATAAGCAAATGGTTAAATAAATTTTAGGGCCTTTAAAGCCATGTTTTCAAAGAACTGTAATCACATAGGAAAAGGTTCATGACATAAAAAAGCAGGATACAACAGTATAGTATAATCTTGATTTGATGTAAATAACAAATTAACACATATGATTTTGTTCTATAAGAAAGACAGATATATTGAATGTTAACAATGATCATCTCTGGGTGATGAATTCCAGAAGATTTTTATAAATTTTCTAGAATCTTCCTATGTTTGCCAAATGTTCTTTACTGAACATGCATTAGTTTTGAATTAAAAAAATATTACAGAAGAAAAATATTAAATCTTTTATAGAACTTGGTTCAAGTATTAATATATGAATTATTTTAATATCTACTGAACACAGCCCTTAGGTCTTCAGGATATCTCAACTGCATGATGAAAAGAAAATTCGGTATTTTAAAAACTGACCCAAATCTTGTGTACTGCCGCAGGGAAGGTAAAATGGTGCAGCCACTATGGAAAACAGTACGGAGGTTCCTCAAGAAATTAAACATAGAGTTACCACATGATCCAGAATTCCACTCTGGGAATATACCCAAAAAAAACTCAAAGGAGGGATTCAAACAGATATTTGTACACTAATGTTCAAAGCAGCATTATTCACAATAGCCAAAAGGTTGAAACAACCAAAATGTCCAGCAACAAATGAACAGACAAAATGTACACACATACAATGGAATATTATTCAGCCTTAAAAAGATAGGAAATTCTGACACATATTACAGAATAAATGAACTTTGAAGGCATTATGTCAAGTGAAATAAGCCAAACATCAATGGATAAATATTGTATGACTCCACTCACATGAAGTATCTAGAGTAGTTAAATTCAGAAACAAAGTAGAATGTTGGTTGCCAAAAGCTATGAGGAAGGGAGAAAAGCAAGTTACTGGTTTTTGTTTTTTATTTTTTTGTTTGAGACAGCATCTTGCTCTGTTGCTCAGGCTGGAGTGCAGTGGCATGATCATGGCTCATAGCAGCCTCGACCTCCTGGGTTCAATCAATTCTCCCATCTTAGTCTCCCGAGTAGTTGGGCCTACAGGTGTGCACCATCACCATGTCTGACGAATTTTTGTAATTTTTTTTTGTAGAAACAGGGTTTTGCCATGGTGCCCAAGCTGTTCTCCAACTCCTAGGTTCAAGCAATCTGCCTGCCTCAGCCTCCCAAAGTGATAGGATTACAGGAGTGAGCCACCATGCCTGGCCAACTTATTGTTTAAGGGGTACAGAGTTTCAGTTTTAGAAGATGAAAAAAGCTCTGGAAATGGACAGTAGTGATGATCTGCATAACAATGTGAATGTACTAATGCCACTGCATTGTAGATATAAAAATGCTTCAAATAATATATTTACGTTACATTTTACCATAATTTTAAAAAGTTAAATGGTAAATTTTATTTTATGTATTACAGCAAAACAAAAATCTTTGAATTTAAAAAATGAAAGAAAAGTTCACATGTGAATGGACTAGTCTGGGATAAACATTCTAATAGAATATCAGAAATGTTAGCTAAGTTAGTTGTTATACCCCATTTAACCCATAATTTATTAACAGAAGCACAGTATATTAGAAATAAAAGACTGAAAATAGTGTAATTTTCAGAAGTAAACAGTACCAGAAAACTGACAGATAAAATAGTGTTTTTATTTGTCCTGAGGGCAGGTTTTTAAAAGAAAATAATTAGATGATGATGATGAAACTTCTCGATACGTGGAAGAATTCTGTAAGTACACTTTTAGGTTTAACTGTACATTTTATAAAAGATGGGATTACAACTTTGGCAATTAAAATGTTATATATGAAAAAAGACATTTTTAATGGTAACACACCAAAAACTTTTTAAGAGAAAATGGAGTGATCAAAGGTATTATACAGCTTTTGTGCAATTTCTCAAGAAATAAATTGTTTAATGATACGATGTAGTGAGCCAAGAATGTTTAAACATGGTGGGTAGCAATGATGCTCATTATGTGTACAATCCACCTGTGGGATAAGAAAAGACAGTAGACACTGGAGACTGTATATACTTGTCCCCAGAGAATCACCGGTCAAGGGTCACTCACTTATCCTTCAGGTTGCCCTAAGGTACAGCGGCTTTTGAGTCAGTGAGGAAAGACGGAGACACCATACAATTGGATGAACTAACTTCATTTACTCTATAACACTTACTTTCTATGTGTCCATCAGCAGATGTAATTTTATGCTTAGCTTCTTTTTGTGACACTTGTTGAATATTTTCCCTTTGCTGTTTAGTTTGTTGCATAGTATGGGTTTTCCAAAGTTTGCGTAGCTCTTCTGCCTCTGTCTGTGAGTCCTGATTTTGCTCCTTTCCTTGTTTTCCTTTGTTAACACTTTGCTTTTGTTTAAATTCTGCTGTTTCCCCACAAGGCATATTTTCTTTTTGACTCTCTTCTTGGTGTAACGAATTCTCATGAAGAAAAGAATCCTGGTCTGAATTACCTTTTATACTTGTGCTGTCTTCTTTAGGACCTGATATTCCTTGAAAGTTATCTGCAATCTGATCTTCCTTAATGGCCATTTCAAGATTATTTAAATCAGTTTTATGACATAAAGTCCCAACTTCATTTGTAGAATGTTCAGTATCAGATCTTAAGTGACCAGGAGTACCAGTAGATTCTGATTTGACTGTCAGACTTTCTACTTCAGCCTGATTGACAGTTTGCACAGATTCTGATGACGCACCAGAAGATTTATCTTGTCGCAGTTCATCTGAAGATACAAGCTCCTCTCGTATAGGGGAAAGTTCTGATTCTGTGAACACATCTTCAGAAAGAGACTCCTCAGTGCTCCTAGGAGCAGTGCTGGCACTATCATTACCTGCATCTCGGATTCTTGAGTCTATTTCCTCAGTGTTACTTCCTGTCATTTTCTTTGAATGGCAGAAGTCCCTTCCTGATAGCTGATCTATATCTCTGTCATTAAACAAAATTAAAAATAATTAGACTTTTAAAATTGTGGTATTTTACTTTTCACACACTGAACACAGAATTAGTATCACTAAAAAGACTTTTTAACAAAAGGATGTAGCACGTATCTCCAAAGAATATAAAAAATCTGATTTATTCAATATGACCAAATAATTAACCTTATAGACCAAGTAATTCTATAAATCAAGTAATTAAGTCAAACTTTTATATCAATTGCTTAATATTTAGGAAATATCAAAGTAAGATTTCCTTGCAAGTAATCCACTTGAAGGGAACTTGATGACATAAACCCTGGGTAAAGCTGTAATTCTAAACTAAAATTTACTCACTGATGGAATATGGAAAATAAACACAGAGAAATGTTTAATTAAAATTTTAAATCTCCCAATAAAGTAAAAATAAACTGATTTCCATAGATATACACACACACACAGTGCTTATTTACATTCAAATAGAGCTTAAATTAAAATATATGGCTCAAATGTAAGGCTTAAAACCAATCTGAATAAAACTCAAGCAAAAGTATATAGAGAAAATCTTCAGGCTAACAACTATACTCTTTAATACCTCTAAGAGAACTTGTTCAGGTGAAAAGTTTAGATACTAGACAAATGAATGGTTCATAACTGGGTCTAGACTTTCAGATTTAATGACATTTGTATATGTAAACACTAATGTTCAAAAGTTAAGTTCTGGAAAGAGGGAGTGTAAACCTCTATACCATGAAATGTAAGTTGCTAATTTAAAATGATGGTTACAAGAAGTCTGTGATAAATGAAAATTATATGAGTTCTTAATGAAAAAAGCATTAACATTTATACATACATAGTTTGAGAACCATGTAAAATATGCTGAAAAGGAAAGATTGTAAAGTAAGTCAACACAAAAATAATTGGCTATCTCTGAATGGTGAAGCTGGGTAACTCTTTGTCTTGTTCCGCTTTTCAGTATTTTCCAATTTTTCTGCAACAAGTATGCATAATTTCTATAACTAGGATGGATAAATTTTTGAAGTATTAATTAGTTGAAGTCAATATCTCTGCTGCCTTTGTATCTGATTCATCTTAAAAAAACAAGAATCTAGTTTGTTATTAAATATACAATAGTGTCATCTACTGGTGATGCACTCATACTGCATCTATAGGGTGTTGGAACCGGGCAAAAGTTTTGAGAAATTTTATCTGTACATTTAAAGAATTAGAAGACCCTTAGGTAAGAGATAAACATAACAAACGTGACAGGATATATATTTAGAAAAGTGCTATACTCTTCAGATTTAATATGCTGAAAGGCTAAACATTTATGTCAATGATGTTACTACTGTTGAATGTAATACCATAATAATACCTTTGAAATCAACCTCCCAAGGAGCATAAGACAGAAGAAAAGCAATCAAATCTTATACCTCATTTTTGGCATACATTTGTTTTATTTATCTAATTTTGTGCCAAATATTGTTTTTAATCAATCCATAAGGCAGAATTTAAAGATATTTCTTTCTGAAGAAATATCTTTAAATATTTAAATCCAGGTGACACTTTCCAGCTGACAATGAATGACAAAACAGTGATTTGAAAGGGAAGAGCTATACAGCATCCTTGTAGAACAGTGATGGATTGTTCAGAATAAGAGAACCCCAAAGTACCATATTGCAAATGGAAAAGGACAAAGCCAGGCATCGTGGCTCACACCTATAATCTCAGCACTTTGGCAGGCCTACGCCAGTGTATCACTTGAGGTCAGGGGTTCGAGACCAACCTGGCCAACATGATGAAACCCCGTCTCTACTAAAAATACAAAAATTAGCCAGATGTGGTGGCAGGTGTCTGTATTCTCAGCTACTCGGAAGGCTAAGGCAGGAGAACCGCTTGAACCCAGGAGGTGGATGTTGCAGATCGTGCTATTGCATTCCAGCCTGGGTGATAGAGCGAGACTCCATCTCAAAAAAAAAAAAAAAAAAAAAAAAAAAAAAAGAAGAAGAAAGAAAGAAAAAGAAAAAGAAAGAAAAGGAGGACAACAGAATCTCACCAATGACTCTCTCTCTCTCTCTCTCCATATATGTATATATCCTTCCTCTTCTTTGAATGTAATCCTTCACTCTTTTACCTTTGTCTCATCCCATTATCCACCTCCCAATAATCCTTATTTGCTGAAACTGGCCTTGGATGATGATCTACAAATATAACTAATACAGAGGATACTAACACCTTCTAGGAATTATCTGCAGCTCTAAAGATTAGTCTACCAAGTCAAAATAATATCTGTTGGGTGGAAGGTACAGTGGAGACTTTTGAGCAAAGGATTTTATTCTGTCACAGATATTCTACCAATTCATTTAGTCTTCCTCAGAAACAAAAATAATTTGTCCCTTTTTTCCTTTGTAAGTTGCTCTGCCCCACAAGGGTTAATTTTAAAACAGCTATCATTCCTGTGGGCTAATACAGGGATATAAATATCAGTATCAGTTAAAGTGAAGACAATTTTAAAATGTTGGTAGTCATGTATGAAGGAATGAGGAGGTTATTTCCTAGTACATATCAATTTCCTTCCTTGCTACTTCTCCTTCCTTTCTTTTTATACCTATCTTTTATCTTTTTCTCCTTTTATTTCCCATTCCTCCTTTTCTTTCTGGCCATTACTTTGGACAAGCATATTACTTTCAAAAGCTGTGTCCAAACTGTAGTCTCACAGCTATCTTAACATATCACACAAATCCTCTGACCAGTATATTCCAAAGTTAACTCTTTATATTTGAGCAAGTTGTGGGTTTTCTTCCCTGTACTTTACACTGTATTTTATACTGGGAGAGAAGATTGCAAACATATAAATCAATCAATTAAAAAAAAAAAAGCTGTCTTGCCCACAGCAATGTCAGCTCTTTGCTCATGTGGCCTCTCTCAAATCACAGCTCTTCAGTCACTTCCAAGGGAAATTTGAAAATTATCCCAACAGTGATTGCTCACAGGGGTAATTTAGAAGACTGGAAGCTGTGTCTGAATAAAAAGGCTGGTAAACACTGAATTAAATGGGCACTATAGGTTACTTTTCAAATATCTGGTTCTCTGACCACATACACAAATACAAATCTAAGATAATTCATAACTATCCCAGGTGCAAATTAAGAATAATCTTCTCAATAATGCATATATTTTCGTTTCATTATTGACAAAATAAAAGGCAGCTATAAGAAAACTAGTAAAAATAGTTAAGGTATTAGACAAGGGTCAACTATCTAGATACAATAAAGTTGCAAAGGAATATAAATATCACTCTTACATGGGTAAAGATTCCTTTATTTTGCTATCCAAAATTTCTTTGTACATTGCAGCTGACATCACCTCTTCCATTGGACACATGATGCCATATTCCTCACAGCCATTCTCTTGAACCAAAGGGTCATTTTTATGTGGATCAAACATTATATTATTTGGTGTAACTAGCAGCACACCACTGACTGTGCCCTAAGGTGAAAAAAGAAAGTAACATTTAATCCTCAAGGTTGATACTTCAAAAATTATCTAGCTATTTTTACTAATTTTCTTCTGATGTTAGGCCATATATAAAAATAGTACACTCAGGAACTGTGGCATTCTCATGAAACCATTTTTATTAAAACCCAAGTTTTCCCAGTAAATTCTCCTCTTTAGGAGAGGTAGAATATCATATTTCCCCAAAGACAATCAAGTAAGGAAATAAAATGTGCAAACTGAGTAAAATACTGAGTTACCTCATATCAGAAAGGTAACTTCAGTAAGGTAAGAAGCGCCACCTTTTATGTTAATTTGCATACTGCTTCCTGTGTTATTCCCTCACTACAAGTACCAAATACAGTGTCATGTATACAGTGCAGACTCAATAAATAATGTTGATAATATTATAAAAGGAAAAGAGTATAATATCTTTAAAACATCTCTTTAAAAAATCTGTTTCCACTTGACTCTACTACTACCTAGATTTGTGACCTTGGGCAAGGAGTCTCTGGGCTTATTTCTTCATCTGTAAAATTAAGTAGATTATATGACATCTAAAGTATATAGTGTATATATACTTTTAACTCACCATGAAAAGCTATAAAATTTTAAATATATTTATATAAATAGTGATACAGGGCAGGCACGGTGGCTTACGCCTGTAATCCCAGCACTTTGGGAGGCCAAAGTGGGTGGATCACTTGAGGCCAGGAGTTCCTGGCCAACATGGTGAAACCCCATCTCTACTGAAAAACACAAACTAGCTGGGCCTGGTGGCATGTGCCTGTAATCCCAGCTACTTGGGAGGCTTAGGCATGCAAATCGCTTGAACCCATGAGGCAGAGGTTGCAGTGAGCTGAAATCACACCACTGCACTCCAGCCTGGGCAACAGAGTGAGACTCCATCTCAAAAAAATAAAACAAATAAATAAATAAATAGTGATACAAATCTTAAAAGTTTAACCTTCTTACTTTATAAATGAGCAAACTAGGGTCCACAGGCAGCTGATCATACTAACATGAATATTTATTGAATACTTTATATGTACCATGCTTTATATGCATATTGCTTATTTGATCTTCACAATCATAGCTCTGAGATGGGTAAAACCATTTCCATTTTACTGATAGAGAAACTAATGGTGAGAAACACCTGGAAACTTGTCCTAAACAGCTAGGATTTGAAGTCCAGCTAGTTCATGCTTTATGCTATATATAATTCCTCTGTATCCAAGTCACAATCCATAATCACTCCAAGGGTGCAACATTCCTTAATTTCATTTTCAAATTTTCAGTCCACTATATATCCTGTAACTGTAAAAATGAAGAGCCAGAAAGAATTTTAAAAATAAACTAAATAGCTTCTTATCCAAAGAAAAAGAAAAACTCAAATCCTGATTGATTTGGCATCACATCCTCCTCCCAAGTCCATATTCAGCTCTGTGAATTCACCTGGTTCAACTTTAAGAATATAAAAATTAAGTTATGGCAGATATTGCTTTTAAAAATGATAAAATAAAAAGTAAATCTACAGAAAATGGTCATCCAATCACAAGTGAAAAAAAGTTACTGCGGATGTTCAAGATCACATACAGTTAATGCACACAATATTGGAGAGAAGAGTATATGTGTGTGTGCAGTTTGGTGAGGGAGAGGGAATCCATATGAAACTCTGAATAGCACCTCTTTTAGTTGAGGACGTGGACCACCTAAATAAGGAGTAACTTTATATAAACTACAGCCTATTTCTCTTTCAATTAATATTTTAATGAGATCCATACACATCAGTTTGTATTCCTGGGTCACATACCAACTCAAGTCAATGAGAGATGGTAAAGTACATTGTAGAGAACATTTACATTGTCTAGGATAATCCAAGATGTAGATAATCAAGGATAGAGTATATTTGATATTAAAAAAAAACAACTTTAAAGGTTTCTGATCTTTCATAACTTTCTCTCTCCCATCTTCTGTAAACTTATTTGAGAAAGGAAACCAAGCAATCAACTAGAAATAAAAAAAAAATCAAGCTCTAAATTCTCTGAAACACTTCAGGTTACTCTCCATTTCATAAATTTCACTTTTGCATTAGTTTTAACCAATTATTTGGTTCACTAGCATAATACTACATTTTATCTTTTAGGAAGATTTTCACAAAGACAGTGATAACTAGCTATGTATGACAGAAAAGCCTCAGTATACTGATAATGCTTTTAATTCTCTATATACCTTAATACCTTAATCCTAGTACTGTAACTATACAAATCATTTGAAAAGCATCTCAAAACCATGAGTCTACTTTTTGGATTAGAAAGAGTTTGAAGTCCTACCCACTAGACTGATCAATCTGCTAATGTTACTTTCCAGGAATCTCCCTTATGTGCTATTACTAAAAAGACACACTGATATATTCTTTAAGTTTCTTTCCCTCTGCTACACACTCAAAGTTCCCATACAGCTGGGGCTTTCTGCGGTAATCTGTTAGACATCATTCTCCATAAATCAAGAGTTTGCCAAGAGAAACATTTCTTCAACATAAAATTCATGAAAATGTCTTGAAAAAGTAAATTCTCAAATTCATTTGATCAAGTTGAAAATCATAAGCTTATACCAAAGCACTCCCATCTCATTATTTTTAAAATATTTCATAACTCCTACATATTATCAGGATTATATTAAGACTATTATGAGCAAGACGTTTTCAATTAAAGTATCTACTTAATCCACATGAACTTCAGAAACTTTAAGCACAGATTATTCTTTTGTATTAACAACTTCCATTTCCTTACGTGCAATTACCTGACTAATCTTCTAAAGAGAAATTATTTCTATTAGAAAATAAAGTAAAAAAAATAAAGTCTATCTGCAAAAGAAAAATTACCACTTACATTACAATATTTCTGCAAATACTAAGAGATAAAATCATTATAATTGGGAATCCATCCTAGCAAAGAGAAAAGCTTGTACTGATATTTTTTCAGTCTTACATCCACAATAACTTAGCCATTATAGTTATTGTTAATAAGTTTCCATAATTGTTACATAAATAATCTTTTGTATAATCAACTTGTAGGAAGATGAAAAAAGAAAAAACGACTTCCATGAGAAAGCACCACTTCCTGCTTATCTCCTTTTGTGCAGCAGAATGCACAGAGCCAGCCTATAACAAGGGATTACGTTCCAAAAACACTAGGCTGCAGATCATTCCTAATCCTGCCAATGACCTTATCTTTGCTTTGATCTTTAAATAAAATTTTTATTCAGATATCAAATGAACTTCTGCTTCTAGTCAAGAACTAATGCTGCCTAAAACTACAATAAACACACACATGCATACACACACCAAACTTACACGAACAAAATATGTGACATAATATTTTCAGACACCGGAATGCTAGGCAATGATACCTGAATAAGGAGAAACACATAAGATCAGCTCTTTGATTACCGAAGCATACTGAGTGGAGAAAGTTTCCAGTCCACAGGCAGAGAAAAAACAAGCAAAACAAACAAACAACCCAGAAATGAGCACTGTCCAGTGAGAAAGCTTTAGAGGTCTACAAAGGGTTCCCTTCCAGCTTTGAACTGAGTACTGATTACCACCTACATGTATCGCAGCTATCCAACGATAAGAAGAGAGTACTTGAAAGGAGCAGAAGAATCAATAGTCAGCGCCCACACAGTAAGAATAGTTCGTGTTCTCACTAAACATTAAAGCAAAAAAAAATCTTGTATTTACAAAGCCTCAGAATACTTACAAGTGTATTATTGTCTTAGTAAGGAGAAAAATTAGCTACACACTAAAGGCTATTCTGGTCCTAACAAAACTTATGAACAAGCCATTACCAAGTGATCATCAAAGAAATAAAAGCCACAATAGGATCAAGAAATAACTGTGTCCCAGATAAAAAGTGCAAGAATATATGTAGGAATACAAAAATATTCAGTATCCAATTACATAAAATTCATGATGTCTGGTAGCCAATCAAAAATTACCAGGCATGTAAATAAACAGAAAAAAATGAACCACATTAAAGAGAAAAATCAATAAACGCAAACAGACCCAGAAGTAACAGAGTACAAAAAAAAAGACGTTAAAACAATTATTATAACCATATTCAACAATATAGAAGATTATACACAGTATGGATATGGAAAATATAAGGGACCCAGTATGAACTTACAGGGAGAAAAATTGCAATGTGTGAGATGAAATATGCTGGATAGGATTAAGAGTAGATTAGCCATGGCAGAAAAAAAATTGGTGAATTTAAAAACAAGCAATTAAAATTATCCAAAATGAAAAGAGAAGGAAAAAAGTGAATGGAGTATGAGGGAGCTGTGAGACCCAATGTTAAGTAGCCTAAAATATGCAGAATTGGAGTTCCCAAAGAAGAGGAAAGAGAGGATGGGAGGCAAAAAATATTGGAAGAAATCTGGTCAAATATTTTCCAAATTTGGCATGAACTATAAACCTACAGAACCAAGCTAAAGGAACCCCCAGCAAAACAAATAGAAAAAAATATACCAGGGCACATCCTAATAAAATTGCTCAAAATCAGTGATAAATAGAACATCTTAAGTGCAACCAAAGATAGACACATTTTTTAACAGAACACCAAACATAAAAATAATGCAAGACTTCACTTTAGAAAAACACAAGCCAGAAAACAATGGAGTAAATTTTTAAAGTTCTGAAAAGAAATAAAACCTCATCAACTGAAAATTCTGTCTAGTGAAAATATCCTTTGAAAATGAAGAGGATATCTGGGTAGAAAATAAGCATGTAAGAAGAAGCTCGGCAGCTGCAGCCATTGCCTTGAGTGAGTGTGCCGCTCTCCAGCCCGTTTGAACGCTCCCCGCAGCCACCGCCACCCATTGGAATGGCCAACAGGGGACCTGCATTATGGCCTGAGCCAGGAGGTGCAGCAGAAGATTGAGAAACAGTATGATGCAGATCTGGAGCAGATCCTGATCCAGTGGATCACCACCCAGTGCCGAAAGGATGTGGGCCGGTCCCAGCCTGGACGCGAGAACTTCCAGAACTGGCTCAAGGATGGCACGGTGTTATGTGAGCTCAATAATGCACTGTACCCCAAGGGGCAGGTCCCAGTAAAGAAGATCCAGGCCTCCACCATGGCCTTCAAGCAGATGGAGAAGATCTCTCAGTTCCTGCAAGCAGCTGAGCGCTATGGCATTAACACCACTGACATCTTCCAAACTGTGGACCTCTGGGAAGGAAAGAACATGGCCTGTGTGCAGCGGACGCTGAGGAATCTGGGTGGGTTGGCAGTAGCCTGGGATGATGGGCTCTTCTCTGGGGATCCCAACTGGTTCCCTAAGAAATCCAAGGAGAATCCTCGGAACTTCTCGGATAACCAGCTGCAAGAGGGCAAGAACGTGATCGGGCTACAGATGGGGGGCATCTCAGGCAGGCATGACTGGCTACTGGATGCCACACCAGATCCTTTGATCCCACCCCAGGCCTTGCCCCTGCCCTCCCACGAGTGGTTAATATACATGTAGATATATATTTTAGCAGTGACATTCCCAGAGAGCCCCAGAGCTCTTAAGCTCCCTTCTGTCAGGGTGAGGGGTTCAGCCTGTCCTATCACCTCTGAGGTGCCTGTTGGCAGCCTCTCCCCCGTGCTTACTAATACATTCCCTTCCCCATACCCATCAAAACTGGACCAACTGGCCTCTTCTTTTCCCCTGGGATCAAAATTTAGGGGCCTCAGTCCCTCACCGCCATGCCCTGGCCTGTTCTGTCTCTCCTTTTTCCCCCTGGCCTGTTCTGTCTCTGAGCTCTGTGCCCTCCGTTCATTCCATGGCTGGGAGTCAGTGATGCTGCCTCTGCCTTCTGATGCTGGACTGGCCTTGCTTCTACAAGTATGCTTCTCCCACAGCTGTGGCTGCAGGAACTTAATTTATAGGGAGGAGCCTGTGGCAGCTGCTGCCCCAGCCACAGCTGCACTGACTGTGCTCACCACACATCTGGGGCAGCCTTCCCTGGCAGAGGCCCTCATGGCTTCTCATTTTCCATTCCCTTCACTGTGGCTAAGGGGTGGGGTGAGGGGACGGAGAGGGAGGGCTGCCTACCATGGTCTGGGGCTTGAGGAAGATGAGTTTGTCGATTTAAAGAATTTGTCATTTCTGAATAGGAAAAAAAAAAGACGCTTAATATAATATGCCATTAGAGAATTTCTAATTAACACAGTGAGATATTACCACTACGGATCTATTAGAACGGCTGAAGTCTAAAACACTGAAAACATCAAATGCTGGTGAGGCTGTGGAATAGGGATTCCCATTGCTTATTGGATACAAAATAGCACAGGTCCTTTGGAGGAGAGTTCTTCAGTTTCTTACTAAGCTAACAATGGTCTTACCATACCATCCAGTAATCATGATTCTTGATATTTTACCTGAGATGAAAACTTACCACACAAAACCTGCACATGAATGTTTAAAGTAGCTTCATTTACAAGTGCCAAAACTTAAGAGTGATCAAGATGTCATTTAATAGTGGAATGGATAAACTACAGTACATCCACTCAGTGGAATATTCAGTAATATTAGTAAAAAGAATTAAGGTGTCAATCCGCAAAAGACATGGAGGAATCTTAAACACACATTGCTAAGTGAAAGAAGCCAATATGAATTCATTCAATCATACTCTATGATTCCAACTATATGACACTCTAAAAAAAGGCAAAACTACAGAGAGAGTAAGACGACCATTAATTATCAGGAGTTCAGGGAAAGAAAGGGAAGGAGGGATGAACAGGTGGTGCATAGAGGATTTTCAGCCCAATGAAACTAATCTGGTAATACTGTAATGATAGATAAATGTCACTATACATTTGTTATAGCCCACAGAATGTACAAGAGAGAATCTTATGGGCTTTCCTTGGTGCCTGAATACTGCTTCATTGATTGAAACAAATATAGCACACAAAAGCAAGATGTTAATAAGGGAAACTGGGGAAAGGGGGAGAGTATAAATATGAATTCTAATTTCTGCTCAATTCTTCCGTCCATTTAAAACTGCTCTAAAAATGAAAGTATATTAATTAAAAAAAATTCAATGGACCAAAAAAAGATAAAGTGGCATAAAATTTAAAAGTTAGGGATCCTTTTTTATAAACACACATATAATTTTGAAAATGTACATAAACGTGCCGGGTGCGGTAGCTCACGCCTGTAACCCCAGCACTTTGGGAGGCTGAAGCAGGCGGATCACGAGGTCAGCAGTTCGAGACCAGCCTGGCCAACATGGTAAAACCCCCTCTCTACTAAAAAAATACAAAAATTAGCCAGACGTGGTGGCATGTGCCTGTAGTCCCAGCTACTCAGGAGGCTGAGGCAGGAGAATTGCTTGAACCTGGGAGGCGGAAGTTGCAGTGAGCTGAGATCAGGCCACCGCACTCCAGCCTGGGCAACAGAGTGAGACTCTGTCTCGGAGAAAAAAAAAAAAAAGAAAATATACATAAACATGATAGTAACATTTAATAAAATAAGGAAAAACAGACTTTTTCAAGGCAAATAAACACTGAAAGAATTTATCACTAGCTGACCTACACTGTAAGAAATTTAGAAGTCCTTATATAAAAGGAAAAATGATACAAATGGAAATCTGCAACTATAAAAAAGGAATGACAAGTGTAGGGAATAAGTAAGTGGATAAATATAATAGACTTTACCCTTATTTTAAAAATTATTTTAAATTAACTTTTTAAAGCAAAAATAATAACAATGAATTGTGTTTATAACATGTAGAAATAAGAGGTGTTACGATAAGAACACAAAGGCTGGAAGGGGGAAATAAAAGTATACTGTTGTAAGGTGTGTGTACTATATGTAAAGTGGCATATATAATGCTACTTAAAGTGAGAATGTGACATATTAAAGATATATATTATAATATACATGTAAATATATATAAATATTTTATATTTATATATATATAAATATATATAAATATGTAAATAGATAAATATATTTATCTATTAAATATATATATTATATATAAATGTATTTATATATTAAATATATATATTATATATATAAATGTATTTATCTATTAAATATATATGTATTTATCTATTAAATATATATGTATTTATCTATTAAATATATATATTAATATATAAATATATATATAAATATATAAAAATATATTTATATATTAAATATATAAACATATATTTATATATTAAATATATAAACATATATTTATATATCAAATATATATAAACATATATTTATATATCAAATATATATAAACATATATTTATATATCAAATATATATAAACATTTATATATCAAATATATATAAACATATTTATATATCAAATATATATAAACATATTTATATATCAAATATATATAAAAACATATTTATATATCAAATATATATATAAATATATTTATATATCAAATATATATAAAAATATATTTATATATATTAAATATATATATAAATATATATATAAATATATAATGTATGGCAAAAACAGATAAATAAAACTGAAAGGCAAAAACAGATAAATCCACAATAACAGTGAGATAGTTCAAAATTCTTCTATCAACAACTGACAGACAGAAAATCAGAAATACAGGACACTATCACTCAATTTGATTTGATTGACACTTGTGGAATATTCCACCCAACACAAATATAATGTGTCTCTTACAGTGCACACATTACATTTATTAAAACATACGATATTCTAGACCATAAAACAGGTCTAAATAAAGCCTTCAAATAGTAGTGTGTTCTCTGATCACACAGAATCGAATTAGAAATTAGTAAAAGACAGTTATCTAGAAAAATAAAACACTCTCAAATGGGTCAAAGAAGAAATCAAGAGAAAATATTTTAAAGTAAATGAAAATGAAAACACAACATTTAAAACAATATTTAGGGCAAAATGCATACCACTAAATGCTTATTATGTGTTTCAAATACTCATAAATTTATGAATTATACTTCAAAGAAATAGTTCTCATGTGTGAATTCTAAAGGCAGTATCATGTTATAGACATTTTTTGAGCAAAATCTGGAGTTTATTTTCCAACTCTATTACTTTACTATATTCTCTTTTCAGATTAGAAGTTTTTGCTTAGAAAAGCAACAAAGTGAAGCAGACAAAATAGATTCTGGGCTGGGTGCGGTGGCTCACACCTGTAATCCCAGCACTTTGGGAGGCCGAGGCAAGTGGATCACCTGAGGTTAGGAGTTTAAGACCAGCCTGACCAACATGGTGAAACCCTGTCTCTACTAAAAATACAAAAAGTTAGCCAGATGTGGTGGCGAGTGCCTATAATCCCAGCTACTCAGGAGGCTCAGGCAGGAGAATTGCTTGAACCCAGGAGGCAGAGGTTGCAGTGAGCCGAGATCACGCCATTGCACTCCAGCCTGGCTGATAAGAGCGAAACTTCATCTCAAAAAAAAAAAAAAAAAAAAAAGATTCTGACTAGGTTTGAATTCTGGCCATTATAGAGAGATCTTGGACCTATTAACCTTTCCTATGAACCCTTCCTGTTTTGTTTTTCCCTGTGGAAAAGAAATATGACTGCCTATTTCACAAGATTGTTTTGAATTGATAAAATAATTAAGATACCTCAAATACTCTCTGGCATATAGAAGGTACTCAATAAATACTAGATATCTTCCTATTTGTGTGCTATACTAGTTATACAGAAGTTCACACTCCACACAGTACCTGGCAGCAGTCATTTTATTCACACTTTTGAAATATCCTACCAACAGCAACTTAGCTGTGCCTTAGTGAATTTATTTATATTCCATTACTTTTAACAATTACAACAGATCACCAGACTCTAAGTTATAAGCAACATCCATACTAACCCAAAATAATAGTATCACTAGTACCTTTCTATAATATTCAAGCATTTTCTGACATTGATGACTTAAAATGTAAATGCCAAACTATCATACATTAGTAATAACTAAAGCATGATTAAAGGTCTTCTCTAAAGTGTCATTCTTTACCTTGCCACTGGTAATATATTTGCAATTAATTTTAAGAAATTTCTCAGTAAATGCTTCCTCCTCCTCAGAAGTTGAAGATACAACTCGTGCAGGTCGAATACCAGTGAAAGTAGATGAGGGAGTTGCTTCTGTTGGATGGACATCAGGATTCTTTTTTTTTTTTTTAAAGGAAAGAAAAAAAAAAGCAGAAAACAAAATAAAAATGAGCACACTATTAAAAAGTCAAATGAATAGCTTTCCCCAATAAGTGTTGTTTCATTTCACCGCATTCTGGAAGTCAGCCCGAAATATTTTTACGTACAAATTATAGGACAAAAGTGGCACTATTTTCATATTCAATAAAGATCACAAACACAGGTTAAACTTACATTTATAGTGATTTTTAATAGGGAGATACACATATCTATAAATTTAAAAAATAAAATAATCTGGAGAACAGTGAACACTACATCTCTTGTACCCACACCCAACACATACACACACGTGCACACACACTCAGATGCTCCTGAATTAAACCACTGACTCTGATAAGACCATATAATATAATATCCATCAGGTGCTGGGAGCAGTAAAAAGGTGGAAAGCTTACCTTAGTACCTAAGCATACAGCAGAACCCATTCACTGGAATAGCCTTTTAAATCTCGAGCTACAGTTGATAAATCCCATTCCACTAGATCACAAGTTTCTTAACTTTTTTGGTGCTACTGACCATTCTTACAGTGAAGCCTATGAACCAGCTTCTCAGAATGTTTTGGAATGGTCAAAATAAAATAGAGAATTATAAGGAAAAACAAATGGAAACAACATGGTATTAAAACATTTTTTAAAAACAAACTAGAGGTATAGTTATATATATATGTGTATATATATATGTGTGTGTGTGTGTGTGTATATATATAGACACACACACACATATATACGCTTCTTGGTTTTTTTTTGTTGAACTTAAGCTTAGCCAAGTTCAATAACTTGACAAATGAGTAAGGAGCTAAGATGCAAACCTATGTTATCAACACACAAACCAGTGAGCTTAACTGTAATATTGTATCGCTTCCCTTTCAAATCTTCTACCAAACAACTCAAAAATATGCTAAGAAAAAAATAGCTGATGCAGAGCTATAAGAGGGTCCCCTGCAAACTGGCAAAAAGCTATCAACAAATTTTGTGATTCCTCAATTCCCCCAAAACTGAGTTAACCGCATTAGTCACACACAAATATAAATATATGTGTGTGTATATATATATATATATATATATGTATATATATGTGCACATTGTCATATGCTTTCCTTAAATGAAGATATGCCTTTTTGAACAATATATGATCTCTGAGGTTACCTGAAAGTCTGAACTCAGTATCTATAGCAATACCAATTTGTCAATGTAATTCTTTTAAAAAGAATATGAGATTAGCAAATGCTCAAAGCAAAGCACAAAAAAGGAGATTACTTTCAAAAAAGATCAAAGTTGTTCAGAGGAATTACCAGACCTCACCGTAACTTACATAAATGTACACTATTCAAAGTATTAGTATCTCTATGTAGATGGTTTTGAATGCTATTTTTAAACTGTGATTATTAATGAGGTGGTTTTGCAGCTCATTTGATGGCTTGCTGATGCTTCCCTGCATAATTTTGTTTTAGCCACCAGAGAAGGTCCTTAAAAATATAGAAATATAAACATCTATATCTATCTATCTAGCCTCATTATTGCCCCAAATATTCAAATGTAAAAAAGCAAAGCATTGCTAGGGCAAATGATTTACAAAAAGTTTAATAATCACCTAGAGTTATCTTTTTTTGTAGAATATATTATACAATATGATTTGTATGTTATTATAAACCATTACCATAAATGAATTAGCAACTCCAAACTGTCCACTTCCCTTCTTGCCTTGGCTTTATTGTATTTTTCCTCTTTTGCGATTGAAAATTTGTAGAAATGTTCTCTAGTAACACATAGGTAGGGCAAAGGAAGATTGAGGAGGAAAATCCATACAGGCACAGAAATACCAACATTTGTATTTACTTCATGCAACGTATATACTATATATCCTTTAAAGAAAACATTTACTTTTGAAGCAGTGTATGCTGTATTTTTCTTTCAATCCAATATATACGATGATTGCCATTTACTGTCTATAAATTATGTTCAATAATCTCTACTTCCTGGGACCAAGAACTTAAGAATGTTTAAAATCAAATACAGAATAAAATAATAAAATTAAAATATCGGGATCAATTTTTAATTCTAATTATGGAAATAATGTTTCCATCTGGAATCTAGGAAAAAAAAAAAAACTCTCATCTAGTAATTTACCCATTTCTTGTGATGTTAAAAATACAGGGATTTCTTCTATATAAAATATTTGTTTCCTAAAATCTTCGCAAACACTAAGTCCTATTATAAAGTTTAATTTTTCAGATACTAACCATAAAATTTTGTTCTAAGAATATAAGACCGAGGTATAATTACAGTATAATCTATTAAAAAGTACATATTAAAAAACAATTCCTTACTAAGTTGTTATTTAAAATAGGTTTAAAAGCATCAAAGCTAAATTATATGTAATAATATGAATGTAGTATATATGATTTATGTGTTATTTACACATTTGAGTGGTATTGATATTTATAGTTTTATTATAATACATAAGCTTACATTTAATATATAAGTTATATATCACATAAGTTGTATATATTTATATTAACATTGAAGTCTAAAAGCATTGAAGTTAAAATCATAATTTAGAAAAAATTACGATTTATATATTCTATAAAAGAGATAAAACATGTTTTATATATAACATATAATATTGTATATGATAGATATTAGTGTCTTTAATTTTAAGTTAAAAAATATATATTCTATATATGCACAGAGAGAAAAGAGAGGTTATGTTTGTGAATTGTTAAAGGATGTCATATGTGAAAGCAATTCCTGAAGCACAGGCGATATTTAACCTTTTCAAACTACTTTGATATTCCTAACTAAAATTGTTTTAATTTCTTGCATGTCTGCTATTACTTGTAATTAATGTCTATTTTCAGGTATACAGGCATACCACTTCAAGATGCCAATTAATTATGTGACTATCATGATTAAAAAAGAGACGTTTTTAAAAAAGTTTTCACAATATTTTACAAATATTCACAAGCTTCCCAAAACCCTATGAGAAATTAACTTAACCCTTCAACATATCTTAAATGAAGAAAATTAACTAAACATCTCTTAGAAAATCTTACTTGACTAGAATTAGAAAGTTTTCTAAATTTCCCCTTTCCTTCAAAGACAAAAAATATAAAATTCTAGAATATAAATAAAGCTCCATAATATAAATTCTCTATAATTATAATTTTATGAGGCAATGTTATGGTTTGACTGTCTCCCCCAAAATGATAATGTTAAAGCCCTAACCTCCAGTATCTCAGAATGTGACCTTATTTGAAAATAGGATTTTTCAGATGTAATTATTAATTTAAGGTAAGGTCATACATGAGTAGGGTGGGCCCTTAATCTGACTGTTTTCCTTATATAAAGAAGAGACCACCATGTGAAGACATACATACAGGAAGTAGATGGCCACTTGTCACAAGGAAGGCAGAAAGTGGTGATATATTTACAAGATAAGGAATGCCAATGATACTTGGCAAACACCAGTTAGAAGAGGCAAGAAATGATTCTCCTCTACAAGTTTCAAAAGGAGCATGGTCGTACCAATAGTCTGAATTCAGACTTCCAGCCTCCAAAACTGTATGGTAATAAATTTCTTTTGTTGTAACCCACCCAATTTGTCACCCTTTGTTATGATAATACTAGGAAACTAATATAGGTAATTAAAGAACATTTCTAAATCTTCTACATTTTTATTTTTGCTTTGGCCAAGCAAAAATTTCATGCATTACTTCCACACAGTTCTTTACTACAAACTTCCTAGTTCCTATAAATTGTGACACATATATTTAATTTAGATCATATGTCTCAGTTATAGAGTACCTGCACTTGCTAGTAGTCATCATTTCATTACTTAGGCAGTACAAAAAGTAGTTAAGAACACAACACAGAATCTAGACCTTGACTGCCAGGTTTTCAGTCTCAGTTCTACCACTTACTAACCATCATTCTTCTCTCTATGCCTTACTTTCCTCATTTTTAAAAATACAGATCATGATTATTGTACCTACCTCATGGGGTTAAAGATTAATTAAAAGTCTAAAGTAATTAAAATGTTATTAAAGTGTTAAAGATTAAAATTCTGAAATGAACACAGTAAATACATAGTAAGCACTCTTTAAGTAAAAAAACAATAGCTACTGTAGCAGTATAATCACAGCCTATCCTTAAAAAGGAAGATTTAATATGCCTACATTCTATTGCTATTTTATACTTTTTCCTCTTTCCTCCTTTAGGACTTCCTAGGCCTTCCTCAGAATCTCTTAAAAGTATTTTTTTTTCAAAATTATATTGTCTTATCATCATGTGTATCCAATTCAAGTGTTATTAATATTCTATTTTTATCATATTTTAGATTGATTAGAGTATTATACCATGTTTTATCTTAAAGAGAATATGACTATCTGCATATCCCACCCTTCAATAGAGTATATTAATATAAACATAAGTACTTTAAAATTATTTCGTTTTTTCATATTACTTATTTTAAACATTTTTCCACTGAACTTCATCCTGAATATAACACATTAACAGTTTTACCCTAAAATGGCATTAGCATAATGGGTGAACTTACAGTACAAAGGAGAAAAACCAAAGGTGTACAAAACAAAAGCAGGTTTCTATATTTATTCAAAAAATGAGAGATTTAAAGAATCTTAGGAAGATGATAGTGCGAAATGGTAGCTATTACTATATCGACTTTTATAATGATTAAATATTACTTAACTCTTTGGGTCCAATTATTTATTGGGCAAGAGTAGTGTTTCTGAGTTATCATTTTCCAGCTATAAAGTAGTAATAAAAAATATGGGCTCCGAACCAAGCCCATCTGGGTTAGAATCTTAGCTTAGCTACTAGCTGAGTGACCTTAAACACAAAATAATTAACTTCTCTTCCTCTGTTTCCTCCTCTATAAAATGGATACAATACTTATTGGTCAGGTACTAGAAAAAACAGATGGCACATCAAACTGAGCTTTTTTTTTTTTTTGAGACAGAGTCTCACTCTGTAACCCAGGCTGAAGGGCAGTGGCGTGGCTCACTGCAACCCCCGACTCCTGGGTTCACGTGATTCTCCCACCTCAGCCTCCTGAGTGGCTGGAATTACAAGTGCCCGCCACCACACCCGGCTAATTTTTGTATTTTTAGTAAAGATGGGTTTCACCATGTTGGCCGCTCTAATCTTGAACTCCTGACCTCAAGTGATCTGCCTGCCTCGGCCTCCCAAAGTGCTGGGATTACCAGCGTGAGCCACTATGCCCGGTAGAAACTGAATAATTTTAAGAGGATTTAATTATGGAACTATTTACAAAGGTACATATGGTGTACAAAAACCCAGGGTGAACAATAACAGAAGACTCCTCTATCCCTAAAGAGGTAAGGGGGAGAAACAGATACCTAAATTTAGAGATGGCTCTGTGGAAAGGGCTGACAAAAGATAAGATGAGATGCTGAAGAATGTGGTCACTCTGGAGTAACCTTACAGGGAAGGAGCTAGGAGAATAAATATGTCCCCATCTTATTCTCTCTTTCCTTCCCCCTTATCTTCTGCAACTGCTCCAGAAAGAAAACCACCAACAGAAGCAAAAGGGCAAGAGAGAGTGCACTGATGCAGTCTACCACCCAAAGGACACTAGAGAATACAGAGTAAGTCTGGAGGGACAAACACAGAAACCCAGGCCAAGTGCCTACCTCATAAATTTGAGATAAGAAATAAATAATACTTTTAAAGTGCTTAGAATTATACCTGTTGCAATACTACATTTTAGCTATTTTTATGATTTTTACCATTACTTTGGTTCTATCTCCTTCTATATTTCTTCCTCCATATGTGAACAAAAAAAAGTGAAAAATAAAGAAAAAATAGTTTTCCATGGAAATTCTCAAAATGCAATATTTTTAAGTGAAAACGAATTATTACCAATGAAAGTCTTTATGCCGACAAAGCCAGGAACATATTTTTAGCTTCATAGTAAACCACTACTAAGCTGGACATTCAAAAAATTTATCAGTGGTTGCTGGTAATATAAACTGACAATTTCTGGGAAAAACATATAATAACAATACTAATAGACATTATTTTAATTAGTGTAATGAAAATGTAAACTATATCTAATAAAACATAATATCCTTATTTCTAAGGGATTTATACAGCATGGGAGACATAAAACCCAATAATTAGAAATATAGAAATATAGGCACTTGAGATATGCAGAAAGTCATAGAAATATTATCCTGGAGCCTGGTAATGAATATAATCCTAGGTAAAAAAAATACAACTAAAATTTACACAATCAACTGTTGTAAGAATTATTTCTAACTATTGCCCATAATCTCTTTGATGGCAGGTAAAGAGTATCATTCCATGTAAAGAGAAGTTTACAAACTCTTCTCTTACCTCTTTTTTTTTTTTTTTTAATTATTTTCCATTTCAATATGTTTTCAGGGAGCAGGTGTGTCTGGTTACAGGAGTAAGTTCTTTAGTGGTGATTTCTGAGATTTTGGTGCACCCATCACCTAAGCAGTGTACACTGTACCCAATGTGTAATCCTTTACTTCTCACCCTGCTCCCACCCTTTTGCCTGAGTCCCCAAAGTCCACTATATCATTCTTATGCCTTTGCATCCTCATAGCTTAGCTCCCACTTATGGGTGAGTACGTGCGATGTTTAGTTTTCCATTCCTGAGTTACTTCACTTAGAATAAGAGTCTCCAATTCCATCCAGGTTGCTGCAAATGCCATTCTTTCATTCCTTTTTATGACTGAGTAGTATTCCACGGTATATATATACCACATTTTCCTTATCCACTTGTTGATTGATGGGCATTTGGGGTGGTTCCCTATTTTTGCAATTGCAAATTATGCTGCTATATACGCATGTGCAAGTATCTTTTTTATATAATGACTTCTTTTCCTCGGGGTAGATACCTAGTAGTGAGATTGCTGGATCAAATGGTAGGTGTACTTTTAGTTCTTTAAGGAATCTCTCACCTCTTTTTTTTTTTTTTAATCTATCCCAGGGACAAAGAATTTACTCATATCACTGGCCAAATTACAGGAAGTTTTTTGGTCCATCTTTGACAGTAGCTAAGTCACTGAGGATTAAAAGATCATTCACATAACTTTATCCTCTCCATCTCTTTCAGTCAAATGGCAAAAGTAAGAAGGGGTACATTTTCACACAGGTTGAGGCCTGGCCTTGTTGCTCCCTTAACTTTCAACATTTTGTTTTCTTTGATCTTATACCTTCCAAGAAAGCCAGTAGACAGGCAGATTTAGGTTAAAGCCGAGGAACAGGAAGAGACCCCACAGGTTTCTAGTCAGGCATGATGCTACAGCTTAGATTTTCATCATTCTGCTTTAGGGTTTGAAACACAGGCTAAATTAACCTAAGGCTACGTAGTTACTTTGTCATTGCCCCTTATGAGTACATCTCTTTGTAAGTCCCATGGGAAAATGGCATGGCTATGTTCAAAAAGGTATTGTGTCATTTGGTAAGTAATACCTACCATTAAAACCTGACTTTTATTCTTATCAATGATGACAACAAATGTAATATATTCCTTTCATGTGACTGCATTCTAAAGCATAGTATTGCCATAATTATATAAAGAAGATATCCATCAAATAAATGAAAAAGGCCTCATTTCTCTCTCTCTTTCTCACACACACAAACACACACACATGCAGAAAAAAGTTCCCAGGCAAGGAGAAAAATAGTTATTAATAATATCATGTAATTTATTCTATGAAAGGCAAAGAAATATATAATATATAATTCCTTTCAGAAGATTTTAATCAAAATTATTAAATGAAGTTTAGTTCCCTGAAGTTCATTTGTAAAATGTAAGTTATTAGAACACTCATTCCTTAGAAATGCTAGATAAATTAATCTACTATGTCAATTCTTGGATGACTAAGATGATAAATTATTTTTTAAAAGGCAATGTGTCAAAATTAAACTCAAGAGTTCTAAGTACTATATACTCATTTATTTATAGATGAAATAAACATCAAATTGGACATGAACTTCCTCTACTGTGATAATGTCATGTTTTTTGGGTAAGATTCCTTTGTAAGTTAAATTATATATGTTCTTTAAAAAATAAGAGTTGATGAATATTTTTGGCCCACAACCACCACCTACAAAGGTAAGTCAATTTAAGCTATATGGTTTCATAAGAATGTCTTATTTTTAAAGCTGGGATTTACAAACTTAAGCAACAAAATAAAAAGGAAATATTTCATTCTAACCATAGTCAAAATGGAATGTAAAAAACAAGACAGTCAATGTAGACAAAGTGAGATTTCTTCATCGCCATCTTTGCAAAGCAGAGATACTTACAGTGGTCTTATCAAATTCAGCCTCAGATGATGTTGGTGACAGAGGACTTACGGGGCTTAGAGATGGAGAGCTCTCAACACTGGAGACATATTCAGGATCAGGAACATACAGAACCTGTAAGAAAACATTCACACAAAGATTTAGTTAAAATGAAGTGTTAATAATTAGATGGTGTTCTATAAGCAAGCACTATTAACAATTACCAATTAAACAGAAAAACATAAAAATTTTCAAATTATAAGAATATAAAAACATTTTTAAAAAAGAACCTTTAAAATCAGTTTAGACACATTTGATAATATATACGGCTGGAATAGGGTGAGGAAACATTAATTGTCATACACTATAGAGGTGTCACTCCTAAAGGACAATTTGGCAATAGCTAGCAAAATTTAAAGTGCACATATCCTCTGATATAGTAACTTTACTTCTAAGAATTCACCCTACAGAAATACTTACATTTAAAGAAAAACAGATGTGTACAGGCATGTTTACTACAGCACTATTGACCTTAGCAAAAGAGTAGAAATAGTCTAATGCTTTAAATAAGTATGATATATCAATACAATGTAATACCATGCACGCGTGAAAAAGTCTGAACTAGAACTGTGATTAAATACAACACTTTCCAAGAATCAAAGTTAAATTAAAACACAACAACAACAACAAAAGTAGGCTAGATTATTCCTGAAAGAAATGCAAACTGCCAACTGGTTGCTTCTGGAAAAGAAACTGAAAGTTTGAGATGGAGGGATGCCTTACTTTGATAAAGTAATTTTTTATCATATGCATATATTGTTCTGAATATTTTAAAAAGCTCTTTGTAACTATATTTAAAAAGAAAAATCTACAATTATTTTCAATATGTATTAAAAAAGAAACTAATACAGACATAAAACAGTTAATTTTCTCTTACATGGCCAATATGATTTGTTAAAAGCACATATAAAATTATTCTCAAATTTTCTATATTATTAACTACAGTACAATAAATACTTTCTGCCTTTCTGTTTAATGTTTCTAAACATCAGCACATTAAAAAAAAGATACTACCTGTCCAGTAACAACTGCTCGGGAGAATAACTTATTTAATTGAACAAGTTCGTTAGGTGTTGTATCAAACTTCAGGGCTATGCTATTCAAAGAATCCCTTGATTCAACCTGTTTAAAAGAAAAAATAAATTATTTCAATGTTTAAAACAGAAAAACTAAACTATAATATTTAATGAGCATTAATATATCTAGGGACCAGCTTACATTTGATTAACAACTGGTATTGTCATCTTTGAAAATAACTGTCAAGAAACACTGTGTTTTGTTAGCAAATGCTCTTAATCTATTACAATACAGAGTAAAGGCTTCATCACAATACATTTACATGTAGGTCTCTACTTCAAGTAATTTCAAAATACAAAACATAATTTAAAAGTCAAAAACTGATTATTTTCATTTTACAAAGGTTTTAAAATAATACACTATTCCTTTGAATAGTTTCTAAAATATATGTGACTTCTAGCAACATACTAATTTCATTTTTGCAAAGTACACCTGTATTAAACTCAAAATGATCTTTATGCATATATTCTGTCATTGCACATATAAATTAGAAAAATATTTGAACTAAAGTTGAGTTATTTAGTTCTGAATCATTCGTACGTTTCCATGATCATATGTGTAGAAATCATAAATAATGAGATTTCATCAATTACCCTAAAAGAAAATGTCACTTGGCCAATATAATATAACCACTTAAAGTCCCCATTACACAAGGCATTAAGAGCGCTCTAAAGAAGGCCGGGCACGGTGGCTCACACCTGTAATCCCAGCACTTTGAGAGGCCGAGGCAGGTGGATCACGAGGTCAGGAGATCGAGAACATCCTGGCTAACACGGTGAAACCCCGTCTCTATTAAAAAAAAAAAAAAATGAGCAGAGTGTGGTGGCGGCGCCTGTAGTCCCAGCTACTCGGGAGGCTGAGGCAGGAGAATGGCGTGAACCCAGGAGGCCGAGCTTGCAGTGAGCCGAGATTGCGCCACTGCACTCCAGTCTGGGCGACAGGGCGAGACTCTGTCTCAAAAAAAAAAAAAAAAAAAAAGAGAGAGCTCTGAAGAAAACACAAATAAGTGCAACTAAAAGTCATTTTGCACAAGGAATTTACAATCTAGTTGGAAACTAAGATAGAAAAGGTTATGCAAAAGATGAACAATTTAAAATGGAATAATGAATGCAATAGAAGTTTTGAGTATGAATAAAAGCACCATGTAATCCAAATTTTCCAGAAAAGACTACAGAAAAGAAATGATTTAAAGCTGGGCCTTGAAGAAGGGTTGGGAATTTGAAAAGTAGAGAGAAAGGAATGAACTTTCAAAGTGAAGATAACAGAACTGACATAGTTAAGAGACAGAAAAGCATAACATATTTGTGGGATACTGTCCTCTTCCTCCTAAACCATCCAGAGTAGACTCATGAAGCACAAATTTTTGGGAAGGTGATTACATGGAGTTAAGTCTCTAAAAACGATAAAGAGGCATTCAGAGGTCAGACATGGTGGGTCATGCCTGTAATTCCAGCATTTTGGAAGGCTGAGGCAGGTGGATCACTTGAGCCCAGGAGTCCAAGACCAGCTTGGACAACATGGCAAAATCCCATCTTGACAAAAAATACAAAAATTAGCTGGGCGTGGTGATGCATGCCTGTAGTCCCAGCTACTCAGGAAGCTGAGGTGGGAGGATCACTTGAGCCTGGGAAGTTGAGGCTGCAGTGAGCTGTGATAGCACCACTGCACCCCAGCCTGGGCGACAAAGCAAGACCCTGTCTCCAGAAAACAAAATAAAATAAAATAAAAAAAGAGGCATTTAGAATTAGGTTATAGAAGATTTCAAAAGTCAGGAAAAGCAGGTGCGTGTGCATTTGTTTGTGTATGTAAAACAATAATATACATATTTTCCTTAATGGTTTTATAAAACCAAATTTATGCCAAATATTTGGGTTAATACAATAATAATCTAGTTCTGCCTACATCCTTCTATGCAAACTTCCCCATCTACACAATGTACTGATATAAAACCTATGTTACCGAGATAATATATATAAAAGGTCTCTGTAAACAAATGATATTTTGCAGTAAAATCTGTAAGTTTACCAAGTACTTTCATAATTAATAATAACACATTTTATTCTCACAGTGATTCTATTAAATGAGATGATGAAGGTAACAAAACAGCCCAAGTGGCATCTCATATTACTGGCATCAGGGCTAGGATTACTGGAACAAGAAAGAGAAAGGATGCAGAAAAACAAAGATAAGGTTTAAAGTAATAAAAATGTAAAGAAAGAAATTAAGGTACAAGATTTCAACTAAGACTCAAGAGAAGACATTCATGGATTGAATGGAGTTGTGGTGACAGCAGTAGCAGTAGGTCAGGGAAGCAAATGTGAATGAGCAAACTGATGCTGACTCTAAAGACTGCAACCTGAATGAATAACAAACTGAAAGGGAACGGAAATGAGAAAATCAGGAATTGTGGAAGGATGGAGGAAGAAGAATTGGTAAGAGGCTTCCATAATTTGTTTAGTATGAAGTGATAGTAGGAAATGCAAGCAACTAGAAAGGGAGGGATAGAAAAAAAGTTTGGGTCTCACTCCACGTAGTTTATAAAGTTCTTAAGCACTCCAAGTAATAGAATGTCAATAGAAAAGCAAAAAGAAACAAGGGACCACTCACATTGGGAATTAAGAAGAGGCAAACACCCAGCAAAGCAGACAGAAGATACAATCAAAATAATAGCAAGGTCAACAAAGCATAATGATAGCAAAATGTAGTACAATTAGTTTCAATAAAAAATTAGAGTTCTGGAGAAACAAAATAGAGGAAGGAGGAGAAAATGGCAATCAAAGATAATTACCAAGAATTTTTCTAGAATTTATGAGTGACATGATTTCTTAGGCTGAAGAAACACAATAAACATGATAAAAACATGTATATATCTAAATTTTTCATATTGGCACTGCAGAATTGTAAAGACGAAGAAATTTTAAAGGTTACCTATAAAAAACTTATTTGAACTTATTTTCTCAATTATGCAGAGAAGGTACAAACACACGCAATTTGAGTTTAAAATATGCTGTGAGATTATCTTGATATTAGTAAATTTTATTTCATCCTAAATTATCTGATTCCTTTTAAAAATATTTAAAATCTCACACTGTCCGCTATATATGAATGGTATATCAAAATAGAGTATAAATTAGAATTTTGATAATTTGTTCAATTTTAAAGATGCATGGAAAATAAGAGTCAAACCAAGACTGGACGGTTTCATAATGATACAAATGCTAAATTAATGTTTAAAATTGCTGTTCTCCTTAATACAGTTATGTTAGAAAAACACAGAATAACAAAATTAAGCTCAGTTAAAAGTGCTTTACAACACGTTAACATTATCCAAATAAACAATCTTTACATTCAATCAAATATGCAGCATACCATATACCAAAGCTGATTTCTCACTTCAGTTTCCCAGAGTAACCAGAAATGTGAAAAGCCAGCTGACTGCAGGAAGATTTGAAGTTCATTTCAAGAATACAGAAAAAAAAAAAAAAGCTCAATGTTTAGAGCTAAAGGGAGTTAGCTATAAATAAATACAAATGATTTAATGTGGAAGGTTATACTGGAAGATTAATATCAACTTTTCTTTTATGTATCCCATCTGCCATTATAACTATCACTAGCACTGCTGCGAATATAATGAAGATCACATTTCTAAAGAACTAAAAATTTTCCTAAAAGCCTAACCTAATAAAAATTATTGGCCCATGGGAACTCTCTCAGTAAACTATCATCTATATTAAATTAAATTTTCTAGGATAACTACCTTTATATCTCAGTAAAATTTCTCTTTAAAGAAAAAAACAACAACTAAAAAATAAAACAATTATCCAAAGTGAAATACAGATTTTTAAAAATAAGGCAATTAACAATGCTTGTCTTATTTATAGTATAAACAGAGAATGTCTTAAAGAAGACTCTTACAAAGAAAAATAGCTTTTTCGAAAGCAAATAACTTACAGTATACTCAATAGTCCCTTTAGGTTTCTGAAAAGACATTCGTCTTCCATCTTTCTTGTCTAGGGTCTTCTTTTGGCCAGTGTCTGGGAAAAAAAGGCAAAATTCCTATTAAATTCATCTTTCTTTCAGAGTAATGTCAAGGACTACTGAATAGAGCTCTTTGGGCAGATGTCTAATTTACTAGTAATACAGCTTACTCCCTGGGATGCTCTGCTGTAAAAATCAAGCAACTGTCAAAAAAAAGGAACTGAACTTCCTACTTGCTTGCTTTAGGAACTTAACTAGTATGAACCAATAGAATAATTGCAAGTCAACGCAAAACATAATTGTCAACAGAAAGGAAGTCATTAAAAACTAAATTACAATTTATTTCAACAGATTTAACCTGATTATAATACCAACACATTTTAAGATACATTATATATTTTTAAAATACATCTTTCAAGATATATATCATTATTTTCCAAATAAGAAATTGTAACATTAGTTCTCACAGGAAAAAATTTTTCTACAAGTCATAATGAAAAATAGTCTTCTCTATGGGATTAAATTATGAACTTTCATATTAACATGCCATGAAGTAAATCAAGGTGTGCTTTCATATAGAAACATACATTTGAACATTTACTTTCAGATTGAATGCCAATTATTAATATTTTTCATTTGCTTATCAAGACTTCCTTGAATGTTTCATTATCATCAAGATTAGCGAAACTGCTTCCCTTTAAATTTTGTATTAGTGTTAACCTTTTCATCTATACTTCATGTAATAACAACACTGAATTAATAAAACACCACTCCTACCTAAACATAAAAATTATTAAAATGAAATCTAAAAAACTAAATAAATCACAAAATTAAATAAGATAGTAAACATGGCAAAATGCTACATTTACTTTACCCTCAAAATTTACCAAAATTAAAAACTATAGTTTTCAAAGAAAATTTATGGTTCAACCTAAGACCATATAATCTAGAAAATATCTATTTCATTGTTCTCCCTCTATCTAAACTTAAATGGCATTTTGACCATACAAGAGTTTATGTTGACCTAATCATCTCAGCTGTCGGGTGAATGGTTCTAAACAAGCACTAAAAAATAATAATAATATCAAAATCCCCAAAAAGGACAATTACCTCTGCAATGCTTTAAAAAACTATCCTAAAACCTTCCTGATCACCCAGCTAACCCAAGTCCCTGTTATTAGTCACATAGCATCTTTATGTCTCCTTCACAGCATCTGACACAGTGTTAAGTTAATATTTGGGTTTAAATCCCTTCCACTAAATTGTAACCTCCAAAACATTGCCTTTCTTCCACAAAGCCTCCTCAGTGCCTAACTAGGGGCCTGACACATGGCAAGCATCTAATAAAGTAATGTTCTGAAGCAACAACTTGAACTATACTTTGAACTACCAAAACTATTATGAACTGCCATTAATTTTCCATAAAGAAAAGTAGAGAAAGAATTATGGTTCATCCATTACAACTCTAGGAAAAATAGTATGCAGAGATACACACACACACACACGCGTGCGCATACATACACATATTCTACTTTTGTATCCTAAATATTTAAAGAACTCTTAAAAACTAGGGAAAAAATAATGCAGGTGAAAATATGCACAAAAGATATAATCAGACAATTCACAAGAGGATGTAAAAATGTCCTTAAACATGTAATAATGTTGTTCAATCTCACTCATAATTAGATAAATGCAAATTTAAACTATACTGAAATATCATTTCACACCTATCGGGTTGGTAAAAACTCAAAAGAAGTTTGGTCACATACTGTTTGACAGTAGGAAATGAGATATTCTTCTGCATTCCTGGTGGCAATGCAATATGGTAGAATTTTTATAAAGAATATTATTTTTGCTTATCAAAGTATTCTAATTCTTCTACACTGAATAGTTTATATTTAAATTTGCTTCTCTAATGAGAAAATGCAAACATTAAAACTATTTTAAGATAAAATAAGTTTTAAAGAATTTATTTTTATTTTAAACAACTGAAAATGTATTAAAATAAAATTCGATTTATTTTTGAATAATTTATGTTTTAAATAATTTTTAAATGATTTCTTTGAATAGCAAATTAAACTTGCAATTTAAACTTCTCAAGCAATGCAATATACAATTACAGATTACCTTTAACTAATAATATACCCTTCCTTAATTGATTTTAGGAGTAACCGTTAGTTTGTATTTACTTTGCCTAATAGCTTTTCGATCTGTGTTTCATAATATCCCAATAATTCATTAAACATGTTTGCAAGTTTGCAATTGCTCTGTAATTTTCAAAAGCTCACCACAGAATGCAGTTCAGGGCAAGAAAACTAATGTACTAACTTTCTACACTTTAAAGTTTGAAAAACAAATGGAAAATATTCTCTTTACTAATTAAAAATTATAAAATATTATGCAATAATTACATATTATAAAAACAGTTCTAAATTTTAATAATTAATATTAAAATGTTTATTCACAGATCTAAATACCAAAGCACATAAAATAAACTATTTGTTTTCTTCCATCAATATGAAAGTACAATCAAATAATCACAACATTTGAGAGCAGCTAGAGAAAAAGGCCAGGTCACCTACAAAGGGAAGTCCATCAGACTAACAGCAGACCTCTCAGCTGAAACCCTACAAGCCAGAAGAGATTGAGGGCCAATATTCATCATTCTTAAAAAAAATTCCAACCCAGAATTTCACATCTGGCCAAACTAAGCTATATAAGGGAAGGAGAAATAAGATCCTTTCCATAAGAGCAAATGCCAAGAGTACTGGTTAGCATCAGAACTGCCTTAAAAGAACCCTAAAATATGGAAAGGAAAGACCATTACCAGACACTACAAAAACACAATGAAGTACACAGACCAGGGACATTATAAAACCATCACATACACAAGCCTGCAAAATAACCAGCTAACATCATGACAGGATAAAATCCACACATAACAATACTAACCTTAAATGTAAGTGGGCTAAATGTCCCAATGAAAAGACGGAGTGGCAAGCTGGATAAGACACCAAGAACATTGATATGCTGCCTTCAAGAGATCCATCTCACATGCAATGACAGACATAGGCTCAAAATAAAGGTACGCAGAAAAATCCGCCAATCAAATGGAAAACAGAAAAAAGCAGAGGTTGCAATTCTAGTTTCTGACAAAACTAGGATTTAAATCTAGTTTTAAACTAAGACTTTAAACCAACAAAGATCAAAAAAGACAAAGAAGGGCATTACATAATGCTAAAGGGTTCAATTCGTAAGATCTAACTATCCTAGATATATATATGCACACAACACAGGAGCACTCAGATTCATAAAGCAAGTTCTTAGAGACCTACAAAGAGACTTATACTCCCAAACGATAATACTCAGAGACTTTAACACCCCACTGACAATATTAGACAGATCACTGAGACAGAAAATTAACAAAGATATTTAAGACCAGAACTCAGCACTGGAGCAAATGGACCTAATCTCTACAGAACTCTCCACCCAAAAACAACAGAATATACATTGTCACATGGCACATACTCTAAAACTGATCACGTATTCAGAAGTAAAACACTCCTCAACAAATGCAAAAGGACTAAAATCATAGCAAACAGTCTCTTGGACCACAGCAAAATCAAATTAGAAAAATTAGACTAAGAAATTCACTCAAAACTATACAATTACATGGAAACTGAATAATCTGCTCCTGAATGACTTTTGGGTAAATAATGAAATTAAGGCAGAAATCAAGAAGTTCTTTGCAACTAATAAGAACAAAGATATAACATACCAGAATCTCTGGGACACAGCTAAGATAGTGTTAAGAGGGAAACTTATAAGATGTATAAATTTTGTAAATGCCCCATATATGCTTGAAAATAATGTATACTCTGCACTGCAGGGTTTAGTGTTTTATATATGTGTATGCATACATGCACACACATGTATTTACATATCCATGAGGTCAAGTTTGTGGACTGTGTTAGTCAAATTCTGTATATTTGTATTGATTTGTTTTTGTCTGATTATTCTGTTACCAATGGAGGTTGTTAATATCTCTCACTCTAAATTATGGGTTATTTGGTTCCCAGTAGGTCTCCCTACTTTGCTTTTTATACATTGGGACCATGTTATTAGGCTCATACAAATCGAAAATTATATCTTCCTGGAAAATTAAACTTTTTCTCAGAATACTGTTTCCATAAAGTATTCTTTGTCTAATATTAATGTACCAATTCTCTTTTCATTAGTTTCTGCTTTTTCTTTCTACTCTCAACATTTCTGTATCCTTATGTATTAGTCTGTTCTCACACTGCTATAAAGAACTGCTCAAGACTGGATAATTTAGAAAGGAAAGAGGTTTAATTGACTGACAGTTCCACATGGCTGGGGAGGCCTCAGCTTAAGTCATAGCGGAAGGCAAAGGGGAACCAGGCACCTTTTTCACAAGGCAGCATGAGGAAGAATGAACTCAGGAGGAACTACCAAACACTTATAAAACCATCACATCTCATGAGAACTCACTATCACAAGAACAGCATTAGGGAAACCACCCCCATGATCCAATTACCTCCACCTGGTTTCTCCCTTAACTCAGGGAGAGTATGGGGATAATATTTCAAGATGAGATTTGGGTGGGGACACAAAGCCAAACCATATCATTCTGCCCCTGGCCCCTCCCAAATTTCATGTCCCTTTCACATTTCAAAGCCAATCATGCCTTCCCAACAGTCTCCCAAAGTCTTAATTCACTCCAGCATTAACCCTAAAATCCAAGTCCAAAGTCTTACCCGAGACAAGGCAAGTTCCTTCTGCCTATAAGCCTGTAAAATCAAAAGCAAGTTAGTTACTTCCAAGACACAATGTGGGTACAGACATTGGGTAAATGTCTCTGTTCCAAATGGTAGAAATTAGGCAAACCAAAGGGACTACAGGTCCCACGCAAGTCCAAAATCTGGCAGGGCAGTCATTAAATCTTAAAGTTTCAAAATAATCTCCTTTGACTCCATGTCTCACATCCAGGTCACACTGATGCAAGAGGTGAGCTCCCATGGCCTTGAGCAGTTCCACCCCTGTGGCTTGGCAGGGTACAGCCCCTCTCCCAGCTGCTTTCGCTAGCTGGCATTGAGTGCCTACAACTTTTCCAGGTGCACAGTGCAAGCTGTCAGTGGATTTACCATTCTGAGGTCTGGAGGAAGGTAGGCCTCTTCTCACAGCTCCACTGGGCAGGGCCCCAGTAGAGACTCTAGGTGGGGGCTCTGACCCCACATTTCACTTCTGCACTGCCCTAGCAAAGGTTCTCCAAGAGGGCTCCACCCCTACAGCAAACTTCTGTCTGGACATCCAGGTGTTTGCATACATCCTCTGAAATCTAGACAGAGGTTCCCAAACCTCAATTCATGAGTTCTGGGCACCCACAGGCACACCACCGCACGTAAACCGCCAAGGCTTAGGACTTGTATCCTCTAAATAAATGGCCTGGGCTGTATGTTGGCCCTTTTTAGCCACAGCTGGGATTCAGGGCACTGTGTCCTGAAACTGCACAGAACAGCAAGGCCCTGGGTCTGGCCCATGAAACCATTTTTTTCTTCCTAAGTCTCCAGGCCTGTGATGGGAAGGGCAACCACGAAGGTCTCTGACATGCCCTGGAAACATTTTACCCATTGTCTTGGTGATTAACATTTGTCTCCTCGTTACTTAAGTAAGTATCTGCAGCTGGCTTGAATTTCTCCTCAGAAACAGGTTTTTCTTTTCTATTGCATTGTCAGGCTGCAAGTTGTCCAAACTTTTTAGCTCTGCTTCCCATTTAAACATAAGCTTCAAATCCAAACCATCTCTTTGTGAATCCATAAAACTGACTGATTTTACGGTCACCCAGGTCACCTCTTGAACACTTTGCTGCTTAGAAATTTCTTCTGCTAGATACCCTATTTCATCTCTCTCACGTTCTATATATCTCTAGGGCAGGGGCAAAATGCTACCAGTCTCTTTGTAAAGCATAGCAAGAGCCAACTTTATTCCAGTTCCCAACAAATTCCTCATCTCCATCTGAGACCACCTCAGCCTGGACTTCATTTACCATTATCACTATCAGCATTTTGGTCAAAGCCATTCGACAAGTTTCTAGGAAGTTCCAAACTTTCCCACATCTTCCTGTCTTCTTCTGAGCCCTCCAAACTGTTCCAACCTCTGCCTGTTACCCAGTTCCAAAGTCGCTTCCACATTTTTGGGTATCTTTATAGCAGTACCCCACTTTGTAGTTCCAATTTACTGTATTAGTCTGTTCTCACACTGCTATAAAGAATTGCCCAAGACTGGGTAATTTAGAAAGGAAAGAGGTTTAACTAACTCACAGTTCTGCATGGGTGGAGAGGCCTCAGGAAATTTACAATCATAGCAGAAAGCAAAGGGGGAAGCAAGGCACCTTCTTTACAAGGTGGCAGGAGGGAGAATAAAGGCAGGAGGAATTATCAAACACTTATAAAACCATCAGAACTCATGAGACCTCACTATCACAAGAAGAACAGCATGGGGGAAACTGCCCCCATGATCCAATTCCCTCCACCTGGTTTCTCCCTTGATATGTGGGGATTATCGGGATTATAATCCAAGATGAGATTTGAGTGGGGACACAAAGCCTAACCATATGACGTTATGTTTCTGGTGTGTATCTAAGCAGGTCCTTTTTGTTTATTTCTTCTTTCTTTCCCTTCCTTCCTTTCTCTCTTTCTTTTCTTTTTCTTTTCTCTCTCTCTCTCTCTTTCTTTCTTTCTCTCTCTTTCTTTCTTTCTTTGATGGAGTCTCACTTTGTTGCCCAGGCTGGAGTACAGTGGCACGATCTTGGCTCACTGCAACCCCAACCTCCCAGGTTGAAGCAATTCTCCTGCCTTCGCCTCCTGAGTAGCTGGGACTACAGGCACACGCCACCAACCCCAGCTAATTTTTTTTTTTTTTTCATTTTTAGTAGAGACAGAGTTTCACTATATTGGTCAGGCTGGTCTCAAACTCCTGACCTCAAGCGATCCACTCACTTTGGCCTCCCAAAGTGTTGGAATTACAGGCATGAGCCACTGTGCCCAGCACTATTTGTTCTATTTTCTATCTGTCTACCTGTTCTTTTAGACTTCTCTCCTTTGTTGCCTTCCTTGGATTCAGTATTTATTAACTCCGGTTTTTCCCCACATATCTGAAAGTTACACATTTTTTTAAACAATTCTTTTAGTGGTCATCCCAGAGATAAAAAGTCTGAATTACTGACTCCTCACAGCCTTTTATTATTATTATTATTATTATTATTATTATTATTATTATTATACTTTAAGTTCTAGGGTACATGTGCACAACATGCAGGTTTGTTACATATGTATCCATGTGCCATGTTGGTGTGCTGCACTCATTAACTCGTCATTTACAATTAGGTATATCTCCTAATGCTATCCCTCCCCCCTCCCCCCACCCCACGACAGGCCCTGGTGTGTGATGTTCCCCTTCCTGTGTCCAAGTGTTCTCGTTCTTCAATTCCCACCTATGAGTGAGAACATGCAGTGTTTGGTTTTCTGTCCTTGTGATAGTTTGCTGAGAATGATGGTTTCCAGCTTCATCCATGTCCCTGCAAAGGACATGAACTCATCATTTTTTATGGCTGCATAATATTCCACGGTGTATATGTGCCACATTTTCTTAATCCAGTCTATCACTGATGGACATTCGGGTTGGTTCCAAGTCTTTGCTATTGTGAATAGTGCTGCAATAAACATATGCTCACAGCCTAATATTAACTGGTACTTTTATCCTCTTCCCAGACAATGCAAGGATGTTAAAAACTGTCTGCCACTGCCAAGATATATGAAACAGTTTTACACGCTGAATACATGCGTATTTAAAAAACATTATTTTTAAGATAGTCAAGGTTGATTTAGTTTTGCTCTCATATTTATGATTATTATTGTATCTCTGGGAAATTTCACAGGTCACAGAATTCTAGGTGGCAGGTACTTTCTTTTAACATTTTAAATCTATAGGTTCCCAGTTTTTTAGTTTTTACTGTGTCTGTTGAGAAATCAATGTCCATCTTAATGCTGTATGATTGAAGGTAGAAACACTATTTTTTCCTTTTTTTTTTTTTTGCCTTTGGTGTGGTTTCCACTAGAGGTTGATAGGGATGCTTGAATCTGAATTAAAGTTTTTCTTTAGTTTGGACGTTTTCAGCCATTCTTTTTTTTTTTTTTTTTTTGAGACAGAGTCTCACTCTGTCACCCAGGCTGGAGTGCAGAGGTGCAATTTTGGCTCACTATAACCTCTGCCTGCCAGGTTCAAGCAATTCTTGTGCCTCAGCCTCCCAAATAGCTGGGACTACAGGCACGCACCACCACGCCTGATTTTTATATTTTTAGTAGAGACAGGGTTTCCCCATGTTGGCCAGCCATTCTCTCTTTAAATAATGCTTTTGCCCATTCTATCTCTCATCTACTTTCAGGATTCATATGTATATGTACATACATATTAGAACTTCTCACTGTATCTTGTATTGAACTTACCTTCTCCTATATTTTCCTCTTTCCTGTTTACTCTGAACATTCCCTTTTGACTTACCTTTCAGTTAGGGAATTCTTTCCTCTGCGGTGTCTAATTTGCTGCTAAATCCATCTACAAAGGTCCTAATTAGAGGGGTTGTATTTTTCACTTCTAGAATATCCATTTTTCTTTCTCATAGTTTGTAACTTTCTACAAAATTCTTAATCAGGTCAAAATTCTCAACATAGCTATTTTAAATCTGATAACTAGAATATCTAGAGTTACCGTGGGCCTGTTTCTATTCTCTATTGTGTCACATATCTTGTCATGTGCCTATTTTGTGTGCAGAACATAAAATTTGCAAAATCGTCTGACAAAACATTTTTACATGTAGAAACTGGTAATTCTCCAGAAAGAATTAATGTTTGCTTCTGTCAAGTGCCTGAGGACACTAGTAATACCAGATCTTATTAATTAAGTTACAGAAATTTTGATAATTTGAAGTTGAAGTATCTTCCTAGGGAGGCCTAGCTACTTCAGTTTATCTTTCTCCCTAATGTACAACATTTTGGGGTCCAAAGTGAGAAGAGATCACTAGGGCCACCCATCCCCTGTGACAGGCCTTGCACTCTGGCCCGGTTCCATTATACCCACAGCCTGTCAAATGCACCTTTTGGTCTCTCAGTTCCTGTTTCAGGAATCAACACTACCCCTGGGGTAAAAAGCAATCAAATTGGAGTTCTCCCTCCTTAGACCTTTGTCCTCATTCAGATCCTATCCTACCCATACCACTTAGCTTTCTGATACCCTTAATAAAATGTTTGCTTTGTGTCCAGCTTTTTAAATTGTTCTCAGCAGGATAGTCTGAATTACCTAGCTTGCTATTACTAGACTCAGAACTCCTGAAGGACTTTCAAGCAGAGAATTAACAGAGCAGTATAAAACCTTTAAAAAAATCATTTTGGTAAAGAAATGGAAAGGTATGCTGTAGAAAGTCTGGAAATCATCAATGAACGTACTATGAGATCAGGTTTAATGTAATAAAAGACTCCTATAATAACTGAATATTACAATATTGATAATAGCTATGTATAAAAAGTTTGACTATTTAAAACATTGAGCTGCAAGTCAGTATTTTCAAAAACAGTAATATAGATACTAAAACTTCAAACACTTTAAAAGTATCTTCTAAACTAAAAAAAAAACAGATTGCTGATTGTAGCTTTTCTAATAATTCTCTCAATAATGAGATACTAGGGAAAAAAACCTGTATTTTCAACATTTCACTATTGACTCCTTATCCACGATCAAAACAAAAACAAAACAAAACCCCTCAATTTTCCCTCAAATCTAGTATCTATCTTTTTCTAGATACTACTCCATCTTTCTGCTTCTTTTCAGTTGAATTTTTGAAAGTAGAAATCTACTTTTACTGTCTTTACTCCATTATCTCCTACAGAATCCACAATGTATTGTAATATCTTCTCTTCCCCAGTTCACAATCCCCACCCTAAAATGAATAAATTAAATGGCAAATTTGATGGGCTTTTCCACTTTTTTTTTATCTGATCTCTGTGAAACATCCAAGAGACTTCTTCTGCATGTTCCTCTTTCCCTTTATTTGAAAGTATTTCACACTCCTCTTGGTCTCATACCCATTAATGTTCCTTTTTACTGCCCCTTTTCCTCCATCTAGACCTTAAAGTTGGCTCTCTTCTAAGTGAAAAGATCCATGATATTAAAGAGCTATAGAGCCTTGCTATTTAAAAGTGTGTTCCAGGGACCAGCTGCATTGACATCACCCAGAAGCTTACTGTGAATGTAAGATCTGAGGCTCAGTCCGGACCTACAGATTTACTATTGATTTGCACGCACAACACATTTGAGAGACATACAAATAGAGCTTCTGAAGAGATCAAAGACCTGCAGACTGCGTAAGTGACAGAAGAAATGGGCTTCCCTACATAACTTCATATTTGTGACAGTTAACACCAGCAGTTTTCAAATCTGTCAAACTAATATAATGGTTTCTAAATTAGTCATGGTGATAGACTATATTATTGTTACTAAGCCTGTATTCCTTCCTGTTGAGGAATATAAAATATACCTCACCATCCTATTGATGTCAGACATGGCCAACTTGCTTTGCCCAATGAACCATATATGTCTTCCAGGTGGAAGTGTTTGGAGCCAAAATTGTACTTCTTAGCTCTCTTTTCTATCTCAAAACCAGAGATCTTCCATATAGTGGCTGCTCCATCAACATGTATTCCAGAAGAAAGGTGTAATTCCTAAAAGATTATTCCACATAGACACATGTGGGCACATGAGTCAGGCTATTCCCATTTCTACTCTTAGTTAAATTATTATGCTTGGGAGCTTAAAAAATTATTCAACAATTCATGCATAAAAAGCAAATCATCTACTAGGGGAAATGGAAAAGAATCTGGCTGGCTTGCATGAGACTTCTCTACTGAAACATTACTCAGTGCTATAAGACTGAAATTATGCCAATTGTATCAAAAACTCCAGAATCAAGGAGGACATTCTAAAAGGTTACTAGAGAATATAGAACAATAATAAGTTATAAAAAAGTGGTTGAAAAACTAAGTATGAATGTTACAAACATGGACAATGTAAAAATAGTAAAATGAGTAAATATTAGGATGTGAGGAGGAGAAAAATGAGAAATGAAACTGCTAATGTCATACCAAAGCATGGTTAAATATATCCCACCTAAAACTGAAACAAGATTGTAATAACAGTATCTGTAATTTTTTTTCTTTTTTTTTTTTTTAGAATTTGCTTAAATTTAGACACACCCCTTAGGAATTAACCTCTTGTGGTGAATAAGTATTATCTTTCATTCTGTCACTCCCTCCTTCTAACCACCCATCCATCCTTCTATATGTACATACACATAGAAGTGATGTACATTACTTGGCAGTAATGCCTACCCAAATATTAACAGTATCTCTGGGTGACTGGATTAGAGGTGATTTTTAAAGTTCAGTATTTGCAACATATGACTTATTTATATATAGTATATATCAGGTTTATTTTAAAAATTAATTTCGTATAAAAGACTGGAAGCAAATATTCCACAATATTAATGGCTCTTAATTGTGGCATGTGAAAAAAGAATGATCATAATTCCAGTAGTTTATTTATTCCACAAGGACCTTGCCACACAGTCATTTTATCTTCAGCATCTTTCTCTCAGCATACAAACATGTCTTCCTTTTAGGAACTTTTCATTGTAAGTCACCTCAACTTTCCTAAGGTCTCAATACTATCCAGAGGTTGGCAGAAAACTTAAACATGCATTTCTTTTATTAACTTGCATCATAAAATAGGTGCATGCCCCAAGTACTTGTAAAGAAAAATAAATAAATAATAACCTGCTAAATTCAGCAAGAGTTTGATTGAGAGAAATATCATTAAGGAAAACAGAATGATGTAGAGTCCTTCACATCCTAAGTCAGTGGTTTTTAACCCTAGTTACATATTAGAATTCCGTAAGAAACTGTAAGTGGAGATCTTAAACAGAGATTTCAAGATCAAATCTTTGATTATAATCAGATCTTGGCATCAAAATTTTTTCATGGCTACCCAGGGAATTCTAATGTGTACCCTGCATTGGGACTCATTGCTATCAATGCTGCCCAATAAAACTTTCTGCAATGGTAAAAATGTTTTATATCTGCCTTGTATAATATGGTAGCCACTAGCCATCTGTCTTGTGAGTACTTGAAATGTCTCTAGTGAGACTGAAAACTGAATTTAAAGTTTTACTTAATTAAATTAATTTACATTAAAATAGCTACATGTGCCTAGTCACAAAGATTATTTGCATAGCCAAATTTTAGTCAGGCTGCTGAACCTTCTCCTATGCCAATCTGTTCACTTCCTTATAAAACCGAGTTTCAGCAAGAATCATGTTAAGGTCAGTGTAGCAGGAACCCCCACCCCGATCCTGGATATCTGATTACCTTCCGTATCTGATCAGTTTTCTCATCCTCCACTGTCCAGGTGAAGTCTGATTACTCTGGCCTGCCTTCAGCAAGAATCCTGGTAGGTCAGTTTCACCATAATACCCCTTATTCCTGACGTTACCTCTTAGCAATTGTCCATCCATCTATCCTTACTCTACTCCTTGGCTAGAAATTCCCACTTGCCCATTTTGTATTTGGAGTTGAGCCCAATCTCTCTCCTCAACTACAAAATCTCATTGCCACAGTCCCTATCCCTATTGCAATGGTCCTGAATAAAGTCTGTCTTATTGTGCTTTAGGAAGTATTATCAAATAATTTTTCCTTTAACACTAGTTGCTACCATATTAGATAGAGCAAATACAGAATCCTGAATCCAATTTTCTCAATCCAGTTCCTCATTTGCATTAGCTGCAATTCAGATACTCAATAGCCATATTTGCCTAGTGGCTACCATACTGGCCATCACAGATACAGACCATTTTCATCACCTCAAAAAATTCTATTGAGTAGTACTCTCAAAAAAATCCAAAACAGAGAGTCGTAACTATCTAAAATCTATAGTTTAAAATGTAAAACCTACCTCTCAGTTAAGATGGACTGTTAGATAACTGCATATTTGGATTAATTGTTTTCCCCTTGTACAGAAGTGCTTTTACTAACTTGCAGTTTAGAGCTACACCATTGAACTACATTAAAGATTTAATGGGTTTAAAAAAATTAAAAATAGATTTTTGAAACTGAAGTCTGTACTTACCATAAAAATAAGCTTTTTGGTTTGTTTTGCTTTATTACAGAGTTCCATGAGTTTTTTTTTTGTTATATTCTCACTATAAGGAATAACTGTGTTTCTCCTGGCTGCCTAAGCAACAGGTTTATCTTTATCCTAGGGACACTGTGATTTATGGCTGATTACATTTCCTTCTTTCCATTTACTGCTAGAAAATAAAAGCCAATTTTTGTCCTTTCTCTAATGTATGTATTTGACCCTAAAACACATTCCTTTTTGTACTAGTATCACCTATTGAACAACATTTATAAAGAGTCTCCTAATGTAAGTTTCCTAGTGGCCATGAAATAAGCCTTCACACACAGAAAAACACTATCTGCAGTCACTTTACTTTTAATGTTAGATTTCTTGAAGTTAAAAATATAAAAACCTACTTTCCCTTGTCTTCTACCATAAAAAGTGCATTCTATTTATAATCTAGCAAATTTTAACACTTTCTAAGGTGCTTTAAATAGCTGACCAACTCAAACTGGAAAATTAAATATCCCTAAATAATCCTGTTATAAACATGGGTAACTAAGTTCTCTTACATATATTACAGGTCCTTGAATAACATCGTTTTGTTATCATTGTTTTGTTATAACTTTGATAAGAACAAAAAATCAATTCCCAGACAAGGCCACTGTCTGTGTGGAGTTTACACATTCTACCCACATCTGTATAGGTTTTCTCCAGGTACTCCAGTTCCCTCCCACATCCAAAGATGTGCACATTAGCTTAATTAGTGTGTTTAAACTGTCCTAGTATGAATGTGTGTGTTTGTGTGCGTGTGTGTGTGTGTGACTGTGCCCTGAGGTGGAATGGTGTCCCGTCTAGGGCTGGTTCCCACCTTGTGCCATGAGCAGGACAGGATCCAGCCAACAGTGACTCTGACTGGAATAACTGAGTAAATAATTCTCTTGTCTTTATTAATCTTTCTTTAATGTTTGCATAGTTCACATTTATTTCAATGTTTAATAATGGAAGTATTTTAGGTCTTTACTTACAAGTTTGCTAATGTTTTTGTGACCAGAAATATATGGTAGGAACCTAACTCTTGTTTACATCAATTAGCTTATGGTAAAATTGGTTTCTTTACACATCATTTTGCTTAAAAGGTGCAACTTCCACAAACCTATTGATGATGTCAAAGGAGGACTTACTATACTAAACTGCATTTATAAATTTACTATATTCTATTTTAAACACATTGCTTCTAACAAGTAAACCTCCTGAGAAAAATATTAAAAACCCTATACTAAGTTTTAAATATAATAAATGTTAAGTTCTTAAACATTCCAGTGGTTTCTAAGTTTAGCCAAATTGTTGCACCTTTCAACTTAAAATCCCAAGTCAAAAAACAATTACGCAAGTATGCATTTTAAATTATACTCTTAAGACTAATTTGTTGGCCACTTTTATAGGCCTAATTCTATGAAACAGAACAAATACCTTAAAGACCAAATACACTGATTATTCCTAGACTTAAAACAAAACTATTAATATAAGCATTTAATAAATTTCATCATTTCTATATTTACTTCTAACCTTCCCATGGATAAAAGACTTACCCACTAAGAAAAGTGTGGTTGCCAGACCAGCAGCATCAGCATTACTTAAGAACTTGTTAGAAATGCAAATTCTCAGCCACACAGAATCACAAATTCTAGGAGAGGTATTCAACAATATTTTTCTAACAAGCCCTTCAGGAGATGATTCTGTTGCATGCTGAAGTTTGAGAATCATCAGCTTATTTTAGAGGCAGTTTTGTTCTACAACATAGATAATACAGAACTTCCTATCAGCTATCCTGTGAGACAAGCAGCAATTCTAAAACAGGCAAATCAACCTCATGCCTGAGAACCACTGAACTAAATGATACACTATTAAGAAAGGCTAACTAGTTGGGAGTTACCACTAGAGCCCACTGAGGTTGCCGATCAAGTAGAGAGTATTCTCTTCCTCCCATCCGGCTTTAGGAAAAGAGACTAAAACTGGGGCCAGCTAGGGTTATCTTCTACCAACACTGTGAGTTTTTTGTTTTGTGGTGGTGGTGGTTGTTTTAAAAAGTTACTGTAACAACTGGTACACTCCAGGTCTCTTAAAGCAGTGGTCCCCAACCTTTACGGCACCAGAGACAGGCTTCATGGAAGACTATGGATTATGGACATGTGGGCAAGGGGTGGGGGATGGGGAGAGAGATGGCTTCTCAATGAAACTGTTCCACCTCAGATCATCAGGGATTAGACCTTGCATGTGCAGTTCACAATAAAGTTCACACTCCTATGAGAATCTAATGTCCCCACTGATCTAACAGGAGGCAGAGCTCAGGCAGTAATGCTGGCTCGCTTGCTGCTTACCTCCCGCTGTGCATCCTGGTTCCTAACAGGCCATGGACCAGGGCTGGGGACCCCTGCCTTAGAGGCACTTGGTCCTCCTGGGTTCAAGATAAACCATCATCTAACTCTTAACACATCATCTGAGGTGGCAATTTCCAACCTAATATATACCTAATTTTTCTCACACCCTCATTGGATTTTGCATTTCCAGCTCTGTCATTTTACTATCTTTCTAACTCTAAAGAACCTTCAATGACAATCCATTCTATCCTTTACAATCTTAACTAATTTAACTTTAATACCTTACATGATAGAATTTTAATTCTTCTCACATTTTTCCCCTATCTCAAGGACTGTAACTCTTGCAAATACTAAGAAAACACCCAAATAAATTCTGAATTTCTCACTTCTTTCTTTGGCTCAGATTTTTCAAAAGGAAAATAGGATAATAATAGTACTATGTCATCAGGTTTTTATTAGGATTAAATAAAAAACTTTTGCTCAGAGCCTGCCCCATTACAGCTATCATTCTTGCTATAGGCTGAGTACCACTTATCTGAAATGCTTGGGAACAGGAGTGTTTTGGATTTTTTTGAATCTTCCTAAAGGATAGGATGGATTTGGAATATGTGCATTACTGATTGAGCATCCCAAATCCAAACATCCAAAATGCTCCAAAGAGCATTTCCTTTGAGCATCATGTAGGCCCTCAAAAAGTTTCAGATTTTGGACTTTCTGATTTGGGATGCTCAACCTGTATTACTACTTCTGTTATTACTACAAGTATCATCATCATCATCATCATCATCATCATCATCATCATCCCATTTACTGAAATAGACATTACCCCCAATCCAAGCAAAACATGATATTTTACACCCCCCAATATTAGGTTAGAAACCCTTCTTATATACTCCCATAATATATTTTACATTCCATGCCCAATAACCAACACAGTTATAAATTCTTTGTCCAATGTCTATTTTCCCAACTAGACAGGATCATTAATGAACCTCAGTACCCTCACCAGTAAAATGAAAATGCTACTATTAATTACCTCATAGGGTTGTTGCTGAGGGTTAACTTGTGCGTAAGACACAGCAAGCACTATATGTTTTGTCTATTATAATTATTATTCCATGTCTTGGTTTACATTTTCCATGATTATCAAAAGTGAACCAGTAACAAGAATATCAATCTCAGGCTTCTAAACGCTTCTCCTTCAGTTACATACATTCAGTACATAGGATTTGCTTAATGTAAACCTAAAATGAAACTTCAGCAACAGGGATAATCATTTAAAAAAATATTATTATTAAATAGTTTTTCCTTGACATGTCAAATAATTCAAGTCATAAAAATGTAATACATTCCCACTTAACTTCATTTTTCATCAACTCTATTGATATACACACACATACCAGTAACATATATGCTATGAGGCAGAGCAGTTTTAGGTGCCTAGTACAACAATTTGCAACTAAGGTCTATGGTTGGTATTACCAGATGTTAATGTCCCAGATTCAAAGTTGAAAGAACTGTTGGCTACTGAAGTCAGCACTTCTGCATAGGAGTAGCCATTTTAGCAGAACTGTTCCATCACTGCTGCTACTACTGCTATCCACCATTGTCATCCTCCCACTAAGGGGCCAAAAAGGACTAAAATGAAAAAGTGGACCCCTGCTTCTATTCCTTCCCACATCCCAACATCAGAGGAGTTAATGCATCAAGAAGGGGTGGAGGGGAGTTTGTGAGAGCTAGACCACACCTCTTCTCCGCTACCAACCTAACTTGGAATGGGAACTGAGGTAGAAAGGTAAATGGAGATATAAATTGAATATGAGACTGAAATTTTTAAATAAATGGACCAAGTCTTAAATAACTGAAAGATAGTTTTAATTGCTAAAAATAAATGAAAAGAAAATGTAAAAGGGCTGAGTTGTGCTCAAAGAATCCTGTCACCAAGTGGGAAAATGAGGTTGATATAATAGGACGCTTATGATAAAAACGATTTCATGTTTATACGACAGTAAGTTGAGAGTCTACACTAGTAAAATTTATCTATATTTATTACAATATAATCTAGTGAAGTGAGTACTTTTAAAGATTATACATTATGAGTTATAGTTATGCCCCCAAACAAGAGCTATATTTAAAGTTCAAAACAATTTTTTAAAATCAAAGCATAATGTACCCGTTAATCAGGAACAAGCATTGTATTTTAAGATGTTTCCTTTGTAATTGTTATTAACTAGATCAATGGTGTGATAATGTCCTTAATATGTCTAAGTCTCAATTATGGTTTTCCTGAGAGGGCTATAATGATGGAGCCAGCAAGCACTAAAAGCTGGTAAGAGCAAAAGCAGCCACCTTGGAGAGGAGTAAAGGAAGGAGAGACATTAACAGTTCAGTAAGTGGTTTCTTTATAGAAAGGGTAAACTCAGAAACATTGACCAAAGTTTTTTTTGGTTTTGGTTTGTTTGTTTGAGATGGAATCTTACTCTGTCACCCAGGCTGGAGTGCAGTGGTGTGATCTTGGCTCATGGCAACTTCCACCTCCCAGGTTCAAGCAATTCTCCTGCCTCAGTCTCCTGAGTAGCTGGGATTCCAGGAGTGTGCCACCATGCCTGGCTAATTTTTGTTTTTGTTTTATTTTTGAGATGGAGTCTCGTTCTGTGGCCCAGGCTGGAGTGCAGTAGGGCGATCTCACTGCAACCTTGCCTCCTGGGTTTAAGCGATTCTCCTGCCTCAGCCTCCCGGGTAGCTGGGATTACAGGCACGCACCACCACGCCCAGCTAATTTTTGTATTTTTAGTAGAGACAGGGTTTCACCGTGTTGGCTAGGCTGGTCTCGAACTCCTGACCTCAGGTGATCCGCCCGTCTCGGCCTCCCAAAGTGCTGGGATTACCGACGTGAGCCACCGCAACTGGCTGACATTTGACCAAAATTTTATCTGGTCTATCCTTAATCTGTCAATGGTGAAACTATCTTATCAACATCATTGCTGAACATGACTCCCTCCACCCCTTCTTGATGCGTAACTCCTCCGATGTTGGGTTGTGAGAAGGAACAGAAACAAGGTTCTACTTTTTCATCTTAGTGGATGAAAGGAGGAATAAGATCACTAACAACAAAGGGTTTCCTGGAATGCAGTCAATTTACATGTGTGAAAGTATCTGTAACAAGAAATACTCCTATAATACACAGGGCTTCTTAAAGAACTGAAGAAAGAATGATAGCAGGAAACTTAAGCAGCTATTAAGAAACTGAAATAAGAGTAGAAAGAGCAGAAGAAATCCTTCAAACAGACTGACAGACACTCATTCTAAAGGACACAAACACAAAGAACAACCCTAGAGCCAAAATCCATCTGAGAAGCAGCTGCAAAGCACAGAATTCTCATTTTAAACAAAGGCTAGCTGGAAACATATGAAGAATCATTTATTTTTCACTTGTGTATATACACGTTGCCTCTCAAAAGTCAGCTAGTTTTCACTAATTCTGCTCCAAATGAAAATGCTCTAGAATAGAGAATTTTGAAATCACCAAATCCAACCTCATTTACAAAGAAGAAAATATAGGCCCAAAGACACTAAGTAACTTGTCCAAATTCTTTCAGGAAGTTAATGCTAGGACGTACCTGCCCACATGACTGTGGTCATACTTTGACCTCACAACGCCTCTCTAATGTGTCAGAGATTTGGGGGCACCATGACTATTAAAGAATATGCAATGAATACATAAGGCAGCTTCAACAGAAGAGGAATACATATCACTTCAGAAGCGCCACTTTGAAGGAGGGTGTCAGATATAGCTGTGTGCTCCACATATATAAACACATAAGTGTCTCTCTGCTGCCCAGTCTGGATTCTCCTCCTGGGCTCAAAGGATCTTCCCGCCCCAGCCTCCTGAGCAGAGTAGCTGGAACTACAGACACGGGCCACCGAATGAATCAGATACACGTGTTTGGCCATATTTATTAAAATACTAACCATATTCCTTTTTAGTTAAGTTACCCCACATATTTCTGAATTCTCCACCCATTTCAAGGCTGGTCACACATCAACTGTTTTCAATTAGGCTACTGAAAACTCATTTTAAAAAGTCCTTGATTTGAACACTTTAAAGTCCCTTTCCTATGCCTGGTCCCACCTTTAAGAGGATTCTGCATTTGGTTAACGTCCTTCAGAGCAGAAACAAAAGTATTCCCCTCCCCTTTTCATTTCCTAATTCCATAAACAGCATTTCTAAAGATAAAAAATATTTTATGTAAAGTAAGGAAAATTTATTTTAAAGGGCTATGCTAAAATGAGACTTTAATATTTCTTCAAAGCTTAAATTACATACCTACACACATAGATCAAAAATGTCCTCACTGTTTTACTGCTTTAAAACAACTGGCAGGGCCCAGCATGGTGGTTCAGGCCTGTAATCCCAGCACTTGGGAAGGCCTAGGCAGGAGGATCACTTGAGGCCAAGAGTTAAGACCAGCCTGGGCAACACAGCGAGACTCCATCTCTACAAAAATAAAGTAAGATAAAATTTAAAATAAAATGACTGGCACGATGTGGAGTTATAAACAGATTTTACACACTTTGTGCCTATCTCTATTTTCTAAACTCTCTAATGCTCATTTATTTTCATAACCCTCAAATATTAAAGCAATTAACAAAAATAAAAATCAGACATGGCTAGGATGTCTGCTACCTGTTAAACGAAGCCAAGGACACTGGAAGTTACCCTATGCATTATGCTAAAACTGTTCAGCAGCACTTTCAAAAATTCTTTAAGTTATCAATATCATGTCGCTACAAATGACTGTTTTAAAGAATGGTACAAAGCCACTGTGGTGAAAAAAATCGGCCAACACAACACAAAATAAACAGGAACTGAGAAAGTTTCTAGGTTCTGCCACCACAAGACAACGTGCAGCCGTTCAAAAAGTACACGACGCAAAATGTCAACTAGCTTCCAATGTTAATGAAGTGTTTTATTTTACAAAGAAGTATCTGGCTTTTTATTTTTCGGTTAGGAAGTGAATCCTAACAACTGAGAAATATTAAGGAAAGACTGACCCAAACCAAAACCAAAGCAGGCACAGCGCTCTTCAAGAATCCAAGACTGAAAACACGGACGTCATAACTGGTTCAGTCTTCACCTCCCAGTGGGAGGGAAAGAGAGAATGGATCGTCCCCTTGAAATACTTGGCGGGGAAAGAAAATCAAGTCTAGGTGAGGAAAGCAGGAAGAGCAGAGCAGGAAGAGCTGGCACGCAGCTGAAAGTCTTCCCTCCCCAGAGCCGAACGAGTCCTTCCTTCCTCGCCCCCGGCGGCCGCCACCCCGGCCACGTTGCCCGCCCCGGCCCAGGCACACCTGCCAGAGCCGGGCAGCGACCCCCGCCCGGCGCCACGACCGCCGCCTCCCCACAGCCCTCAGCCCAGGTCGGCCGCGCGGGAGGCGAAAGAAAGGTGGGCTCACCAGGTCCCTCCGGGCTGGACGGCGCCGGGGGCCGGTGGGGCGGGGACCCGCACCCGAGGTCCCCCTGGGCTGGCTCCCTCAGGTAATCTTCGAAGCGCACCTGCCGGGCTTCGCCGCCGCCCCCGAACCCCAACAGGCGGTTGGCCGTGCCCCGCAGAAGGCGCCCACTCTTCTCGGTGAACGTCGTCAGGTAGTCCATGCTGCCGCGGGGCTGGACGCGGAACTGGGGCCCAGGAGGTCGACGGTTTCGGCGGTGGCGGCCACCACTAGCGCGCCCACCGGCCCATCAGACCTGACCCAGGGGAGGCGGCTCCGCGCGCCTCACAAGAGGCGGGGAGGAGGAGGGGGCGTCCCTCTCTCTGCCCGGGGACGGACCATCAGGAAACCACGCGTCGGGGGAGCAAAAGACGGACAAAAGTTTTCGAAAAGTTTTTCTTGTGGCTTCTAAATGCAAAATGAGGCAGAACTTAGCTTGTCACATAGGTGTATTCTTCCTGGAACCGATGCGGGGTCAGAAAACTGATGGCTTTTAAGCAAGCTGGACGGGTCCTCTCAGCGCATTCCCCCACCCGCCTGGCGCCAATGGAGCTGGCCTGGCCCGCCCAGCCCCTCCCCGCCCCGTCCGCGCTCGGACCGGACTTTCAGGACTGCAGGGGAAAGGGTGGACACCCAGCCTCCCGCCAGGTCAGAGCAGAGGCTAAAAATGGCCCAGGGGAGACTGCTGGAGTTGCATGGAGTTCGGGAGCCTAGGAGGGGTCTGAAAATAACTGTCAAAAAGTTTGAAGGGTGTGTGTTGGCTTGGGGAAAAAAGAGGGTGGAGTGCATTACATAAAACTTTTGCAGCTTGTATTTCCTTTTTTTTTTTTTATGTTTAAGGACGGCGGAGATACCTTCAACGTAAGACTGCAATCATAATTAAAACATGAATAGTAACATTTTAAGTTCGTTGTGCCATTATGAACTCATGTTAGTGTTGGACATTCTATGATCCCAGTCCTGTTTAGGCAACGTTATTGAGGGATTTAGTTTGCGGATCTACCTTTCAGGGACAAAGAACCTAGACAGGGAAAGAACAGTAACTTTTGACAGAAATTTTGCTTCCTGTGAGATGTGGTTATTCTCTTCCTTTCACATCTGTTTGTAGTTCTTTTAGTTTTCCCAGGCATTAAATAAATTAAACCCTCTTTCTTGGAATCACCAATATATTAATATATTGGGGGGAAAAAGATTTGAATTACTTAGGAAGTTGATGAACTACCCACTCCAACAATAGAGCCCTGAAAATCAGGCTTAAGCTTTTGGCCATACTACTAAAGACTATCCCTCCTGACAAACACACACCCTCTTTTTTTTTTTTTTTTTTTAACTGGTTGACAGATCTTTTTTGCATCATCACCATTTTCAGTTTAGATTCTTACTAGGTGGGATAAATTTCACCATTCTAATATCAGCCATCACCATTATGCCTGGTGAAAAATACAGAATGTCTGGGCTGCATCCTCAGAGTGTCTAATTCGGTGTTTATGGGAAAGGGACCCAGGAGAATCTGCATACCCAGCAATCCATGTTTTCAGGGTTGTGGCTTGGGAAAGAACTGTTCCAGACTTCTGCACTTCCTAAGGACCTATTTTGTAGATGTTGCAGTGGACGGAATGTTTGTGCTTTCCCTTAAATTCATTTGTTAAAATCCTAACCCCAATGTGATGGTATTAGGAGATGGGGCCTTTGGGAGGTAATTCATAGCATAGAGGCCGCATGAATGCGATTAGTGCCCTTATAAAAAAGGGACCCAGAGAGCTGTCTCCATCTTTCTGCCACAGGAGGATACAAAAATACATCAGTTTGCAAACCAGAAGAAGGTCCTCACCAGAAACCAACTATGCTGGCACCCTGATCTTGGACTTCTAGCCTCCAGAACTGTGAGAAATAAATGTGTGTTTATAAACCAGTCAGTCAGTCTATGGTGCTTTATTATAGCATCTGGAACGAGCTAAGACAGCTGCTAAGTAGCATTCCATTTGACAAGGAAGACTTACCATTCACACTACTTCTGAGTTCAATGAAAGAGAGGCTCGGTAAGTTTTAAAAATCAAATTTCAATGACTTAGTCTAATTCTCATTAATAATTTAAATTATTTTTCTAAGATATGTTTTACATCTTCTAAAAATTTACCGGTTTGTTATAAGCATATCCAATTAATGCTTGAGATTTTACCTGATTAGATCTGCACTTTTACATCCAACATTTGCAGGAAGCTTCATTCTACCAGTTCAAATCCAGATTTACAGGTAGTTAACCCATCTGTTTTGGGTTTTTTTTCTGCTTCTATTTCATAGAAGGCTAGAGCTGCTGGAGAAAAATGTATAACCTTGATGACTGAATGCCTTACAATCTTTGATTTAAACTCGGCTGAGTCGTAATGTCTCTAAAATCCTTCTATTCATATAGTCAGTGTTCTCTTTTATTCTCTGTATTTGTTGTCTGAACTGTCATCATTATCCTAAAGTTACCAAATTCATCACTTGAACATGTTACTTTGCCTTCTACATGACCCAGAAAATCATAGGCCATCAAATATGAACATTCATTTTTCTTTCCTTTTTCTCTTCAATCTACATCAAGTTGCTCTCCCTACCTTGCTTTAGAAGGAGGTCTTTATTCCTGTCCATGCCTTTCTTCCAGATTTTCTTTTGATAGTCTAATTATGTTGTCTGTGACTTGCCAGCTTTATTATTCCTCTCTGTTCCTTTTCACTATATTTCCTTTCCTCTTATCCTTCCTCTATCAGCCACATAAGTCACTCAGCCTTAAAAAAAGCTTGCTTATATGCCATGCCTGCTTTTTCACGCTACCTTTTGCCTCATTAAAAAAAAAAAACTTTATTCATATGTAATTTAAGTACTGTAAAATTCACGTGTTAAAATTATATAGTTCACCTGATAACAATTCAGGGTTATAAAGCCATCATCAAAATGTAATCTTTGAACCTGAGCATTTCCATCACCACAAAAAGAAACTTTTTACCATCTGTAGTCACTCCCCAGTCACACTTGCAGCCCTAGGCAACCACTAGTCTATTTCTGCCTCGGTGGATTTGCCTTTTATAGACATTTCATATAATGCTTGGTCTTTGGGGTCTGGCTTCTTTCACTTAATGTTTCTGAGGCTTCTTCATGTTGTAACATGTATTGGTACTTCATTCCTTCTTACCACCAAATAACATTACTTTGTATAAGATATACCACATTTTATTGATCCGTTCATCCATTGATGGATATTTGGATTGTTCATACCTTGCAGCTATTGTGAATAATGTAGGAACATCTAGGTAATTAAGTTTTTTTGTTGACCTGTTTTCATTTCACATATATACATAGAAGTGAAACTGCTGGGTCAAAATGGTGGCTTTCAATGTACAAAAAGGTTTAATTTTGATGAAGTCCAAATTTATCAATATTTTTATCACATCCGTGCTTTGCATTGTATCTAAGAAATCACTGACTAATCCAAAGTTCGAAGATTAACTATTATGTTTTTTCTATGAGTTTTATTTTATTTAGCTCTTATATTAGGTCTTTGATCTAACATAGGACTTTGATCTAATATAGGTCTAATATAGATCTTTGATCTTATATAGGTCTTTGATCTATGTTGGGTTAATTTTCAGGTTTGATGTGAGGAAGTGGTCCAAATTCATTCTTTTATGTGTGGCTATCCAGTTGTTCCAGCACCATTTATTGAAAAGATGATTTTTCCCCCATTGTCTTTGCATCTTTATCAAAAATTAATTGACCTTAAATACAAGGTTTTATTTCTGGACTCTCAATTCTATTCCTAAACCCATGCCAATACCATGCTATCTCGATTACTGTAGCTTTGTAGTAAGTTTTGAAATTGGAAAGTGTGAGTCTTCCCATTTTGTTCTTCATTTTGAAGATTGTTTTGGCTATTTTGAATCCTTTTCATTCCATATGAATTTTAGGATTACCTTGTCAATTTCTTCAAAGAAAAAAGTCAGTTGTAATTTTGATAGGGATTGCATTAAATCAGTAGATCAATATGGGAAGTATTGCTATATCTTCTATAAACAAAAGGATGTCTTTCCATTTAGGTAGATCTTCAGTTGCTTTCAGCAATGTTTTGTGCTTTTCATTGTATAAATCTTGTACTTTTTTGTGACATACATTAATAAGTGTTTTATTTTTTGTTGATATTGTGAATAGATTTTTTTTAGATTGCCATTGCTAGTATACAGAAATAAAATTGATTTTTGAATACTGTTCTTGTATCTTACAACCTTGCTGGACTCATTAATAAATTCTATTCATTGTTAAATGGATTTCTTAACATTTTCTCTATATAAGTACATGTTTTCTGTAAATAAAGGTGGTTTTGTTTTTTCCCTTCCAATTCAGGTGCCTTTTTTTCTTGCCTAATTGCCCTGGTTAGAACTTTCAGTACAATATTAAATAGAAGTTGTGAGAGCAGATATCGTTTTATTCCTGAATTTGGAGAAAATGCATTGAGTCTTTCACAATTAAATATGATATTATACATCGTTTTTTTGTAGATGCCCTTACTCTAGTTTAGGAAGCACCATTCTATTCCTAATTTCTAATTTTTTTGTCATAAATGACGTTAGATTTTGTCAAATGCTTTTTCTGCTTCTGTTGATATAATATTGTGCTTTTTGTCCTTTATCCTGTTAATATAGTGTTTGCATTAATTAATATTTGTATATTAAATGAACCTTGCCTTCCTTAGATAACCTTCAGAATGTATAATATGATGCTTGATTTGGTTTGTTGGTATTCTGTTGATTATTTTTTGTCTATATTCATAATAGATATTACATTGGTTTATACTTTTCTTCCCTTGTGATATCCTCGTCTGGCTTTGGTATTTGGGTAATACTGGCCTTTGACAATGAATTGAGAAGTATGCCATCCTTTTCACTTTTTTGGAAGAGTTTCTGAAGGATTGTTACTAATCATTCTTTAAATGTTTGGTAGAATTCACCATTGAAGCCATCTGGCTCTAGGCTTTTCTTTCTGGTAATATTTTAAATTACTATAATCATTTACCATATATATATATATATTTTTTTTTTTTTCTATTTCTCCTTGTGTCAGTCAGTTTTGGTAGTTTTGTCTTTCTAGGAATTTGTTCATTTAATGTAAGTCATCTAATTTGTTGTTCATAGTATTCCTTTATAATCCTGTTCATTTCTCTGATTTATATTAATATCAGCTCTTTTACTCCTAATTTTAGTAATTTGAGTCATCTCTGTTTTTTTCTTGCTCGATCTAAATCTTTGTCAATTTTGTTGCTCCTTGCAGAGAGCCAACTTGAGGTTTCATTAATGAGGTTTCTCTAATGTTTTTCTATTTCCTATTCCATTAATATCCATGCTAATCTTTATAATTTCCTTCTATTTGTTTTGTGTTTAGTATCTTCTATTTCCCCCCGCCGCCCCCCAACCTCCCTAGTTTCATAAGGCAGAAGGTTAGGCTATTGATTTGAAATCTTCTTTTTTTTTAATAATATAGGTTTTTACAGCTACATACCTCATTAGTTCTGTCCCACAAATTTTGGTATATTGTACTTTAGTTTTTATTTATCTCAAAGTAATTTTCCTTATGACTTATTATTTGACTCATTGGCTATTTAGGAGTATGTTGTTTAATTTCCACATGTTTGTGAATTTCCCAAATTTCTTTGTGTTTTTGACTTCTAACTTAATTTTACTGTAGTTAGAGAACATACTTGGTACAATTCCCCCATCCTTTCAAAATCATTGAGTTTTTTTATGGCCTAGTTTATAGTCTATCCTGGATAATATTCCATTTCCTTCATTTTTAAGGCCTTCCATTCATCACTGAATTTCTTGAAAATCCATATTTGCTGCCTCTCTTAAGCTCCTACCCAAGCTCACTCTCAGCAAATTGTCATCCATTCATTCAGCTTTAGTAAATGCCTACTCAGCACTAAGATAGAGAGTCCCTATTTCTATGGCACTTTCAAGCTGATGTTACACTCCCAAAGATCACCAGTGCCAGCACAAGATGTTTTTGTGCGATTAGAAAGAGATACCCCTGCAAATAGACACATTACAAAAAGGCATCTCTAATCCAAAAATGAAATTAAGAAAATAATTCCATTTATAGTAGCATCAAAAAGACAAAAATACTTAGAAATAAATCTATCCAAGGAGGAGCAAGACATTTACTGAAAAATACAAAACATAATTGAAAGAAGTTAAAGAAAATCTAAATAAATGGAAAGACATCCCATATACATGGACTAGAAAACTTAATATTGTTAAAATGGCAATTCAGAAATCAATATACAGATGCAATACACTCCCTATCAAAATTCCCCTGTTTTATTTACAGATATGGAAAATCCCATCCTCAAATTCATATAGAATTGCAAGGAACCCCAAAGAACCAACACAATATTTAAAAAGAAAAACAGAGTTGGGGGACTCATACTTCCCAATTTCAAAACTTTCTTCAAAGCTACAGTAATCAAAAACCGTAGTACTGGCGTAAGAATAGATGTACAGATTGATGAAATATAATTCAGGGTTCAGAAGTAAACACATACATTTAGGGAAAACAGACTGATTTTCAACAATGATGCCCAGGCCATTTAATGGGGAAAAATAGTGGCTTCAATAAATGGTGCAGTAACAACTCCATATTCACATACAAAAGAATGAGATTAAACCCTTACCTCACACCGTGGACAGAAATGAACTCAGAATAGATTAAAGACATAAGTGTATGACTTAAAACTATTAAATTCCTAGAAGAAAACATAAGGTGAATCTTCATGATCTTGGAATTGGCAGTGGACTCAGAGATTACACCAAAGGCATAAACAACAAATTTGCTTCATTACTAATAAGAGGAATGCAAATATCTGCCAATAAATACCATTTTCTTCTATCAGGATGGTGAAGATCAAAAAGTTTCAAGCCATTTTGCTAACAGTGGGTGGAAACTACCACTTTCATATATTACTAGTAGGGGAGCGAATAATGGTACTACCGTTTTGCAGGATCATCAAAGAGGGTCATTTTGCAGGATCTATCAACATTTTTAAAGCACACTCCTTTTGACTCAGTGTCCTCACTTCTTGATATTTATCCTACTGATGTATGAAATGATGCAATTTTCTATTTGCAATAGCAAAATGTTGAAAATAACCTAAGTGGTGACTAATAAGGAAATGATTAAATACAATATGACATGTCTATATAATGGAATATTATTCAGCCATTAAAAATAACTACACAGTTCCTGGTATAACTGATTATGAAAGAATCTTGAGAAAAGTATTTTTAAGGGGGAAAGGAAGATATAGAACACCACATGTCGTATGCTTCAATTTTTGAAAACAATGTGAAGTATGTGTAGTTATCCACATACAAATAAAACATTTCTGTTAGTATATATAAGAACCTAGTAATGGTGGTTGCTTTCTGAGAAAAGAAGTGGGTGGCTTAGGGTGTGATGAGAGAGAGCCTTAATTTTCACTGTGTGTATAATATGCATGTATCACCTATTCGAAAATGATTTTTTAAGTTAAAAAGGACCTGTTTCCCATAAGCCCATTCTATCTTGTAGGAGCTTGCTAGACTGTCCACTGCCAATCTGACTGTCATTCAGCTCCTATGAAAGGCATTTGAGATAGACTGCATTTCTCAATCATCAGTAAGAAAAATGTGATCTTTCTTAAGTTGTCTAAGAGTTACAGGCATATCAAGTTAGGTCATCTGCAGTCAGTATACCTAAGGCATGTCTCATCATTGAGAACATGGGCCCTTAGTCTAACTTCAGATCCTGGCTTTGCCACTTACTAGCAGCGTAATGGGAAAGTAACTGACTTAGCCTCTCTCTCCCTCAGGTTCCTTACCTGTAAAATAGAGATCATATAGAGATGTCGGGAAGATTTAATAACATCATGCAAGCAATATGCCTACAAGAGTGCCTGTAAAACATTAAGCCTTGGTAAATGTGAGCTATAATGCTTCCTATAAAATACCTTATCAAGTTATACCATTAGTGTTATATTCTGAATTTTATTGAAGTTCAACGCAAGAAATAATTGTGTGAGGAACTGATATTGAAGACATTATTCATTATGTTGTTATTTAGTGTATATAATTAAAAAATATTTTTGGCCAGGTGCGGTGACTCACACCTGTAATCCCAGCACTTTGGGAGGCCAAGGTGGGCGGATCATGAAGTCAGGAGGTCGAGACCATTCTGGCTAACACAGTGAAACCCTGTCTCTACTAAAAATACAAAAAATTAGCTGGGCGTGGCGGTGGGTGCCTGTAGTCCCAGCTATTTGGGAGGCTGAGGCAGGAGAATGGCGTGAACCTGGGAGGCAGAGGTTGCAGTGAGCCGAGACCGCGCCACTGCACTCCAGCCTGGGCGACAGAGCGAGACTCCATCTCAAGTATATATATATATATATTTTTGACAGATATTTAGAATTTTATGTCAGGAAAAATCCTTGTGAAGACAGGACAGGCATTCATTAACCAGATAATACGTGTTATTATCTTGTCTTAAGTTTCAAATACAATGACCATCTTTTCTTTTTTTTTTTTTTCCAAAAAAGTAGAACTACCTTGCCATTTCCTTTGCTTAGTAATTTCTGGTCTCATTGAAATTATTATTTTTTACTAGATGTTTAAATTAAAAGGACAATATATAACTGGGTACATGCATATGGGAAAACAAAACTATAGTACAGAAGGCTATATAATAGTAAATTTGTTACATCCTTCCTGAATCAACCTCCACAGCTTTGTGTATATCCTTCTGTAAATTTTGTATGCATATATTTACATAGGGATTAGTATGTGTATATATGCATGTGTGTTTCTTTAAAAAAAAAACCCACACAAATGGGAACATATTGTGTCCACAATTTTGTTGTTGTTGTTGTTGTTTTCTTGTTTGAGATAGGGTCTTACTCTGTTGTCCAGGCTGGCATGCAGTGGTGTGATCAGGGCTCACTGCATCCTCGACCTCCTGGGATCAATCCATCCTCCTGCCTCAGCCTCCTAAGTAGCTGGGACCATAGGCACATGCTATCACACCCAACTAATTATTGTAGTTTTTGTAGAGACAGGGTTTTGCCATGTTGCCCAGCCTGTTCTTCAACTCCTGGGCTCAAACGATCTGCATGCCTCTGCTTCCCAAAATGCTGTGATTACAGGCATGAGCCAAGATGCCTGGCCAATGTCCATAGTTTTATACAAATATTTTTACTTCACTTTGTCTTAGACACCTTTCCATATCAATTTCTATTAGTTCTCCTTCATTCTTTTTACAGTTTCCGAGTTCAATTTATTATTATCTGTTGAAAAAGCCTTTTGTTGTTAGTTGCTAGAATATTTAATTTAATTACATCACATTTACTTCCAAAAAAAATGTAGGAGCTAAAAACTCACTGGAAAGCAACTATTAATAAGTTGGAAACTTGTGCACTACTATATGTAGGTTATTTAGTTAAACCACTCCCCAAAATGCTTTAAGAAATTCTGCCCCTGCCCCCGCAGCACTATTCCTTAAAGGAAACATTGTTCTTTTAATTGTGGAATCTTAAGTAGAAAACTTTCAAGTAAGACAATGATTTCTGAAAATATGAAGAAAAATGACATGAAAACTAGGCAAATGGCTCTGATTTTATATTTTTATACTAAAAGAATATCATCAGTAACCTAAAAATAATTAGAACCAGATTAACAAAAACATTGGTTTGTAATGTTTATATTTTCTTAATTGTTAGATGAATTAAATGATTCCTATTTTAAGGGGACTATTCTTTGATTGCTTGTTTACATTGGCTAATGACTGAAGTTCTGTTTAATGTTCAATCTTCTCAATCTTTTTATTCCTGCCCCAGCTCCTATCTCTGTCAGTCATCCTATATACCAAGCTCTCTGAATTCAAGCTCACTTCTTTATCTTTTACTGAAGATGACATGAAATGGTTTTTCTACTAACAACCATCCCCTGGCATACTTCCTGATTCACTAAAACTATTATGAGTAGCCACAACATTGTGTTCATTACATTTTAAAATACTTTTTAACACAGATAAAATTATTGAATTTTAGGAAATAAAAGAAGCAGAACTGTAACATCCTGAGAAAACACAGAGACATTGAAGTATATGAGCACGACACATCTGCAAATCTTTAAGCAAAATGGTAAAAGTGAGAGCTGTGTTCTCATTATAAGGCTAGCTATGTTAATAAACTCAGAAAATAACAATTGGATCTTAAAAGAACAAAATGAAAAAATAATCTTCTCCAGTAACAAATTATATCTACCTGTCAACTATTTCATAAGATAGAAATGTTAGGGTTGGGCATCATAGCCCACACCCGTAATCTAAGCACGTTGGGAGGCTGAGGCCAGAGGATCGCTTGAGGCCAGAAGTCAGCACTCAAATTTCTGATATGATAAGCCAAACCACTGATGGAATCAATAAAGCAGACTGACAATCTGACACTAAACTAAGCAAACAGATTTTGTAAGTTTAGAAACTAAGGCATGAATCTATTATACAGTCACTACATCTGCATCTGCCAGTAAACCTAAAGCTTAACTTCATAGACAAATTTGATACCCTTAAAATTGACTCTTTTTTTATATAAAGCATTTGTGTGTTTTTTGCCACTAAAATGGTTTATGCTAACATTCAAATTCCTTATCATATGTGAGACTGCCACCTGTGTCCCAAATGACCACAAAGAGGAAGAATGTGGGTTATCGTTTGAATATAATCATGATCACAGCATTGAAGAGTATATGATAGAGATTTAATACGGCCTTTCAATAGACTGGGAGAGAGTCTAATATTAATTTTCTAAAAAGTTCCCCTCTAGAAGATACCAACCTTGGATATAATAATTACAAACCCTACTAAAAACCAAGTAATTTTCTTTCAATTCTGAAAATTGTCCAAAAGGTGTTAACTCCTTCACTCATCAGAAAAACACTGCATGGCAGTCAAGCCAAACAAGGACTCAGCAATAGCATCGTTAACAATTATAATTGAAACTTGGGTCACAATAAGTGACATCAACTTACCATAGAATTATTCCAGTTCTATTTTTAATCCTATTAAAGACAGTAATTACAATGGTATAATTACAGCCCCCAAATACTCCATACCTGGAATGTGGCAGCTTCTGGAGCTTTTGGATCAGTTTCACTCAGCTCATTGGACAAGTGCCAATTGGTATTACCAATGGTGCTTAAAGTTCTGAAAACTCAATAAAGCTTTAAAAACCTTGAGGAACAATAGCTCATCAGGACACCCAAAGAATAATGTTACATCATGAAGACAAACATTCTCATTTTCTTTCTTCTGCAGATTTCTTTTCCTGCCTGCACTTTCTTTGAGGTTGCAGTAGAGAGTGTGTGTCTACAGAAGGTACTGTATGCATAGCTATAAGGAGGTCTTACCCTCTGTCTTTTTATCTTTCTGGGCCCTTCTTTACCCTTGTTCTTCCTCTTCTCCTCTCTTAATTCTATAATGGGTCTTCACATATTGCTGTACCTTCTCATGTTACTTGAATAGAATTTTGATACTTAATCTGAAAAGCTGATAAGTGAAAACATTTGTTTTGTGGTATATTAAGTACTTTATTGAAATTATTAATTTCACATATTTTAAAGTTATATAGCTTTTAGCTAATTTTTTGGATAATTTCCCTATCTTTGTTTTTATTAAAGATAATAGGGCCAAGCGCGGTGGCTCATGCCTGTAATTCCAGCACTTTGGGAATCTGAGGTGAGCAGATCACCCTGAGGTCAGGAGTTTGAGACCAGCCTGGCCAACATAGCGAAAACCAATCTCTACTAAAAATTACAAAAATTAGTCAGGCTTGGTGGTGTGCACCTGTAATCCCAGCTACTTGGGAAACTGAGGCAGGAGAATCGTTTGAACTTGGGGGGCGGAGGTTGCAGTGAGCCGAGATCACGCCACTGCACTCTAGCCTGGGCAACAGAGTGAGACTCTGTCTCAAAAAAAGAAAAAAAAAAGATAATAGAGAAAAAAGAAGATGAACAGGCAAAATAATATTGGAAAAACCTAAATCTGTTGCCAGCACATTTCCAGCTTTAACCTGTAACCAGTAGTTAGGTAGTTTTTTGTTGTTGTTGTTCCTTCTGTTGGGGGAAAGTCTATAACTGGGGCTGTGTCAATACAAGATGAAATGAAGTACAATAAAAAGAGAGCCTACCTATAAGTTCATCCATCTCAGAGAAAGTGCTGGGCAGCAATGACAAATTTTTATCAATTGTCCAAATGTTTCAGCCATGATGCATGAACAGCAAACTCCTAAGTGCTGTACATAATGTTTGAAAGGAATAGAACTTATTCCTCTTCCCAAAGTAGATGGGAGTTCCCTAACTCCCCACCTCCCCATACCAAACACAATCTGGGAAAGATGCTAATATCCCCAGGTGAATCAGCCCAAAGGCAGTCAGCATATAGGAAGAGAAATTCAAACCTAGATGGTCAATCTTTAAATGATCCAGCACTGACTAGACAGGTTTAGTTTTCAAGCAGAATCATGCACTGGTCATTTTCTTCTGTTGCAGATCTACTCTAAATTCTCAAGTCTTCCTAGAGAACAGTAGACACAGCAATATAACCAGATTCAAAACTCAAATCTATGCTGCCCTAACAGGCTTGAAGGAAAGTTGGATCATTTCTAATTGCCTCTCAAGAGAGAAGCAGGGCATGCCTAGGCACCTCAGCCCCACCTACTATCCACAGACTCATATGGGTGCCAAGCTGGCTATACAGCCACCACCACCAGTAGAATTTATCAAATGCATTGAACAAGGACTGGTTGGCAGCCAATTTGTACCTACCCTACTGGTTTTCTAGGAGTCCGGAAGGAAGGGTTGGGGATAAGATTCTTAAATATACAGAGACATCAACAACATTGTTAGGCCCTCAGATTGAGCTAGTTCTGCTAACACACTGCATGATATGTAAGCACATGCATTTGTGTTTGCTCATTAGAGCCTATACATTATGTAGTAAAATGAAATCTCCCAGCTTCTACTTTACCCCCTCTTTAATCGATCTCCAACACTGCAGCCAGGGTAATCTTAAATCCGCCAATCTAAGTATTGCCTTTTCTCCGCTTTAAAAACACTCCTTGTTCACAGCAGCAGCTGCCTGTTGATAATGAGAATCAGCTGTGGAACTTTTTAAAAAATTAAAATTCTCCAACTATACGCAGAGATTCTGGTTCCATGGCTGTAGGGTGGGGAACTCAGGAACCTCAATTTTTAAATTATAAGCCACGTTTGCGGCCTGCTACTTTAGTTCTTCCAAATGGTTTTTGCATATTTAGTTCATATGAGTCACACAATGACTTCCGAAAAAGGTCCATGAGACTAGATCTGGCAACCACCGAGCAGTGATGTATGTGTTTCACATACGTGTGCAAAGAACAGGCGCTGTTTAAAACTGCCAGTGTTTTACGCTCCAGGTGCCTCAGCCCCTGCCTCAGCAGCTAAGGATATGATGTGCACAGGACGGTACAGCTACAAGATGGTGGAGCCTCCATCAGTCTGGATCCCTATGTAACTATATGGATCAGAGCCCCTGCTCCCAATACAACCCAAAATTGGATATGTAAGAGGAACAAGAAATACATCAAGAAATATACACCTATTTCAGCAAGTCACTTAGGTTTAGGGGTTCATTTGGCATCACAGAATAAGCTTAGCTTATTTTGACTGATAGATTTTGCAAATGATTAAGTTACATTTTTAATGATATATTAATATGCTAAAGATCACCTGATTTGTTAATGATTTTGCTTTTCAATTGTCTCTTGCCATGTCTATATTCTGAAAAGTATTCTGAGATTGCGAAACTATTCATTTACCTTTTGTGTATGTGAATAAGTATTTTCTTAATACAACCAGAGGAAAACCAACAAACAACAAAAGCAAAATGGGGAGAATGCGGAGTTGCTGAAGCTAAAAAGAATCTGTCGATCATTTATCCTCCCAGTTTAAAAATTTGGTTTCCTATCAGCCTTATTCTCTCAATAAATATCTTTATAATCAAAATGTAAATTTGAACTTGTAAAACACATGTAGGCTCATAAAATGCCATTTTTATGTTTTACATACTGTTCTCCCATAAAAGTACACTAGAAAATGGTTGAAAATAATTACTTTAAGAGCTACAAAGAATACATCTCAATTGTCTTTCACACAATGCCCTTAACATACTAATCGCAACCTTAACCATAAGACATGAGCGGGGCCTTGGTGTTTATCTAGTCAAGCCTTTCATTTTTATGGATTGGGTCATCAAGGCCGAGAGAGGTCAAGTGTACCTCTCAAGGTCACACACTTGGAAAAGAACAGAGCCAGAACGCAGGGTTTGCCCATGGGAAATGCTGCCACATGACATTTCCCTCCATCTTTTACTCAAGCAATTAACTGTTACTCTCTCAGTTCACCCAAACATTTGGTTAAAGTGGCATGATGTCCCACAGCGGGTTTTCTGGCTGTGAAAGCTAGGTCAAACTATTGACTTATTTATGTATTGAGATGTAGCTTTCTGATCTGTAAAATAAGAGCAAATAGTGCCTAACTTGGAGCTCTTCTATTATTAGAAAGGACATGATGTATGTATTAGGCCCATTGTTCTTTGGCTGTAAATTAAAAAAAAAAAAAATTCTATTGATTCCCTTCAGAATTTCAGCCTATTCTTCTAGACCAGGGAACAGCAAACTATGGCCCATGAACCAAATCTGGCCGGCCATCTGTTTTTATAAATTTGGTTTCCTTTGAACACAGCCATGCCCATTCATTTATGTATTGTCTGCGGCTGCTTTGGGACTATATCAGCAGAGCTGACTAGTGTGACAGAGACTTTATGGCCCAAAAAGCCTAAAATATTTGCTCCCTGGCCCTTTTCAGAAAAATTCTGTTGGACTGTATTCTAAACTGTTGGGATCATTTTGATTCTTTCACCCACAGTGACATTCGGTATCCCTAATTACTGAGTCAACCATAAATTTGCCTCTGTTAAGGTTGTTCATAAAAATATTTAATGAGACATGAGAAAGGAAAGTCACAAGACACAGGTCAACTGACACCTTCAAGGATGACAATGACTACCACTCATTGAACACATTAATCTAAAGAAGTATGAATCCACTAAATGCTACCATCACCCAGAACTCATTTATCAACAATGCCACATATTAGTTAAACATCTTTCTAATACGCAGAAGATAAGGTACAGACTCCAAGTGATCACTGCTTTCCCCTCTGAAATGGTTTCAAGTCTATGATGTTTCTATACCCTTCAACTCCATTTCAATAGCATTTTAAAAATTCGGGCTATTCGCCTAACTACAGTTTTCTGGCAGATGTCTCATTATCCAGCTACAGAATGGCTAGCTGTAACCAAACCTGATTCTTCTTTTTTCTGGGCACATAGTGAGCCTACATTTCCCAGATTCCTTTTTGGGCAGCAGTGCTCAAGTGATTATTTTTTAGCCAATGGAAGGACTGCAAAAATGGTGTGTGCTACTTCCAGGCCTGGCCAGAGAGTCCCTATTGGTGATCTCCATGCTCTTTTCTTTTCACATACTTGTAGCAGATGAACATGGTGACTTGAGAAGCCATTTATTAAATATGACAGAGCCTTGAGATAGAAGGTACCTAGGTCCTTGAACCCACCCTTAGTGGAGAGCCACCACCACCCAGGAACTCCAAATGTAGACTCAAACAAGAATAAACTTCTCTTGTATTTAAGCCATTTTATATATTTTGAAGTTTGTTACAGGAGGGAGTATAACTGTCAAAAATACACTATGATTCCTGTAAGGTTACTACCAAAGGTTTTGTGACCACATAGGAAAATATTCTGGTTTTCTGGACCAAGAGGTTTCAATTCATGTAAAGTAGATGTAGGTGTTCTTTCACTGTATCCCTGTGTGCCTTAGCCTAAAAATTTCAATTTTACAGTATTTGTTTTGTACTTCCTTGTAGCTCATTCTTCTTAATTGAGAAAAATAAAGCAAAACTGTGGCCAAGTGTGGTTGTGCACACCTGTAGTCACAGCAACTTGGGACACTGAGCTGGGAGGATCTCTTGAGCCCAGGAGTTCAAGCCTAGCCAGGGCAATATGGCAAGACCCCATCTCTTAAAAAAAAAATTAAATAGGCATTAAACTTACTCTTTCTTTTAATAAATTGTTAAACAACACAAGCCTCACCCATCCATCTTGTTCTCCTTTATTGTAGGACTTTCCTTTTCACTAGTTTTTTTGGTGCTTATATAACCTCACTCTATGTTTTGGCCTGATACTCTTTCACAGTTTTATGCCAGTCTTTTTTGTTTGTTTTTTGTCCCTGGTAATATGTTCCTCTTTTGTTTCTTCTAAGAACTAAGCTCAGAAAACAGCTTGCCAAATCACACTGGTATCGCCCCATTTTGCTTTCTTATTAAGATTACTCATGACTTTGTTTGCCAGAGTTTGATTTTTTGGGTATGCTACTAATACTCAATTAAGAAACCCTATTCTACTGGATGTTGAGAAAGATTCAGCGCTCCCATAACCACCTTACACCTCTGGCAACTTTTATAGTCTGTTTGTAAAAAGCCTTATTTCATCCTGTATCTAGACACAATATTCAATATTCTTTAACACTCGTACTTTAGTATGCTGTGCGTGGAGATAACATGCTTCTATTGATCCTGATGCTTCTCCATCTCATTTACAGAGAAGATGCAGGGCAGGCTGTTGCCACTTCCTGACATATCTTTCTGGGCTTGCTCTTTCAGCCCCACGTTTTCACTCACTAGCTTCAAAAGCTATGAGGTCCCATTCAAGACATCCTACTCTCTAAAGCCTTCTTTATACCAGTTTGACTTAGCTTCAATTGGCACAGAAAAATCTGGGAATGAAAGATGTGATTGTAAGCTCATATGGCAAAAAGAAGAAGACAGCTGTGTGCAAAAAAGTTTATGGCTAACAGAATGATGTTTCTTTAGCTAGCAAATTTATATGTTGTAAATGTCATTAGCATGATTGGATGTATTTGATAACTTGTAGAGTTATACTACTGTCTATGTAGATGCTTTCTTAAAATTTTAGTTAAAAAGTATAGAAGTGAGTTTTACCTCAGTGAATTTCTGCAACATGCATATAAGCTTGTCATAAATAAATGAAGTAAATTTACTTTATAGTATGCATATGTTCTAGTTTGATTTTGGAACTAGTAAAAAGCATGCTATGTATTCTTTCAAGTATTGTGAACAAACATAGGGTGTATTTGTTAAAAACAAAGTTGTAACTATTATTGCAAGAATTTGAACATTGAATCACTGGCAAAATTTGAATTTCAAAATTTTAAATTTGTCTTTCTCAGATGTAATTTAAATATAATCAGTTTAGGGTATTTCTAAAAATTGATTTGCAAAGAAATAAATGTTATTTTTATGCTATCGAAGTTACTTCCCAAAGTAAAGATTACATGTTATTCACACTTTAAATATACATGTACTTATTCTATTATTATTAAAGAGAGGATTCCTCTGCCATTCTCACTACTTTCTCCTCAAAAGAAGAGACCATATGTCTTAGATAAAATAAAAAGAGCGCCATACAGATGCCTGCTTATCCTTAAGGTCTCAATGATGATTATCTGCATTATAAGGGGAAAATCATAATTAACATGAAAATATAAAATATAGTTCATTAATATATATGTATATATACATATGCATATATTTGTGTATATATACATCTATATACAAATATGCAAATATATGTATTAGTATATATACACAAATACGTATATACAAATGTATATATTTGTATATATGCAAACATATATATATATTTGCATTGGTTGTATGATATAGTAGGTCTTTAATAAATATGAACTATTTTCATTCCCCACAAATTTGATATTGTTTGTAAGATAAAATATGTGAAAGTATACACATCAGTTCTGAGGCTGTTAACAGTATAAACAAAGAAAGAGAAAGAAACAAGGACAAACTTTGCCTTGCTAAAAATCAGTGCCTTTTCCTTGATATACCAGAGATAAACCAAAGTAAGACATTCACCATCTTGGAATTCCTGGCAGTGGCAGATGGCAGGGAGGTTACAAGATTTGATATACTTGCTCACAAAGGGCACTGTGACTACCTTGATTATACTTACCTTACCATACTAATTTTTTGTTTATGTGTCTGTCTCTGAGAATGGAAACCATTAATATACTTGTCTACATTAACATGACCTTACACTCACTCTACTGTCTCCTAGTTTATTCTAGGAGCATCTGGAATGATACATCAATTCTTCAATAGAAAGCATTAATCAATAGTTTATACACTAGGACTCTTTGAATCCCTTGCCACATCTTATTTTATCAATCCTAAACTATCATATCATGATCCTTACCCAATCTTAGCCAAGTTGCCCTATTGAGAGATCTGCCTTAAATTAGACTTGAAAATCTCAAATATTCCAACTATGTCCCACCCTTTTCCTTCTTTTTAGGCACTACAAAGGCTCTGTTGAAGTGGTATTCTCCATACCTCAATGAACTTGTTTTGTCTTACCAAAAAGGTAATATCAGTGATATTTTGGGGAGCCAGCTTTCAACACTCCCGTTAGATTGTGAACTCATGAAGAGCTGGGTATATGTCTCATTCATCTTCTTGTCTGCAGTTTTTTACATGGTTTCTCTGTATAAAATAAAATTTACAGAAGGCCATTGTTTTATGGAAGGTTGGCCATTGTTTAATGGCAATTGTTTAAGGCCATTTATGGAAGCACCTGCAGTAGGCCCCATAAGACCAGAACAAATCAGAATAGAGTGACATGTGCTAGGTGCCGCACAATCAGACTGAAATTTAAAATGAACCAGTTTAAAAGCAAAAACAAAAAAAAGGAAGATTCATAGCAACCAGTCAGAAGGGGTCCAGTCAACCTGAAGTGGTATGATAGGAAAGTCCCCTCTGGTTTAACTCTATAAGGAAAGTAACTTCAAAATGACCACTCTACTTTTTGTTTCCACTTCTTTAGCCCTTTTCTTCCTATAAAGCCAACTCATTCAAGCACCTTTCTATTTCATAGATGGGATGCTGTCCCATTCATGAGCTGCTGAAAGAAAAAAGCCAATTAGATTTTTAAACTGAATTTTTTTTTGATTTTTGTTGTGTTGTTTTATAGGTTTTTTTTTTTTTTTTGAAATGGAGTCTCACTCTTGCGCCCAGGTTGGAGTGCAGTGGCACGATATCTGCTCACTTGCAACCTCAACCTCCCAGGTTCAAGCATTTCTCCTGCCTCAGCCTCCTGAGTAGCTGGGACTACAGACACGTGCCACCACGCCCAGCTAATTTTTGTAGTTTTAGTAGAGATGGGATTTCACCATGTTGGCCAGGCTAGTCCTGAACTCAGGTGATCTGCCCACCTCGGCCTATCAAAGTGCTGGAATTACAGGTGTGAGTCATCGCGCCCAGCCGGGTATTTGCTTTTTGACATCCCTGGGTGGGTGGTTCTTAAAGTGTTGTCCTCAGAGAAGCAGGATCAATGTTATCTTAGAACTTGTAAGAAATGCAAATTCACAGGCCCCACCTCAAATCCAGTGATACAGAGGATAGATGAGGCTCAGCAATCTGTGTTTTAACAAGTACTCTAGGTGATTCTGATGCCTTCAAGTTTGAGAACAGCAGATAGTCAATATAGAAGAAAAGTACTAAAAAATGCGTAAGTATCAAAAGGAGGGTAGTAATTCCCGGTTAGAATAGATAAAATACGACATGGCTTCTTGGTGAAGGTGACGATTTATCAATGACTTGAAAGATTAATTAGAATTTGGGAATATGTAGTTAACTTTGACTGAATAAAATAGGATATAGGGATGGTGGGATTCATAAAAGAAAATGTTAGAAAGAAGCTGAAGCTAAATTGTGAACGTCAGCCTAAGGAGGCTGGACTTCTTTTTCTTGGCAGGAGGGACTAACTATGGATATCCTGCCCTTAGGAATACAAAACTGCTGGTTAAAATAAAAATCGGGCCAGGCACGGTGGCTCACGCCTGTAATCCCAGCACTTTGGGAGGCCGAGGCGGGTGGATCACGAGGTCAGGAGATCAAGACCATCCTGGCTAACTCGGTGAAACCCCGTCTCTACTAAAAAAAAATACAAAAAAGTAGCCGGGCATGGTGGTGGGTGCCTGTAGTCCCAGCTACTCAGGAGGCTGAGGCAGGAGAATGGCGTGAACCCGGGAGGCAGAGCTTGCAGTGAGCCGAGATCGCGCCACAGCACTCCAGCCTGGGTGACACAGCAAGACTCCGTCTAAAAAAAAAAAAAAAAAAAGTCGAAACTATGTAGTGTCTAGAGTATACTCTTAGGGCTATCTGATTCTGATTTGATAGGAGCTAATTTACAACTCTATAAATTGTAAAAGCTGGTAGCAAGACAAAACGGTTTTTGTCTATAAACAATGACATTCTTGTCTATGCAAATTCAACCCAATAGACTTTGAATTGACTTTCCTCCCCAAGGTTGGAAGAATGTACCGTCTATACTTTCATTTCAGTCGTCTTGATTTATAAATATGTCTGGTTTTTGAGTTCCCCTTTGAACTATCTGTAACATCTTACTGGTTCCTTCATTACAGAATGAAATAAAATATTTAACACGTGTTCATCTTTTTGTCTTAATCTTATGTTTTCTGGGGAAAATGATCCTTAAATGGTACTCATTGTTTTATTTCACTGTAGAATCCATTTTGGATATATATATATACACACACACATTAAAGTTCTTTCTTTTGACATAACATAATTTTAAAATAGCATCATGCTCCTACAGTAGTAGAAGAATTTTAGGTATCTTGAAATGTTATTATATTTTATAATCATGAACAATCTTTAACAGTAGCAACAAGGTTAGGAGAAACAACAAATTATTTTAATTACAATTCTCTAGCCAAGGATGATAATATTGTACCATAGCAAAACAAACAAGCTGAGGAGTAGAGGGGTGTGTGGGGCATGTTTGCAGTATGCCAAAGGAATGATTACGATTTGACTACCAGATTTTGTTTGTACTCACTGAGGGCTAATGAGCAATGGAGAAAATTTTATGCAGGAGCTGCTCTTGTGGATGGAACAGAGAGAGACTAGGTGACTAGAAGAATAAAGAAGAGGAAAAGCAAACAAATATCTACAAAATTGAAAATCATACACATCTAAGAATGCGGCTTCCTATAAATAGGGAGCCTGTCACCATGGGCATACCTAAATGACAGGAATGTAAGTAGCACTGTCTGAGTGTCAGTGACTCTGCTTCACAGTTGAAACCAAAATTCCCTTCACTATCCTATTCTACTCATTTATTCCTCCTAATAGGTATTCGTTTAAAGAAAAACTTAGATCCTTTGTATTATCCCATGAAGCCCAAACAAATAGACCAAAACATAGAACCATATAGGAGAAACTATTTGTATTTTAAATAGGAAGGTTTCTGGAAGCAAATTTTTGCTGTCCCACTGACTCACTCTATAAATACATGGCATCTACTAAACCAGTCAGGCATTAGTGGTTCATCTGCATACAGCATAGTGTCTATCTCTGGGGATGATGGCTGAGTTTATTTTAGTTTTTGAAAACTATTCTCGGGTTTCTATAGGAAGGAGCCACAAAATATAAGACATACTAGCACAAATACTGCCACTTAATAAGTTGCAAAAGGGTTTGGCTGGTAATAGCTTGTGGAATTCCTGTTTGCCCTCCTTGTCCAGAAATAAAAAAAAAAAAATGATGTGCTTTACAGTGAGTAAGTACATTAAAGGGTTTATATGATGTTAAAAGGAATGCTTTTCTATATGACAAACACATACCAGCTTAAAGTGTTTCCTATTGATCACATAACATCAAAAGGCCTTAGTTCGCACTTATAAGAATGAGATTAGTACAGGACTCTATTAAATGCTTGATGTGGACAAGTAGGTAGCTCAGCATTCCATTGGTCAACCATTAAAGTGAACTGCCAGTGAAGAATGCCATGAGAGTAAGTACAGGGCTAGAACAGAGCCATCATCAACTGCTTTTTAAGAAAATCATAACTAAGGCATTAAATCTGACGCAAATGGCCCAAAGTATTCACAAGTATAACATCTACCATGGAATCATTTCTTGTGAAAGAGAACTTGAAAGTTTTTTAAGTCTTCTGGCTTTTACCAAGACTATATCTAAAACTGCCCCAGACCAATGAATTTGTCCTATTGTAAAAAATCCTTTGGAGAAAGATTTTCTGGCATCCCTTTAAGTGATTAATCACTCTTACTATAAGAAACTTCTTTCTTATAGTTATTTCTAAAATTCGAGGCCGGGTGCAATGGCTCACACCTGTAATCCCAATACTTTTGGAGGCTGAGGCAGGCAGCAGATTGCTTGAGCTCAGGAGTTCGAGACCAGCCTTGGGAACATGGCAAAACCCTGTCTCTACTAAAAATACAAAAATTAGCTGGGTGTGGTGGTGCATGCCTGTAATCCCAGCTACTTGGGAGTCTGAGGCACAAGAATCGTTTGAACCCAGGAGGCGGAGGTTGCAATGAGCCAAGATTGTGCCACTGCACTCCAGCCTGGACCACAGAACAAGACTATGTCAAAAAAACAAAAACAAAAACAAATGCACCTCTCCTAAGGCATAAACCCATTTCTTTTAATCTTTAAAATAAAAACAAATTTATGAAAAGCTCTATAATATACTCAAAAATAGAGGAGTAGAATGGCCAATCACACATATGCAACAATTTTCAAGATTTTCTCATATTTGCATCACTTATTGCTATTTTCTTTGATAAAACACTGTAAAGAAAATTCTAGACATATACACTTCACTATGCATGCCTAAATTTTAAAAGATTTGGACATTCATTCATATCCAGGAGGCACCATTATCACACCTCGTGAAATTAACAGTCATTCTTTGGTAGAATCGATGAACAAGTCAATGACCAAATCTCCTCTCTTGGCAAAAATATCTTTTTGCAGCTGGTTCTTTAAATCATTTAAACAAGGTCTACATATTATAACTGATTAAGTCTTTGTCATTAAGACCAGTGCCTCTCAAACTTTAATATGCAAATGAATCACTTATGGATCTTAAGATTCAGTAGGGTCTGGGGAGGGCTAGAGCTACTGCATTTTAACATCTCCCAGGTAGTGCCAATGTTGCTGGACTCAAAGTGGACCACACTAGCAAGATCCTAGCAAAGGCCTTTTTTTTTTTTTTGCATGCCAAGAGCTTGTTACAGAAATAGGTCAGTTATCCTGGTCTAGATTTGCATGTTTGCTTCCATGTGGTATTATTTAACATATTCCTCCTTTATTACCCTTAATTTCTAATTAAGTAAATGATGTTAAGTCTAAAAAACTTGAATAGATTCAAGCTCATCTTTTTTGGGAATAATTTATTAAGGAGATATGTGATTCAGTTAACTACTTGATCTGTAGGAATATCATCCTTATACTTTGTAATAACTGTAGCATTAAAAAGAGGGCTCTACAGTCATATTTCTATTAGTCCACTTCCACCTCCATCACTTACTACTTGTATGTGCAAGTTACTTAATTTCCCTAAACCTCAGTTTTCTCATCTGTAAAATGGGTATAATAGTACCTACATTATAGGGCATGTGACAAGTGGTCAATAAATATATGCTACTATAACTTGATTTTGTAACCTTTTTACTCTGAGCTAAAATATTTTAGTTGCTGGGACCTTTCTTCTAAAATTAGCTTTTCAGCCCTTTGTTCATTTGAGGCTCTCCTATAAATCAGCTATAGCTTTGCATGCCACAGAACTAGGCAGGACCCTCAGAGGGAGCATATTGTTAGTTTTTGGAGGATTTCCTTTTCATGTTTTAACTTGCCTTTCACGTTATACTGGCTCATAAAGCCTACAAATAAGACTTTCAAAAAATCTTATGTTAACGCATTCAAGTAAGTCTTTCAAAGAGTAGTAGTTCTGATAGTTTATCATGGAAATTTTGTAACAAAATGGTACTATGTAAAATGGTTCAAAATCATCCTAAGGTGGATATTAGAAAACCAAGGGAGATTATTGTCGATTCAGGTAAATCCAATATGAATTATGTAGCCTTTTTGTATGTCATTATTAATAAGGAAATTGCTGAAGTTAAGCATATGGGACCTCTGATATTTCCTTACTTTTGTTTAATAAGCTCCTGCAGTTTGGAGCAAATCCTCAAATTAAACTTGACACTTTGGGAAATCTAAGAAGCTAGAGAAGGAAGCCTAGGATGACCCAAAACAGCAATGTACATTCTGAATTGTCTTATGACTTTAGGAACATAGCAGATGACTTATATGAACTTGAAGTCTGCAATTATAAGTTGACACCATGACGAGGAAATTATTCCTTTCCTTGTAATAAATTCTATCAGCACAGAGTAACTTTGAGCCACCTTTCAAAAGAAGCAACTGCTGGCTCAGATGATCAGGGCCAAAAATAAATTAGATAATAAGCCCAACATTGTTCTACACTTTGGTCTTTTCTTTTTCCTTTTGGGCTTGAGTTTTTCAGATGTCTTTTCTAGAAGACTATGGCTTTCAGAGATGTATTATCTTACTTTAATGATACAAAGAGTAAGATACGATGGTAAAATTGACAAAGAGCACTAAGACCAAAGTAAAATAATTGAAGGGAATATTTTGAAAATCAATAACTTTTGAAGAGTTATTTGTAAGACGGCCATATAATAACAGCAGAGTAGAGTAGTGCTATTAACATAATTTTGTAGTGTTTTTTATTATGCAATATTTTCTTTGGTTGGCTTTTTTTTTGTTGTTGTTTGTTTTGTTTTGTTTTGTTTTTTTGATGGAATCTCACTGTGTCGCCCAGGCTGGAGTGCAGTGGCGCAATCTCGGCTCACTGCAACCTCTGCCTCCCGGGTTCAAGCAATTCTCTGCCTCAGCCTCCCGAGTAGCTGGGATTACAGGCACCTGCCACCATGCCTGGCAATTTTTGTATTTTTAGTAGAGACAGGGTTTCACCATCTTGGCCAGGCTTGTCTTGAACTCCTGAGCTTGTGATACACCCGCCTCAGCCTCCCAAAGTGCTGGGATTACAGGTGTGAGCCACCGCACCCGGCCGGTTGGCTGTTTTTTGAAACAGGGTCTCACTCTGTCACCCAGGCTGGAGTGCAGTGGTGTGATCTTGGTTCACTGCAACCTCTGCCTCCTGGGCTCAAGTGAGCCTCCCACCTCAGCCTCCTGAATAGCTGGGACCACAGCCATGCACCACTATGTCCAGCTAATTTTTTGTTGTATTTTTGGTAGAGACAGGGTTTTGCCAGTTGCCCATGCTGGAATATGCAATATTTTGAATCATACTATTTACATTGTGATGCAAGTAAAGCATAAGTAAAAATTGTATGACAGGCTACAAAATTATGTCTAACTTGACAAAAGGCAGAAACAATTGAAATAAAAAAAAAGAGGTATATAAAGTGTTCCCCTCTTTTGAGTGCCTGGACCAAAATTAAGATCAATACAGAAGAAGCATTAGCCAACAAGAAAAACCCATCAATTATTAGATAGTAGAGCATTTAATTTGACAGCTTGTTTGATTTTCAGACATTTAATTGCATTTAACCTGAAATTATTGATTAAAAGCTGAACATAAAAATGAATTAGATGAAATAAGATTATCCAGAAACAAACACAATAACATTTTTAAAACATGTTCAGATTTTAGGCCATAACAGTTTTCCAAAAACTGTCCATATAAAGATAAAAGACACAGAACATGTTTTATGTAATCACTTCAATAATGGATGCTACTGCAAAACTAGGTATGTACTTGAAGACACCACTTGAAGGTAATATTTGTTTTCACATTAAGCTTGAAGAACACTATTTTTTTCTCTCTAAACCTTTCATTAAAATCTGAAGGGTAGCTCTATTTGGATCATGTTGTATCTTTCTTCATTTCATATCTAGAAAACTTTCTGTCTTCCTAATCTATATTTAGGTTTAGCGAGCATATTGACATTTTCTCAATGAGTATACACTTTTTGGTCTCCTTGTCTAGGATAAGAACTAAAATATTCCCAGGGCCTCTGATCATATTTCAGTTTCCAAACTAAGTATTTAGTATATTTTTTGTACTATATCTTGATGAGGGATATAGTAGTATATAAGGTGCTGTAATAAATAGCAGACATAGCAATTTTCTCAGAACTTTACTGAAGGGATTTTTTCAGTTGGCAATTAAATCCCTATCTCAGCAATATGTTCTCCAAGTAAATTCACTGAACATCTGTATGACCTTATTAGAATCAAATCTTTCTTAGTAGGCTGATTATGATCCTTTACAACATGATCTAGCTCATTATTGGCATATAGTAACCATTTAATAAATATCTGTGAAGTGAAATAAATACGGTAACAGAATGCAATTAAAACATATTACATGTTCACTTATTGCTCTCACTATAGGCTTACACCATAAAATATTTTACCTTTAACAATTCAATTTGCAACAACTTAAAAATTAAGACCACAAAAACATTTTAATAGGGCTTTTATGGCAGCTAAACAAAAGACTAATAGATAAATGCAAAGTGGGTTGCTTAAACAGTTGAAGGGTGAATATTTCTAAAGGCTTTACATTGCCACCTTAATTTTGTGTTCCATCCATATGCATGTAAAACAACAGGTTAACATCCTCACTTAATGCCATCAAGAACTGCCATAGAATAGTTGTGAGCTTTGAGAAAACCACAGGTGATAATGTAATACTTACGTTTATCTCTATTTATAGATAATACATTTACATTTGTATTTATATTCTATTTATATAGATGTGGAAATTAAGGAAATAAAGGAAGGAACTAGGGTATAAGGAGGATTAGTAATGATCAAACATACACAGGGTTAAGTCAGCTCTTACTCTCATCTAAAAAGCTTCAAGCACTTCCACTCTCCTGGTTCCCTTTTCTGCCTCTCCTCTCTCAACCACTCACATATTGTTGGTCTTTCTTACTTTTCATTATTGAATGAGTATTTGACATGTTTAGTCAATATTTTCTTCTTTTCCAATTATCTTCATGCCCAGTAACTATTCCTCATCTCTTTCCGACCAACCCCCAAAAGTCCCTTACATTTTCTCACTGCACCTTCTGCCCTCAGCTAGCACAGGCAGCAACACAGCATGAAGCAGGGTTTTGGTGCTCATTGTTAAGAGCCACTGAGCCCTAGAACTAGAAGTGTTAGAAACAGAAAGCAAGGAATGTGTTTTTGATAACTCTATACATTAAAAATAATACCCTTAGTAGATATTTAATCAGGTATACAAATCTGGCTAAAAGGTTTTCACTTTTTACTCTATGTTTGGCATGCTGTAAACTCTCTAGTAAATATTCTTCCTTGTACCTTCCTCTTTGCTCATCTGCTATCATGTTACTTTGTGTAAACAACCCGCTTCCCCTTCCAGATAATTTTATCATAGCTTTTACTTCTTGCACGTGCATATGAGTTCTGTTGTGCCTAGTAAGTGAAAAGACAAAGAAACCTTACAGCGACACAATAATAAAACACAAAAATAAAACACAACAACATAGTACGGAATCAAAATACTTAGTTTCTAGTCTTATAATAGATGTATAACTCACTGGCCAAGTGTCTTAGACACGCATGACCTTTACCATTCCTGTGCCCCAGTTTTCTTAGCTGAAAAATGGCGAAGTTAGAGTCCATGTTGTAAGAATCCTTCTCTGTTCAGAGATTGAATGAGTTCAGCCCTATTTACACCTATGTCATTCATCTCTGCAACAACCTTGAGGGGAAGGACAGTAAGTAACATTATCCCCACATTGCAGATAAAGAAACGGAAGCTAAAGGAGATTGTAGGACTTTTCTACTGTTCCACATTTGTCTGGTAGCAGCGCTAGGACCCAAACCCAGGCTTTATTTGCCTTTTATATCTACAGAGAAAGCTAAGCCACAATCTCCCAGAGAAAGCTAAGCCACAATCTCCCTATATAAAGAAGAGACAAAGGGGGTAAATTGGTGAGATTTTAATGTTTGTCTAATAAATGTAAAGGCAGAGGCAGGAGTTTCTCTCTCTTAAGAAAGAGATTGTACTTTATAGATATACTGTATTTAGATCACATTGACTATTATTTTGTTTTACATTATTACTATTTTCTCCCAGAGTACCAAATCTGCTTTGGACCTTATAGTTGTTGAATCTCACTCACAGATGGAGAATCCTACCACACAAGTTTTTTTAAAGAGCAGTTTGTTAAAAATAATGTTTGCGCTCTTCCTTAGCAGAATAATAATGCAGAATGAATATTTATGTGTTTTATTCTATAATTTATGAAATGCCTTTGTGGTGATATTATGTGGGTTCTCTGTATTTAAAGGTATAATGTAAATTATAGAAGTATTTCTGTACTGGTGTTTTTTACATATTATTACATAATAACCAATAGCATACATGCATTAATGAGTTTTTAAATTATGCTACTGAACATGGAAAAATAGAACATGGACAGTGGCAATGACAATGATTTACTTTGTCAGTTATGCCATCTGCTATTTTTACCAAATTCTTCAGGGAACATGGCAGTAGCTAGATGACTAGGACCCTAGACGAGTAGTCAGAAGATCCAAGCCCTATTCATAGAACTTACACTGACTCACTTGGTGACCATGTGCTCATCAGTTGATCTCCTGTAAGTTCTCAGGAGAGAATTTGGGAGTGTTTCCTCATTTGCCAACCTCTCAGAAATGCCATGAATGTAGGTTTTCCTGTGTTTGCAAAATATTGTTAAAAAGGACCATGAGGAAAAAAAAAAACAGACTTGAATAGCAGACTTAACACAAGGTATAACTAATCTTTAAAAAAATTTAAATGTTATTTTACTATCTAAGCACACCTTTTCTCTCCTTCAACTTTGTCTCTTCCTCATCTGGCAAGACAATCTCTCAAGTTTGGAGGGTGGGGGAGAGGAATGAAGTAAAAGAGGGTGATTTTGTCTTTTCTTCATTCTCTCTTACTCTGTTACGCTCTGAAGTCTGTCTTTGCTCTTTCATAATCTAGCTGAGTGTTAGTTGAAGTGTTAGTGCAGTTAAACATTAAATGGAAGCAGAAATGCAGCAGTTGTGAGAAAAGAGAGAGCCCACATACTTTAAAATTATCCTTGGAGTCTGTTTTATTCCTTCAGTTGTTCAACAGATATTGAATGCTGAACATCAAGATGCTAATCCCTGAGGGTACGAAGACAATGGAGACACAGTGCTGCATACGTGAAGTGCCAACAGATCAGAGGCATTAGATATACAGGTCAACCATTACACTTGAAGTATGATGCGTGTGAAGATGGAAGAGGATAGCAGAGAGGGGATGGGACATCTAGAAAGAGTCCAAGAAGTGAGGTATCAGCTAACCTTGGAGGGCAAGGAAAGCAAACCAAAATATTTTTTAGATACTGTAAGTTTTATAGTAATGGTTTTTAAAAAATGAATATTTAATCAAATGGAATTGTACACTAGGAAATGTGCCAAGCAACAGTAAAATCTATAAAAGCATCAATTTTGGAGTTGGAGAGATAAAATTCAACTCCATTTCTATCTATAGGTGTGACCTTGGGAAAGTTGCCTGACCTCTCAAAATCTGTTTCTTCATTTATAAAATGGAGTTTATAAAAGCATTTACATCTCTTGGGGTTGTATGAAGATTAAATGAGAGAATATGTATAAATTCCCTGCCCAGTCTTTGGCACCTGGTAAGATGATAAAGGGTCAATAAATGCTAGCTATTATGAAATATTTCTATATATTTTATCATCGAACCCTTGCAACAATCCAATGGACAGGCATTCCTAATGTCAGCTCTTTGGGAAAAGGACACAGAAAACAGGAGGTTCTAGGAATATAGGTTAGAAACCCTGAAAGACCCACATGTGCCATAATAAGGAGTTTGGACCACATGAAGAAGGCAATAGGAAATCTCCAAAGATTTTTAAAGGAGAGAACCAATGAATTTTACGTTTTAGAAATACTGTTAAGATGGCAGTGTGGATAATGGATTGGAAAGGCAGGGAGAAACCTGAAAGGTAGGAGTCCAGTTAGGAATTCTATGTAGTAAATCTCTCTGTGTAATAGTAAGCATGGGAAATCTGCTAAGTGCAATCATACAGACCTGCAGAAGGGATAGCTGGTGGATCCCCTGTGCCCTCAATCTCCACTTATTCCTATATCAATCCTGCTATGGTAAAGGCTTTAGGACTCACTGCCAAAATGCTTAATGCTTTCCACTATGAATCCCACCAGTAATGGTGGTCTCTTTATTGCTAAGTGGCATGAGGTTTTAATCATCTCCGAAAAAAGAGTAGGTAAGCTTCCTGCTGGAAATGAAAGAACTAAATGTCAGTATAATTGCTTCTTGGCTGCGGGGAAGAAGTAGAAAGATTCCCTAAAAACATTTGGGTAGTTCGGTAGCTTAATTTTTTTTGTCATCTTCATATGTTGATGATGTCATCATCATTAAGCCACTACATTGATTCAAGGGTAAATCAGACATAATAGAATTGATGTAAAACACAAATATAGAATATCTCACGTTACCACTTTTTAACCATCAGATGGCTATCATTTCATCTTTTTTTCTTTCAAAAAGTTGATTTTCCTTATCTCAACAGCATTTAGTATTTCCACTGTAAAACACCAGTCCTTTTCCACTATTTTTGTGGGAGAGTCTCCATATTAAAATGCATACATTTAAAAAGTAATGAATGCAAGGGAAGTTTAAGACATGTCGAAGGCTACTCTTCTCTCAAAACACCAGAAACTAAATAATTTGGAAGGAATGTTCTCTTATGTAACAACATCTGAATATATACCATGAGGAATCTGTGAGAAACCAAGTTTTCTTTTGAAATATCACTATTCTATCCTGAATTCTTCCCTTTACGGATGTGCTTCCAATCCAATTTTGCTTAATAGAATGTACTTTTTTTTGCCTTGGTTTTAGTTGTTTGCATAACATGTGCATGTACTTTGAGATACAGGTTGTTGTAGACACGAGAGGTTAACTACGGAGAAAAGCATCGAAACATAATAGAGGAAATGTATCCAAGCATTTCATATTTTTCAGGACTCGAATATTTTAAATAATATAAGAAAAAATATATCCTAGTGCTTTACAAAAGTTATTGAGCACATTAAAATCATGATGCATTTAAAATATGATAATTATAATATATATTTAAAAATTAATTTGAAATATTTATCACAACGCTAGTGAATAATAACCACAAAATTTTTTCCTCAAGTTTAAGATCTGGTAATAGTGATTTGTAAAAAATTATTACAGGGATCTACAATGTTAAATCAGGAAAGCAGCTTTGAGACTTGGCAGAAAAGTGAAATAATTTTTTTAAAGATATTATTAAACACATACCTCAAGCTTAATAAATGTGTAAGTGTTAAAAAAAAAAAAAACCTAAGAAAATGAGCTACTTTTAAGGTAAAAAAAAATTTACAACATGGATTTAATAATTCAGACAGAGAAGGTGTTAATAAACCAGAAAACCAAAGCAAAAATAATTACATTAATGTAAAAATATGAAAAGGACTGAATGAAAAGGGAAAAGACACCAAACTTCAATCAAGGCCATGCCATACAGAGAATGACATGTGTAGAAATACAACTAAAATTATAAAAACAATAAGCAAGAAACAGGAAAGACTTTTTTTTTTTAGAAAATGAATTTTAAAGATAACCTTCATCTTATCATCTGCATAGGGTGAAACGGCTTTTTAGTTAATAGTTGAGTCAGTAAATAATATACTTCTATATAATATCTTTTTAAAAATTTTTTTTACAAGGAAAAACAGGATTAGCTATCTTTTGCCTCTAAAAAGTAGGCTTGATAGCTTCAACACTGGAATATTTTTAATGTATCTAGATTGTTTTTTCAACTTAAGAAAATTGTCTTTTTTCTTGTAAGAACTTATGCTATAAGACACACACACACACACACACACACAAAACGCAGAACAGAGCACAATAGTACTTCTTGATAGAAAATATTTTTTAATTCTAAAAATTATACATTAGTATTTGAAAAGATATAAAATTAAAAGCAATTTTAAGCATATAGAGAAAAAAATATGTATTAAATATAACTGAAATTCCTAAAAAGACATATATAATCTAATATACGTTTACAATAAAGTAAATATATGAAAAATAGAAGAAAAGTAACTATAGCTCACTTCTTTGAATTTTTAAGTGCTATCACATGTGAGGTCATTTCAACAAGATTGGGAAACATTATTGATTATACAATGCAGACACACCTTAGTGACTAAGATGGCTAAGCGAGGAGACCTAAACTATCATTACCCTAGTTCAGATTGTCAACATATCTCACCAGGCCTAAGCTGTCCTGCTCTCCTCAAATACATGTTTCAGAGAGAATTACTTAAAACTTAAATCTGACAGTGACCAACACATGATTTATAAACTAGCCACCCAGCAGAATAAAAAATGTGGCTAAACAGAGAATGTAGATTCTTGCTCTACACACATGTGCTATTAGAACAAACCAAGGTTGCCTGTTTTTCATTCATTGCAGCAATTCTTTTTGTTTTCCTGTTTTGAGCAATAATGAGCCCTTAGTTATACCAAAGTCACAAATCCATTTTCTATCCAAGCTAAAAGGCAGTTTTGACTTTCTGAAAGGGGGTGGTCTCACTTTGTTGTCCAGGCTGGTCTCAAGTAATTCTCTTGCCTCAGCAAGCTGGGATTACAGGTACACACGACTGCTCCCAGCTTGAAAATTTTGATTTAGCCTAGCAAGTCAAAATGGGTGTCAAGCATAGCATGTCAAAACATGTGGGGTATGGGGAGGGAAGGGGAGTTGACCTTTTTATGGAATTCATGTAACCTTTTGGTATCATAATTTCCTTATCCACAAAACAGAAATAACATTAGGCTTGGCCAGGTGCAGTGGCTCATGCCTGTAATTCTAGCGCTTTGGGAGGCCAACGTGGGAGGATTGCTTGAGCCCAGGAATTCGATACCATCTTGGGCAATGTGATGAAACCCCATCTCTACAAAAAATAGAAAAATTAGCCGGGCATAGTGGCACATGCCTGAAGTCCCAGCTCCTTAGTGTGTTGAGGTGGGAGGATCACTTGAGCTCAGGGAGGTCAAGGCTGCAGTGAGCCATGATTGCATCACTGTACTCCAGCCCGGCAACAGAGTGAGATCCTGTCTCAGAAACAAAACCAAAAACAAACATCAGGTCTGCAAACTTCAAAGTGATGTTATGAAATGTTAAATAAAATGCGAATGTATGTCAAAGGTTTTTTACAGTGCAGAGCAATGTGAAGTTATTTTCTACAATAAATAATGGTAGATTTACAATTGGGACACACCTGAAAAACAGCAATTCCAGTGCTTGTAGATGTAAACGAAGGTCAGTTTGAGTGTATACCCAGCCCTCAGCTATCTCTGAGACCTCATTTTTGTACCCCTACCACTCTGTCCCATCTTACTGGTATTTGTTCTGTTCCTTGAACAAAGCAAATTAATTTCTACCACCTGGCTTTTCTCTCTACCTGGTTAGCTATTCTTCCCGATCCTTGTTTTTCTGCTTTCTTCTCACAATTTGGGTTTCAATTCTAATGACACCTTCTCAGAGATGCCCCCATCGTTAGCCAGGCTAATTGCACCACTGCCCTACCCTACTCCAGTCTCATTACTCTATTATTTTCTTCTTAACATTTGTTATCTAAATATCTTACTCCTTCTTTACTTCCTTATTTGGAATGGCCACCATACAAGGGCACTATGCCCTTTTATCAAAGGACCTGAGTGACCCAGCAGTCTGTCACTAAGCTAGACCATACTGCCAATGGTTTCAATGAAAGTAAGTTCAGAGTGACCTTGTCAAATCAGGGAAATAATTGGTCGAAAACCTGACTTTCCAGAGAAACAAGGGTGGAGAGGAAAGAAAACACACATGTGAATGAAAACACTAAACAGACACAGGATAACACAGGATAGTGTGTGTGTATGTGTGCTGTAGGAAGCTGAAGCTGGCTTAATGTGTTAGCAAAAATAACAATTTGGAAAACAGAATTTCTTGTTCTGGTTTGTCAGAAGGAATAGATTGAGGTAGTCTGGGGAAATGAACTGGACAATTTTCTCACATGATGCATTTGGATAAGTAATGATACCCTTTTACAAGTTAAATTCAACACAGCCTTTCAATAACTGATTTTCCTGTAATTTCTATTCTACGGCATATAAAATGTTATTTAAAAACCTTCTCTCATACTAAGTCCCATCCTCTATAGCAAAATAGTGAGGTAAGTCACATTTCTCTTTGGTACTCTCCCACCTCCTCTTTCAGAAACTGTTTCTTCAGTCTCCAGTTCTTCAATCCCTTTCCACCACTACTATTCACCTGCCCCACAACTTACTCTACCAGGCCCCACTTTCAGCTGTCACAAGACTTCTGTTTGATGTTTTTTCTTCTGAATTCCAATTTAGAGTTTGTCTGAGTATGTGTCTGTCTCTCTCATTAGACTCCATGTAACAAATATGTCCTCAGAGTGCCGACTTATTACAGAATATAATAGGCATTCAATGCATGTTTTCATTTCATACTTTTCCCTAGTGTTTTTTTTTTACTATTGTGTAAGTTAACATTATTATTACTATTTTAATGTCCACAGGGGTGGGATTAGGGTTGCTTTTAAAAAATATACATATATTTTCTATTTTTAAAAGGTCTCATACTTTTTTTTACAAAAAGAAATTAAAGAGGAATGAGAAAAAGGAGCTTTACTATATCTGACTATGTTGTCAGTAGCAGATGACACAATTTTTCCATTTAACTGGATGGAACCCATATTGAAGAAAATCTCAGGGAATAGAGGAATCTATAGGTAGCTCTCTTCTTCTAATTAATCTACTCAGTCAGTGATCTGAACATATATTTTGGAGCCAGGGTCTTGGGTTTGAATCTTAGCTCTGACGCTTGCTTAGCTTGTTTGACTTTGAATAAGTTTCTTAATTTTTCTGTCCTTAACTTCCTCATCTGTAAAATGGGGGTAATAATTGTACCTATTGAGGGTACAGGGTTAACTGAGGATATATTCAACAAATAATGTTTGAAGACATTCTACGTATTAGGCCCTGCTCTTGGTACAAGGGCTAGAATATGGAGGGAAAAAGACAAAAATTCATTTTTTATAATGTTTGTATTCCAATAAGGTAGATAAATATGTGTTAGTGTAAGGAGAAAAAGAAAAAAAGCAGAGAAGAGTGTATGTGAACTGTTGATGGGCAGGGGATTTGAAATTTTAGGTACAGTGGCCAGGGAAGGTCTCACTGAAAAGACAATTTTATAAGAACCCGAAGAAAGTGAGGAAGTTGGCTATGTGGATCTCTAGGAGGAGAGCCTTCAAGGTAGAGGGCACACAAATTGCAAAGGCCTTGAGAAAGAAGCAGGCATGGTGTGTTCAAGGAATAGCAAAGAGACTAGTGAAGTCGGAGTGGAGTAATGGCGGGGGAATTATATGAAGTAAGGGGTGTGTGTGTGTGTGTGTGTGTGTGTGTGTGTGCTGGGGGTGATCAGTTAGGGCCCTGTGGGCCATGATTAGGACTTTGGGTTTGGACAAAGGAGCGATACAATGAGATTCATGTTTGAACCACATTCCTCCCAGTTGCCTCACTGAAAACTGACTGGGGTGGGGATTGGGGAGCAAAAGCAGAGACAGGAGGCCGGTTGGGAGTCTCTTGCACAGTGCAGTCAAAAGATGATGGTGTTTGGACCGAGGAGGAAGCAGTGCAAGTGGTAAGGACTGGACAGATTCTGGGTTTATTCTGAGAAGAGAGCCAACAGGATCTCTGGGCTGATTAGATGCAGGGTCAGTAAGAAAGAGAAGGCCTAGAATTACACCAATGTTTCTGGCCTGAATAGCTAGAGAAATGATGCTTCCATTAATGGAAATAAGAATATAGTTTAATATATGAATAATATATTATCATGCCAAAATGTGTTAACATGTTAATGAATTGGTGAATTAAAAGCACTAAGTATAGCAGTTAACATCAAGTGGGTCTGATGTGTTTGTTGTTATTAATAATACATTGAAATGGGAACATTTTTTAAACCCCAGTATATGACTAAATGTTCATGTCAGAGTCACAACTTGTGGTCTTTGGAAATAAAGTGATTTAGACTTTCCACTGACAGATGTAGTATAGTAGAAAAATATAATTTTCAAGTAATGACTAAGAATTCCCTCTCCTTCAATTCCCCTTTTAACCTGCACATGCCTTTAATATGGCACTTCCTTCTTTTCTTTATTCTTGCCTTTTCAAAGTATCCCTATCCTCAAAAGTAACACATATACTAAATATATTAACTTTTAATGGATAATCTTGTGTTTTATAGTTACTATTGCAATGGAATTTCTATTCAACAGTACTATTTCAAGTGCCATTGAAGTATCCTGTCTTTTAAAGATGCAAAAATAACAAGTTTTTTTTTTTTTTACTCTTATTGAATGTTTTTGAAACTGTGAAAACCAATACAATTCATTTTTGTTTTTGTTTTTTTTAGAGACAGCATCTCACTCTGTTGCCCAGGCTGGAGTGAATTGGTGCCGTCATAGCTCATTGCAGCCTGGAACTCCCGGACTCAAGCAATCCTCTCACCTCAGTCTTCTAAGTAGCTAGGACTACAGGCATGCACAACCACGCCCAGTTAGTTTTGAATTTTTTGTAGAGACAGGGGTCTCACTTTTAAATGGAAAGAATCAAGGCAGGAAAGGAAGTGGGGAATCTAAGTAATCTCTTTTATTTTTAATACCACAGAGATACTGTGGGTTGTGGCTTGCTAATTCAATAAAGGATACAAGCTCTCAGAGATTGGCATGCATTCAGCACTGGAGTTCAGAACAGACAGGACTCTGATATGCAAGAAATAATCTGAAGATAGATTTCACGGTTCTCCTCTAAATTCAGAAAGCTAGTTAATGGGTCGTATCATCATTTCCAATGATAATTTAAAACTTTCTAATTTGGAATGAATTATTTAATTTTTCCTTCTTTCCTTTCCCTAACTTTCTACTCACACATTTCTAATAATGTTTCATTTAATGTTGATCCTTATGGTTTATAATTTAACAGTACTTCATGGCTTAAAAAGTACTGTCATACACATTTCATTTTCACTATTTTTACTGGTACAATATTTTTTACTAATTGTCTTAATTTATAGATAAAGAAATTATTTGTATTATTTCCTTCTTTAGATGTGTAATTTGAAGCTCTGGGAATAATTATCAGATTGCTAAATACACATAGCTTTTAATGAGCAGAAACATAACTTGAATGTGGGTCTTCAGTTTTAAAAACTTGTTCCCTGTCCATTTCATTACAGTTGAATATTGGTAATTACTAATAAAATTCTCTGAGTATTTTCCAGGGAGTTCAGTCAAGACAGTGGCCTAAGAACAGTTAGAACCACAGTGCCAGGAAGCCAGAGTGGAAGAATGTAGTGAGGAGAGACAAAAATTGGCCACAGATAAGCCACGTAAGGAAAAAAGAAGACTTTATGAAGTTCCAAATATATGGCCTTTAACATATTATACAAGTCACAAACTTAGGTATATATTTTCACTGCTGCATTTCATCAATCTAAGATACCACTGATTGTGAGACGCATGACCAAGAAAGAAAGATTGAAAAAAAAACTGTCAATTAAATCACAATACAGCTTGATCACAAGGTGATTTTAGATTTTAAAAAGTTAAAATTTGAAAAAAATGTACATCTTAGAATCAAAGAAATATAGTACTAGTAACTGCAGAGGGTATGAAAAGTCTCAAAATCAGTTATAATACAATCTCACTAGACAATCGATAAGCACTTATTAAGTGCCTATGGATGGGTACAATGAAGCAAAATGCATAATCTAGATGAAGAGGTTTAAGTGCTATATATGAAATATTCATTGCTATCCTTCAGTTTCACAACAATGACCACTGCTGAAGACAGCAGATCCACTTGTAGATGTCTCAGTGTAAAAGTGCCAAGAGGATATAAGGCATAGGAGGGAGGAGGAGAGAGAGGAATACAGAGGCAGAAGCAGCAAGGGGAAAGGAGAATGGGCTGGGGAGGGGTAAGAAGGATGGGAAGAGGGATCTAATTGAACCAGGAGTTTCATTGAAATTCAAAAGTGGTCTGAATCCTGCTCACGCCAAATCTCCTGATCTTATTAAATATAAATGCTGTCCTGTATATGAAATGATACCTTAAAACATCAGCTTTGAAAAGGGGTTCATACATTTTTATAGCGTTGACAGCTCCATGTTTAATACTAAAAATTTTTATCCTTTCTTGTGTATTTTTTTATTACAAAGGCAATTTTAGTACCTCTCAAATTTGAACTAGATATAATTGATTAAATATTTGGCATTGCTTAAAAATTAAATTTTGTTATGACTGGTTATCAACCTCCCCAATGACTTAAAAGTTTTAGAATTTGTGATTAAAATTAAAAAATTGTTTGGGCTCAAAACCAATCACCTAAACATTTCACTTGATAATTTTGTATAAATTATGATTATCATCACAGTATCTGTGTGCTGAACTGGAAAAATGAAATTAGATTATTTCTAATTAAAAACACTTTTGTTTCAGCAATGAGAATTTCATAAATAAATTGTCTTATGATATGAAATAATTGCTTTTGAAATTACCCAGATAAAAAGAAAAGATAGTCAACCTCTTAGCTGTGCATTATGCTCATAAATTTATTACTAACTTAAAAAGGGATAATGTCCTGCAACATCATTAAGCCTCATGTCTAAATAAGTGGTAAAGTATATTATACATTCTGATACTGTCACACAGTTGCTTGTGATTGAGGAAAAACTAACCTAGTAATGGTAATTACTTCTTTTGAAAGGCAAAACTATAAATAAATAATAATGCAGAGCAATTTCATTTTTTAAAGTCAATAATGAATTCCATCTGCTGCATGCCATTAAAAATCAAAGAGGTTACTTACACGCCTCAGTTCTTTTTATATCTTTATTCCTTCCATTTAAAAGTACAGGTCGATCTGTTTAATGATAATGTTATTTTGGCTTGTTTGACCAAAACTTCAACCAAAAAAAAGAAAAAAGGCAAAAAAAAAAATCCTCCTATTTCTTGCCTCGTTTTTCTGGAGCCTAGAGAATGTAACGTAATAAAACGCTAATGAAGAACAGAGACATTTAAACAAATGTTTAAGGGGATGGTTTGGAGAGTCTTAATGAAATGAATTACAAGTCTTTGAAACCCAGAATACAGTGGTGACAAAAGTGAGAGCATGTGACTTGATCACTGCCATTACCCGAGTTAGGGACAATTTTTGAGTGAAGAATAAGGTAAGGCAACATGGAAATCTTACTGACAAATGTTGTCCTATGAATGAATAAAAAATAAATCGCTAAGGACTTGTTACAAATGGCCACTGGACATGAAGAGACTCAAAATCATTATGTCTGAATCTATTTCTGGGAGTACTTATGGAATCATAATTAGCAGCAGTATCTACAGCAAATCATAGAGAAATAATTTACACACATGTAAAGTCTTTTTAGAAAGATATTCTATTTAGATTCAGTGTTCTGACACAGTTTAATCCCTCCTAACCTCCCCAGCCAAACATTTGCATTTTGGAGGCAGTAGCTATAGAACCTCCAACTGCATCGTCACAGATCCATACAGCTCATCTGGACTTTGAAAATGCAACATAAAGTGTGCCCTTTAATGTCCGCTGTATCTGACTTTCCAAAATAACTTATTTAAAGCCACTAAGAGAGCACTTACACATACCTTTGCGCTGGCAGAACATTTCTGAGGTCCTTCCTTCGAACCTTGCTCAGCTAGCAGTGAGCTGCTTTCAAGAAGAGGAGACAGGAATTTTGATTCCTGTGCTTCTCAGGGTAATATAACATTTCCTTTCTGCCAGAGTGCCTTCTCCTCCCGCCCGGTCCCTGACCCCTGGTGGCAGTGTGCAAGATTCAGAGGTTTCTGTTTCTGCACACAGGAAACTCACTGTACCTGCCCTGTGACTGTGGACTTGCTCTTGGCTCACTGAACATTTTAGAAACGGTGACGACGACATGCTCTGTATGATACGTTACTAAGTTGATACTGTAAAGTCTATCATGGAGTGAGATCACAAGACTCAATATCTAGCCTCTGTACAATTTCTTATCATAAAGTAAATAAATGGCATGGCCACCTTTAACAAATCTCTATTTTATAGTCCTAATAGCAACAACAGGTAGCAGATTTGATAAGCTGAGTATGAACCAGGCTGGTGTTCTGTACCTTTATAGATATGTAAATACTGCTAGCCATTGTCAGAACATAATTTTGATGTTTTGCATCCAGAACTTCCAATTGCATCATAATGGATATAGTTCACACTGCTTTGCATTATAGTTATTTATTTTAGTCTTTTTTCCCTAGGAGGGAAAGAAGAAAGTCCACACAACAGCACTAACTGCTTAGTAATTAAAAGAATGGATAAAAGTAGTAATAACTTCCTTCTTTGTACTTAGCACCCACCCCCCTTTTTTTTTGAGATGGAGCCTTGCTCTGTCACCCAGGCTGGAGTACAGTGGCGCCATCTTCATCTCAGCTCACTGCAACCTCTGCCTCCCAGGTTGAAGCCATTCTCCTGCCTCAGCCTCCTGAGGAGCTGGGTCTACAGGCACACGCCATCATGCCCGGCTAATTTTTGTATTTTTAGTAGAGATGGGGTTTCATTATGTTGTCAGTGCTGGTCTTGAACTCCCGACCTCAGGTGGTCCACTCGCCTTGGCCTCCCAAAATGCTGGAATTACAGGCATGAGCCCTTAGCCCCCTTTTAATCCACATTCCCTGTTATCCCGGTAGAAGTAAAGGGCAGCACCTATAGCCCGGCTGCTTCTGACTTACTGTTTATGTCCTTAAACTTTAGAATCCTGGAGAGGATTGTGGTGGAAAACTGCCTTTCCTTCTTCCCTGTCATCACATTTTTATGAGACCCTTCAACAGCAACTCACTGAGATATATACATACTGTAACATCATATTTTATTTGAGGGCAGAGATCACAACCATTGAGAACAGACAATGTCAAGTCAGTGGGTGAAGATCTTCATGAGTCTAAGAACTAATGGATGCCCAAACAGGTGGGCTTCAGGGGTAAATTTAAAAGATAAACAAATTGTCAAAAACCACGTGCAGAGTTAGTACAAGGTGATGAAGTGACAATGATCACGAAGAAAATGGAGTTCATGGTGCCACCAGTTCACAACGCTGAAGTTGTATAAATAGTAATAATACTAAGATTTTGCATGTAATATAGAGCTTATGGTCTTGGCCAAGTTCTGACAACTCCATAATAACTGGTCATTGACTAGTAAAGTACATGACCAAGCCAATAAGCTTTTGCAGGAAAATGATATAAATTGGCAAGATGATTCATTCTCAAATGAAAATTCATGATGTCTAATCTTCTCTATGGAGCTACATTTGTATTCAATACAAACTCTATTTGGTTCCTTTAAGAGTTCCAGTATTTCCTATGAATGCTGTTCAATACATGAGGTAACTTATGTAAAACTTCTAGTTAAGCTCCTGGTACTCTGCTATAAGAAGGTGTTTGGCTGGGCGCGGTGGCTCACACCTGTAATCCCAGCACTTTGGGAGGCTGAGGTGGGCGGATCATGAGGTCAGGAGATCGAGACCATCCTGGCTAAGATGATGAAACCCTGTCTCTACAAAAAAAAAAAAAAAAAAAAAAAAATTCCAAAAAATTAGCCAGGCATGGTGGCGGGCACCTGTAGTCCCAGCTACTCAGGAGGCTGAGTCAGGAGAATGGCGTGAACCTGGGAGGCGGAGCTTGCAGTGAGCTGAGATCGCACCATTGCCACTGCCCTCCAGCCTGGGAGACAGAGCAAGACTCCGTCTCAAAAAAAAAAAAAAAAAAAAAAAGAAGGTGTTTCATTGGATATTAATTTCCATTCTCTTCCTTAGTGACATGAATGGCTTATTCCAGTCCTGGATTCCATTCTACTACATTAAAGTAATGCCAATGATAACAATGACTTACTATGTGTAATGTTTTATCGTTTACAAAGTGCTTCAACGAATATTCTCATGTTATGCACACAACCACCCTGGGAGATGTTGCTTATTCTCCAAGATTTGCCAAGCACGCTATGTATAGAAAATTAATGACACAATGTTTCCTTGCAGCTTTATAAGGTGAGCATAAGGAGAGAACAGAAATGTTTTGAAGATGCCTTGATGTTCCTGTTCAAATCATTCAGCATAGCTGCAGACTTCTGGAAAACAACAGCAGCAGGTAGAAAGCAAGAATGAATTGGCATTTTTTTCCTTTTTTTTTTTTTTTTTGAGACAGATTCTGTCTCTGTTGCCAAGAGTGGAGTGCAGCAGTCTGATCTCGGCTTACTGCAACTTCTGCCTCCTGGGCTCAAGCCATCCTCCCACCTCAGCCTCCGGACTTACTGGAGCTGTGGGGCTTTAAGTGCTTGCCACCATCCCGGCCATCTTTTTTTCTTTTTTTTTTTGAGACGGAGTCTTACTCTGTTGCCCAGGCTGGAGTGCAGTGGCGCAATCTTGGCTCACTGCAACATCTACCTCCTGAGTTCATGTGATTCTCCTGCCTCAGCCTCCTGAGTAGCTGGGACTACAGGCATGTGCCACCAGGCCTGGCTGAATTTTTTGTATTTTTAGTAGAGACAGGGTTTCACCATGTCGGTCAGGCTGGTTTCAAAGTCCTGACCTCAAGTGATCTACCTGCCTCGGCCTCCCAAAGTGTTGGGATTACAGGCACGAGCCACCGCGCCTGGCCTATTTTTCTCCATGTTGCCCAGGCTAGTCTCAAACTCTTGAGCTCAAGTGATCCACCAGCCTTGGCCTCCCAAAGTGCTAGGATGACAGGCATAAGCCATCATGCCCAGCCAAATTTTTAAAGCAAGACTTCATGTAACAATAAAACTCATACACACAGAAGCAGCACCCCAAACAAAACATAAATACATGTGGTTTTTAGCATCTGCGGAATATGCAAAGGAGGGCTTTTACAATATTTACATCTCAAATAGATGGTATAGTAATACTATCTACATTTGCATTGTGTCTGAATATGAATGAGAGAGTTATAAAACCATACACACACACACTGCCATATCAAACACACCTATGAATTGGTCATATGACAGTATGTATATAAGTAAATATATCTATTTATCTATATGTCATATCTATAAGATACCTATTTCCCAATATTTGGCCATTTGTTCTTTATTCTTTGCTCTCATTGGGAATCTGATAGGAGCTAGACTCAAGTCACTGGTCAGTTAAGTTTACTTCTTTCAAGGTTTTGTAAAACGAAATCAATCTTATAATTGTGCTTAGAGCTGTCCACTAGGTATACAATCATCATTTCTGACAAATATTGGCTATCTACCACTTTTGGGATGTGGGCTGCTAAGAAGCTCTGATTTACGGCAGTCAAAAATGCTCTTGCTTCTACATCTCTAGTTTTTATTCTAGATTCTTTTTCTAGTTTAGTTATTTATTTTACTGTAAGTTGGTTCTTTATATCCTAGCGGACTTATCTACTTTCCTTATATCTGTTGTCACACCATGTAGATTGACCAAGTTGTGATAAAGTGACTTAAATGTCTAGGTTTATTGATTTATTTTTATGGGATTGAAAAATGTGCTTGAGAATATAATTAGAACTTGATCAAACTGAACCTTTTTTAAGACGGTGAAAATAATAGACCTTTTACAAAAGAAAAACATATGGTAAAAACAAGCCTTTCCAAGACTTGGGTAATTTTGAAATCATGTAGTTTTCCTAATTATAGATGTGAATTGTTGGCAGGTAGGATTATAAAAGCACTTTTGCTAATATCACATTGCAATGCTGAGGGTATAGTCTTAGCCTGAGATGTGAATTTCACTTGTAGTGTGTACACATTTCTCAAAATGCACTCTGCAGAACACCAAAATGAACACTTTCACCCCGAGAAGTGCCAGATGGGGAAACAAATGCAGTCGAGATGCCAAGCCATATAAATGGTGTCAGTTCTAAAACAAGGCTTTCCAGGGGATGGCTGCAAGGGAAAGAATTCCAGAGAAAACATCTAGTTTTTCTGTGAGAAAGGTTACTTACTAAGTAGTTAACTCATTTTCAGGGGAAGAGAGTAGGTGTTTAAGAGTAATTCTTAGGAGAAATTTTGAACTACTTACACTGACAGTTATGGTTGGCTGATATGTATAGGACATAACAGGCTGGGCTCAGTGGCTCACGCCTGTAATCCCAGAACTTTGGGAGGCCAAGGTGGGCAGATCACCTGAGGTCAGGAGTTCGAGACCAGCCTGTCCAACATGGTGAAACTCTGTCTCTACTAAAAATACAAAAATTAGCTGGGTATTGTGGCACATGCCTGTATTTCCAGCTACTTGGGAGAATGAGGTAGGAGACTTGCTTGAGCCTGGGAGGCAGAGGTTCCAGTGAGCCGAGATCGTGCCATTGCACTCCAGGCTGGGCAACAAGAGCGAAACTCTGACTCAAAAAGAAGGACATATCAAGTATGTTAGGTTTTGTGGAAATTAAATACATCACAAAATTCCCATAAGTTTAGGTTGCATAAAAGAGCCTTCACTAAACCAGATCAGGTAGCATGCAATGAAAATTAAAGTTTAATGAGCAACTATACGTTTGAGAGCAGCCTACGCTAAGCACTCGGGTTACTGGCGATTCAGCCATCTGATCCAAACAGCCCTTTTCATTTCCTCCTCTTTCCCTCTGTGTGAACATATTTTCTTCTGCTTGAAGGGAAATAGCCAAAGTTCTGTTTTCCCTAGGGAAAAATGTCTCATATTAGGTAAGAAGCATGTTTTCCATTCTGTTCTTCCCTCCTGTTATATTTCTCAGCAATCTGCATAAGTAGTCAACTTGCCTCCTGTTTTCCCTGAGCTGCACTGACTAACGCTTGCCTGAAAGCACGTGTTGCAGAGTGATGAGCAGTTATGATTCTGAAGATAGTTGACCAGGGTTCAAATCTCAGTTCCTTCACTTTCTAGCCTTGAGGTGTAGGGCCAATTACTTAACCCACCTGCCTCTCAGTTTCATCACCTGTAAAACTAGAATCTTAGTATTCGTAGGGCTGTGTGAGAATTAAAGTATTTAATACATGTAAGATACTTAGAATAGTACTTGGAATGTAATAAATACTCAATAAATGCTTTAAAATTTTCAAGAAGTGAGAGCCATAAAAGTGTATGTAGGTACTTCACATTTTGCCTGCTCTGTCAAAATAAACAATGTTAATACAGTCCTAAACATATAGAAATGCATTATGATGAACTCCTGAAAACAAAGATTTTCTTAACTATCTGACTTAGAAAATACAAAATTGTCATAAGAGATGCAGAAAGGAAATGAATTAAAGAAAAAATTCTCAGATCATAATAAGAAATGAGTTTTGAGCTTGAATTTCAAGCTTCTATAAAAAGTCATCTGAAGAAAATGAATGATACATATGTAACAAGTTATATATGAAGGTTATTATACCCCCCCAAAATTATATAAAGTTATTGTTTAGGTACTTACATCAATCATGCTTTGGAGACTGCTTAACAGTGTATATGTTTACCTTATACAGTTTCACTGGACTTAACCTATATGCCTTATATATACTATTTCATTTCCATATTATTTTCTTCTCCAGTTTCCTTTCTATCTTATATATGTATTTACATTTCTTTCACACAAATTTTAAAAAGTATTCCTATCAGAATAATATTTTTTTCTACAAAAGGTAGACAATCTTTAAGGTATGAACATGAGAAAAGGGAAAAAGCAAAGCTCAAATACAAAAAAAAACTGAAGGAGAAAATTATGAAATGAGTAGAGACTGATTAACAAGAAAAGAAAATGCAAAGCTATCCTTTTGGAAATAATTCAAGCTCTCTCAGTCATACAGAATTAATCCTGGAAATAAGGCAGTTCTCACGAAAAACAGAATGACCTATTTTTTTTTTGTTTTTATGTGTTTTTACCATACAAAGGTATAGAAATTAAAAGTATGCTACATTTGGTCTATTTAGGCCACTGTGCCGAAAACTGATGTAAAAACTGAATTCATTATTTTATTTTTTTAAACAATATGTTATACTTCCTTACAAAAGTCACTGCTGTTTACAGGCAACAGGACTCTCCATCCCCACCTAATGCTGGCAAAGAATAAAGATGTTCTAAGTTAATTTTGGAACAGTTAGGAATGAATGGGGGTGGGAAAGGGCAGAGGGGAGAGATTAGATGCCAAGACACTCTGACAAGCGCTGCCAATTTGCGTGGGACAAACACTTTGATCTACTTACTTCTACCTTTCTGACATCACCCTTCTGGTTCTCCAGGGTCTATCCAATTCTCAATCTTTAACCCTTAGGGAAATAACTTTTTACTAGGGATGCTCTCTTTCGATCACCCTTGACCTCCATACAAAATGCAGCCCAGTTTGTGTTCTCCATTCACTCACAAAGTTATTTGGACAAATGAAATGCGTACAGAGTTAAACTGAACCTGACAAAGCACATTCACTGCTCAACACTCCAGGTTCTGGCCTTCAGGACTCCTTTCCACCAACACATCTTGCTCACTGAGTTGAACACAGACAGGCCTCTTTTCTGGTCCTTGAATGCACCAAGCATGCTCCTATCTTAAAGCCTTTGCACTTGCAGTTTCTCTTTTCTTAGAATGCTCTTCCCCAGACATTGGCCAGCCCTTGCTCTGCCATTCTATTTAGGTCCCAACTTACATACCTCCTCTTTAGAGGGGTGTTCTCTGACTACTGTATCTAGGTCAGCACCCTGTACAAGTTTCTTCTTCGTACCACTTATCACTAACTGATACTACCCATCTCATTGTTTGTGATTAGTCACCTCTATTAGAATCTAAGTTCTAAGAATGTTCACTGCACCCAAAATAGTGTCTGGAACACTGTAGGAGATCAATAAATAAATATCTGTTCAATGACCCAATCAGAAGTTGCTGGGCATAGAACAGATATTTAATAAATGTTTAAGGAAAACCTTATTGACGGAAGGACTGTGTACATGCTTTATGCTAGTTTAAAAACAGGCAGAATCTTATTACTTTATTTTAAATTTGCATCTAATTATTGGTTGGATCAGACTTGGGATGTCATGATTGTTTCTTCGAATAATGTCATCTAAGTTGGGATTTAAAGGAGGAAAGAGTAAGTCAGGCAAGTAGGATTATGTATTGAACAGGTAGTTGGGAGCAGGGGAAAAGGAAAGTGCTCAAGTCAGAGAGACTAGCATGGGCAGAGGCCTGGCAGCCAGAGGAACTTCCACTGAAAGGAGTCGAATGAGACTGTGGCATGGTACGAGACAGGATAGGATAAACGATGGTAGGATGAGAGGAGAGAGATGAGGTTAGAAAAATAAGCAAGAACCAGTGTCTTCACATGCATTGTAATTGTATTGAGGATTTGGATTTTGATCTGAGGGTAACAGAGAGATACTTCAGCTTTTAAGCAGAGCATGAACAAGATCAGATTTGAACATCTGAAATTAGCTGCAAATGAGAAGATGGATTGGAGGAGGCACATCCTGAATGCAGGGGACTACTTAGAAGATGATGATTATAAACTGTGTGATATATGAAGCTGAATAATAGCAGCAGTGATTGACAGAAGTGGATCAACTGATGAGAATTTGCAGGGTTGAATAGACAGAATTTTTGGATTGTAGCAGTGTTGGTGGGGACTTGGGAGGGAGAGGAAAGAATCTAGTTTGGTGCCAAAGAACACTGAAGGCAACTGGCTTAAAGGGGTAAATTATAAAAAAAAAAAAAAAATCAAAAGGTTGATTTTAAAACACCTGTGAAATATTTTACTGTATATTACTAGTGAACAATTGGATTTATGGGTCTAGAGTTTATGATAATCTTCTGGGCTAGAAATTTAAATTTGAGCATCATCTTCCCACAGATGTGAACTGATATCGTTTAGGAAAAACATATACTCTTTACCTATATTCAACTATTGTTCATACTTTATCCCATTTGCTTTCTGTTTGTGTTCTCTTTCTCTCATAAATGTGTGTGTGTGTGTGTTATATACATACCACACACACATATATACTTATTGAACCATTTGAGTGTAAATTACATGCATCATAGCCCTTTACCTCTAAATAGGAAATGTATATTTCCTATAAATATGGGTAGTCTTTTATATAACCATAGTGTAACTTTCAACTTTGGAAAATTTCACATGAATGGAATACTTTTCTGTAATCTGTCATCTGCATTCTAACTTTGACAATTAACCCAATAATGACTCCAGAGAGCACTTTTAATTTTCAGGTTAAAGTCTTAATTCTTCTGCTATGTTGTTTTCACAATTACACAAAAACCTAAGACCTATGTAGAATAGTTGATTCTGTTTAAATTTTCCTTCCGATAAAAAAGTAATAGGTTTGAAAGAGTATTTCCTTATATTACTGAAGACCATTTCTTACAACTTTTCTATTATCTATCTACTTAGAATCCATGAGGGCAAAGCTACTATGTGATTAAAAAAGAGTTGCCCAAACTGACCTCCTGTGTATATAGCACTTGCTTTGATGCTTCTTTGTGAGCAAGAAGACTTCTCAAGGCCCAGGAAGTGCTCTTCCTTTTATTATTATTGTTGTTGTTATTATTATTATTACTTTTTTGAGATGGGCTCTTTTTTGTCCAAGCTGGTCTTAAACTCCTGGGCTCAAGCGATCCTCTCCCCTCAGCCTCTCAAAGTGCTGGGATTACAGGCATGACCCACCACGTCCCACTGCCCACACATTCTTCCTTTTACTAAGATCAACTAAGATTGAGTTATGTTATGTTTTTCTCTCTTCAAGAAAGTAAAAACAGAAAGCAATCAGGAAAGCATATGGTGGAGTGATAAGTGGGGAACAAAGTTCATTCTACAAAATGGGCTTTATGATTTCAGTCACCTTTAAGGAGTAGCAGAATTCAAATACTAAAAAATGCAATGTAGCAAGCATCAGCTAGAACTAAATTCACAATGTTGTCACTAAGAATTCAGAGTAGGACGATATAAACCCATCAGCATTCCAAACCTAACATGACCAGAGAAGCACAATGAGCAGCTTTATTTATAGGAATACTTCTGCACCCACTTGCAAAGTTGCTAAACTGGTTTCTGTTTCCTTTGTGGGTGTTTTGGTCAAAGAATAAAAGCATGTTTGGGCCTGTCACTGGGTACTGAGAGTTGATCTCTAATGACAAAGAACAGATTTATCAAGATTATTTACCTCCACAAGAGCTCTAACTTACTGTGACTCAAAGCCTCTCGCATATAGAAAAATTATTTCCTTCCCTCAGAACCCATCCTTTTCAAAAAATATGAGAAATGTACCTGGATTAATCCACAAGCCACTTCAAAGGCAGATGTCTGACAGTACTAGATCTCTGATAAAAAATAGTACACATAGCAGTCTTTAGCCTCCCACAGAAACCACCACCAAGATGACCCAACCATAATATGTTTGTCATTAGGCCATTGAAAGATTTGCCCATAAAGTACATGAGCACAGGTAAGCCTTGATAAAATGGATTTTTTTTTCATCGTTTTTGTTTGTTTGTTTTTTGCTTTTTTAGAGACAGAGGACAGGGTCTCGCTCTGTAACCCAGGCTGGAGTCTAGTGATGCAATCATAGCTCACTGCAGCCTTGACCTCCTGGGCTCAAATGATCCTTCTGCATCAGCCTCCTGAATAGCTGGGATTACAGGCACATACCACCGTGCCTGACCAGTTTAAAAAAAATAATGTTTTTTTAGAGATGAGGGTCTCACTGCATTGGTCAGGTTGGCCTCAAATTCCTAGCCTCAAGCTATACTCCTGCCTTGGCCTCCCAAAGTGCTGAGATTACAGCAATGAGCCACAGTGCCCAGTGCCCACCCTAATAAAATAGATACCTTCAAAATAAAGTCAAATGACGGGTCTAATGTAGTGGTAAAACTAGAGGCTTTAAAGAAAGACACAGCCGAGTCTGAACTCTTTGCTACATACTGTGTAGGTTTGGCTGAATTACATAAAGTTCTCTATGTCCCAGTTACCTCACTAGTAAAAAAAAAAAAGAAAAAGAAAAAGAAAAAGAAAGAGGAAATAACATCGACCTGCTAGGTCATTAAGTTGGGATTAAATGAGATAATGTATGCAAAATGTCTAAGCACAATGTCTGGCATATGGTGGCTGCTTAAAAATAGTTCCCTGCACCCTTTGGCATGCTGACAAAGACTTATTTAATGCTAAGCAGAAGGGCTGATTTAAGGCAGAAGGATCGATTTAAGGAAGAAGAGATGAGAAGGAGGGACCTGAGACCTCCAGGGAGTGATGACACAAATCAGTGAAGGAAGGCAGGAGATGGTTCTGAGGCTTTGCCTGTAGTCCAGGTAAGTGTAAGCAATCCTTGAACTTGGATAATACAGTGAGGAAGGCTACTTGAGAGGACTGTGAAAGTGTTAGTACAAGAGGGCTATTGACTCCAAATGTTGACTTATGCATGGCAGAAAGAGTGATGCTGCCCTTGCAATCAGAGGGGAGGAAGGGATAACTTATGTCAAAAATGGTCATTTGAATTCTGGAGATGTTTTCAGAGGCACACAAAATATAAGGGGAAAGTTGCCTAGCTCACAGCTGGATTGTGGTGCTTTAAGCTCGACAGAATGGCTGGCATTCAAGTTCCGCTTCTGAGGAGTCAGCTACATGTAAATAAGTTGATACCCCAGCAGTAAAATATCTTCAAGAAGGGAAGAGGTATGGAGAGAGAAGAGGAAAGTTACAGACCATGTGTATTTAGGTCAGACATAACAACCCTGCTCTTTGTTTTTCAGCTTGGTAGGCAAAGTGCCAAAACTACTGTTTGTGAAAGGTGTTGAAATGAAGCATGCTAGGGCTCTACACCCATTTGGTTTCTGGGACATTGGTCAGTTGGCATTTTCTTAACTAAACAACAAAAACCATTCAGAGAAGGGCTCTTTCTTCCTTTGGGTTAAGAACAGCAAAAACTACCATTCCTGGTGTTTTTATTTAGTAGCAGGTACTCCAACAAGGTAGGCAGAATGATGACCCCCTAAAAAATATTCTTATATTGATCCCTGGAATCTGTGAATGCTACCTTACTTGGCAAAGAGAAATTAAGGACGCAGATGGAATTAAGGTTGCAGCTGACTGTGAGATGGGAAATTATACTGAATTATCCAGGTGGGCCCATTGTAATCAAAAAGGTCCAAGTGGAAGAGGGAAGCAAGAGCTATCATATGATATCAAGAGTATCATAGTGGCCAGGTGCAGTGGCTCATGCCTATAATCCTAGCACTTTGAGAGGCTGAAGCGGGCGGATCATTTGAGATCAGGAGTTTGGTACCAGCCTGACCAAAATGGTGAAACCCTGTTTCTAGTAAAAATACAAAAAAAAAAAAAAAATTAGCCAGGCATGATGGCACATGCCTGTAATCTCAGCTACTAATGAGGCTGAGGAAGGAAAATCACTTGGACTTGGGAGGTGGTGGTTGCAGTGATCCGAGATTACACCACTGCACTCCAGCCTGGGCAACAGAGTGGGACTCTGTCTCAATAAATAAATAAATAAATAAATAAATAAAGAGTATCATAGTGATATGCTCTAAGGAAGACTTGCTGGGACATTGCTGGCTTTGACGATGGTAGGTGGCCAAGAGCCAGGGAAAGTAGGGGGCCTCTAGAAGCTAGAAAAGGCAAGAAAATGGATTCTCCCACAGGGCCTCTAGAAAGGAGCACAGACCTACTGACACCTCGACTTTAGCCCCAGTGAGATGCATTTTGGACTTCAGAATGCTGGGACTTAATATAATAAATTTGTTTTAAGCCACTAACTTTTGCATGACTTGTCACAACTGCAATAGGAAACATAATACATCTGGTAAACACTTTGCATCCCATAGTGAGGTGGGATTATCATCCACATTTTATTATTATCATCCACATTTTATTGAAAATAAAAATAGAGACTTAGAGAAGTCATATGTTGTTTCAACCTAAGTAGGAAGTGGGAGATATCAGATTTGAGGTGTTTTTTGTGTTTCCTTTATTTTATTTTTTCTTTTTCTTTTTTTGGAGACAGGGTCTCCCTCTGTCACCCAGGCTGAAGTGCAGTGGCACCATCTCGGCTCACTGCAACCTCCACCTCCCGGGTTCATGTGATTCTCCCACCTCAGCCTCCTGAGTAGCTGGGATTACAGGCGCCCACCATGCCCGCCTAATTTTTTTTTTTTTTTTTTTTAGTAGAGACGGGGTTTCACCATATTGGTCAAGCTAGTCTGGAACTCCCGACCTCAGGTGATCCACCTGCCTCAGCCTCCAAAAGTGCTGGAATTACAGGTGTGAGCCACCATGCTAGGCCCAGATTTGAGGATTTTAGGAATGCCTTTGTTCTCACCATTAAATCCTAGCTATTTCTGGTCTGGCTTTTCCCCTACAGAATGTGGTTGGCTCAATTAAAGCAGGTCACCAGGCAACTCCAGGCTGAGTCTTGTTGGAGAATAAAGTAGAATATCTGTCCTGTACAAATAGACCTAAGACAGAAACCAGATTAGCATTGCAGAAAGTCAACCATACCCTATCTGTGTGTTTTAATTGCTAGAGTTTTGATTTGGATAATGTCTTTTTAAAAAATTTTAGCTTTCAAGTATAAAATATTACAGATTTTATCTTTATGAATTATACAGCAAACTCTTCTAAAAAAGCTTGGCTTTCCCAGTGGCATCTTGTCAGCCACATGTTTTCAGCACAAAGGAACGATTTTGCCCCAGTGCAAATTAAAAGTCCCAGGCTCTCACCTCCTTCAACTTGTAAGATTTTAAGAAATCTAAGTTGAAGAGAGCATTATGTAGCATCTGACCTATTAACTGCTTGTAATCTGAGGTGGCTTTTACCCAGGATGAATGACATCCTGAGTGACCTCAAATCTTTTGTGAAAAGAAATGTGTGAATCACAGGCATATACACGTGCCCAGGCCCACACAAACACACTTACAGGCTTTTGCACACAGATAAACAGCTTCAATCATTTCTGAAATGCTTCCTTCTTAGTATAACCTTCAGGCATATTACATAAACTTTTTGCAGACAACTCTAGGAGAACAAACAAGAAAAACTTATGTCACAATTATCGAAAGATAGGCTTCTTCCATGTTATTGCAAACAGCTGTACAACCATTTGTTAAGCATCTGTTTCCTAGAAACGTTTATTCAATAAAACTCTTCCTCTCTCCTTTTTGTCTCAAGTTTAAGGTCACGCTATCAAAATATGTTAGTAAAGAAACTCAGTTTTGTTACTGGATATATTGTCTGCATCTGTCAGAGTTCAAAAGCAGTGCTTTTTAATGCTGCAAGCTTTAATACCTATAGAATTTTACAAAAAGCTAAATATCCTATCTGGTTTGGAGGATATCAATAATACTGTATACGGGTGGCTCACACTTGTAATCCCAGCACTTTGGGAGGCCGAGGCGGGTGGATTACTTGAGGTCAGGAGTTTGAGACCAGCTTGGACAACATGGTGAAATCCTGTCTTTCCCTGTGAAAGCCAAGACCCCTGACTTCAAGCATCGTGGCTTATCCCTTCACCCATAGGAGTCATAATGCTTTTGACATTTTTGCCCCTGACACATTTTTAAAAGGTGTTTGAAAATATATTTAAAGATTAGTTAGGGGTTTCAAAAGTATACTTGGTTTGTGGCCAAGTGCTATGGCACACAGTTAATAGACGGTATACACCTGCTTTTTAAAAAGTTTTCCCATTTAATCCCTGCAAGTGTTCAGGTTTCTTCTGTTTTTTGTTTGTTTGTTTGTTTGTTTTTTGAGATGGAGTCTCACTCTGTTGCCCAGGCTGGAGTGCAGTGGCACTATCTCGGCTCACTGCAACAACCGCCTCCTGGGTTTAAGCGAGTCTCCTGCCTCAGCCTCCCGAGTAGCTGGGACTACAGGCATGCACCACCACGCCCAGCTAATTTTTATATTTTTAGTAGAGAGGGGGTTTCACCATGTTGGCTAGGCTGGTCTTGAACTGCTGACCTCAAGTGATCCACCCGCCTCAGCCTCCCAAATTACTGGGATTATAGGTGTGAGCCACTGTGCCCGGCCCTGTTCTTGATTTTTAAAGCAATTTTACAGACTTGCTTTCTAAGACATCTTAAAGTACTCTTTATTAAAATTTAAAGCTCTATTCAAACCTTTCTTTTTAAGGGAGAATTACACGTTCCATATTAAAAGTTTTGGCAATATAGAAAAGCAACAAAAACAAAATAACAATCACCCATCATAAACCCATCACCCAAAGGGAGCTATTATTAAATAATACACACTCTCATTCACTTAATACACCTCTCATAACTGATTCTTGAAATACGTTGTGGAGGTTTTACTTGACAGTTTTAGCTGAAAAAGATGGTAGTATTATCTACCATATACCATTTAAAAAATACAGAAAAGCCAGATGAAAAATGTTACTGACTTTTTTTTTGCTTTTTATTTTATATAGGCAAGGTGTAAAAATAACTATACACTGTATGTTTTTAGAAAAAAGCTGATTTGTATATAAGGACAGCATCAAGGCTTTCTGATTCTAGATACAATCTCAAGAAATGTCAGAGGTAATACCCATGTTATCACAGAGGATGTGTGACTTAATGGCATCATTCTTACTAACAACAGGACCTGACTCCAGTCATACGCATGTCAAATACAGTGAGAGATGTTAGGCCAGGCAAGAAGAAATAGTACAAAACACTGAAGCATACCTTCAAGATATACAGGCTATGAAACATTAATAGAGAAGTGAGTTTTTTTACCTTTAAAATGGCAAAGATGCTTTTAAAATAATAATACCCAGTGGTGAAAATGGGGTCAACTAGCTTTCTTATATACCATTATGAGGAATGTAAATATAAATCATCTTTCTGAAGGGTAATCTAATACATTTGAATAAACCTGAAAGGATAAGAATATTCACTAGGACAACATAAAAGCAAAAAACAAACAAAACAAAATAAAACAAAAAACAAACAATAGAGGAATAAGGGACTGCACAGGGTAGAATATTTTATAATTATTAATATTTATGTTTTTACTGTTAAGTGGAGAAAAAGTAACATGAAGAAATGTACTATCATAATTTTTATAAAATAAACACATAATCATATGTAATACAACATGCATACATATATACATGTATATATACACATACATATGTATATGAAGTTCACCTAACTTCTAATTTGGTAAAATAGAATATTAATAAAACTGAACACCATCTTCCACCACTCTTGTTAACTCCACAGAACAAAATATTCCTTCCCTATTCTTTCAATATTTACTAGACAGCACCACCATCCACTCATTTGCTTATACCAAAGTTGTAAGAATCATTCTTGACGATTTCATTTCTTTCACCCTCCAAACTGTATTTATCAGCTAGCTAGCCCTGTTTCACTTCCAAAACATAATTCAAAGTCTGTCTACTTCTTTCCAAGCCACTCCAGGCCATGCTTATCTTTTGCCTAGACCACGACGGTGACTTTCTCAATGGCCTCTACTCTTGTCCCTCTCCAGTCAGTTTGGTTACAGAGAAAATCATGTCATTCCCTTTGTATGAGTTTGCTATTGCTGTGCAACAATTACTATAAATCTAGTGGCTTAGAAAAAACAATTATTTATTCTCTCACAATTTACTACCCACGGTTTTGTGGGCTAGGAATCCTGGCATGGCTTTCCTGGGTTCTCTCTAGGCTGAAATCCAGGTGTTGGCTTGGGTTGCAATCTCAGATCTGAGCCTCTTCAAGATCACTGGGCGTCATAACACATTTCCTTTCGGTTGTAGGAGTGAGGCCCTCAGCAATGAAGGGTCACCCATCACTTCTTGCCACTTGGGTTTCTCTACACAGCAATTTTCTTTAAGCCAACAGTAAAGCGCATCTACTGCTCTGAATCTCTCTGACTTCTGTCTCTGACCTCTAGAGCCTCTTTTAAAGGGCTCCCTTGACTAGGTCAGGCCCACACAGGATAATCTCCTTAAAAAACTTAATATAACTGATCAAACACTTTAATTACATTTCTAAAAAATCCTTTCACCTTTGCTACATAATGTAACCTAATCAAAATAATGATAAATCTTATTCATGTTCACATTCCCATAGGCAGGAGGAAAAGAGTACCCAGGGAATGCACACCAGAGGATGGGAATCTTGGGAACTGTGATGAACTGCCTGTTTGTGACTCCCCAGAATTCATATATGGAAACCCAAACCCAAATCCAATAGGATAATATTAGGAGACGGAGCCTTTAGAAGGTAAAATCATGGTTATATTAGGAAATGGGGGTGGAACCCATGAGGGAATTAGTGTCCTTCTAGTATATTAGATGGAAGGGCCCGGGCTCTCTCCATGTGAGGATACAAGGAAAAGATGGCTTCTACAAGCCAGCTGGAGTGCTTCACCAGACCCAGATCTGCTTGCGCCTCAGTCTTGGGCTTTCCAGCTTCCAAACTGTGAGAAATAAATGTTTGTTGTTTAAGCTACTCAGTCTGTGGTATTCTGTTTTAGCAGCCGGAACAGATAAAGACAGGAGCCATTTTAGAATTCTGGCTACCATACCTCCCATCCTACACCAGACTTGTCTCTGGGTAATGGTCTCTTGCATAATGGATATTCTTTTTAACTTTTTTGGGTATTTTCTCAAATTTCTACACTGAATATATGTTAGTGTTCTCACTTTGCAAACAGTGCCCTAAGATCAGTTATTCTGCTTAAAATCCTTCAGTGGCTTCTCACTATTTTCTTACAATACTCCAAACTCCTAATAGCCTGGAAGTCTACTAGGCTGCATGATCTGGCTACCTCCTGCCTCCCTCCTCCAGCCTCTATTTCCTTCAGAGAATTTATTAGAACATTTAATTACCATGTTTTTGTTTTCTTGATTGTATTTATTTCCCTAACTAAAATGTAAGCCCCAGGAAAGGATAGCTCTTTATGACCTTTTGTCTCCTGTATCCCAGTAATTAGACAGTGCCTAGCATGAAGAAATCAGTCAGTAAGCATGTGATGGGGTGAACCAATGCTAATGGCAAGCAGGCCCTTCTGAGATCAGCCTATATGACATGAGCCATAGAAGTAAACCTGGAATAATATAAGAAAAAGTAAGATCACATTGTACAGTTCTGAAACTGACTATATCTTCCATGAAACAAAGCATTATAATCCTCAACAGGGACAGAGTCTCAAGGAACAATCACAAAACAAAAAGAGGTCCATTGGATCCTTGTTGGTCAGAGCAATCTACTGTTAAAACTCACTAATCTGTTCTGATTTTATCCTAAAGCACAAAAGATACTACCATCACTACCACCACTAATATGATTGGCAAAGGACTTGACAGTCCCCCAAAATTCTTGCAACTGGAATTGCTCAAACAGAAGCTGAATGGCCACTGGTAGGAGTGCTCAAGAAAGAACCTAGGCCTTGGATGAGAGGTTGGAAGAAACTGTAGTCTAGGCCGGGCTAAACTGTAAGGGGAGAAAACTGGAGAGCCACAGGCCACATTGGGTTTGTGGATGGACTTTGTATGGAAGGCACAACATTTATTTTTAAGTTGATTTGAATATCTTTAAATAGGACATATGCTCTCAAATTCCCATGGTTTCCATTACTCCTATTACTTACAAGTGACAGATATGCTCATCCATTGTAACTGCTTGGCCCCAAATAAGTATATGGGTTTGCTACTCTTGGACTCTCTAAGGCAGGAGTCCTCAACCCTAGGGCCACAGACTGGTACTGGCCCTTGGCCTGTTAGGAACCAGTCTGCAAAGCAGAAGATGAGCAGTGGGCAAGTGAGCATTACTGCCTGATCTCTGCCTCCTGTCAGATCACCGGCAGCATTAGATCTTCATAGAAGCATCAACCCTATATAAACTGCACATGTGAGGGATCCAGGTTGCACACTTCTTATAAGAATCTAATGCCTGATCATCTGTGGTGGAACAGTTTCATCCAGAAACCATCTCCCCAACCCCCAACACCCCTACCCCAGGTCCCTGGAAAAATTGTCTCTCTGGTCCCTGATACCGAAAAGGTTGGGGACTGCTGCTCTAAGGTTTCTTCTGGCACCTGAATATAAAGGACAAGGTAATACGTTAAAAGAGTTGTTGGCATGGAGGAATATAAACTTTACACTAAGGATAATCATTTTATGGATGACTTGCAAATCCTTCCTCTACGCTTTATCCTTGACATTCTAGCACATGAAATCTAACTTGCATTACTTAAGCTTCTGGCTTACTTTGAAGATTTTATCTGTTATCAAAATATTAACCTAACCTTTTCCAGTAAGAAATTTGACAACAATCCAATACACATGTGGATCAAAAGAAAATTAAAGAATCTCCTTTTGTTCCTGGTTGAGGAATAAATATGATCCAGGTCAGACATTAGAAGGAAAAAATATATATAGTAAGAAGTCTCTCTAATCATGAAATATTGAATTCAGGCTCAGCATCCTTTTTCATTTTTGACCACTGAGTTACAATTACATTTGATTTTAAAAGTGCACACTTTTAAACTACTCTGGTTGAGTAACTTTGTGTCCTGCCACCAGTTTTCACCATCTGAGGTGCTGCATTAGCTTCTGTTAAAAGAAATACTGACATTTTCATCTTTCAGTAATAAATAGCAACTGGGGAGAAAGAAAACTACTCATTGTGCATGAGAAGGAGGCAATGTCATCCTCACATTTGCCTTTCAGCTAGGCTCCTTAAATGAAATGAGGCCTACTAAATGAAGCCACTGAACTTGTCTACAATGTCCCCTCTTTCTCATGTGTTTATAATTTTCTCCAAAATAAAAGCTAATTTTTAAAATAATTTCCCAAGTTTTATCAAATGAAACCTGAAGGTAATACTTTTTAAAATTAAGGACACGAGAAATAATTCTTTACAAATTCAGCTTCTATTTCAGGTAATTATATTTGCTTAAAATATCAGGGGCCTCCTCTTGTTTTATTTTATTTTTTTTCTGAGGCAAAATATCCCTCACTTGTGAGATTAAGTTTTTGAAGATATTGTTCAATGGTGAAGTTTACACTAAAATTTCATCCTGAATGTATTCCAACTGGACTATGTAAATATGAATATTAATCACTTCAAAATTAGCAATTGTTCAGCTCATGACTTCTGTTTTCTATGGATATTTGTAAACTTTCCAAAAATATTAAAAGGCATTAGTTAGAATTACTATACAGCTTATATAATATGTAGCTTAAAAACAGTTGTCTTTTGAATTTTGGACATGTCGGTTCCTGAAAGCAGGAATCAAACCACAGTGAGCACACTGGGCTTGCTTCCACAGAGGAAGCAGGGAGGACAATCGCAGAACTGTGAAATTGCCAGACATTGATTGGTAAGTTATTATCAAAACTGGAGGAGTTTTAGAGAGGCCCACAGAAAGAGAGGCAGGAGTTACCTTTCCTCCTGTAGTGATAGAGCTGTGATAAGGACAGGAAGCACCTGGCAGGAAAAACTGAAGTTAGCAGAAGTGAGTCTGAAGGAGATACCTTATAAGACATTAAACTTTCAGAGAAGCCATGTGTTAAGCCACTAATCTCTCATCTTGAAAGGTCAAGAAAAAAATTCAAAAAGGGGAGAAAAGGCTGACCTAGATTACGGATTTCACCCTATCTAAGCTTCAAGCTCCTCCACAAGTTTAAAAGGTTTGGATGAGGGGTGGGGACCATCATGTAGGACTCTAAAGGAGAAATATTAAGAGAAACTATAGTGGCCAGGAGGTGCCTGTGGAACAGGGGGAAGGCCCTGGACTCAGATGATTTTGTATGAGAGGTTCTAGCACTGGGAAATAAATGATGCCCAAGTGGAGACTGGGATAATCTTTAGAGGGTGGCCAGAGGAGGTGACAAAAAATAGTATGTGCAAAAGTCCAAAGGCAAGAAAGGGAGAGCTTAGCAAATAGTGAAAGGAAGTAGCTAGATATTGGGGCAGTGTGGGCAGTAAAGAGGAAATTAGCAAGAGATGCTGTGGAAATGAAGCAGAAGCCAGATCGTGAAGGGCCTTGTGAATAGTGATCAGAGATCTGGGGAATGGGGAATCCGAGGGGCAATGTGGGATCGCTTAAGGGGGAGTGACTTAAGCAAACCTGTAAGCTTCATCTTTTCACCTAGAATATGGAAATAATTCCACCTGTCTCAATGAGTTATAACGAACATCAAATAAAAATGTGTGAGAAGAACTTTGCAAGCTAAAAGCTTGAGAGAAAACTATTTTTTAAATAGTCCTTTCCCTTATTGTACAAATATAAAATACCCAAAACAGATATTCTTTAAGCAGTTTATTTTGTAGAACTGTTTGTGTTAAATTTGTCTTCCTTTCTTAGTCCATTCAGCCTGCTATAACAAAAATATCATAAAATGATTGTGGCTTACAAAGAACAGAAATCTATTTCTCATGATTCTGGAGGCTGAGAATTCCAAGATCAAGGTGCCTGCAGGTTCTGGAAGGAGCCTGCTTTCTCACAGGCAGACATCATCTCACTCTAACTTCACAGGAGTGACGGGGTCTCTCCTGAGCCTATTTTGTAAAGACACTAATCCCATTTATGAGGCCTCTGCCCCCATGACTTAATCACCCCCCCAAAGGCTCACCTTTGAACAGCATCGTCTTGGGGTTTAGGGTTTCAGCATATGAATTTTGGGGAGACATAAACATTCAGACCATAGCACTTTCCCTCTTTGTTTTAAAGATGTGTTCTATGAGGTGTACATACCACGTACTAGTTCTTTTTTTTGTTTGTTTGTTTTTGAGGTGCAGTCTCGCTCTGTCCCCAGGCTGGAGTGCAGTGGTGCGATCTCAGCTCACTGCAGCCTCCGCCTCCCAGGTTCAAGCCATACTCCTGCCTCAGCCTCCTGAGTATCTAGGACTACAGGTGCACACCACCATGCCCAGATAATTTTTGTATTGTTAGTAGAGACGGGGTTTCACCATGCTGGCCACAATGGTCTTGATTTCCTGACCTCATGATCCACCCGTCTCAGCCTCCCAAAGTGCTGGGATTACAGGCGTGAGCCACCGCACCCGGCCCCATCCACGTACTAGTTCTTTACCATTTAACGTATACTACTTGGATAAATGGAGAGAACCATTGACTCTATGGAGTGGGAAAGTCAATTAAAAAAACACCAACCTCCTCTCTATGAGTCATTGCTGAAAAGTCACCAAGGCCCACTCTGACCTCTCTAAAAATACAATGTGTACACCCTCTATTTTTGATCCCTCTTAACCTGCTTCAATTTTACTTCTTCCATTGCACTCATTTGCTTCTAATTTGCTGATAAATTTATTATTTATTAGTACTGGATTGTAAGCTCCTTGATGGCAGGGCTCTTCATAAGTTTGTTTGTTTTTTTGAGACAGAGTGAGACTCTGTGTCCCCAGGCTGGAGTGCAGTGGTGTGATCTCAACTCACTGCAAACTATGCCTCCTGGGTTCAAGTGATTCTCATGCCTCAGCCTCCCAAGTAGCAGGGATTACAGACACACACCACCATGCCCAGTTAATTTTGTATTTTTTAGTAGAGACAGAGTTTCCCCATGTTGGCCAGGCTGGTCCCAAACTCCTGATCTCAAGTGATCTGCCCACCTTGGCCTCCCAAAGTGTGGGGATTGTAGATGTGAGCCACTGCATCCAGCCCTTTCATCTGTTTTGATAACCTGTTGATCTTGTGTGCCTAGACTGATCTTTGGTATTAGTAGGTGCTCAATAAATATTTATTGAACAAACGGAATGAATAAAAGAAAAGAAGCGTCAGTAGAAAGTTTTGCTAAAATTTATATTTAAAAATAAATGATAACTTGAAATTACAAAATTAGGAGAAGGAAGAAATATTTAGAATTCATTTTTCAAAAATCTAAATCCTTATTCAACACTTTCTTTTTCAAGGGTTCATATTCACCAGTCTCCCCTGACCTGCACCTGTAGCTAGACATGCTACAGATTCCATTTCCAAAAATACTCAAATGTGTACTGAATTCTAATTTCAGCAAGTTTTGAGAATTTGAATACTGCTCTAGGAGTTTTACCTGGCACAAATGTTTATGGGATATGCTGCATCTCTATGAGGCATGTGGGATTATTTACAAGCAAGGAAGAAAGGCTATTTCCAGCATTATTCCATGCTGGTAAAAGTGACCAGAAAACAAACAAACAAGATAAATGCTGCCTTTCTTCCTATTTTCCCCCCATGAGTTACAGTTCTAGCACTCTTTCGTTTTCTTTTTCTTTTCTTTTTTTTTTTTTTTTTTTTGAGACGGAGTTTCACTCTTGTCGCCCAGGCTGGAGTGCAGTGGTGCAGTCTCAGCTCACTGCAACCTCTGCCTCTCGGGTTCGAGTGATTCTCCTGCCTCAGCCTCATGGGTAGCTGGGATTACAAGCGCCCACGACCATGCCTGGCTAATTTTTGTATTTTTAGTAGAGACGGGGTTTCGCTATGTTGGCCAGGCTTGTCTCGAACTCCTGACCTCGTGATCCTCCCTCCTTGGCCTCCCAAAATGCTGGGATTACAGGCGTGAGCCAGCGCACCCGGCCAGTTCTACACTCTTAAGGAGAAATGATACTTCTTTAAACAGAGAAGGTAATGATCAGACTGCTTTTTAACAAAGCAAAATGATAGTTCTGTGCATGCTTCTTTCTCAGAGTCTAGAGAACAGAAGTTGGTTATAATTTTAAGGCAAGGGTTGCAAACTGGTCGTCCACACAAAGAAGACTGTGGTTTTGCCTATATGTTTCAAAAGCTTTTTTGAATTGATTGACAACATTTAAAGAATAGAAAGTGTTTCATAAAAATGCAGAACATCAACTTCCACTGAAAAATCTAGCAGCAATGGGCAGGCATCTGCAGAGCAACAGCTTAACAGAGCTAAACAAGAGCTGCCTCTTTCATCACTCTGATACTTTCCAGTTCCAACAATTCCCCTGCCAATTTCCCTCTGATGTAGTACTTGCCCTTACAGACAAGGGGCATTGTGTAAATACTGAGCACCTTCCAAGGGAGGAGAGCCCGGCTCTGGTTCATTTGTGCCCACTCTGCTATGTTTCATAGGTCAGTTCTGAGTCTTAGCAGCAATATGAATCAGTTCATTCTTATCAGTATCCCTGTGCTCCAGATTCCATGCCTCACAGTCTTGCTGGTCGCCTCCTCTTATTTTTTTAGGTGCCAAAACTTTATTTTCAACTAAACTTGCTCTGAGAAGAGATTATGTACTCACACTGAAGGCAGAAAGGCAGATGAGAACACTAGGAGGTCTGAAAACAGGAGGTACAACTCTCAACTAATAAGGTTCTGAAAACAAAAGCAGCAGTTAAGGGTGGGTTCCCAAGGCTTCCGTGGGGGTCTGACATGATTCTTCCAGTCTTGCATGTAACAAAGAGGACTATCCCCAGCTTTGCTGGTTTTAGGACCACTTATACAAACTTCCAGTGGAAACAGACGATGAATTAATCATTTAATTTCAAATTAATTTCAAAGATGACAAGGAGGTCCTCTTACATAGAAACATTGGTGCTGACATACCCTTATTAGAGTTTCACTTTAATGGGGACTAAGAAGAAATCAGCTCCCAAAATAGAGACACATGTCCTTTACACTGCTAGCTGGAGAAAAAAAAAATAAAGCCTCAGCAATTGAATACACCCTTATATTTTACTTCCCCTGGATATTGTGACCTTTGCTGAAAATATGTCATCAGCAATCTTAACAAAAGTCCTCAAGGTTTCTAAACCATGGTATCATAGACTGTGGTGCACTGCAGTGTCCTAACACTTCAACATAACGGCCTGTTCCAGTTTGACGTACCTTAAATCTGTCATCTACGCTTTGTTTCCCTCTTTTTACACAAACCACAGCCTATCAAGCAATTGAGATATGGTGGCTGTGCAGGGGGGCTTGGCAGGATGTCCAATCCCATTCCTTTCTGCATATAGCCTTGGTAAATGAGTAAAGCATACCATAAACCTTGAGTTTTTCATCTTACTTTCCACAACTGGACTTAGTTAAATCAGAATCTATTATTATTATTATTAGAGATGGAGTCTCGCTCTGTCGCCCAGGCTGGAGTGCCGTGGCGCGATTTCTGCACACTGCAAGATCTGCCTCCTGGTTCACGCCATTCTCCTGCCTCAGCCTCCCGAGTAGCTGGGACCACAGGCGCCTGCCACCACACCCGGCTAATTTTTTGTATTTTAGCAGAGACGGGGTTTCACCGTGTTAGCCAGGATGGTCTCGATCTCCTGACCTCATGATCCGCCCGCCTTGGCCTCCCAAAGTGCTGGGATTACAGGCATGAGCCATCGTGCCTGGCCAAATCAGAATCAATTATTAATAAAAAGGTTTGATAAAATATCTACTATGTGTATACTTCTATTGCTAGATGTGATGTGCTGTTTCGGATGCAAAGATGAAAGAAATCAATTCTGGATCCACTATTTTATATGATATCTCTATACAAATTAGACAAAAAAGGACTCTCCCCTTCATGGGTGCAGCCTGTGTCAGGGAGCTCAGTTTGGTTAGCAGAGTTCCGGCGGGTCGGGTGCCCTTGTGAAGGAGTCAACGTGCATACTTATACAGGATGGCCTGAAAGTCCTAGCCCTTGATCTCAAGATTGGGATCTAACAGTCCGTGAGGTAGGCAGTCAAATAACAGATATCCTAGGACAGAGGTTAACACAGAAAAGCTATACTTGAAATATACAGAGTTCAAAGGATGGAAATTATATAATTGAAGAATCCGGGAAAGCTTCACAAAAGAAATCTTAAAAGGCAGGCTGCAATGGAAAGGAGAGGACTCAAGGAAGGGATTCTAAACAGAGGAAAACACCTGAAAAAGGAACAGGAGACTGTAGGGGTCACATTTAGAAAACATGGAGTTCAGTATTGCTAGCGTTTATGCAATGTCTATATAAATGGTAGAAACAGGAAACTCTTATCCTACCATCTGTTTTCCTTTCAACATCCAGAGTGAGCTCCTTATACCATAAATCAGGTTGGTGCTCTGATTGAAATCCTTCAATGGCTTCCTCTTGCAATTTAGAATAAAATCCAAGCTCCCTACCATGACCTGGCCTCTGCTAGTCTTCTGCATGCTCCTTTAGTACAATCATATGGGATGGTTTTTGTTTGCTTGTTTGTTTTTCCCTATACCTTGCTATACCAAACTCACTTCCACTTCCAGGCCTTTGTGCTTGCTCTTCCCTTAGATCTTCAAAAGCCTGGCTTCTTCTCTTCATTTCACTGTTGCCTTCTCAGAGCAGACTACCCTAGACACTTCTGGAGTCAGAAGTGGCTTGGTTTCGAATCTTGGTTCCATCACTTAGGATCATTCTAGCCCTGCCTCAATATCTTCATCTGTAAAGTGAAGTAGCTATTTGCAGGTTGCAGTGAGAATCAAATGAAAGAAATCATGGAAAGCACTGGGAACAGTGCCTTGAATTCCATGTTCTCCTAGTACTCCAGAAATCTTTATCATTGTTACTATTTAATACATCTATTATTCTCTTAAATTATTTATTGATTTTTTCTTATTTATTGGCTGTTTACTCACACAAGAATATGAGTTATGTAAGTGCAAAGATCTTGATTTTCACTTCTCCATTTTGAGTACTTCTACGTAGGCACACAGTAGTTTGTTGACTTTTAATTTAATAGGGAAAAGGCAATATGGTAAAGCAGGAAGAAGTGACTTTTCCATAATCTAAATCTTCTACTATCCATGTCATCCAGATCACTTTCAGGGCCTCAGTTTTCTCCTCAGTATGATTTTATAATCTGGGTGACAGACAGTGTTAATTTTGAGTACACGTGAAGAAGGAAAACGATGTATCAGGCAGCAGGGGGCAGCAGTGTGTCGGAAATGCCGCTGCAGCTCTCACGCCAGGTGTCCCCTCATTTACCATTTTATGAATAACCTTGCGTTTAAATTTCCCATCAAGTTATTACATCCTGTGAGATAAAGAACGGATGTTTTCAGAGAAATGGATTGTAAAATGTCTTTTCTTTCTGTAAAAATGGAGTTTTCAATTCAAGGATCAAGAAAAACTCATTTTTGGTTTCTTATTTCATCCAACTGGGAAACAGTCATGGGACCCTCCCCACTCCCCCAATAATTGGGTGGGTAGTGGTGGTGGTAGCAATATTTATGATTCCCAGCTGTGTTATGTTTACCAGCTGTGTGACCTTTGGAATGTTGGAAATAAGTGGTAAAAGGTAACTTATCTATAATTATACATTTAATTTATGGACTAGACTTGTAACCAAGTACTCCCATTTTTCTAAGAGTAAGAGTTATTTTTTAATAATTTTTCTTTCCTCCTTTCCCCTTGTTTCCTACCTCCTACTTAGTTCTTTTTTTTTTTAATTATACTTTAAGTTTTAGGGTACATGTGCACAACGTGCACGTTTGTTACATATGTATACATGTGCCATGTTGGTGTGCTGCACCCATTAACTCGTCATTTAGCATTAGGTATACCTCCTAATGCTATCCCTCCCCCCTCCCCCCTCCCCCCACCCCACAACAGTCCCCAGTGTGTGATGTTCCCCTTCCTGTGTCCATGTGTTCTCATTGTTCAATTCCCACCTATGAGTGAGAACATGTGGTGTTTGGTTTTTTGTCCTTGCGATAGTTTGCTGAGAATGATGGTTTCCAGTTTTATCCATGTCCCTACAAAGGACAAGAACTCATCCTTTTTTATGGCTGCATAGTATTCCGTGGTGTAAATGTGCCACATTTTCTTAATCCAGACTTAGTTCTTTAGAAACGCAATGATACCCTTTACCTTCCCTTCACCAGATGCTCCCCACAGGGCAAGCTTATCTAACTATGTACTTATCTCAAAATGTGTACTTATCTCAAAAGCTCCAGGTCCACTCATGCTACCAAAAATAGAGTGGGCTTCCTCAAGGAGATGGGCACACCTGGCTATCGGGGTGAACACATCAATCAGCTCACCCGCCAGCTGAGCTAGACCCAGGTGAGGCAGGGCTGAAAACTGCCCTTGGGCTGACTTTTGATAGGCCATGCCTTGCCACTTTACAAGTTCTTTTTGCATTTACTAGTATTTAAGAGTAACCTTGAGATTGGGAGGAAAGAAGAGGCTGGTACAAATAGATGGAGACCTGCTGGGATCAGTGAATGCCTGATTAGGACATGGGGCTATGCATAGCCTAAGAGTTATAGGCTTAAAGATGTCGAGTAACTAAAAACCGTATTGCTGGCCGGGCACGGTGGCTCATGCCTGTAATCCCAGCACTTTGGGAAGCCAAGGCGGGCAGACCATGAGGTCAGGAGATTGAGACCATCCTGGCCAACATGGTGAAACCCTGTCTCTACTAAAAATACAAAAATGAGCTGGGTGTGGTGGCGCATGCCTGTAGTCCCAGGTACTTGAGAGGCTAAGGCAGGAAAATCGCTTGAACCCAGGAGGCAGAGATTGCAGTGAGCCAAGATCGTGCCAGTGCATTCCAGCCTGGGCGACAGAGCGAGACTCCGTCTCAAACAACAACAACAACAACAACAACAACAAAAACCAAAAACCTGTATTGCCGCAGTCATTTAGATGGAAATGGGGAAAGAATAATATTAATAACTGATTTCAAAAAGGACTTGAAGATATGAATCATCTATTTTGCTGAAGAAATCGTAACTCTTTGAAATTACTTTCTATTGCTGTTGTCATACTCTTAGGTGCCAAACTGCATTAAATTTTTTATCAATGAAGTGGAAGCATGTGTTTTGTCGTTTTGGGAATTTTTATCAAGTATCTTCAGAGAAGATTATTTCCTGCTTTATCTTCAAAAACTGGAAAGGAAGGGTCAAAGAAAAGACAGTAGCTGGCCGGGCATGGTGGTTCATACCTGTAATCCCAACACTTTGGGAGGCTGAGGTGGGCGGGTCACCTGAGGTTGGGAGTTTAAGACCAGCCTGACCAACATGGAGAAATGCCGACTCTACTAAAAATAGAAAAATTAGTCGGGCATGGTGGCATATGTCTGTAATCCCAGCTACTCAGGAGGCTGAGGCAGGAGAATCGTTTGAACCTGGGAGGCGGGAGTTGCAGTGAGCCGAGTTCATGCCATTGCACTCCAGCCTGGGCAACAAGCGAAACTCCATCTCAAAAAGCAGAAAAGACAGTAGCTTATGTTCATGTCAAGCACCTCTCATCACAGTCTAGTTCCAAGGAAAAATTCCAGCGTTTTCTACATTGGGTGCTGCGTCGTCTGAAATCGGCACATTCCTGCTTTGTTGGATCTATCCTAGGGTTTACTGTTGGTAAATGAGTCACTCTAGCATTTGTACAAGGCTCCCTAAGACTCCTGCAGCAGTCAACCAAGCCCAAGGACATAATTGAATCTGGAGAGTCCTGGGGCCTTGTTTTGAAAAAGACTTGAAATACACATAGGAAGAAAGGCATAAAAATAAATGTTCACTTGTCTCTGCTGTGGAAAAAAAAAAAAAAAAGGCTCCAGGGCCAGAACTCTGTCTCACCAAGCTGCCTAGAGACAACAGCCAATTTACAACCTAAGGTGTGCCCTGCGATGGAACTCTCTCCCACCTGGAGGGTGTCTTGAGACAATGGCCATTTTACAACCCACATCTGCCTGTGATGGTGCCAGCTCACCACCCAGTAGATAAGGCACCAAAATGATCAGCACCTGCTCGCTCTCTCCCCTGCATGCTGTTCACACCAAGTCCCCCTTTAAAGCTTCGGCTTTCTGCCCCAAAAGTGAAGCAGTCCACTAAAGGCAGGAAGGAGCCTGCACCTCTTTCCCTAAGCTAAGCTTTGGAATAAAGCCACTTTCTTTATACCAGACATCGCTCTTGTTAGTTGGACTTTGCACACAGTGTGTGATGGAATCTGCATTTTGGTTACAAAGTTATGAGTTAGATATTAAAACATCAGACAGTGAAAGATTAAGTAATCTGCCTAGTATTGTGCAGCTGAGATATACAAGCCCTGATAGGAAGCTTTTAACTATTATACCATATTAAAAGAAATTGCTTGGTTTAAAATTAAATGAGAGGCTGGGCGCGGTGGCTCATACCTGTAATCCCAGCACTTTGGGAGGCCGAGGAGGGCGGATCATGAAGTCAGGAGTTTGAGACCAGCCTGGCCAAGATGGTGAAACCCTGTCTACTACAAATACAAAAATTAGCCAGGCACAGTGGATGCCTGTTCCCAGCTACTCGGGAGGCTGAGGCAGGAGAATTGCTTGAACCCGGGAGGCAGAGGTTGCAGTGAGCCAAGATCGCGCCACTGCACTCTAGCCTGGGTGACAGAGCAAGACTGTCTCAAAAAAAAAAAAAGTAAATGAGAAATTATATGAATTTCTTGCACATAAATGAAGACCAAGAACCAATGAACATTTTCCTCCTTGCTTGGCACATTAGATCATTAAAGAAGAGCTTCAGTGCTCAGTTAACCCAATATCTGGCAGTCCTATCAAAGATAACTCAAAATAGGTTAGGAGTCCTTTGAGATATATTGAATTTCCAACCCATCACTGCAGTTTCTTCTTCTATTTAAAAAAAAAAAAATTGTTGGCCGGATGCGGTGGCTCATGCCTGTAATTCCAGCACTTTGGGAGGCCGAGGTGGGCGGATCACGAGGTCAGGAGATCGAGACCATCCTGGCTAACATGGTGAAACCCCATCTCTATTAAAAATACAAAAACAAAAATAATTAGCCGGGCGTGGTGGCGGGTGCCTGTAGTCCCAGCTACTTGGGAGGCTGAGGCAGGAGAATGGCGTGAACCCCACAGGCGGAGCTTGCAGTGAGCCGAGATTGTGCCACTGCACTCCAGCCTGGGTGACAGAGCGAGACTCTGTCTCAAAAAAAAAAAAAATTGTTTATATTTAGAAGATGGTTCAACTGGTCTTACCTTCACGGATCTATTATTCTAAGTAATTCTTTACCTAAATATCTATCTTTTCCTTCTCTGTACTAGGCATCCTAGTACCATTTTCTTTTCCTCTTCCACAGCTCAAATAATGATTATACTCAGTGATTCAAATATTAATGTTCCAGTCTATACCCTTAAGAAAAAGAAAACATGCAAGAAGAGAGGGAGGTTTCATGAAGAGGAGGGAAGGAAAAACCATGCTACATAGTTTATTCAGGCACAGCAATGGCCACAGGTGTGAGCACGCCTCAACCAGAACCCCAATGATGATTACAAACCTATCTACTGGGACTTCTCTGAGAAGTGCTGCAGCCCATCATTTGAGAACATTCTTTATTTAAAGTCCACCTTAAAATAACAACCATAACTAAGATGTCTTTGTATTTTCAAATATAACTCTGTCATAATGATAAGCAAGCTTTGCTAAGATATTTATGAGTGTGAGCTTCAAGTGAAACTTTAGTGCTGCCTGATCTTTGTAGTATATTTTCATAGTTCATTCACTCTCCTACTCTCCTAGAGGATAATTTCACGCCATTTGTTCTTTCCCTGCAAACCCAAGAAACTCTTCCAACATCCTTAATCTCCACTGATAATCTTGGTCCCTACTTTACTGAAAAAAAAAAATTAGAGAACTTCCACAGACTCAATACCACATCGACCCACCTACCAGTATCTGTGCCCACCGACTCAACCTTCTCAGATGCTTCTACTTTAAGCTAATGTATCCCCATCCTCTCTCACCTATTCAGAGACAATCTTGAAACTCTTTACTCTCCTCTATATCATCAAATTTTCCACCTCTACTGGATTAATCCACATAAAAATACTCTGTTACTTTCTCATCTTAATAAAACCCTCTCCTGACCCAATTTACACTATGGATGAACACTCCTTTCTACTGCTTCTCTTTACAGCAAAAATCCTAGAAATTTTCCCTAATTACCATTTCTAAATCGTCTCTTTCCATGCTCTTTTTAAAATCCATTCTAAGTGGGCCTAGAGACCCACCACTGCACTGAACTGCTCTTGCTGAAGTCACCAATGACCTCCTCCTTGATAAACAGTCATCTCAGTTCTCATTCAACACATTTATCTCTATCTTCTTCCCACCTGCTTTCCTCACTCGCCCCCAGGACATCACAATCTCCTGATTTTCCTCCTCCACTGCTGCTCCTTCTCAGTCTCTTTTCCAGGTCTACTTCTTCCTACCCAACACTGGAAATACTAGGCCTTAGCACAGATCATCTATCTATGCTTTCTCCTTTGCTGAGCTCTTCCATGGTTTTTGCTATCACCCATGTATTGAAGACTCCTAAATCAATATTTCTAGTACAGTTTCTCCCCCAAACTCCACATTCAAATAGCCAGCTAGTTTATTCCATTTCTCAATTTAGAGATTTAGCTAACACCTGAAACTTGACTATGCTCAGAAGTAAACTCCTGAATTCTCTGCAAACCTGTGCCACCTTCACTGTTCCCACTGTATGTGAGGTCAAATCCATTATATTCTCAGGTCAAAACTTGGGGGAGGAATACATGACTGCTTTGTTTGTTTTTCTTCTCTCTTTTTTTTTCTTTCTTTCTACTCCTTCACACTCACCCCATCGTATTCACCAGGAAAATGTGTCCGCTCTATCTTTAAAGTATATACAGAATGTGACCACTTCTCACCACCTCTAGCACTACCATCTTGGTCTCAACTACCATGTTTCTCACCTGAATCATGGCTATAACTTCCTAACTGGTCTGCTTCCAATCTTGATGTTCCAACAATTTGTTTTCCACGTTCTAGTTAGAACAAGTCTCTCAAAATGTAAGTCAGATTTGCCAAATCATTGCTCAAAATCACTAATCACTTATCATTTCACTGGGAGTAAAAACTCTAGCCCAGAATTAGAGTAAAAAGTCTAATTGGGAGTAAAAGCTTCTAAGATGTCATATAATTTAGCCCCCATTATCTCTCCAAAGGCATCTCCCATATATTCTCCTGTTGTTCACTCTAGTAACATGTACCTGGATATTTCTGAAATATGCAAAGCAAGCTCCCATCTCAAGGCCTTACTTTCCTGCTTCTTGGAATGCCATTTCCCAATGTATCTACATTACTAACTCCCTTACCTCCTTCAATTTTTTACTTACTTAAGTCATCTTCTCAATGAGGCTTACTCTTACTACCATTAAAGATTGTGACACATCCCCTCTTTGGCACTTCTGACTTCCTTTACCTGGCTTGGCATTTTCTTTACTCCATAGCATCTGTTACCTAACTTACTCTACAATTTACTCATGCCCTACATTCATGTTCATTTATATAGTTTTTGCCTTCTGCTGATATGTAACATAAGTTCCATGAGGAACTGAATTAAATTACTATAGCATGTAGAATGGTGGATAATGAAATAATGTAAAATTTTAAAAGAGTACTGAATTCAATCAGGTAGAAAAGAGAAATTCTAATCTGGGTAATGGATATACAACCTAGCAAGTTGGTTTAGACTAAAGTTGCCTGAGATAACAGGAAAATAGTGAATAAAATAACCTGGGATGCACTAGGGTGTAAGAAAAGGAGTGGGCTTTAGAAGTCCCACTGAAAGAAGGGACTTGGATTGCTATCTTGTTTTTAGATAGAATTTTCCTAGAAATATCTCTGAGAAGCCCTATTCTAGAATTGCCATCCACAACACAAACCTATGGTCATAGTTGCTGTTGTAGACTGGAGATGATGATAAAATTCTCCTTAGTCAAATAAGCAACTTTTCACCCCAGGAAAGTATACCATAAAAGTGCAGAGATGATGAAGGAATAACCATTATTCAAGTTGAGTTTATAGAGGAACAGTGGATTTTCTAATTGACATGGCATTTAAATTATGTTTTGTCTCTTTATAAGTTTAAATTTTTATCAAAGTTCCACATAAACTAAAGAAGCAAATAGCTAGTTCTAATTGACTTGTAAAATAAAGCAATCCCCCCAATCCCACCCTTTTTCCTACTCTCCAGAACCAACCACTCTGAATTATTTTCTCAGACCTGCACCAGCCTAGACTGTTTTTATGTGGTATAGCTGTCTTAGAATCACCCTGTGCAGGATTCCCTTCACTTCTTCCTTATGGATATCTCCTATTTCTTGGATTCCATTTTTTTTCTTTCTCATATTGCTGGAGCACTTGAGAAACTGTAATGGGAGGGAAATTTTTAAAATGTGCATATATGAAAATGGCTTTATTCTACTCATAGTTGATTTATAATGATAGTAAAACTATTGATAGGAAATAATTTACCATTTACCATTCAAATTTTAAAGGCATACTCTTACTTCGTAGCTTCTAGTATTGCTATAGAGAAGTCCTATGTCATTCTGATTCTTGATCCATTGAATGAATATGTCTCCCTCATGATTTAAGAATCTTTTCTTTGAAACAAGTTTTCTGAAGTTTCATGATAATATGCCTGAGTGTGAGCCTTTTTTTCATTGTTCTTGCTACTGGGCCCTTTCAATTTGGAAACTCATGTCCTTCAGTTCTGGGAAATTTTCTCACATTATTTCTTTGACTTTTCTCCCCCCTCCCCCGAACACCCCTCTCTTTTTTTAAGTCTGGTATCTCTTTCTGGAGATCCTGTTTGGATGATGGAGTTCCATGACTGGCCCTCAGGTTTCTCTACTTTTTCTCTATTATTTTCATCTCTTTTCTACTTTCAGAAACATTTCCTTCAAAGCTTTTACTGGGTTTTTCATTTATGCAATTATACCTTTAACTTCCTAGAAATTTGTTTCCTGAATATCCCTTTTTGTATCACCCTATTTTGGTTTCCTGGATACAATCTATTTTATCCTTTTGAGAATGCTAAGAATCTCTTTAGATGGTTTTCTTTCTTCCCAAGTATTTTCTTTTCCTTCCAATTTTTCTTTTCTGTGTCCTTGGTTTAGTCAGTGTTCTCATATTAGGAGTTGAACCTCAATAAATTTCCCATTTAAGAACAAGACACTAAAAAAGCAGATTGGAAGTGAGGCAGTAACTGTGGTCTTGACTGTAGCATGCTCTGATTGAGCTGGTCCTAAGAGAATTCTTAATGTCAGTAACGTTAAGTCTTCTCTCCTAGGTCAATCTGCTTTTCGAAAAGATACTTTAGCTTTATCTTTACTCCTACTTTTTAAAATACTCAACATCACCAACTACTTTCAGGAGTTCCACACTGTAAATTGGGTGCTTCTCAGTTATTCCCACTGTTAGCATTAGCTTTCTTGGGTCTGCTAAATTGCCTTCAAACTACGAAATTTTATCACTGTTACCTCCTCTTCTGGTTTTGGTCCTTTTGGCATATGTCTTCTTAGAAAATCCTTTTACTGTCATTTTAGTTGAGGATAAAAATGGAACAGACCTTAATGGTTGCATTTAATCCGCCATCTTTTACTGGAACTCTTGCTTCCAGTCCTGATTTTAAGATGTTTGAAATGCTTAGGAGAATCTAATTTACTACATTTATAGGTTTGATTTATTAGTTTTACAGAGGTTAAGTGTTTAGCAAGCATTGGCTTATTACACTTTAAGTTTGTCCTATCAGGCATTTAAAGTGTTTGTTAAAAATCATATAAATTTGTAATTTAGCTTGAAGTATTTAAAGAAGTTTAATAGGCTTGTAAATGAGAGTAAATTTTGGGGAACTTAACCCATTAGAGTCACGAGTCAGTGGAATCAAGTGACTATATTTTATATGAAAAATACTTAGCCTTATGAATTGCCCTTAAAGCTTAAGGAAAAACTATACTTTCTAATTCATACTCTGTTTATGAAAGTTATATATTTAGACACAAATAATTTTAGTCTTTTTCAAAAAAAACTCCCTCCTAACAACTAAAAACTTAATCAATAGGAATAAGTTTAAAATAGCATAACCACATTATGTCATAGAAGTAGAGAAGCAATGGAAATGGAACTTTGTTTTAGTTTTGGCTGAGAACCCCAAGGCTGAACACTGTGGGGAGGGTGCCAAATATATTCATATCCTAAAAGTGGTGCCAAGAGACTGTGACATTGGTTTGGTCCATCATGTCCCTGAAACGTATAAGACAATTGATAAGGAAGATGCTTCTCCAAAGTCTTATTATTTTATAAATTAGTAAGTTCTTTGTAAAATAAGCCTGCTTGTCAAGTGATAAGCTTTAGTGGTTATTTTCTAAAAAGAGGAAAAACAACACTTCTGTGGCTTAATAAGCTTTTTTCACTACTTTATAAAATGTGGTGGGTGTTTTTCCTCTAACTTCATTATTATTAAGCTTTGCTCAGAAACTCAATAAGGAATTTGTCTCTTTAACATTAACAAAGACTAAATTAAAATGTTGTAAAAGACTGCCTACTTTTATTTAACGCTCTCCATTGTGGAATACTACCACCAAGAAGAAATAATTGTAAGCTCTACAATGGCAGGCACAATTCTGTTTTAGTCATCATGCCAGCTAACCAGCATAGAGAATATGGGAAGAAAAACCTTGTTGTCCCCAGGTTTGCTATTTTCAGCTGCCACAAAGAACAAGTGCTTTGTTTTTAGTTTATTCTTAACTCTTACTCCTATAGTTCCAAATAATCTTGTTTTACCTAATAGGTCTTTGTTATTTTTATTTCTCTCCAAGTGAGCTGCCCTGGATTTTGAATTTTGATCAGTATTTACCTTCATATATATATATATGTTCCTTCATATATATATATATATATATATATATGTCAATAGAAAAAAATCTGTCTTGCTTGTTTTTTAAATCCATTATTGTTATAAATTATCTGATAGGTTTAGAAAATTTACTAGTCACTGGCTAGAAAATGATAATTTTCTTTTTGTTGTTGTTGTTTTTTAGGTTTTTTTTTTTTTTTTTTTTTGAGACAGAGTCTCATTCTGTTGCCCAGGCTGTGGTGCAGTGGTGCGACCTCAGTTTACTGCAACCTCCACCTCCCACGTTCAAGCGATTCTCCTGTCTCAGCCTCCCTAGTAGCTGGGATTACAAGCACCTGCCACCACACTCAGCTAATTTTTGTATTTTTAATAGAGACAGGGTTTCTCCATGTTGGTCAGGCTGGTCTTGAACTCCTGACCTCAGATGATCTGTCTGCCTTGGCCTTCCAAAGAGTTGGGATTATAGGTGTGAGCCATTGTGCCTGGCCCTGAAAATGATAATCTTCTTTTCTCCATACAAGCAATTTTTTAAGAATCTCAATATGGTTGTCTCAAGTGTGACATTAAATGTATTAGAAGTTCATTTTATTCATCTGCGTTCATGTTTAAAATGAAAAAAGACATTTACTTCTAGAAGCTTCTATGAATGAAACAGGAATTGGAAACCAGAAAAATCAAGTGACATTAATAGAAATAAGACAAATGTTTAAAAGGTTTTTTTTAAAAAAAAAACACAGAATCAAAATATTACTGACAACACACATATTCTTTTCTCAAAGTCAAAAGTTGGCAATTTCTAATACTCCATAAAAGGGCCACTAAACAAATATCCGAATCTACTATTATTTGCATAATACTCTATTTGGTTAATTTATACATTCCAGTAGCAAGACTCCGCTTGCCTCAACAAGTGGTTGACATTTTTTAGGCAAATGAAAAATTAAAAAAAAATAGAAAGGCATGATTTCAGAAACTTACTTCTCAGCTTCATGGATATTGGGCATATTTCCTTGGAATTCAGCTTTCTGCAGCAGTGGTTTGTCAAGTTCTCTTTCAAATGTTCTTGCTATTTCACCGGATTATTTCCATCCAAAATTCTAAATCTTTAAGTCTAGACTGTCTTTGAATAGCACCATATTTTTCCTCCATCTTTAGCAGACTATTGAAGTGAGAAGTCTACACCTTCCCACTTGTCTTCCTCTGACTAATTTTAAGAAGCTTTTAGTGCTGGGTAAGACAGTGGTAGCCACAAGAATGAGGAAACAAGCATGTGTTTTAGGTTCAAAAGAGCAAGTCATTCATTTACTTAAGGAATGTTCAGGAAAATATTTAGCTTCTGAAAGTGAACACACTTGAAAGGCTGGATAATATTTAAATATATTGGCCCTGCATTTTTGCTCACAAAATATTAGCTTAAGTCACATATTTCTTGAAATAAAAATTATATTGCATCATTAAAAAAAGAAAAAGATATAATGTTTTACAGACAATAGCAAGTGTTGGTGAGAATGTGGAGAAATTGGAACTGCCATGTACTATTGGTAGGATGTAAAATAATGCTACCACAATAGGAAACAGTATGGAGTTTCCTCAAAAAATTAAAAAAATAAATAAATACCATAGGATCCGATAATCTCAGTTCTTGGTATGAATTCCAAACAATTGAAAGCAAGGTTTCTATAAGATATCTGCATATTTATGTTCACAGCAGCACTATTCACTATTGCCAAGAAGTGGCATCAAACTACTTGTCCACCAATGAATGAATAGATATACAAATGTGGTATATATGTACAATGAAATATTATTCAGTCATAGAAAGAAAACCCTGTCATGTACTACAACATGGATGAACCTTGAGGATATTAGGCAAAGTGAAATAAGCTAGTCACAAGAAGATAACTATGTAAGATTCTACTTTTCTTAGGTATAGAAAGTGGTCAAATTCATAGAAACAAAAGAATTGAGGGAGGGGAAAAGGAGAGTTGTGATTTAATGGGTATAGAGTTTCAGATTCACAAAACCAAAACAGTTCTGGAGATGGCTTTTACTATTATGTGAATATTCTTCACACTACTGAACCATACACTTAAAGATGGCTAAGATGGTTTAAAAAAGACATAATGCTTTAAAGGATACTTGTTGAAATTATTCTCATGCCTATAGTTCTGTGCATTTAGAGTCACAGCTGCCAGTCAATCATACACAGGAAGAAAATGCTGGCCATCAGTATGCTTTCCAATCTAAATCATGAATAGTGATTTTATGCAGCTGGCGGGAAGTGTGTGGTCAATCAGAATGCACATGCTTCTGCTGTGAGCCTAGGATGATAAAAGCATTTGCTCTGCTGCCATGAGACCAGTGAAACTTTTTGGACTTGAAACCAATCATTACTACCCCAAAACTCACTGAATTGAAGAACTAGACAGATTGTGAGGGCTCAATTATATGAAATCAAGCATATATAGCATAGTGATTAAAAAAAAAAAGTGGGACCAGAAACAGCTTGAATTTAATTCCTGGCTCCCCTCCTTAGCTACTATGTGCTTTTGGACAAGTTATGTAACCTTTCTAAGCTTTAATCTTTCTTTCTTAAGTCTGGATGGTGAAAGGGTGATGCCTACCCTATGGGGTTCTCATGAGCAGTGCATGAGATGAGGCAAGGAAGTGCTCCAGAGCCAGCAAGCTCAGTCCCAAGGCTTTGCAACATCCTTCCCTGCACTCTCGTAGATAATCAGACATGCATAAAGTCACCTAATTCTCTCAGTTCAGCCTATTCTTTCTAGCTCATTTTATTTAGCTAGAAATAGCTTGCTCATTTATTTCAGCAGGCCTGGAAAGCAGCAAGGCCAGAGCTAATCCAGGGCCTCAGGTAAGATGAAAGGACACACAGGAGAGCCAGAAGTTTGAGGCAAATCAGGGATCAGGAGTTTCGAATGTCAAACACTAGCAATTACAGGATTTCAGGCAGGAAGTGACGGGTTTGAAGTGAACACTGTACAACCAACTACAGCCATAAATAGGGAATTACAATGAAACCCAAACTGTAAGCCAGAAATGTGGCCCAAGGCAAGCCAGAAACCCAGAGTCAGTTCAGAAGGGTATAATCAAAATAGTCCAGCTAGAGAAAGGCAAAAAAGGAGACAGTCAAGAATTTTAGGAGCTTTGAGAGGACATTCCCAGTCAGCAATAAAGAAGGTGGTATTGGGTATATTTTCATACTAGGCAAAAAAAAAAAAAAAGAAAGAAAAAGTGAGGTTACCTAGGTGGTCACTAAAGTCAAAGATGCCACTATAGCAGTGGTTGGAACAGGCTGGGAACAGGGTGGGAATAGGGTAAAGAGTAAATGGGAAGCCTGGATAAACTTGATAAGAGCAATGCAAACACCATGTAAATACCACTGAGCTGATGAATATATAACCAGGTGTGCTGACTATTTTGCCAAGTAATGAATTTAGTGCCCAGAGTCTAGAACTCAGATGCAAGTGGACTAGAAATTAATCTATTTTACAAATTAATAATTGTATTTTACAACCACATTAAATCTGTAAATTGTTTTTCTTCTTGTCCTCCTGTCACAATTTTACAATGACACACACAGTATACATAGTAAGTCCTTAATTCCTTAAAATGTTGATAAAGGAGATATGCTATGCACAAGAATTTACTATGACTTATGTCTCTGAACCACATAGAACTACAAATATTATGTATATGAACTCATTTACTCGCAAGTTAAAGTTTGGATAGCTTCTATCGGAGTTACCATATGAGTATCCCTGTTAACTTATACACAGGAATATTAACTGGTAGGAAAATTATCTTGTCAAATCCCAGTATCTGCTTTAAAAAACTCTACTGTATCAATCAATGTAGTCAGGAGACAGGACAGAATATAAAGAATAATGGAGGTATCAAGTTGATGACACTAAGTTATCACAAAGAAAGCAATAGCAGAAAACAGCTACTGACTCAGGGGCTAGGCAGCAAAGGGAAATAGTTGGAATTATTAAAATACAGAAGCTTAGAGAAGGAACCCTGCACATGGCTGCTGATAAAATACAGTAAGCACAGTTAAATATGCAATATCGGGAAACATACTTATACTAAATGTTTATTCATTGTTTACCTGAGATTGAAATTGGGTTTCCCATAATTTTATGTTAAATGTGACACCCCTAGCCCTGTGAAGCCACAACCCAGATTTCTACAAAGGGGCACCGGCCAACTAATGCTGGCGTCTCTGAAGAGCAGGGTACAATGGAGCTGGTTCTGCAAATGTTAGAAAAACTGCAAACTGAATTCAGTAGTTGCTGCTGGAATGAACCCTTGTTGCCACAGCAAGGAAGGGTAGCTGGAGAGGAGATACAGGAACTACAAGCGTACCTGAAGTGAATTCCTCCTCCCAGTTCCGGCCTTGCAGCTTCCTTCTGGAGCCCCCTACTGGCAGGGCCTAGCAGGTGGCTGCTGGCAAAGCAGAAACTTGGGTTGCAGGAACTCAGCCCCAGCATCCTGAGGCTGAACAGAAAAGGGTAGCTTTGGCCGGGCGCAGTAGCTCACGCCTGAAATCCCAGCACTTTGGGAAGCCGAGGAAGGTGGATCACCTCAGGTCAGGAGTTCGAGACCAGCCTGGCCGACCTGGTAAACCTTGTCTCTACTAAAAATACAAAAAATTAGCCGGGCGTGGTGGCGGGCACCTGTAGTCCCAGCTACTCGGGAGGTTGAGGCAGGAGAATGGTGTGAACCCGGGAGGCGGAGTTTGCAGTGAGCCGAGATGATGCCACTGCACTCCAGCCTGGCTGACAGAAGAGAGACTCTGTCTCAAAAAAAAAAAAAAAAAAAAAAAAAAAAGTTAGCTGGGCATAGTGGCGGGCGCCTGTAATCCCAGCTACTCGGGAGGCTGAGGCAGGAGAATCACTTGAACCTGGGAGGTGGAGGTTGCAGTGAACCAAGATTGCACCACTGCATTCCAGTCTGGGCGACAGACAGAGACTCCATCTCAAAAAAAAAACAAAAAACAAAACAAAACAAAAAAAACGGATAGCTTTGGGTCTGTGAGACAATAATGTAAAAACTGACATATATATCCATTGTAATTTATAATTTCATGGAGCAAATACTGTAGTTTAATTGTTCATGTTAGTTTAGAAAGTCTGCCGATGACTATTATTAAAGCTCATACATTTAATAATTTTCTGGAAAATACTATAAATTCTTCGAAGTAAAGGTAGTTGAAAGTTACTCCTACAAAATAGAAACAAAAAAGTTCGAATTAAGAGATACTACAAAAACAATTTACATAAACATGCCACTCTCATATGCAAGATGAGTGTATATAAAATTTAAAAATATTTTGATTAAAATTGTTGGGATTCTACCAGCTTGAAATGTAATTTTACTTTCTATAGTGTTTTCAGTATTTACACAGCATGAGCACACTAAATATGTGATGATGTTTGACTTACTGAATTTGAGAATTTTCTTTCTAATGCCATCATAGTCACTATGATCATTATTTTATAAAACAAATAATTTAAATATTACTCAAGAGACATCCTCAAAAGACCAATGCCTAAATAATGATTTTTAAAATCACCCCTAACTATGAGTTTTGAATTTCTGTTGTTTACCTTTACATGTTACATAGACTGTACATTTATTTTTACTTTGGATAAAAATCTTCAACAACAGATAACTTTCCCAGGTCTTCTGCAATAAAGCCTGTGGCTCTATTTGATGTTTTCTTTTTTTTTTTTTTTTTTTGAATAACTGTGCTACCATTATAAGCACAAATAACTGTATAATTCTATTTGTTAGTAATATACAAAAGAATAATTTCTACTCCTAAAATTTCCAGAATGTTATTCTAAAAATAACATAAAGTTAATTTTCTTTATTAAGGTAATACATCATATACATTTTAGAAAATTTACGAGATACAGAAAATAATCTTACTGTTCCTAAGAACAGTACTTCCAGGATATCTCTTCAACTATTTAAAACCATATTTGTAATTAAATTCTATCTGCAAAGTTATATCCAGCTTTCCCTCTTAGTATAAAAGTGATTTTTTTCTGTGACATTAAAAGTTCTTGTAAAAATAATATAAGGACTTCTTAATAATCTTTGAATAGATGAGCTATAATTTACTTAAACTCTGTTATTATTAAAAACATCACCATTTTAAAAAACATAATTTCAGGGTTTTGTGTGTGTGTGTGTGTGTGTGTGTGTGTGTGTGTGTTATAAACATTTCTATCTCTTCTCTTTGTCATTTTCTCAGTGACCATTATTTGTTGTTAATGTGTCTGCTGCTCCTTTCTACTTTGCTGTTTTTAATCTGCCACGTATTTGAAAATCATATAATCAAATGTGTTAGGATTTTATCTAGGTTAAGAATTAATGTGCTTTGAAATAAGAATTTAAAGTCTTTCCTTCTGAGAAAACTGCATGAGCTTTGGCACATAAGTGAGGTGTCATTTATTTCAGTAATCAGTAATTCAAGCCCCTTTCTCTTTTTTTTTTTTTTTAATATATTCTTCAAGGTTCTTGGATGGATCAAGTTGATTGCTATCATTAAATTAATTGTATATCATTAAATGTAGGGGTCATTAAATGAGATATCTTCATTTACTTTGTACCTGCCTTCATGCTTAACACAGGCAGGACTGTTCATATTTGCATTAAAACAAGAAATGAATACATGATCAAAATATGAGAATTTAATCATGGTAACATTGCTGGTACATGTGAAACCATAGGAGGTCTCATCAGTCATCAAGGGGCTGTGAATGTCCATTTTCATTTAATTAACTGAGTCAAATTTATTTAATTGTAATAATGCTAGTGAGGGTGATATGAAAAAAACTAGTAGAATTAGTTTAAGAAGAAATTTTCACAACACTTTTTGGAAAGTGATTTAGCAATATAGATTAAGAGCCTTTAAAATTTCCCTACCATTTGAGCTTATTTCACCTTTAAGATTCTATATTAATAAATACAAAATCAGATAAAATTTATGCATAAAGATGATGATAGTAGCATTATTAATACTAATAAAGACTGGAAACTCTAAGCATCTAACATCAGTAATATGTTGAAAAAATTCTGGAACTTCTACAGGTTAAATTAACGCAAATGTAAAATGATATTGAGAATCACATTTTAATGGTGTGAGAAAAATGTATATTATTAATATCAGGATAAATAATGCAAAACTGAGTCCAATTATGTAAATGAAAAGTCACATGGAGAAAAGCCATAAAAAACCAACTAAAGATAACTTAATGGTTATCTCTGGCTAACGGAATTGTAGTTGATTGTCATCTTCTTTATTTATTTTTAGTATTTCCCAAACTTTTTAAAAATGGGCATTCAAAAACATCAGAAGTAAAGAGTACATGTTATAATTTTTTACATGCTGGAATCTAGAAGTCATGGTAAGCTGCATTAGAAGCACTATTTTCATAAGTGTATAAGAATCTTATGTTCTTTCCATGGTTATTTCTATTTGGACAACCTGGCACACTTACTGGGAGATCTGGACAGATGCCCCTTACTTAGCTTTGGTGGATGGGGCATAGCCCCTGTCCTTCAGAGGGTCTGTGCCAAAGCCTTCTTGCTTTCTCCCTACTGTCTATACTCACCTTTTTCTATGAAGATACAGGGTTTAACTGTGCCCAATGCTGTCCAGTAAAGGATCTTATCTCCTAGACTTACTTAGTGCTAGGTGTGGCCATGTTTGTGGCCAATGAGAGATAAACAGAAGTGATGTGGCAACATTTGGGTCATGTTTCTACAAGGAGGGTTCTGTGTCCATCCTTCATTTCCCCCCTTTTTTTCCACTGGCAGATGTTGGAGTGGGAGAGAAGTTACCAGCAAAGGCTTTTTAGACCTAGAGATGGGAGTTGAATATTAAGGAAGCCAGAGGAATTAGGAGAATCTACCCTTGATACCAAAAAATCTGCCCAGGAGGTTACTTATCTTCAGACTGTTGTGTGAGACAAAAATAAACATTTTGGGGCTTTTTTATAGGAGCAAATTAGTATCCTAACTGTTACTGCTTCTATCTGGCAGAAGCAGCTGGATTTTGTTATTATTCTTAGAATATTAAGTTACCATTAATTACCCCCAAACTAAAATCACTATATTTAGTAGCCATTTCCCAACATTTAAATAGCTAATCTTAAATAGCCCATTCTGTAGGCCAATTAATATAGCAGTTTGCGAGTGCAGAGTGCCATGCTACTTGAAACCAGATGTCTCAGAAGCCATCTAAATTTCTTCTAAGAATGAATGCTTTCTTTTTTTTTTTGAATTAAAAATTACCCATTAAATGCCACATGGCCCAGAATCAACTGATGGAGAACATTCAAGGAATTTATTTATTGAGAAAATGTTGTGAATACTTTTAGGTTACATGGTTTCCCATTCTAGTGTCCAAATAAAAATTAGATTCTCAAGTCTTCACAGTAGAAATCTGGGTACTTCAGATCAGACATCTTAAGCATAAAGACATCTTGCTTTACTTATCTTAAAATGCTGCACTACAGTCCCTTCTTAGAGAACTTAAACATGAAGTCACAGCAATATAATACTGCTCAAGCATTTACAATGGCTTTATTTGAAGAACTAATGGATATATTAGCAATCTAGTCTAGATTCTTCAAATCATGTCTTTCATTAAATTAAAACAAATATGTATACAAAAAGTCAGTATTTGACCAGTGTTTCTGAGCTTTTTTAGCAGAATCATTACTGAATACAGCATCTCTGCTTTTGGCATTTCACTCAATAAACTCTTCCTTGAATTTAATTCCTGAAAGTATAACACACACTTCAAGCTTTCCGTGTGTGTGTGTGTGTGTGTGTGTGTGTGTGTGTGTATGTGATGGTTAATTGTAGGTGTCAACTTGACTGAGCCATGGGGTGCCCAGACATTTGGCCAAACATTATTCTGTGTATGTCTGTGGTGGGGCAGGGGTGGGGTGGTTCTTGATGAATTTCACATTTAAATTGATAGGCTGAGTAAACCATATTGCCCTTGCTAACGTGGATGGACGTCATCCTATCATTTGAGGACTTGAATACAACAAAAAGATTTAGTAAAAGGGAACCCCTCTTGCCTGACTGCTTGAGCTGGGATAATAATCTTTTCTGGCTTTCAGACTCTGACTGAAACACCCAGTTTTCTTAAGTCTCCAGTGTAATAACTGTGGACTAGAACTTACACCATCATGGTTCCCATGCCTTTGATCTCAGACTGGAACTACACATCAGCTCTCCTGGGTCTCCATTGGCTTGCTTGACTACAGATCTTGGGAGTTCTCAGCCTTCATAATTCCATTAGCCAATTCCTTATAATAGATTCTGTACTAATAAGAAGGGGCTGCTGTAACAAATACTTAAACACGTGGAAGTGGTTTTGGAACTGAGCAATGGGTAGAGGCTGGAAGAATTTTGAGATGCATAGCAGGAATGTAGATGTAAAGGGTGATTCTAGTGATGTCTTAGACAGACATGAAGAAAACGTTATTGGATACTAGAGAAAGAGCAGTTTTTGTCATGTAGAAGCAAAAAAAATCTTGGCTGAATTTTGTTCTAGGGTTTTGTGAAAGTTAGAACTTGCATGTGATGAAATTCAGTGTTCAGCAGACGAGATTTCCAAGCAAAATATCAAAGGTAGGGCTTGGGTCCTCCTTACTGCTAACAGTAAAATGCAAGAAGAGAGAAATAAATTGTAGAAGCAATTTTTAAGCATAGATGCAAGAGCTTGGATATTTGGAAGATTTTCAGGCTACCTATATTGTGAAAAATTGAGAAAGCTTTTTCTGAAGAGAACACTAAACATGTGGCCTAAAAACAACTTGATAAAGAGATGGTGAAAACAATGGATTTAATCAGCCATCCCAGCGGAAGCCAGAAATATAGATCAGATTATACCATAGGGGTCATTACCAGTTTGAACTGAAGGGATGGAAGCTAGGTAAAATGAAGGAAGGCTGTCAGACTTTTTGGAATCTATAGGATGGAACCATTGAGTTATTTGGTTGTGAAAATGCACTATTCTTCAAGAAAAGAGAAGGATGATATTGAAGGTGATTCCGAAATCACCAGGGCTGCCACTCCCATCACAGGCAGAGGGGGAAGAGTTGTTTCTTATTCCATTTGAAAGAGTGGGGACCCTGCAGAGAGCCACAGGGGCAGCAATCCCAGGCCAAATGGGCAGGGCTACCCCATCAAGTCATGGGAGTGACATTGCCATCTCTACCTGGAGGGCAGAGCATCAAACCAAAAAGGACTATTTTTGAGCCTTAAGATCTGATGATATTTGCCTTGCTACATTTTGGACTTGCTTGGGACCCATCATGCCTTCCTTCTTTCCTGTTTTTTTTCCTCTTTTGGAATGGGAATGTCTATTCTATGCCTGCCCACTCTTGTGTTTTAGAAGTGCATAACTTGTCTGGTGTCACAGGTTTATAGCTGGAAAGCAATTTTGCTTCAGGATGAATTCGACTTCTAGTCTCACCCGTATCTCACCCCTATGATTTACATGAGAGTTAGATAAGACTTTGGACATTAGAGTTGATCTTGGAATGAGTTAATAATTTGGGGGCTGTTGGGATGGAATAAATATATTTTGCATGCAAGAAGGACATGAATTTTGGAAGGTCAGGGGAGGAATGCTGTGGAGTGAATTATGCCACACCCCTGGCCGCCACCCAGTTCATATGTTGAAGCCCTAGCTCCCAGGGCAATGGTATTTAAGGAAGGAATCTTTGAAATATAATTAGGTTTAGTTGAGGTCATGAGGGTCAGGCCTTCATGATGGGCACCAGAGAGGTACCACAGAGCTTTCTCTCTCTCTGTCTCTCTTTCTCATGTAAGAACACAGTGAAAAAGCAGCTGTCTACAAGCCAGGAAGAGAGCCTTCACAAGAACCCAACCACACTGGCACCCTGATCTCTGATTTCCAGACTTCAGATTGTGAGAAAATACATTTCTCTGGTTTAAACCACCAGTCTATGATATTTTGTTACAGCAGCCCGAACTAACTAATGTAAAACCCAATGTTTCCATTTAGTTGTAGCTACCTTGGTGGATATCTGCCTTTTTGGCCACCTAGCATATATTCCTCTTGCTCTTGGTGGTAGCACTTCCATTTGTTTACTGGTTCCAACTCTTTGGAACAATGTGTCCCGTGTGCTTCAAGGGTAGCTGGCTTGACCTCTGAATTAGAATCTTTGACTCAAGTCTAAGCTAATTGGCATGACCCCATACCAAGCTGCATTACTGGTATAGAATGGGCAAGTGCTCTAGGGTGATTTGTTTAGGTCAAAACTCAGTAATTTTGTTTGAGAGTGAAAAACCTGTGCTCTTGTTTGCTGAATGTGAATAAGATAGCAGGTATGAGATTCAAGTTCCCAACTGTTCACAGTAGAATGTTGGCTATTTAGATTGGACAGCTTAATCAGGAAGAAACCTGAATGTCAACAAGACAGGCATCTGGGGACAATGAGGTAGGAAGCCTGCACAAAATGGAGTCAGCATGAAGGAAGCAGAGTCAGGAAATGAAGACAGCATGAAAAAGGGTCCTTCTCACAGGATGGAAAAGGGTTCTTCTTGCACCATTTCAGAAGAGAGAACAGTCTCAAGTCAGCTGACCTCTGTACTTCAGGCACATGTGCCTGTGAACTTCTCTTATTATTTATATCAATTTGAGATAGAGTTTCTGTTACTTAATCTTTCTAAATTCTCCATTTTCTCCCCTCCAATTTCACCCTATCACTCAGGCTCCTTCCTAATCGTTCATGTTGGTTACTTCATAAAAAGTGAAATCATATCTAAAGCTCTTGGTAATCATCATTTGATCATATCAAATTGAGCTCTATGCAATACGGCAAGTACAAAGCGGAGCACTATGCAATACAGAAAATACAAAGTCATTGGTCCTGGACTTCCAGGACTATGTATTCTAAAATATCTTCAAAGGGGAAGAAAATCACAAGTATGGAGATGTAGACACAGTGGAAGCAGCATTAATGATTTTTCTGAATGTCAAAGTCAGAGAACATAAGGAAGCACTACTGGATATTATCAGATTTATTGTTCACATTAAGAGTGGATGATAAAAACACAAGCAAGAATCATGGCCAGGGGTCAAACTCAGATCAAAGCATCAAAGCTTCACCATGACAGTGCACTGACAAGAATGCAGCAGCTGTGAAAATTATGTAAGGGCATATTCAGATGCTGTATGTTCTGGTTATTTAAAAGCATTTGCACCTAGAGATATAAATAATAATCTATTTACCTTAGGAAAACAGCTCCCACACAGACATTTCACATTTGATTCCATAATGGGAGACTACTGTACAAGCTACAAATGTTCCACAAGGGTTTTTATGGATTTCATAACAGTTTAGAATTAATTTAAATGGGCATTGTAAAACTATCTGCATGTAAAACATTATTTACTGAAAGTGATACTGACGTAGAATGGTAAAATGTCAAAGTGAGAGAATTCATGTGAATGTCAATGGACAATTTATATGAACTTTCCTGTCATTTCTCCTAAATTAATCAAATTAGTAAGACAAGACAGAACTCTCTTTATACCGATTTAGTGAGACTGCATCTTCGCTGGGTTATAGGATCTTGTATATCTGGAAAAGGGTTTGGAAAGTTGTCGTGGGCTGGTAACATAGCATGAAGAATGGATGTTCTTGCCGTTCAACACTTAGGATGCGATGATTTGCTTTTTAAATGTGTTTTTTATTTTTATTTTTCAACATAATACCTATACGTGCAATTGCAGAAAAATGCTCAATCTCAGTTGACTGGATTGTAAATTGATATAATCTTTTAGAGAACAATTGGCAATATGTAATGATTCCCTAAATTGTGAGTAGATTACTTGAACTTGGCAACTCTCCTTTTAAGAATTTATCCAAACAAAATCATTGAGAAGAAAGAAGAAGGGGGGCATAGGTTTGTTTGCATGGGTGTTGATTAAAACACTGTTATGGGGGAACAAAACACAGAAAGCCTGACAAGTCAAAGTAGGAAATAAATTAAGTTTTGATTTTATCTATATTGTAGAATACTATGTGATCATTAAAAGTGATGCTGCAGAATTGTATTTATTGACACAAAAAGATATATGGAATATACTAAGTTTAAAAGGGTATCCAGTACGTACCCTGTGTCCAGCATGTTACTGAAAAACAGATATCAAAGCAAAGCACACCCCAGCCTTTATAGAACACTTATTCTGATGCTTACATTAGAAATATATAGTATTAACTCTTGTTTTGTACACGTTTTACATAATGTTTACATGTAGTTAGAAAATATAGGAAGTTATATAAAGTAGCTCTCCCTGGACGGTGTGTTTATGCTTAATGTCTTACATTTATTTATTTTCTAGTATTTTGTATAATGAACAAATAATCATGTTGGTATTAATTTTAAAAATTGGGATATACAATAGCAAAAATAATTTAAAAATTGTTGGAAAGGAGCAATGAGGAAAGGTATTCTATCATACAGGAAGCATGCCACTTTCTCGTGATTTGGATGTATTTCATTTACAAAAGCAAACTGGATGTGAGACCTCAGTGACAAAAGGAAAAGGGAACAGCAGGAGGGACAACTCTCTTCAAGAGCTGCCATCATTCTTTTTACTAAGACAACTCAGGAGGAGGGGAAAATTGTCTTTTATGTTTTATCTGCTATAATTCTCATCTATATTTTATCATCCGTCTAGTACATTCTCCAGAATTGTAGTCTTTTCTATTGGGAGGAGAGGATGGAAGGTTTCATAGAAAAGGCAGATTTGAGAATTCTAAAATGATGGAATATAAGAAAAGAAATACAGCTTATTGAGGACTTGATAAGTGAAGAATCAGTATTGGAACTTTAAATACTTCCTTGTTTATTTATCGTAATCCCATGAGGTACGTGTTCTCCATTTTTTTCCAAATGAAGTAGCTCAGGCAAAGGTGTCTTGTTCATGTACATACAGCTAGGAAGTGAGAAAGCAAGATTTAAATTCATATCTGAGTCTGAAATGAGTCTTCCTTCTGTTACTTGATCAGTAGTGCAGAAGAAAACAAGATATAACAAAGTCACAGAATTTTAGATCAGGAAAGAATCTTGTATTCCTGAGGAAATGTGTTTCCATTTCCTCATTTTGTAGATGGGAACACAAAGACTCTGGAAGGCTAAGAAACTTTTTCAGGCTCACATTCATCTAGTACTAAAGAGGAATGATTATAACATGTCATAATTTGAATCATGAAGCAATGATTCTACTTTATTTTAGACATTGTTCAGTGGCTGTTAGTAAATTATTCAATGATGACATATCATCCAGATAGATCGCTTCATGCAATGAATTCCATTTACATTTTAATTGAAGATATTCTGTATTAACAAACTGGAATGGAGAGCTGCAGAAAATTATTTAAAAATTATTTAGTTTTCATTACCTTTATTTGGTTTGCATTACCCTTATCAACTCTTCCTGAAAACTTCATGTCCTAAAAGGATGCATAAAAGATACAGCTTTCAAATTATTTACTATTTTGACACACAAATGTAAGCTTCCAAATGTTCCTCATTGTAATAGCATTTGTATTTGGTATTACAGTAAATCTTGGCAGGCCAACTCCAGAAAAGTAACTCCTTATTTAGGTAATTATCTGGCCATCTGCTCATAGAAAAAAATGTAAACAGATGAGGCTAAAAAATGAATTTTAACTCATTCCTCACTGAAGTAAGCACAAAACAAAAGCCATGGCATTAAACTAAGTATCTCCCCCTTTTCAGGAAGCATCTGTATAAAGCACACACTGCTGATAAAATTTCAGAGAATCTGGTGAAGCGATGAGTAATCATTTTAAAACCTGAGGAATTTACCTGAAGTGTTTGGTCCACCTTTCCTGAATCTAAATAGATTCAATATCTTGGAAATCTCTATGTACACAGCAAGCATGTATAAAAGAAAAAGTTCTTCTCTTCTCTCTCCTCACTGCACCAAATGCACCAAGTTTGAAAACAAAATAATTCCATGAGAGGTAACATGAACACTTTCTTTTATTATTCTTTTTTTATTATACTTTAAATTATGGGATACATGTGCAGAATGTGCAGGTTTTTTACATAGGTATACAAGCGGCATGGTGGTTTGCGGCACCTATTAAACCATCATCTACATTAGGTACTTCTCCTAATGCTGTCCCTCCCCTTGCCCTCCAACCCCCGACAGGCCCCAATGTGTAATGTTCCTCTCCCTGTGCCCATATGTTTTCATTGTTCAACTCACACTTATGAGTGAGAACATGCGCTGTTTGATTTTCTGTTCCTGTGTTAGTTTGCTGAGAATGATGGTTTCCAGTTTCAAGCCCTGCAAAGGACATGAACTCATTGTTTTTTATGGATGCGTAGTATTTTATGGTGTATATGTGCCACGTTTTCTTTATCCAGTCTAACATTGATGGGCATTTGGGTTGGTTCCAAGTGTTTGCTATTGTGAATAGTGCTATAATAAACATGCGTGTGCATGTGTCTTTATAGTGGAATGATTTATAATCCTTTGAGTATATACCCAGTAATGGGATTGCTGGGTCAAATGGTATTTCTAGTTCTAGATACTTGAGGAATCACCACACTGTCTTCCACAATGGTCGAACTAATTTACACTCCCACGAGCAGTGTAAAAGCATTCCTATTTCTCCACATTTTCTCCAGCATTTCTTGTTTCCTGACTTTTTAATGATCACCATTCTAACAGGCATGAGATGGTATCTCATTGTGGTTTTGATTTGCATTTCTTTAATGACCAGTGGTGATGAGCTTTTTTTTCATGTTAGTTGGCCACATAAATGTTTTCTTTTGAAAAGTGTCTGTTCATATCCTTCACCCACTTTTTGATGGGGTTGTTTTTTTCTTGTAACTTTCTTTAAGTTCCTTGTAGAATCTGGATCTTCGCCCTTTGTCAGATGGATAGATGGCAAAAATTTTCTCCCATTCTGAAGGCTGCCTGTTCACTCTGATGATAGTTTCTTTTGCTGAGCAGAAGCTCTTTAGTTTAATTAGATCCCATTTGTCAGTTTTGGCTTTTGTTGCCATTGTTTTTGGTGTTTTAGTCATGAAGTCTTTGCCCATGCCTATGTCCTGAATGATATTGCCTAGGATTTCTTCTAGGGTTTTTATGGTTTTGAGTCTGACATTTAAATCTTTAATCCATCTTGAGTTAATTTTTGTATAAGGTGTAAGGAAGGGGACCAGTTTCAGTTTTCTGCATAAGGTTAGTCAGTTTTCCCAACATTATTTATTACATAGGGAATCCTTTCCCTATTGCTTGTTTTTGTCAGGTTTTTCAAAGATCAGATGGTTGTAGTTGTGTTATTTCTGAGGCCTCTGTTCTGTTCCATTGGTCTACATACCTGTTTTGGTAGCAGTACCATGCTGTTTTGGTTACTGTAACCTTGTAGTATAGTTTTAAGTCAGGTAGCATGATGCCTGCAGCTTTGTTCTTTTTGCTTAGGATTGTCTTGGCTATACAGGCTCTTTTTTGGTTCCATATAGAATTTAAAGTAGTTTTTTTCTAATTCTGTGAAGAAAGTCAATGGTAGCTTGATGGGAATAGCATGGAATCTATAAATCACTTTGGGGAGTATGGCCATTTTCATGATATTTATTCTTCCTATCCATGAGCATGGAACGTTTTTCCATTTATTTTTGTCCTCTCTTATTTCCTTGAGCAGTGGTTTGTAGTTCTCCTTGAAGAGGTTCTTCACATCCCTTTTAAGTTGTATTCCTAGGTATTTTATTCTCTTTGTAGCAATTGTGAATGGGAGTTTGCTCATGATTTAGCCATCTGTTTGTCTATTATTGGTGTATTGGAACACTTGTGATTTTTGCACTTTGATTTTATATCCCGAGACCTCACTGAAGTTGCTTATTAGCTTAAGGAGTTTTAGGGATGAGACAATAGGGTTTTCTAAATATACAATCATGTCATCTGCAAACACAGATAATTTGACTTCCTCTGTTCCTATTTGTATACCCTTTCTTTCTCTTGCCTGATTGCCCTGGCCAGAATTTCCAATACTATGTTGTACAGGAGTGGTGAGGGAGGGCATTCTTGTCTTGTGCTAGTTTTCAAAGGGAATGCTTCCAGCTTCTGCCCATTCAGTATGATATTGGCTGCGGGCTTGTCATAAATAGCTCTTATTATTTTGAGATATGTTCCAATGATACCTAGTTTATTGAGTGTTTTTAGCATGAAGGTGTGTTGAATTTTATCGAAGGCCTTTTCTGCATCTATTGAGGAAATCATGTGATTTTGTCATTGGTTCTGTTTATGTGATGGATTACATTTATTGATTTGCTTATGTTGAACCAGCCTTGCATCCCAGGGATGAAGCCAACTTGATCGTGGTGGATAAACTTTTAATGGCTGCTGGATTCAGTTTGCCAGGATTTTATTGAGGATTTTCACATCAATGTTCATCAGGGATATTGGCCTGTAATTTTCTTTTTATGTTTTTTCTCTGCCAGGTTTTGGTATCAGAATGATGCTGACCTCATAAAACGAGTTAGGGAGGAGTCCCTCTTTTTCTATTGTTTGGAATAGTTTCAGAAGGAATGGTACCAGCTCCTCTTTGTACCTCTGGTAGAATTCACTTGTGAATCTGTCTGGTCCCAGGTTTTTTTTGGTTGGTAGGCTATTAATTACTGCCTCAATTTCAGAACTTGTTATTGGTCTATTCAGGGATTTTAGTCGTGGTGGGGCGGGGGTGTGTGTGTGTATGTGTCCAGGAATTTATCAATTTCTTCTAGATTTTCTAGTTTATTTGCGTAGAGGTGTTTATAGTATTCTCTGATGGTAGTTTGTATTTCTGTGGGATCAGTGGTGATCTCCCCTTTATCATTTTTTTATTGTGTCTATTTGATTATTCTCTCTTTTCTTCTTTATTAGTATGGCTAGCGGTCTATCAATTTTGTTAATCTTTTCAAAAAACTGGCTCCTGGATTCATTGATTTTTTGAAGGGCTTTTCGTGTCTTTATCTCCTTCAGTTCTGCTCTTAGTTATTTCTTACCTTCTGCTAGCTTTTGAATTTGTTTGCTCTTGCTTCTCTAGTTTTTTAATTGTGATCTTAGGATGTCGATTCAATGTCTTTCCTGCTTTCTCCTGTGGGCATGTAGTACTATAAATTTCCCTCTAAACACTGCTTTAGCTGTGTCCCACAGATTCTGGTACATTGTGTCTTTGTTCTCATTGGTTTCAAAGAACTTATTTATTTCTTCCTTAATTTTGTTATTTACCCAGTAGTCATTCAGGAGTAGGCTGCTCAGTTTCCATGTAGTTGTGTGGTTTTGAATGAGTTTCCTAATCTGAGTTCTAATTTGATTGCACTGTGGTCTGAGAGACTGTTTGTTATGATTTCTGTTCTTTTGCATTTGCTGAGGAGTGTTTCACTTCCAATTACGTAGTCAATTTTAGAATAAGTGCTATGTGGTGCTGAGAAGAATGTATATTCTGTTGATTTGAAGTGGAGAGCTCTGTAGATGTTTATTAGGTCTGCTTGGTCTAGAGCTGAGTTGAAGTCCTGAACATCCTTGCTAATTTTCTGTCTTATTGTTCTGTCTAATATTGACAGTGGAGTGTTAAAGTCTCCCACATTATTGTGTGGGAGTCTTAGTCTCTTTTTACGTCTCTAAGAACTTGCTTTATGAATCTGGGTGCTCTTGTATTGGGTGCATATATATTTAAGATAGTTAGCACTTCTTGTTGCATTGATACCTTTATCATTATGTAGTGTCCTTCTTTGTCTTCTTGGATCTCTGTTGGTTTAAACTCTGTTTTACCAGAGACTAGGATAGCAACCCCTGCTTTTTTTTTCTTTTTTTTTTTTTTTTTTGCTTTCCATTTGCTTGGTAAATCTTCCTCCATCCCTTTATTTTGAGCCTATGTGTGCCTTTGCACGTGAGATGGGTCTCCTAAATACAGCACACCAATGGGTCTTGATTCTATCCAATTTGCCAGTCTGTGCCTTTTAACTGAGACATTTGGCCCGTTAACATTTAAGGTTAATATTGTTATGTGAGAATTTGATCCTGTCATTATGTGGCTAGCTGGTTATTTTGCCCATTAGTTGCTGCAGTTTCTTTGTCGTGTCAATGGTCTTTACATTTTGGCTTCTTTTTGCAGTGGCTGATAACTGGTTTTTCCTCTCCATATTTAGTGCTTCCTTCAGGAGCTCTTGTAAGGCAGGCCTGGTGGTGGCAAAATCTCTCAGCATTTGCTTGTCTGTAAAGGATTTTATTTCTCCTTCACTTATGAAGCTTAGTTTGGCGGGATATGAAATTCTGGGTTGAAAATTCTTTTCTTTAAGAATGTTGAATATTGGCCCCCACTCTCTTCTGGTTTGTAGGGTTTCTGCAAAGAGATCCGCTGTTAGTCTGATGGGCTTCTCTTTGTGGGTAACCCGACCTTTCTCTCTGGCTGCCCTTAACATTTTTTCCTTCATTTCAACCTTGGTGAATCTGACAATTATTTGTCTTGGGGTTGCTGTCTCGAAGAGTGTCTTTGTGGTGTTCTCTTTATTTCCTGAATTTGAATATTGGCCTATCTTGCTAGGTTGGGCAAGTTCTCCTGGATAATATCCTGAAGTCTGTTTTCCAACTTGGTTCCATTCTCCCTGTCACTTTCAGGTACAGCAGTCTAACATAGGTTTGGTCTTTTCACATAGTCCTATATTTCTAGGAGGCTTTGTTCATTCACTTTCATTCCTTTTTCTTTAATCTTGTCTTCACACTTTATTTCATTAAGTTGATCTTCAATCTCTGATATCCTTTCTTCAGCTTGATCAATTTGGCTATTGATACTGTGTATGCTTCATGAAGTTCTTGTGCTGTTTTTCAGCTCTATCAGGTCATTTATATTCTTCTCTAAACGGGTATTATAGATAGCCATTCCGCTCACCTTTTTTCAAGGTTCTTAGCTTCCTTGCTATGGGTTAGAACATGCTCCTTTAGCCTGGTGGATTTTTGTTATTACTCATCTTCTGAAGCCTACTTCTGTCAATTTGTCAAACTCATTCTTGTCCAGTTTTGTTCCCCTGCTGGTGAGGAGTTGTGATCCTTTGGAGAAGAAGAGGCATTCTGGATTTGGAATTTTTAGCCTTTTTGCACTGGTTTTTCCTCATCTTTGTGGGTTTATCTACCTTTGGTCTTTTATGTTGGTAACTTTTAGATGGTGTTTTTGTGTGGATGTCCTTTTTGTTGATGTTGATGCTATTCCTTTTTGTTTGTTAGTTTCCCTTCTAACAGGCCCCTCTGCTGCAGGTCTACTGGAGTTTGCTGGATGTCCACTCCAGACCCTGTTTGCCTGGGTATCACCAGCAGAGGCTGCAGAACAGCAAAGATTGCTGCCTGTTCCTTCCTCTGGAAGCTTCGTCCCAGAGGGGCACCCACCAAATGCCAGCTAGAGCTCTCCTGGATGAGGTGTCTGTCGACCATTGCTGGGAGGTGTCTCCCATTCAGGAGGCACGGGGGTCAGGGACCTACTTGAGGAGGTAGTCTGTCCCTTAGCAGAGCTCGATCGCTCTGCTGGGGGATCTGCTGTTCTCTTCAGAGCCAGCAGACAGGAACGTTTAAGTCAGCTGAAGCTGCGCCCACAGCCGCCCCTTCCTGCAGGTGCTCTGTCCCAGGGAGATGGGAGTTTTATCTATAAGCCCCTGACTGTGCTGCTGCCTTTCTTTCAGAGATGACCTGCCCAGAGAGAAGGAATCTAGAGAGGAAGTCTGGCTATAGCAGTTTTGCAGCACCGTGGTGGGGTCTGCCCAGTATGAAATTTCTGGTGGCTTTGTTTATACTGTGAGGGGAAAACAGCCTACTCAAGCTTCAGTAATGGTGGATGCCCCTCCCCCCACCAAGCTCCAGCATCCCAGGTTGACTTCAGACTGTTTTGCTGGCAGCAAGAATTTCAAGCCAGTGGATCTTAGCTTTCTGGGCTCTGGCGGGGGTGGGATCCGCTGAGCAAGACCACTTGGCTCCCTTGCTTGAGGTGTTCTAGGCGCCTCTGAGGTATGAAAAAAAAACTCCTGCAGCTAGCTTGGTGTTTGCCCAAATGGCCACCCAGTTTTGTGCTTGAAACCCAGGGCCCTTGTGGTGTATACACCCAAGGTAATCTCCTGGTCTGTGGGTTGAGAAGACCATGGGAAAAGCATAGTATCTGGGCCGGAATGCACCGTTCCTCACGGCACAGTCCCTCACAGCTTCCCTTGGCTAGGGGAGAGAGTTCCCCAACCACTTGCACTTCCCGGGTAAGGTGATGCCCCATCCTGCTTTTGCTCATCCTCCGTGGGCTGCACCCATTGTCTAACTAGTCTCAATGAGATGAACTCGGTACCTCCATTGGAAATGCAGAAATCACCCACCTTCTGCATTGGTCTTGCTGGGAGCTGCAGACCAGACGTGTTCCTATTCGACACATTCTAAAGTCAAGCTTGTTGTAGCATATTGTGTAAAAATGAGATGGCTGAAGTAGAGTGGTTTCATCAGAGAGTGGGATCTACTTGTTGTGGCCCCTGGAGAGTGTTCTGTGACTTCAGTGCTATTTGGAGCCAAAGTCACTCAGGTCAGCACCCCTGCTCAGCAGATGGGACTTCCAGGTCTTACAGATGCTTCAGAAGAATCTGAACCAGTTATCTGTCAAGGTTCAGGATGGGAACTACATCTGGATGTCTGCTTCGAGCAATCCTAGCCAGTTTTACACAACTCCCATAGAAGTAAAATGAGTAAGTAGGGAGTGTTGGTGCTATCAAGATGGGCTTAAGGGTGGATTTATGCAAAAAAAGCACAGAAGAAAAACCCTACCCAGCTTACAGGGCAGAAATCTGTAACCAGTGGATATCTTGAACTTGCCTTAGCAAGCTGCAGTACCTCTCTTTATTATCCAGGTTAGTGCCCTTTTACAACTGCATTTCCTCAGTACAGTGAATAGTTTGTAGCCAATGGTTTTCCAACTTTAGTACCACTAGGAATCATTTATTTAAAATATAGGCTCCTGGGCTGTACCCCAGAGATTTCTTCATATTACTATATTTCCTCTAGCTTTCTCCATATTATCTCTAGTTTCATGTTTCTCGGTTTTAACCCATGATGTCTTTTGAAATGGGGTGTGTCTCTTTTGCTACTTCAAGAACTGCATGTCTGTGCAAATCTCCACTAGCTTATTTTCTGTTATCTGAAAAAATGGAGGTTTTTGTCCCACTTGACAAATATAATTGCTATATCATTGAAATGCTGAATATGTTTTTTCAAGCTACCCATCTCTCTGTGCCCCATCAAAATTCCTATGTTGAAATCGAATCTGCAGTGTGTTGGTGCTAAGAGGTAGAACATTTGGGAGTTGACTAGGTCATGAGGTTCCGCCCCATAAATGGGATTAAGACCCTCATAAAAGAGGTGAGGGAGCCAGCTAGCCTTTTTGCCATGTGAGGATACAGCAAAAAGGACCCACACCATCTATGGGTCAAAACCCTCACCAGATATCAAGTCTGCTGGTGCTATGATCTTGGACTTCTCAGCCTCTAGTACTGTAAGAAATAAATTTGTCTTATAGTCTATGGTTTTACAGTATTGTTTTTTATTTTCTATGATATTATGTTGTAGCAGTCCAAGTGGATTAAGACAGAAATTGGTACCAAGAAGTGGGGAGATACTGTAACAAATACCTAAAAATATGGAAGCAACTTTGGAACTGACTAATGGATAAAGGCTGGAAGAGATTTTTATGTACATTACCAGGAAAATAGTTGTAAGGATGATTTTGTTGAGGGCTTAGAAGAAGAGGAGAGCTGTAGAGAAAGCCTCAATCTTCTTAGAGATTACCTGTGTGACTGTGATCAGAATGTTGTTAGAAATATGGACAGTACATGCCATTCTGATGAAATCTCAGATGGAAATGAGGAACATGCTACTGGAAGCTGGAGGAAAGTCCATCCTTGTTATAAAGTGACAAAGAACCTGGCTGAATTGTGTTCGTGTCCCAGTGTTTTGTGGAGGATAGAACTTCTGAGTGATTAAATGGGGTATTTCAGAGAATAAATATCTAAGTAAAGTGTTGAGAGCGTGGCATGGTTTCTCTTCACTGATTATAGAAAAATGCAAGAAAATAAAAATGAATTAAAGGTGAAATTTATAATCAAAAGGGAAGCCAACTTAAAGATTTGGAAAATTCTCAGGAAAAGACACCATCACTACCACCTTTTCTCCTAAGAATTGTTGCCCTATTTCCAAGAAGTATGTATATAATGTGTGCTTGTTCTTGATGTGGGTTTATTGGCATTTAGGGTAGGAGGGATGGACAGACACATGGATATAAGCAGTATACTTGTTGTGAAGATATAGGGAATACCAATGCTAATTGGGCCCTCACATCCTATGTGATTCATCTCACTTGTTGAATTCATCATCTTATGATTTTGGAAAAGATTTTCGGTTGTCTTGCAATAAGGTTGTTCCTAATAAAAAAAGTAGAATTCCACAAAACAGTAGTTTTACTGTGATTTCTGCTATTTTATGGGTATATTAATAAGATATCAAGATGCTTGGGGCAACCTGGACAGGAAAAGGATTGTAATATGAATGGGACAGGGCTAACATAGCCAACATTTAACCATTGTGTATCAGAATACTTTGTACTGGCTAATATATAGCTGCTGCCTTAGCCTTCCAATGGCCCTCTCCCTTGCTGTCCCGGATCCTCCATTTGGCCTACCAGGCCACCTGATTATCTAGGAACTAGAGGACTGTCAATCACCTGGCAGGGGGAATCCAGGGTGGTGATTCTGTACCAGGGCAGTGGCTTTGGAATTGCCAGCTCATAGAATTCTGAGTTTGATAAATGGTTGTTGTTTTAAGCTGCTGGCTTTTGGGCTGCTTTGGTACATAGCAATACGAAAAGGCTATGTGCTTTTACTCCCCAGAGTAGCCTCTTCAAGAGGGAAGCTTTTCCTATGCATATGTCCTAGAATTAGGAGTTCATTACTCATGTGATTCTCACAGTAACTCTGTGAAGCCATGATTGTTACGCCCACTCTGTACATGGTGAAATGGAAGTTTAGAGAGATAAAATGACTTCTTCCAAGTTAAAAAAATCTACTCAGTGGTAAAGCGGAAGTTCAAAGCCAGTCTGACTTCAAATCATAGAGATTAACAATCACAGTAAAATGTAATATACTTTGCTTTGCTCATATATCTTCAGTTTTCAATTCAGTTTCTGAGTTATGTTTAAATTATCACTTATTGATTTTTCCTTCTTTATTGAGATGGAAGTCTCTTCTTAAAAATAAAAACAAAAGGAACAAGGCAAGTCTCAACAAAGAACCCACTTCTGAGAGAAAAATTCTGTTACCAACATGTGTGGCCTTTAACCCTGCATAGGACAGCAGATTTTATGTACAACTGTAAGGGCTTGTTCTTGCAGCATTTTAGCTAAATTCATCATTAGGTGCCTGCAGAGAGAGCGAATAAATGCTAAGTCCCAATATTCCTTTTTGTTGCCAGAGTATCCTATGTGATGAATTCAACATGTGGAATCTAGGAAAAAAAAATTGAGTTGCCTTGCAGTAAAGTTATTCCTAATTTAAAAAAAAAAAAGTAGAATTCTAAAAAACAGTAGTTTTACCATGCTTTCTGCTAATTTATGGGTATAGAATTTTGTAGCTCAGATATACAAGCTTAGGAAATGCTACTCACCTGAGTTGCCTGTCAATCACCAACATTATTGAGGAAAAACTTTAGTCTAGAACTCTATGAATAACATAACCCCAAACTATATGATTTACATAATTAAAATTTCATTTTAACCTGAACATTACCTTACAGCTATGTATGGAATTATTTCCTATGCTTCAGCTTACCTTAAAAAGAATAGCAAGAAATGAAAATGGTTTTAAGTACCAATAAAGTGGAAAGATGTCTTTAAATCCTGTTGATCAGCTTTTCAGGTATATTTCCTCAATTAGAACAGGAAAATAATCTTAATTAATTGGAAGGGCTCAATGTAGGAAATGTTTTATTAACCACAATTAGAGCAAACACAAAGGGAGAAAGGAATTTGAGTTTGTATATTATGTGTGAGAAGAAAAAGAAAGAATTAGATTCATATAAGAGTTTGGGGAAAAAAGAAAACTGCAGGTGAGTATTTGTTCAAACTGCGTAAATATCTTCAAGGTTACAAAATTAATGAGGGAAGGGAATTGCTCAGTCTTGGATGATGAGAGCAAGAAGCCACGGCTCAAAGCTATGGGAGGAAAGCTCAGACTAGCTGTTAGGAAACACAGTGAGTTAGAAAGAACATTTAGTGGTGAAACATATACACAGAAAAGTGACTGTGAAGCAACACCAGCAGAATCATTACATAATCAGTGAGGAAAGATTATGTAAAACAGACTTGGCATTAGCTGGTCATCTTGCATAACAAGGGGCTTCTGATCAGCTTTTGCTGGAGTGAGTTTTCAATTCCTTTTTTGCCTTTTGATTCTTAAGGACATATGACTTCCTACTAAGCTCATCTTTCTGTGCATGATCTCATTTAATTAGAACAATTTGTGAATTAGATCTTTCTATAATCCTGTTTCCCAGATGAAGCAAATGAGGCTGAGAGATATTAAGTATTCCACCCAGCTCACACACACACAATAAAGGCAGAGGCAGGATTCATTTGGGATTCTCTACTTCTTGATGTTTACATGACTGGCTTCTTATCATTTAGGTCTTAAATTAAAAGCAATTTCCTTGGAGATGCTTTCCTTGATGGCCCAATCTCAAGTACCCACTTACTGTCCCACATCTCTCTCTGATGACATCATAAGGAACTTTTAAAAATTATTATTAGTAAGGCAAAATGTGCATAACATAAAATTATTGTAAAGTGGACACTTCAGTGGAATTTAGTGCATTTGTAACATTGTGCAACCACCACCTCTATCCAGTTCCAAAATATTTTCATCACCAAAAAGGAAGTATCATATCCATTAAGCAGTTGCTCCTCATTTTGGCTACCCCAGGCCCTGGCAACCATCAATATGCATTCTGTCTCCACAGATTGATCTTTTCTGAATATTTCATATAAATTGATTCATACAATATGTGACCTGTTTCTGTCTTACTTCATTTAACTAAGTTTTTTCAAGTTTTATTTACATCATAGCATCTATCAGTACTTCATTTCTTTTTATAGTTTAATATTCCATTGTGTATATATATATATATATGTACATATATATACGTATGCCTACACACATATACACAGACACACACATATATATATACACACACACATACACATATACATATACACACACACTATAATTTGTCTGTTCATCTGTTTATGGATATTTGGGCCGTTTTAAAATTATTTTTTAATAGTAATTTATCTGAAACTATCATATTCATTTATAAATTATTTATCATATTCATTTATACTTATTTATCATTCTATCCCTCTACCACTGGAATGCAAGTTCTATAGGTCAGGGACTTAATTGTCTACTACTCTGTCTTTAGTAATGAGCACAGAAAGCGCTTAGAAAATCATTAGTGAATAAATAATGGCCACAATTACTTATATTCCATTGGAATTGGGGATTTCTCATCTATAGACTCTTCATTTTCCTGCTACTACCAGCTGTGTGAAAGATCTCTTAGTAGGGCCTTAAACTTCACTATCAGAAGCTGGACCACACCTAGAATTTCTAGACAGCATATAATACTTCCCAAACTTTTCTGATAATAAAACTCATCTTGAGTGAATGTTAAAATACTATCCTCCCTGAATATTGATTCAGTAGATTTTTAGTGGGAGCCTCTACATTAAAATGCTCATGATCCTGGACCATTCCACAATATACTTATTATCATGCACATTTGGGAACCTTAGCTTGCAGCAGCAGTTCTCACCCATGACTTGCATGGAATTACCTGAAGAGCTTTTAAAAAATATAAAACAGTGGTTTCCAAGGGTAAGGGCAGAGGGAGAAATGGGGAGATGTAGATCAAATAACACAAAATAGCATATGTAGAATGGAGACATCGAAGGATCTAACGTACAACATGAGGACTATAGTTAATGTATTGTATTCAGGATTTTTGCTAAATGAGTACATTACAACTGCTAATGCCACAGGGACTAAAACTGGTAACTGTGAGATGATTAATACATTAATTTGTTTTATTATAATAACCATTTTACTATATAGATATCCTGTTGTATACTTTAAATATATACAATAACATTTTTTCACAAAGTTTAAAATAAATAAAAATATCAATTCCTTGGTCCTACTCTTGGACATTCTGCTTTAATCTGGGGTTAAGAATGAGCATTAAGATATTAAAAAATCTTCCCTGCTGATTCTAATGGACAACCAAGGTCAACTAACATTGGCTTAGAGCACTGGTTCTCATATAATTTGTGGGGATTTTTAAAGGTCCCAATGCCCAGGTTTCACATCTGGGGGTGACATAAGTCACTTTGTAAAAATGCTTAAGTTTCTATTTAAAAATAATTGTAGATTACAGTAAAGTTGCAATAATGGCATTAAGAGTCACCATATACACTTCACCCAGATTCCTCTAAAATTGTGTTACCTAACCATAGTGCAATTATCGAAATTAGGACATGTGACAGAATATTTTAACTAATCTACCGGTCTTATTTGAATATTACCAGTTTTCATAGTAATGTCCATTTTCTAGTTCAGGGTCCAATCCAGGATCCTGCATTAGATCCTGAAAATGGAGGTGAAATTTATATAACATAAAATGAATCATTTCACCCTTGAAAAATCCCTTGCGGAAAAAAACAATAACCATTTGGAGGAGTGCTGGCTATTTTGTAAGTGTCCTTGAATTACATCTGTCTGATGTTTTCTCAGGATTAAACTGGGTTATGCACTTTTGAGAAGGATACTGCAGAAGCCACGTTGTGGCCCCTCTCTGTATATCACATCCGGGGCACATGATGTTGATATGTCTTATTACAAGCATCCATCTATTTTCAAATTCTCCAGGTGACTCTAATGTTAAGTTTGAGAACCACAGGCATAGAGGATGTTATGGTGAGGGTCTCCAGCAACCCATGGTAACTCAAATCCTGGGACTTGGATGTTACAGAGATGATGAAAAAGAGAAAAAAAATTCCAGGATAATGAAAACTCATATATAAATGACTGGCATTTAGGTTTAACATTTTAAATTGAATGTTTACTACATGCTAGGCATTTTGCTAGGTTTTTGGAAACAATGATAAATGGGATATTCACTTGGCCATCAGGGAGCTTAAGGTAATGGGTAAGAAAGTATTTTTAGCATAAGATATCCAATGCGGAGGCACTATGAAGGCCTCCTGGAAGCGATGCTACTTGAGCCGAATCTTAAGAAAACTGGAGGCAAGAAGTGAAGTTTATGGTAGGGGTGGTGGAGGTGGATGTATAGATTATACACATTTTGCTCTTAGTATTATATAATGTTTTGGTGATTTTTAAAATCTAATACTGGAATACAAATTATATAAGAATAAAATTGCAGCTGGACATGGTGGCTCACACCCGTAATCTCAGCACTTTTGGAGACCGAGGCAGGTGGATCGCTTGAGCTCAGGAGCTCAAGACCAACCTGGGCAACATGGCAAAACCTGGTCTCTAGAAATCATATAAAAATTTAGCCAGGTGTGGTGGCACACACCTGTAGTCCCACCTATGGGGGAGGCTGAGGTGTGAGGATTGCTTGAGCCAGGGAAGTTGAGGCTGCAGTAAGCTGAGATTGCACCACTGCATTCCAGCCTGGATGACAGAACAAAACCCTGTCTGGAAAAAAAAAAAAAAAGAAGAAAATTGCATGAAAAGTTTACTTTGAGTTTTGATTTTTAAAGTACAAGACTTTAGGCTTATTTTTTTCCACAGTATGAATATATTTATTTTATTTTATTTTATTTTATTATTACTGTACTTTAAGTTTTAGGGTACATGTGCACAATGTGCAGGTTAGTTACATATGTATACATGTGCCATGCTGGTGTGCTGCACCCATTAACTCATCATTTAGCATTTATGCCTACAATTTTTTTTCTCTCTTTGGTTTAGAAAAATTTTCTTTCCTAAGATGCTGGCAAATACTTATAAAATCCTACTGCACACCCAGCACTCTGATCAGTGTGAGGGGAATAAAAGAGAAGGAGAATAAAACAGTCTTTGTTATCCAGGATGATATTATTTATTTGGAGAGACAAGTTGAAATCATCGACCACTATGACCACACTTGGGCTGAGAGAAAACATGTGGATTTAAGTAAACTGAGAACCCACCAATGTCACTATTGTTAAGAGAAATGAAATATTCATACAAATGAACTTAACTGCATTTCAAATGAATTTCATATCTGAAAATCTAAGGATAAATATAGTCTTCAGCCACCTCCATCCATCAGAAAAGCTATCTATTTTATCTTTTGCAAATGCAAGAGTTACTGAATCCTCTCTCAGGAAGACACAGAGAATAAATGAAATCATCATGCACTTTTGCTTTGTGGCTTTCCATCAATATATATGGCCAATTAAGAGCTAAATTTACAAAATAATCTCTATCAGGAGGCCTTAAGGTTTAATGTCTCTAAAGTCCCTATGGATCTAAGAGGCTTGAATGTACTGAATTCAAATTTGGTTTTTAAATGTTATAATAGTTTAGGCCCGAGAGCCACATATTTCTGCCTAAGAATAGAAAGCATAGCTAGCTGCCCACACAGAATATTCATATAGAGGTGGGGGGCAAGAACAAAATTTATTCATTTGATACATAGAAATGGGACTACTTAGAATAGACTCATAATAGAAAGCATCATCTGGTTTCTCATCTCAGCTGCAAGTCTTCCAACAACATGGATTTCTGCCATGTACTTGATCTACAGGCAAGCAGAAAGGGTGATGGCAGCTTTTACCAGAGGTAAAACTTAGTATCTCAAACTATGAATAAATCCTCCCTGTTCTCTTTATACAAGTATTCCCCTAGTATGAATGATCACCCTAGCTGATTCGGTACAAATGATTATTTATTGAACCCTGCCTTCCTTTTATTTTTACTTTTATTTTTTGAGACCAGGTCTCGCTCTGTCACCCAGGTTGGAGTGCAGTGTTGCAAACATAGCTTACTGCAGCCAGGACCTCCTGGGCTCAGGCAATCCTCCTGCCTCAGCCTCCCATGTAGCTGGGACCACAGTGCGCACCACCATGGCCGCTATATATATATAAATACACACACACACACACACACACACACACACACACACACACATATATATACACATATATGTACACATATATATATGTGTGTGTGTGTGTATATATATATATATATATATATATGTATAGTGGAGACAGGGTCTCACTTTGTTGCCTAGGCTGGTTTCAAACTCATGGGCTCAAGTGATCCTCCCGCCTCAGCCTCCGAAAGTGCTGGGATTACAGGTGGGAGCCATTGTGCCCAGACATACCCACTCCTTCTAAGTCAAATCTTCTTAAAAATTTAGTTAGCAGAGAAACAAAGAAACATCCCCAGGAAGTCCCTCTCATCCTCTCTCCTCTTTCTCTAAGATATTAAACTAAGACTTGCCTTCAGCATTTGAAACTGAATTGTTATCACAACCAAAAGCCAGTATTCAAGTAAAAGGCTACTTTATTTTAGCCTATATAAGCAAAAAAGTGAACCATATACTAAAGTAAATAGCTAATTAAAAGTTTATATATTTTTGTATTTATACCTTAAGTGAATAGAACTTTCAAGTGGATTTTCTGTGGCTCATTTAGTTTCTTAATCATTATGTTTCAACCAAATTTTGCTCATTTCAACAAGAAATATTCCCTAATCACAGCAATTATTGAGCCCTATATGGCTGGTTGTTGGTTGAATACGATGTTTAATTGACTATTTCCTAAAATAGATATAGTGTTCTGGAATGAGTGAATTTTCCAGATAATTTACCTACTTATTTTAAAATGTAACTGCTCTTGATGTTAAACTCTTTGAATTACATTACTCCAATTAAACGCCTAAATAGACAAAGGTATAACAGAATGGATGCACTGAGGAAGGAAAGATTTATTTGGGACTGGGAGTACGTTTCAGAGGACAGGTAGCATTTAAATTAAGTTTTAGAACATTAATAAGCTCTCAGGTCTAGATAGCTGAAGGATAAAAGAAAGGGCCATTCTAGAATAAACAATTGAGTACTTAAACATTTTAACAGTTCTTTTCTGCATTGCTTGGTCATCACTTAGTTTGGACTGTTAATTGTTCTAGACAGGGTGTATTAGTTCATTTTCACACTGCTATAAAGACATACCCAAGACTGGGTAATTTATAAAGAAAAGAAGTTTAATTGACTCACAGTTCCATGTGGCAGGGGAGACCTAATGAAACTTACAATCATGGAATCATGGTGGAAGGGGAAGAGGCATGTCTTACATGGCAACAGGTGAGAGAGAATGATCAAGAGCAGGGAAAACTGCCTTATAAAACCATCAGATCTCATGAGAACTCACTCACTATCATGAGAACAGCATGGGAGAAAAAGCCCCCATGATCCAATCACCTCCCACCTCATCCCTCCCTCAACGTGTGGGGATTATGACAATAACAATTCAAGACGAGATTCAGGTGGGGACTCAGAGTCAAACCATATCACAGGGGATTTGTTTCTACCATAGGTGAAATCCAAATGAGTGAGGCTTCTGGAGGTCTTACCCCCTTCCACCATGATTGTAAGTTTCATGAGGCCTCCCCTGCCATGCAAAACTATGAGTCAATTGCATGGAATGCTGTTGTGTGAACACACTGTGATTTCTGCCCTTGCTCTTCTTTGTCTAGTGTACACTCCGTGTTTTCAGAGTAGTGGCTATAACATTTTTCTCCATTGGAATCCTCAGAGACAGCACTCTGGGACTATCTGCTGGTGAACATCTGATGAGTCCATTACCAGTAGGAACCAAAATTAACACCACAGGTGACTGAATTCCACTTCTTAGTGGCATAATGACTTTGGGTAGATATTTAAGCTCTTCAAGCCACGTTTTTCTCATATGTGGCATAGGAATTACAATAGCATCTGCCTCACAGGATTGCTATAAGGATTAAATTAGATATCCAGGAAATGTTTATTAGCACAATGCCAGGCAGACACTAAGAGTTGAGAAGTATCAGTTGTTTTTATTCAAGGTGACCTCTGCTAAACAATGCTCTTCTCCAAAGCAGGAGATAAAATAGGATTGTTTGTGTTGTCCAAAAGTCATATGTTGACACTTAACACAAAAAGTGATGGTATATGAAGGTAACACCACTGAGAAGTGATTAGGTCCTGAGAGCAGAGCCATGATGAATGGAATTAGCACCCTTATAAAGGGACCCCAGAGAGCTTCCTCATCCCTTGCATATGTGAATACATTGTGAAAAGACAGTCATCTATGAATCAGGAAGCAGCCCTCACCAGACATCAAATCTGCAGGTGCGTTGATCTTGAACTCTCCAGCATCTAGAACCATGAAAAATACATTTCTGTTGTTTATAAGCCATCCAGTCTATAGTATTCTGTTATAGCAGTCTGAACGGATTAAGATAGTGATCATTTTAAAAATAGATATGAGGAAATTAGTAAGAAAAAACCCTTTGTGTCCTGTGCAGAAATAAAACTTCAAAGCTTTTAAAAATTAGAAGTTTCTAAATTGTGTTCATACATATTTGCTAATATTCAATATTTATTCACAAATTCAACAAGTGTTTACTGACTATTTCCTATATGTCTAGTCTCAAGTAAAGTGCTGGGGAGATAGTAATAAACGAAGTAGCCATAAATCCTGCCTTCCTGGAGCTTATGGTCTAGATAAGGATGTAGCTAACTGCAAAAAAAAAAAAAAATGTTTGATATGTTTGTGATGGGAAAATACAAGGGGGCCTGGGGGTTTTGCAGTAGGATTTGTGACATAAGAATTTCCTTTGCTTCAAGGAGCATTGCTTCTATTTAGGCTGTTTCAATTCTCTGGAGGAAATAGCCATATCTTAGATTTATTTCACTGGTTTTGTTTTTTTTTCCGGTGATCATGACTTTGAGGCAGGTGTAATCTTTGCAGGCAACAGAATTTCTTCTTTATGCCACTTTAATATATTCATGGATGTGCGGAAGTTATTTTTGTGTTGTGATCAATTTCAGTGAAAGGGAAAGATTCTGTGATTGGATGTTTAGACAAGCAATTCTTTTTCTGCAGCTGGTTTTAGGCTGCCAGAAATGGCACATTTTATAATATTCACAGACTACATTACCTCTGAATTCCCAAATATTTTGAGAACTCTAAAAATCAAATCCAAATCTCTTCATATTAATAGAAAATGACAAAGCAATAGTCAATACACATCCCACTAATATGCTGAGCACTCCTTTATATGTAGCCATTCCCTCCAAACTACTTCATCGAGTTCCTAAACATACAGTATACTAATAAATTAAAACTACTTTGGCTGCTTATAATTTATTGTTGAGCAAGAGAGTGTAAACTACTCTTTAATTCATCCTTACTTATTAGTTTGTGGAGGAAATAATATTTGCTCATGTTTCTTTTTGAGCTTTTTATATATTATAACATTTTTATAGTTGTTGCCTCTATAGCCTTATAATTTTCTTCTCTCTTTTTTATAGTGAGATATTAGAAAATGTTTAGCTATAAAGCAAGAGGGAGGCAAAGATAAAGTTAAAATAGAAAGTTTCTGGCCTGTTCCTCTTTGTGTCTACTTGTATGACCATAGGGACATTTTGGCTTGTTGGGAGGAGCACTGGACCAGGGGTCAGGAAAGATGTTAAGTAGTCGTTTAACCTAGAGTAAATCCCATGAATCTGAGTCTAGGTTTGCTTAAGGTGTAATGAGTAAGTCAAATGAGACAACTGCTGAGATACATTCTAGGTATAAAAATGAAAGATTCATAGCATTTCCCACTCATTAGGATGACTATTATTAAAAACAAATACAACAAACAGAAAATAAGAAATATTGGCAAAGATACGAAAAATTGGACTGTTGTGCATTGGTGGTGAGAATTAAAATTCCCACCATGAGAAACAATATGTTGGCTCCTCAAAAAATTAAAAATAGAATTTCCATAGGATCCAGGAAAGCCACTTCTGGGTATATACCCAAATGAACTGAAAGCAGGGACACAAACAGGTATTTGTACGTCCATGTTTATAGTAGTATCAGTCACATAGCCAAAAGATGAAAGTAACCCATGTGTCCATTGACAAATGAATGGAGTAAGCAAAATGTGACACAGGATGGAATAATATTCATTCCTAAAAAGAAAGGAAATCTGGCCAGGTGCAGTGGCTCACAACCGTAATCCCAGCACTTTGGGAGGACAAGGCAGGTGATCCACGAGGCAGGTGATGAGGTCAGTAGTTCGAGACCAGCCTGGCCAACATGGTGAAACCTTGTCTCTACTAAATGTACAAAAATTAGCTGGGCATGGTCATGTGCACCTGTTATCCCAGCTGTTTGGGAGGCTGGGCAGAAGAATCGCTTGGACTCGGGAGGCAGAGGTTACAGTCAGCTGAGATTGCGCCATTGCATTCCAGCCTGGGCAACAGAGTTTCACTCTGTCTCAAAAAAAAAAAAAAAAAAAGAAAGAAAGAAAGGAAATTCTAACACATTGTACAAAATGGATGAACCTTGAAGATATTATACTAACTGAATAAGCCAGTTACAAATGAACAAATGCTGGGTGAGTCCACTTCTATGAGGTACCTAGAATAGTGAAATTCAAGGACAGAAAATAGAATGATGGTTGCCAGTGTCTGGAGGGAGCGGGAATGGGGAGTTTAATGGGCACAAAGTTTCAATTTTGCAAGATGAAAATGTTCTGGAGATGAATGGTGGCGATGTGTACTTCATGCCACTGAACTGTTCACTTAAAAATGGTTAAAATGGGCTGGGTATGGTGGCTCACGCCTGTAATCCCAGCACTTTGGGAGGCTGAGGCGGGTGGATCATGAGGTCAGGAGGTCAAGACCATCCTGGCCAACATGGTGAAACCCGGTCTCTACTAAAAATACAAAAATTAGCTAGGCGTGGTGGTGCACACTTGTAATCCCAGCTACTTGGTAGGCTGAGGCAGGAGAATTGCTTAAAACCAAAGGCGGAGGTTGCAGTGAGCCGAGATTGCATCACTGCACTCCAGCCTGGCGACATAGTGAGACTCCGTCTAAAAAATAAAAACAAACAGGTTAAAATAGTAAATTTCATGTTATGTATGTGAAAGGAAAATAAAAACTTGGAACCCCAATTCACTATGCCAAAAGGAGAAAATTAAGTTGAAAGCTGAGTCACGCAAGCAACTGCTTTTCCTTTTATGCCTAAGCAAATAGCTGCAGATGAAAGTTAACTGTCTGCACAGGTAGCTTCTCTATGTTCACCTTACCTTATGTAGAGCACTGATTTACTGACCATGAGGGGAATACATCATTGACTGTTCCCCTAACTGCTCCTTTTTTCTTGCAACATTTTGATTCAGTAATGTGACCATACCCTTCCTCTTTTCCTTCCAGCTCGCTTTTCCCCTTTAAATACCGAAGGTCTCAAAATCATCTTTGGAGAAAAGTACAGACCTCTCTTCCAGGCACATCCTTTACCTTGGCAAAATAAACTTCTAAATTGATTGAGACCTGTCTCAGACACATGTTGGTTTACATATATGTTTACCACAATTTTAAAAATGAATGATCCTTTTTATAAATGTACTTAACAAATAACAAGTCCACTGTGTTAGATCCTGGGAATGCAATGACAGAAGTCTCCCCAAAGTGAGCACAGTTTAGCAGGGACAACAGCTAAGGGACATTCACGATGAAAGCTAAGCATATCCCCATGTGGAATTACATGCCAGAGGTATCTAACAAAAACTGTGGTGGGTAAAGCACGAAATGACTCAGCTACGCCTTGGGGTGAATGTCCTGTAGCCTGGTGAAAAAGACAAGACAGACTCTCGGGTAGAATGAGACCCTACCGAATGACACGTGACAGTCAACATTTATTTTGTTGAAATGTAATGTGTGAAGTGTTTAACATTTTTATTCCAAATGATTAACCAATTATACCTGCATCATTCAATTTTTTTTTTTTTTTGACAGAATCTCACTCTGTCACCAAGGCTGGAGTACAGTGGTGCGATCTCAGCTCACTGCAACCTCTGCCTCCCGGGTTCAAGCAATTCTCCTGCCTTAGCCTCCGGAGTAGCAGGGACTACAGCTGTGCACCACCACAACTGGCTAATTGTTGTATTTTTAATAGAGACAGGTTTTGCATGCTCACCAGGCTAATCTCAAACTCTTGGGCTTAAGTGATCCACTCACCTCAGTCTCCCAAAGTGCTGGGATTACAGTTATAAGCCTATTTTCCTTCCTTTACCTTTTGATCTGTGGGGCTTCCTTTCAAAACTAACTTTGTTATGTAAATCAAAGTCAGTTTTGAGGCAATTCTGTTCTACTTGTCTAGTCAGATATACTTTAAAGAAGATTTCATGAAGGTCTAATGGTTAGTTACTTCATCTGTGTACCACCGTTTTAATTATTATAGGTTTACAGTATGCTTGTGTGTCTGGAAGAGTGAAATGATTTTCATTCCTTTCTCCTTTATAATATCCACACACACTTTGCTTGTGTTCTTTATAGTTTTTTCTTTTGTTTTTGCTACCCAGTATAAAACGGACTTCTAAATTACCTTTGCTAACTTGTTATTGATAGTTATTGATTTTTGTACATTTATGTTGTTTTGGCTACTTTATTTAAGTCATTAGATCAAATAACGTTCCAGCTGAATGTCTTGTTTTCAGACAATCAATCACATTATCTAAAATAATCATTTTTATCTCCCTTTCAGTACCTTTGTTTCAAACTTCTGTTTTGTATTATACGGCAGTGTCTAGAAGAGTAGCTTTCAACCAGGGGTGACTTTGCCCCCAGGGTACATGTGGCAATTCCTGGGGACATTTTTGGTTGCCACAACTGGGAGCAGTGCTGTTGGCATCTAGTGGGTATAGGCCAGGGATACTGTTAAACAGCCTGTAGTGCACGGGACCGCTTTCACAGCAAATAATTCTATGGCCCAAAATGACGTTAGTGCCAAGTTTAAAAAAGTCTAATGTCAAACTTCCAGAAGATGTTAAATAACAATGGTAAAAGATGGGCAATATTGTTTCTGGATAATCACTTTTGCAGTAATAAACTCTAATAAGCTAATCCAAATCCGGATGGCGAAATTCCAGTCTATGTAAGTGTGCTGGCCATTGTGAAGGTTCTTATAATAGGATAGTCACAAAAAAAATTAATTAAATAATAGGAGATACTTTGGAGCTAATTGAGACTATTGTCTTGTTCCAAACTTTACAAATTGTTCCAACACAACCATATAATCTTTAATACAAACTTTCAGGGAAAATCCGTCTCTTGTGATGACGAGATTCAGCATTATATATTTTTTTCCATTATTTTTATTTGCAGAGGAAAACAGAATACTTTTTCGTAGTGCTATGTCAGTCAAAAAGAATGAAACATCACAAGAAGAGCATTGCTCTTTTCCCTACAGCTCTTTTCACTGATGTTATAGACATAATCGCTTTCCAATAGACAACAAATCAGATATACTGTAAAGAACATTTCCATGATGAGGTATAACCTTTTAGCTTCTAAAGCAAGATAAAGTGAAAACACTGAAATAGGTTTCTGCATGCTTCACCTTTTAATGTGATCAAACTTTCTAACAAAAATGCTCATACAGGCAAAGAAAAGCTGGACATTTCAAATCTCATTGATTGCTAAGGAACTCCCTTATTACCTGTGTGTTGCACATCTGCCTCCCTTTGGATTTATGCCTTGACAAGAACACCATCTTATAAATGAAAAAAAAAAAAAAAGAAAAAGAAAAAGCTTATCCTTTCTACAATTAAGAGACAGGATAAGAGTGGGTACATAAACATTCAGAGTGTTAATTTATTCAACATTACTCAGGCCAGTGCTTTGGGAAAAAAATAAAATTCTGCATAAGACTTATAGGAGCTGACTAGTGTGCTTTTTATTATATATATGTCAATGCAGTGTCATCCCTGACCTATTAAGCACAATGACCCAAAGAGTTAGAAGCTTGAAAACCACATTTTCCAAATTCTCCTAATAGTAAGGGCTCCATTTAAATTCCATCAAGGAGAGTTATTCATAAAAGATTTGGAAAGGAGATGATATGGAGAAGTCATTCCTTTCCTCCATTTGTGACATGGTAGACTTAGGGCTGGATGGCAATGGGAGGTTTTCAAAGGCTTCTTGGTTAGGTCTCAACAAATTATTCACTTTAGCACTGCAGGCAGCTGAAAGCCTGGCTATAGCTTCCTGCCATATTGACATTTCTGGGTTTGTCTAAAAATCAGCAATAATTCCTCTGAACTTGACCCTCAGCCCTTTCCATAGCTTTGTAGGCATATAATTCCCTGTATTAAGAAGTTATTTCTTGGTCAAATATCTAGAGCAGTTTCAGTTTTCCTAAGCAAACCTTAGCTGACACACAGTATCAGCTCATCAATGAATATTCATCTGGGGATATTCACCTTACTTGTATCTGAAGAAATCAACTCTCCTCTCTAAGGAAGGAAGGCAGTAGCTTTTCATAAAATTTTAAAGATACCATACCAGTTGTGGTTAAGAATGACACAATTTCTACAGGATTTTTTGTTGGTCTTATCTTTTGTTTGATGTGAATGCAGTGTTCAGAATCATTAACCTCTAACCCCCACAAAAATGAAATAAACATGGAAGAAAAACAAAGATGAATACACTGCATCTCAGGTGGGGAATTAAAAAAAGGATGAAAAAACAATGACATGAACACACATAAATTAAACTAGTTAAATTAATTCAAAGCACAGTACTTAATCAATAAAACATTCATGGAATTCTGTGAATGATGAGTGCAGTGCTCATTAGGAAGTCTCTTTCTCCTTCCTCAATTCTGCTCTGTAGACTCCTCCAATATACAAATTCAGAGCAAGCTACAATAGGTGCAGCCCCTTTTATCACAGAAAATAAAATAGGACTCATAAAAATAGGAGCTCAGAATTGTGTCTTAAGTCAAAAGCTAATGGACTTACAACCTAAATTTGAAATCAGTTAAGGGCAAAAAATAATATAGCATACCCTCAACTCTTTGGGGGCAATCGTTGACACAAACTATCTATTTATGAAAAGCAGAACAAACCAGAGAATGGTGAGAGTTTGCTAAAAATATTAAAGTAAGATTCTTCTGAGATGCCAGAACTGACACATAATTATATTAATTTTTTTTCTTCTCATGACCCTAGGCATCAAGCTAAATAATGAGAAATTTACTTTCTTGCAGCGATACTACTTCGTGGTTATTGCTAACAGCATGATATATTTGAAACATTTAAACTGAATCTATTTTTATGCAATAATGCTACCACAGTTTTACTGAAGGGAATGGAAATTAAAAAAGAAAAAAAAATAGGTGCCTAACCCGTACTGGAAATTTACTAAGACAGAATAATTTTATGATTGCATATATGTGATATATGCATATATATAATTTTCTTAACAAACGTTGGTGGAAATATGGATTGGGAAGTAAAACACATCTTTTCTTAAGAACTTTTTAAGTTCTTAATAAGAATTTCATGTTTAGGAAGCTCTGCCTCCAAATTTTCCTAGAGTTGCCCTTTGAAGATGAACAAAAATCCATCTAGGTGTAGGGGGGAGTGTTTTCCCCAGTCAAGTGCAACACCAGTTTAATAAACACTAGTTTTAGGCTACTTGTTGCTTTGTTTTGCTTTCTTGTAAACTTGATTCATTTTAGGATTTTGATATTCATAGTAATCTCCAAGTATAAACTTAGCTGCTGAACACTTTGCCTACATCTAAAAAATTATCTCTAAAGGTCTTGGGAAAAAATCTGCCTACCTATTAAAATTGTGAAATAATTGTGCCCTCTTTGTAAAAGAAAGGGTCACTTTATCCACTGAAGGCAGTGACATGGAGCACAGCTTTTGTACAGAAGCTAGACTCAAGTCCTTACTCTAGGTTACTAACTGGGCTCTCAAGGCAAGCTCCTTAACATGTCTGAGCCTTAATTTTGTCCATTTGCTAAATGAAAGTGAAAAACACATAAGTTAGATACTTGAGATTAAACAAAATGATACAGGTAGCCAGGACCAAATACATACAGTAAACACTGGGCCTGGGTAAAATGTTGGTATCTTATCCCTACTTCATTTTATGTGTTTCTTCTCTAGCACTTTTGAAGATCTCTGCTTCCTCCCTAGATTCCCCTTGGGAACTATTTTTAACCACTCAGTGTTAAATCCTCTCCCTGCTTCTCCAACCCTCACTGAAATCAACTGTTTCCATAGCTAATCACACCCTGGGGAACTGCTTCCTTGCTTCTCAGGTATCAGCCACCAATTTACTAAACTCAGTTTTGGCGAGGTACTGGTAAGCAAGAATAAAAGGTTTGGTTTGGGATCAAACTAAAAGAGGAAATATTTGCAGGGTAGATATGGTTTTATGATACTACTTGAAACATGCAGTACATGCTAGCACCAATGTTTTAAATGAATCGTTCTTTCATTTCTTCACCATTGTATTTCTCTTGGTAGAGGTTAATGTAAACAATACAGTGCTTCTAAGAAGAACATATAGCATGAGTTTATGCTTGTTGGTAGAGGCACATGAAGTGAAAATAAATGATTTGTGTCAGGTCCTCACAAATTTGAAACACTGTTTAAGGAGCAACATTATACGAATTTGTTTCACATTAACATAATAGTTATTCACTTTTATTTATTTACCACTTACTATGTGTCTGACACACTACTAAATGTTTTAAAACATGAATTATCATACTTTTATAAACTGTTACTTGTGGGTATTATTTGTTAAATATTTAACATATTTTAAAGGATATCCTAATTTAAAAAGCACATAGTCCACTGTCCTGAAACAACATAGTGATATAGAGAATATCTTTTTACTGATGTAGAAAATGAGGGTCAGAGAAATTAAGTGACCTTTCCAACATCACATAGTACATGGTAAGCCTGGATTTAAATCAGGATATATCTGGCTGTGCACCTGATATGGTTTGGCTCTGTGTCCCCACCCAAATCTCATCTTGAATTGTAATTCCCACAATTCCCACTGTGTCATGGAAAGAACTTGGTGGGAGGTGATTGAATTATGGGGGATGGTTTTTCCTGCACTGTTCTCGTGATAGTGAATGAGTCTCACGAGATCTGATGGTTTTCACAAAACAGGAGTTTGCCTGCACGAGCTCTCTCTTTTTGCCTGCCACCATCCATGTAAGCTGTGACTTGCTCCTCCTTGCCTTCCACCATGATTGTGAGGCTTCCCCAGCCACGTGGAACTCTGAGTTCTCCATTAAACTTCTTTCCTTTGTAAATTGCCCAGTCTCCAGTATGTCTTTATTAGCAACATGAAAACAGACTAATACAACAGCCATGGCTTTTAGCCTCTTTTATAATGCTAATTGAGGGCAGAAATGCAGAAGTACTAGAGGGAAAAGAAAACAGAAGTGTATCAAAATGCAAACAAGTTGATTGTAACGTTGTGTATTCTAAAAACTGGAATGGTGCAGATATAAGCATGGTTTTGTGCAAAAATGAAAAATGTTATTTTAAAAGAATAAAATAGATTCACTCTAGGACAGAGTTGTCTAGAATCCCTTATATATATTTATTATTTTCATATAGTCCTTTTTAACATTAAGCTAAATAGTGATCTTTCTGGAACTTTTACCCACGGGCTTTAGATTTACCTATGGAACCCATACAAACAATGGTTGATCTTTGCTCCTCGGGTGTTCCACTGTTAACATGTATCTCTGTGCTCCTGATTCCTTAACTTTATTTTCCTTTTTTGGCTTGCTATGTCACTTTATTGACAGTTCACTCCCAAAGAACAAGCTTCCAAATGAACTCACTGGATCTTTTTTACCCAAATTGCTGCTAGTCCAAGTGTTCTGAAATCTGTATATGTATACTTGACTTTTTCAAAGACAGAAAAGAAATAAATATTTAAATTTCTTAAATATTAACTTTTCCATTTGAGTCAATTTTATAAAGTTTGAATCAATTATATAAATATTATTTTTTCTATTTACAGCTATCATTGAAAGTGAACTTATCTTGTCATATGTTGATCTCACTCAGCATTGTGTTCATTCTTTTCTCTATGAGTCAAAGATATGAATGAATTCTAGATGAGACACAGCCCGAAACTCAGGCCCTTTGGCTCAGCGCTAGGGACCACTGTCCCATCTGACCCCTTATTATTACTCTTCAAAACTAGGAGTATTATCTCATGTGCATTTCTCTTTCTTTCTAAATGACAGCCATAAGTTTGTAAAAGGATCTGCTAAAATCAACATACTTCTCTATGGCATTTTCATATTCCTAAGAAAAGTTGTTGGACATGATTCACTCTTAAAGAATTCATACTACATCCCACTGCAGATCCTAACCTTTTCTTTTGGTTTTTCTAATTTACCATTTCCTTAGCAATATGTTTACCGAGCTTAATTTTGATTTTCATCAAAAAAACCACTGTAATTTTATCAGTTCATAATTTACTAAGGAGTAAAATATGCAAATTATAGAAGTCGTATTTAGTTTTTACTGAAGAACACAGACACACACAATTCCCCAGCACAACTAAATCATACAATGAATTTTCAAACCTTGACAATATGGAACGGGCATGTTCAATGCTTCAGTGGCAGTAATGTATTGATTACAAAATACTGTTTAGATATACACATGAGAAGTAAAATTACGGCAGTAAGACTAAGTGCATAATTGGGCTTATCAATTACTTATTTTTGTTACTTAGGAAGTTTAAATGGCTTATTCACTTTTATCAACTACAGCAACATAAGTGATAGTTATGTAGCACTTTATGGTTTATACAGAGTTGATACAGTCATTATCTCATCTGATAAATAAGTGGCCACAAGATAGTATGACATGTACCCAGAGAAAGTAAAATTTAATGGAAGGAAGACAGGCTTTGAAGTCAAATGTGGATTTAAAGCCTTACTCTACCCCTTTACAGGTAGGCAACCTTGGGCAAGCCATAGAATATCACTGAAATTTACATGTAAAATGAAGATGTAAAAAACCTACGGCATAAGGTTTTTAAGATTATTAAATGAGATAATAATGCATAGCATCCAGCATATGCAGTTCCATACTTTTTCCTTTTCCCCACGTTGAAGAATTTCACTCTGCATGCATTTTTGAGCAAACTTTAACTTTGTTTTACTGCATGCAAAAAGCCTGTTTTTATGCTATTCACAATTGTTGAGTTTGTCAGAACTATCTGGGGGCATGAAACCAAAACAAAGAGCATACATGTTGAGAAAAGATCCCTTTCTATACAGATATTTAATTATTACAAAGGTTGCTCATTTTAATCCAGCAATAGAGTTGTGCTAAATAAAGAAGTTTATGAAACTGCAAAACAACAAAATGTGATGAATGGTTAGAATTATGAATGAGCAATAAACAAGTCCAACCTTAAATTGGTACATTTTGGAAAATGAGTTAAGCCTAGATTTGGAACAACAAAACTTAATGGGAGGGGAAAAAAAATAGTAGAAAAGAGATGATACAAGAAATCGAACATGTTTTCATAAACAAATGTTATTTTGAGCTTTATTTAGAGAGGCGTTGTGCTAAAAAATCAAATCAATGCTGAAGATAATTTCATTTTTACTTGTATCCAAAAATTAAAATTAAAAAGTAATAATTTCATTTGAATACAGCACTAATAAAATGAATCTCAGTTAAAAATATTAAAATTCAAGAATTTGAGGCCTAAAGGGGTCTTTGGGATCACAGGATATTAAATCACATAATTTGCCAGATGTGAGATTTAGAATCCCAGGAGAATACCTACATGGCCACTATGGACTGAATATTTGTGACCCAGGTCCAGGACCACACATTTGGCTAGGAGTAACCATTTCTCACTATTTATGCCTAATTCAGCCAGGACAAATAACTTAATCCTGTCATCAGTTTCCACAGAAAATCCAATCACAGCCAGAATTTCATGACTTGTATAAACTTTGCTAAAATTTCAGGAGTCACAGATAGAGGAGGTGGGAAGGTGGTGTAAGGCTCAGCATTCTCATAATTTCACCCTCCCCTCTTTTTCCTCTCTCCTTCCTCTCTTTATTCAGGTTTCTACTTCAAGATCCATTCTTCTTTTTTGGGATGGAGAGTATATTCCCCCCTCTCTGAACCCTGAACCTATCTACGTCAAGTCTCCATTTGGAACTCCTTCATTATCTTCACTGTAGAAATCTGTGACTGGCTGTCAATAGTGGCCTCTAGAATTCTTCTTCTTCTTCTTTTTAAAATACTTTAAGTTCTAGGGTACATATGCACAATGTGCAGGTTTCTTACATAGGTATACATGTGCCATGTTCGTTTGCTGCACCCATCAACTTGTCATTAGCATTAGGTATTTCTCCCAGTGCTATCCCTCCCCCAGCCCCCAACCCTAGGATTCTTAACTATTACTGAAATCCTTTCCATAGGTGAAGACCCACCTCAGACTTTCCTTTGTTCTGGAGCCATGCTTTATTCTTCCTAAATTACATATGAGCTCCTCCGTTTTTAAACTCTTACGGCATTTTGCACTTGCCTTGGGACATTTACATCCTGTGTGTTATTAGAATCACTGCACCCTCACTCTCTTTGCTCCACTGTACTAGCAGTCAGCTCCTAAAGAAAGGGGCCTTGTCTTACTAGCTTTTGCATCATCTAATGCATTGCTGCTATGGATTGAATATTGTGTCCCTTTGAAATTCATATATTGAAGCTGAATCCCCAATGTGATGATATTAAGTAATGAGGCCTTTGGGAGGTAGTTATATTATGAGGGTGAAGCCCTCATGAATGGAATTAATGCCCTATAAAGACATGAGGATACAAGGAGAAGATGGCCATCTGCAAACCAGCATGTGGGTTCTCACCAGACACTGGGTCTGCCAGCATCTATTTTTGGACTTTCCAGCCTCCAGAACTGAAAAATCAACATTCATTGTTTAAACCACCCATTCTAGGGTAATTTGTCATAACAATTCAAACTGGCCAAGATAACTGCTTTTCAGATAACAGATAATGTTGTGGATTTGAATTCTCATGAGGATTGAATGTTTCCACTGGTGTCAGGGTCCTTTGTGAGTTTGGTTAGAAAAAATACAATCAAAAAACAAATGGCTGACAAATCTGAGCAACAGAGACAGTCTCAGAATCTTAAAGCATTTGTTAGGCTTTTGTCTCTGCTTTTTCCCCTATCATGTTTGCAGATTATTTGCTTTGAGTGACCCAGCACCACCTATTTAAAAATGGCTGGCTAACCCAATAAATATATACACCTACAATGTACCCACAAAAATTAAAAAAAAAATTTAAAAAATAAAATGGCTGGCGAGATTGCTATGTAAATGCTATTTCCTAGTAGCCCTTAGCTTAGTCAAGTTACATCTGACTATGTTCATGGAGACACATGTCCTTTAGCAATTTCCCTTTGGCAACTATCCTTTAGCAATTGCTTGGGTATTAGTCTTCAGTCATTTCTGTGCTTGGCAATGACCATGTGTTCTCGGTGATGCTGATGTTAGGGAGACTGCAAATTCATAGCCTTGCTACTCAAAGCCATTCTGGTTTGTACATTGGTGGGAACCATACAGAGCACAGCCACATCATTTGGTCAGGTGTTATCTGCCTTGTGGTCAAACTAGAGAACTGCTTCCTACATTTTTGAAAATTTGTTTTCTTTCTTTCTTTCTTTCTTTCTTTCTTTTTTTTTTGAGACAGAGTCTTGCTCTGTCGCCCTGGCTGGAGTGCAGTGGCGCGATCTCTGCTCACTGCAAGCTCCGTCTCCCAGGTTCATGCCATTCTCCTGCCTCAGCCTCCCGAGTAGCTGGGACTACAGGCGCCCGCCACCACGCCCGGCTAATTTTTTGTATTTTTAGTAGAGATGGGGTTTCATCGTGTTAGCCAGGATGGTCTCGATTTCCTGACCTCGTGATCCGCCCACCTCGGCCTCCCAAAGTGTTGGGATTACAGGCGTGAGCCACTGCAGCCAGCCTGAAAATTTGTTTTCTATCTTTATAACTACTCATCCAATGACAAGGAAAATAGTTCACACATTAGGAATTATTTAGGAGGTATGGAATGAATGACACACACTAATAATGAAAAATTTGAAGGAAATTTATAGAAAGCCTGGGTTTTTCTTATTATTATAATTATCAGAAATGAAGGTTGAGTAGGGGAGGATTTGCTAGGGATGGTTTTACTTTTTTTCTATTATATGAGGTAGTTAATAATTTTTTTCTCCATTAATGTAACTTTATAATAGGGTTATAATTATCAGGAAATGATGTAAATTTCATGTTGCTACAGGGTCAGGCTTTCTGAGCAAAGAAAATTGGCAACTGGGTGAAATGGTGATAGAATAGATAGCTCAGGAGAGAAACAGAGATTTATCTCCTTGGGGCTTTGTGTTTACATTTCAAAGGAGGCTAAATCCCTGAGCTATTTTTCTTATATTCCAAAGGACTGTAAAAACTTAGGGATCTTTCCCAGAGAAGACTCTTTTACATTAGGGACAAAAGTTTCTCTCCTTCTTTCCAGAGGGGGAGTAGGGCAGCTGTCCAGCTCCTCTACAGATGTCCAGATTCATAATTTCAGCGGTTTTGCAGTAGAAAGCCCTGTAGGTACAGCTGACATCTACCTTCATTGCATCGCCTTGGAGACTGGGGAAGGGGGAGCCAGCCTGCTGTTATTTCTGCAGATCATAGTTCTCGTCCAAGAACCTCGTGCTACGAGGTCAGGAGATCGAGACCATCCTGGCAAAAACAGTGAAACCCCGTCTCTACTAAAAATACAAAAAAATTAGCCGGGTGTGGTGGCGGGTGCCTGTAGTCTCAGCTACTTGGGGGGCTGAGGCAGGAGAATGGTGTGAACCCGGGAGGCGGAGCTTGCAGTGAGCTGAGAAGGCGCCACTGCACTCCAGCCTGGGCGACAGAGCGAGACTCCGTCTCAAAAAAAACAAAACAAAACAAAAAAAACCTCGTGCTAGCTTTCAGGATAAATGAATATAGGTATTAAAAACTTATCAATAATGTATTTTCCCAAGCTAAAACCACTTACTATTGATTAGCTATTACTTCCCCCTATTAACCTCTTTCCATTTTCTTTCTGCTTCTTTAATGAAATTGCAAGTATTTGTTAAGTACTTACTAGTCAGATTCAGTACTAAGAGATTTACATGCACTATCTTATTTAATAATCACACAAATCCTATGAAGAAAGTGCTTTTATTCCCATTTAACAGTTGAAAAACTGACCAACAAACTTGACCAACACAGCCAATGACTGATAGAGCTAAAATAGCCAGTGAATTGCTAATTCTAATGTTTTTGTGTCTGTACATCTGAACCTGTGTTATTTTCACTGCTCTACACTACACTATACTGTCACAGCTAACTGCTAATGTGTCTCAAATGCTCTAATTTTAGTAAAACAATTTTATCCATTACTACTTTGTGGTCATTTCTTTTATAGTATAAAAACTACAGGGATGTCTCTGTAATAATATCCATATTCTTTTTCTTACTCTAAAGGTTTCTTACAGGTGTTAAGGACTGGGAACTGGGTAGTTTGTTCTGGGAAAGGAACACACGTGTTAAGATAAATAGATTCTTGATTCAGGATGATAACTTGGGATCAAATAGTGAAAAGTATTTTATGTGTGCTGTTCGATGATGAAAGCCTTCAGGCTCTTTAAATTAGTCTTGCTACCCAGGATTGGCAGCATCAGCATCAGCATCATCTTGAATCTCGTTACAAATGCAGAAAAAATTGTAGGCCCCGCCCCAGATCTGTTGAGTCAGCATCTGTATTTTTGTAAGATCCCCCGTGCACATTAAAATTTGGAATGCAATTCTTTGGAATAGATTTCAGGCTTTAAAGCTTTCCTCTCTGAGTCCCTCTGATAAAAGGTAAACCTGGCTGCGCGTGGTGGTTCACGCCTGTAATCCTATCACTTTGGGAGGCTGAGGCAGGTGGATCACCTGACGTTGGGAGTTCAAGACCAGACTGATCAATATGGAAAAGCCCTGTCTCTACTAAAAAAATTCAAAATTAGTCAGGCGTGGTGGCACATGTAATTTTAGCTACTCAGGAGGCTGAGGCAGGAGAATTGCTTGAACCCAGAGGGCAGAGGTTTGTGGTGAGCCAAGATTGTGCCATTGTACTCCAGCCTGGGCAACAAGAGAGAAAATCCATCTCCAAAAAAAAAAAAAAAAAAGTAAACTCAACTGCTGCCCTGTTCAGGTAGCATATCATAAAACTGCCTTCAAGTCCTGAGCCATTTATTCTCTGCTGCCTTGCCTTTAAGACTTCTATAAGTCCCAAAATAATATAGGAGAAAGGTCTCAGGCCGTGTGATGTGGTATGACTCTGCAATACATAGGGTGTTTAAACAGAATGAATCCTAAGTGTGATTTACACTAAGTGCAAAAACTAATAGATACCAAACCAATGTGCTGCTTCCTCTCTCTCTTTGAATAAAGAGTCTTCTCCTGCTACCATTCCCAACATAGCTTTCATAAACACCTTTATTCTCTAATTCCAGGATGTCAAGGTCCCATCCTAATCGTCTTCTTTTGTACTTTTCATCATATGAATGACATAGTTTCATTTGTTTTCCTAATTACTAGCAGAGGCTAAGAATTAACAAATTTATTGGATTATAGAGCAGGAAGAAACAACAAAGATTGCCTTCTATGTCTCTGATCATTGGTTCTCAACGTCCTTTCCTATTTGGCTCTTCCTATCCCTTTAGGGCTCTGGTCCAGAAATAGTCAGGGGCAGCCAAGAGCTCAACTCTAGCATTGTAACTAGGAAAAGGACACCATAAACTGTCACAGCTGAGAAAAACCCCAGATGTGACAACTAAATATAATGTAGTACCCTGGATAGGATCCTGGAAAAGAAAAACGATGTCAGGTAAAAAGTAAGGAAATATGAATGAAGAATGGATTTAATTAATAGCAATGTATCAACACTGTGCCTAACAGGCTGTCCTCCATATGCTCAATGCATGATGTTTCTGATATTTATGATAAGGTTATTTTAAATTCAATGTATATTAATTCAAAAGGCATATAGCTTCAACACTCATTTATTGTTATGCATTTTATCCTTTTTCTGGCCCATAGAGATATTTATTTTGTTCATGAAAGAGGATATATCTTTTTAAATGAAAAGGTTAGCTTCTATGGCTTCAAGTATTTAAAGCCTGAAATCACAGCATTGACTGGAAAATCTTCCTCTTACTTATTTCTAGCTGGTCATGAATTCATCTAGATTTATATACTGCATCTGTCTGGAATCTTTTGCTTGTCCTGCTGCCTCTTAGTTTTGGTTCTTGTTACTCCTCTTTATTTTTCTTCTGATAATTTGCTTTTTAATTAACATTTATTGTGTGCTTACTGTGTGCCAGGATCATTTAAGCAATTTATATACATTATCTTATATTACAAATCTGAGTAATACCAGGTAATATCCTTAATTTCATGAAAATCAGAAGTCCAGAGAGATTAAGTGACTTGTCCAAGGTTACAGAGCTGCCCAGAATAGCAGAGGTAGGATCCAAATCCAATTGTATGTAATTCCAGAGCCAAGGCTCTTAAATAACATAATATGCTATCTTTTTAGCTCTTACACTATATGGCTAAAAGATTCTTCTCTTTGTAGGCACATAAATTCCCAACCATTCTCCATGTGATGCTAGAAATATCTCTCTATAAAGCAATCTCATCAAGACACTGCCTTAGGCAAAGCCCTTCACAAGTTCCTAAGACGCCAAGAGTAAGCCCAAATTCCATGGTGTAGCACACAAGACTCCCTCTCCTCTCTCTCAAGCCTTGTTTCCAACTATTGGTAGTTGATAATGTAGGCATTCAATCATATTTTTAAATGAATGAGTAAGCATTCTTAAAATTGTCCACTGAATTGAGGTTTACCCAGGCTTATATAGGGGTGGAGGTGAAAAAGAAAGAAGAAAGCATGGAGAGACAGAGTTATTATTTATATTCCCCTTTTCCTTAAGTGCATCTTTTTGGCTATCCCCATTCCATCCCACTCACTATACGTTTATTTACACGAGTGTTTTTCATATCACAAAAGATCTGCAACTTGAGAGAATTATTTAAAGCAGGAAGTAAAAACTTTGTACCCCAAACAGCACACCACGTACCTTTTTTCTTTACTTAGAGTAAATATTATTGTGCTGATTTTGCCACATCTTGCCTCCCTTGAAATAGTACTTGAAAAAGACTTCAAAACGGAATCTATCTAACTGGAAAAGAAATTCTATTGAATTGGCCTGTAAGACACTCAATAAATCAGAGTCACAAGGTTCAACTCTCTGTGGGCACCTATGATATTTTATCTACAATATGTTATCAAAGATAATTTTTGCCCCCTCTAGCTCAGAAAACTAAGAGAGGATATCAATGCCCTTTCTATCAACATGTATGAAAATTTAAGCAACACAATAACCTCCAAGAATCTTTGAGTACAAATCCTAGCAAATAGAGAACATTGAAATGCAGCAGGGAGGCAAATACTGTTAAAAGTCTTACTGATTTGTATACTGGGTTGAGCTGCCTCTATATGCCTAATCCATAGTGTTTCTCATACTAAGAGGGTTTATAAATATAATAATTCATTCATTAAGAGTTTATGTTACATTAGTTAAAAGAGTTCATTTAAATCCAACGCATATTAGTTTTTTCTACAAAGCATATTAGTCTTTTTCTGTAAGACAGAAGGTTCAGATTTATGAAAGAGGCTTATCAAATTAATGATCAAACAGAATGCTAAGATTTGTTGGTCATAATTAAGGACACATTATGGGCTTTCTCCCTCAAAAGATACCAATCTAAATTAACTAAACTTTTTCATGTAATATTTTGGAGGAATTTCACTTTATTATTTTCAAACATATATGGTAACATAAAATAAACTAACAAATAACCTTACTTTAAAACCAACTTATTAATTTCTCTTAGTACATATTTTTCCCTACCAAAAAGCAGTTTTCTAAGCTAAATTGCTGAACCTAATATCTTCTGTGTCCTGAAATCATGTTTCAGTTATAAACCCACATAGATTTTTTTTTCATATTGTACTAACACAAAGACTTTTTATCTCAGTTTGTTCAGATGATCACAAAATTTCAGTTAGTGAATTTTAAAGCTGTTTACTAATAGCTTGCTTCTATGTAGATGTACACATAATATATAGGGAATGTATCATGAATGGTCACTGTAACATTTATAATCTTCAGTTGAATTCACAGTTTTTAACTATAGTAAAAGTAGTTTCAAAACTTTGGTAGAAACAGCAATAGAAGATTCTCCCCCCAGTTGTGTCTGGTTTTTACCTATTTTTCCATTCTCATAAGTAATATTCTTTCAGTCATAACTGTTAACATGGTCAAAATTTCATTGACCAGCATAAATCCTGTAGTATTTTTACATGTAAAGAAATATCTTGACTCGGTACGGTTATGCACACCTGTAATCCCAGCTACCCTGGAGGCAGAAGGCTGACTTGCGCCCAGGAATTCAAGGCTGTAGTGAGCTATGATCGTACCACTGCTCTCCAACCTGGATGACACTGAGACTTCATCTCATAAAAGAAGAAAAAACAAATAAGAAAATATATATCCTTAGGTACAACGTGGGAAGAAAAGCAAATTAAAAAAAATCAGGAGATACCAATAGTTTCATTTCTGAATGTGAGCAAGATCCTAGAAGCTCTTTAAATTCATACTCCTAAAAAAATGAAAACATTGGGAAATGTAGACATATTACTTCACTGTTCAAATCGCCATTAGTTCTATCTATAAATGTTTAAAATAGAGTAGGTCTTGCTTAATAATTTGTCATTTTCTTCCCCTCACCATTATTCAGTGAAATGGGATGTTCATAGACGTGTTAGCAGGTTAAAAGGGCAAGTTTTGTTTGCTAACAGCAGTGAAAGACTAATTTTAATAGTGATTTAGGAAATTTCAAACAGGATCATGCTTATTTCTCAACCATGAACAATGTCCATTTTAATTATTCCATAAATTAAACCAGTATAGGTTTAATTGGGCAGTTTAGAAATCATTAAATAAATTGACAGATATAATTTGTTTTTGAATAAGTTATAAGACTATTAGGCTGTAGCTCAGACATAATACCAAAACCATTTGCTCAAGGAGACCTCAGGGTTACTGACATTTCTTAATCTGTTTATCATGGCCATGATTAAGCTGTGTTTCTTGATTCTGGGTTGATTACTTCTGACAGAGAACAATCACAGAATCAGGGCAAAAAAGAATAAAGCAAATCTATAAAATAAGGTACTAATGCTATAAAACTAGAGTTGGCAAGCTTATTTAACAAATTATAGGCACTACAAATTTATAGGAATATCAAGCAAACATATTTTTTCTCATTCTGAGAATACCTCCGGTTCCTTGGTAAATTTTAGTTAAAATTACATAAATGATTGGTTAAAAAAAATCTAATTTATCTTGAAAGAAATAAAGCTTTCATATTAATTTTAGAGTTGAAAGTAGTTTCAGCTTGTGGGATTTCCTTAATCTCATGTTTTAAAGTAGATATTAAATGAAATAAATGAAAAATGTTGTAAAATAAAATCCCAATCAAATATCGCCCCCAACAAACATGCACATGGAGATGTAGACTGTCAGAAACATATATTGAATCCCATGGTCTTATTAATCCACAAATGAACCAAAAAACTAAACTTGAAATCTTGATATCCTCAAATTCCACTATCTTGATAAAAAAAAATTCCATATTGGCTACTTACACAAACTTTGAACCACTCTTCAAAAGCTGTGAAATGCCCAGGTCCACTTAGGGACTTTTAGCTTCCATGTGTAACAAGAAACCTCAGCAAATGAAATAATTTTCCCTAAAAATTTTTGTGATCCAGAAAATGTAAAAAGCCATCAAACTGTCAAAACAAATTTCAATTCAAACAAAGTCATAGTTCTCAAGAATTTAATTTAATTGGAATCCTCAGAGCAGCTATGTGTTTTAGTTTCTGTGCTTATAGACAGTGACCTGCATGCCAAGATAGTTCTGTTGATTAAATCACAGAGACTTCCTGCTTTTCCATGAAGAATCTTCTAACTTGGAGAGAACGTTCCAGGTCAGTGGTGACCTAGTTTCACACTGCAGAATGTGCCACCTCTAGCAAGATTAGTTTTTTCCTTTTATTTTTTAACCTCCTGTTATAGTATTGTTACTTTAGGGTTATCTTTTTTATTAAATGAGAGGCGTACAAGTTATGTGATGATATTTTAAAGTGTCTGGTGTACTGCAATTAAAAAGCAGTTAAATATGTGTCTTGCTTTTCTCTTCAGAGCTTCCAAACTAGTTATTACTGTTTTAATTTTGCCTACTACTGAGAAGAATTCCCAGGGAACCCCTAATTCCATAGGCTCTCTTTTCAATATGTAAGCAGCCTGGGGTTAGTAAGATACAAATTTGTATTTAACTGTGCATCGTTAAGTTTGGAATGTTGAAGGTATTCTATCCTGCAAGCAGGGCAAAAGACAGGATCATTGCATTGGATTTTAGAATTTGCAATTTCACAGACCATCACAATTTTAAGAGAATATTTTAGGGACCATTTCCCAACTTAATATTTTGACAAGTAAAATAATTTTAAAAGAACAGACTTAAACAAATATCCTAAACTGATACCATAACTAAGCAGTCATTTCACAAAAGACCATTCATTTTAACACAAGGAGGGAAGGAAAGAAGGAAAAAGAGAGGAAACAGGGTGGAAGAAAGAGCAGAAGGGAGAAAGAAAGGAAAGAGGGAGGGGACAAAAGAGGAAAAAAGAAAGAAAAAATGGAAAGGACAGTCACTTCAACTAAGTATCGTCTTATGAAAAACTACTGTTCTTTTATTATTGCATCGTTTTCACCATCAATGGTATAGACTAGCACTTGGGGAACCACTCAATGAGATCTCCATCAATGATCTAATTTCATTTTTGTTTTTGAAAAGAGAATTTGATCTGAAAATCAATGTAGAGGATGAGCTCTTTACCACTGGCCATTTTACTTAGATTGTTCCCTTGGCTTTGAAACTATTTACAGTAGGACCATGAATAAGTCATTTAACTTCCAGAGACTTAATTCCACTCACTCTATAAAAATGTTATAAGCATTTATTAAATTTAGTAAATTCAATATGTTAGTCACCTAAAAGACTGACAATCTGTATATTAAAATGCTTGAAATGTATTCATATTAATCAGATTTAGAGAAGTTGTGGCCAGGTGTAAAGGACGTTTGGATTGAATCCTGGCAAATGAATAGTTAATCAGAAGGCTAAAAGAGGCGGAGGTATCACTATTCTAGGCAGGAGGAAAAGCCCAAGATACATCATACAGAATTACAACTTCGAGAAACCACAAAGAGTTTTTAGCTTGGCTGGAGTGTAGGGCTGAGGTCTGCAATGAAGCTGATGAAAGGTAAGCGCAGTATGAAAGATCTATAGAGTAACAACCTTATTTTGTGGAAGTGGGGAACCACTGCCGGGTTTTAAACAGGGGATGACTTGATCAGATCCACAAAGGTCAAGACAAGAGGCTTGTTTCATATAAGCTCCATGAGAGCAGGTACCATGGTGCTTCATTCATACTCTATCCTTAATTCACAACAACAACAAGCTCACTAATATTTACTGAGAACTTGCAAGTCCTAGGCACTAATATAAGTACTTTAAATACATTACCTCACTTACACCTCACCACAGCCCTTTCAGTAAGCAACAGTTTTATTTCCTTTTATAAAGAGGCATACTGGGATTTGAGATTCTAACTACTTTGTTTATGGTCTCATAACTAGCAGGAGGAATATAAAGGTCCAACTTGGACTTTAGATTCTCAAGGCCAAGTTCCTCACCATTGATTCACCTGCCTTCCTGAGCAAAAGAAGGAGCTCAATAAACACCCACTGAATGACTACACAGCTTTCATGGCCTTGATCAAAAAAATTAGGATCTTTGAGAGCTAATTTTCTCCTTCCCTCTGGCAAGCTGACACCTAAACCACTCTGAAGAGACAATAGCTATACATGGCGCGGTGGCTCACGCCTATAATCCCAGGACTTTGGGAGGCAGAGGGGGGCGCATCACGAAGTCAGGAGATAGAGACCATCCTGGCTAACACAGTGAAAACCTGTCTCTACTAAAAATACAAAAAAATTAGCCGGGCGTGGTGGCGGACGCCTGTAGTCCCAGCTACTCGGGAGGCTGAGGCAGGAGAATGGCGTGAACCCGGGAGGCGGAGCTTGCAGCGAGCCGAGATTGCGCCACTGCACTCCAGCCTGGGCGACAGAGCGAGACTCCGTCTCAAAAAACAAACAAAAAACCAACTTCCCTGTATATACTAATACTTGTTACATTTTCCCTGATATTTAATTTCAATACTCTAAATTATAGCTTAATCCACACTCCTTATTCATTGTTGGTAGAAATGGACATCTGGATACCTCCTCTTGAAAACAATGTGGGGAAGCATGAGGGTCATTAAATTTCCCCTCAATCATTTTCTCCTTCATGCTGCAAATATCAATTCCATTAGTCTTTTCATAAGCTAATCTGATTCCAAGGAAGGTGAAAAACAACTCTGAAAAATCTATTATTAATGCGTCTAATGTCCTGTAATCGAATCCAGCCAATTGAGTTCCCAGTTAGAGCTGAGACAATTCATCATCTAGAATGTCCATAAAAATTGTATAAGATTTAAACATATTTTACGTGAATAACATATCACCTCTCTCACTTAATCTATTTTATTCTTCTTTAAAAACTTATCATTACTTGACAGTGTGTTAAATACCTGATTGTATATTTATTGCCTGCCTTCCCAACTAGAATATAAGCACCTGAGGGCTGGCCTTAGTTTAATCTTTTATTCACAGGACTTTGAACACAGCCTGGAACATAGTAGGCATTCAATACATATTTATTTAATTCATTTATCTGAAACTAAATGACTATAAATGGCTGTGTAAAGAACATTGGATGATTAATCGTAGACTGTGTCTTACAAGAAGGTGTTACAGTGAGATTAGTTTAGATAGGATAAAAGGGAGAGGTTGATCCTGAAGACAAACAAGATTAAAAGGGACAAATAGACTGTCAATTCCCTTGACAAGGTGAGAAACTGAGAGGGAGAGATTTCAACTGAAGGAAAGTTCCAGAGGTATTATTCAAACACCTGTTAGCCGAGGAGCCCCCCTTTTGGACCTATTCAGGAGCCCTGCCGAGGAAAGGCTAAACTGAAAGCTTTTCTGGCTTTTCTACGAAGTTGCAGAGAGCATTTAGGTGGCATAAGTAATAAAAGAGGACTTTTAAAAAATAAACATAAAGGTTGTAATTATCTTACTTATTGTTTGCTACACCAGGTATTCCAATCCTTCTCTAATGGACTACAGACAGAAGAATCTTTTAGCTGTATACTTATGGTGAGGGGTAAACAGATAGCACGTTGTGGTGTTTAAGAGCCTTTGCTCTGCAATTACATTAAACTGGGTCTGGATCCTATCTAGGCTATTTGGGGAAGCTGTGACCTTAGACAAATCTCCTAACCTCTCTGGACTTCTGATTTTCATGAAAGTGAGGCCATTACCCTGTGTCACTGAGCTTTGGATAGTGAGATAATGTGAATAAATTGCTTAAAGATCCTGGCACACAGTAAATGTTAAGCTCGTCCTCCAACTGAATTCTGAGCAGACTCCCTCCTCTCCTCTTCCACTTCAAAGGACAAGATTCATAACCCTTTCTAACTATCCTCTCTGCCCTCCATAGTTATTTGGCACTTAACTGTGTGCCTCACACTGCACTAAGTGCTGGGATTAATAAGATTGCAGGCACCATTCCCTCCTCCTAAGAACTGAGAACCAGTATGGAGACAGACATGCCAACACAAGAAAACAGGAGGCACAGAGAAGTGCAGATGCCAGGGGAGCTCATAAGCAAAAACAGAGGAGGATGGTGAGGGTGTCTTGCTCTATGGAGCCCATAAAGGCCCTCTGAGCATCTATACAATCTGAGATTTCTCCATTTTGTGGATTCCAGGGTACTCTGAATATCCCTTGGCTCCTGCTGCCCCCTCCCTCATTCATTACACACCACCCTCTCTCCCATCTCTATGGCATTTAGGACATTCTCTGTTGTCTATTTTGCTTACCGGTGTGCTCATTTCAACCAGGCACGCTCTTTCCCAACGCATACGATGGCTGCCTTGAAAGCAGGGCTCTCTCTGTTTCATTTTTCATTCTATTCTGAGCAGCATCTTCTATGAGGCCTTCACACAGCAGGGATTGATCAGGGACTAATCACTGTTTGGTGTGTCACTGAGTGATTCTGATCGTGTGGATATTCATTCAAGAGTGGTCCTATTTCCTAACTGTCCAGCAAAAGTCCTCCATATAGAAAAACATCAGGAGCTTTTACTAATAGTTGCAGAAGCTGGACCGTGATATATGAATTCCAGCTCCAGTTCCCTGAAGTGAGGAATCAATATCACATAGAACTGTACAGGTATACCTTAGGGAGCAATCGTACATGCTTGGTTCCTGTGTGCACAGTTTTCTTTACTACCTCCATGCTTAATTTACAATATTTTTCAGAAGTCCTTATATGTAGTTCTTTGAATGAAGGGTAGTGAAATAAGCTGATTATCACAAATATCTGAGTCTACTATTTGGCTTCATTATCTATCTTTAAGTAGGGGCTGTGGTTTTGAAGGATATGTTTCTTATGCTCACTGTCAAATTCAAATGGTTTTATGTAACACAAACAATAATTGGAGTGGTAAAAAATTCCACTCCAGGCCAGGGATGGTGGTTCATGCCTGTAATCCCAGCACTTTGGGAGGTCGAGGCAGATGGATCACGAGGTCAGGAGATCGAGATCATCCTGGCTAACCTGGTGAAACCCCGTCTCTACTAAAAAAATACAAAAACTTAGCCAGGCATGGTGGTGGGCGCCTGTAGTCCCAGCTACTCGGGAGGCTGAGGCAGGAGAATGGCATGAACCCAGGAGGTAGAGCTTGCAGTGAGCCGAGATCGTGCCACTGCACTCCAGCCTGGGCAACAGAGCGAGACTCCGTCTCAAAAAAAAAAAAAAATTTCCACTCCATTTTCTTCTATTTACCTATTAGTGCTACTCCACTAAGTTAATGTTTTTTATTCTAGCTCTAATTAACCATTCTATTTTTCAAAGAATAATAGAAGTTTAAGTATCTGAAGGATTTCAAATATCAAGTCCAGTGATTTTTCAAACTTCAGGTCATAGCCCATTAATGGACTATGAAATAAACTTAGTGAGTTGAGACTGTATTTTAAAAAAATGAAATAGAATATTGTATTCTATTTCATATTCTATAGAATATTCCATTCTATAAGTAGTCAAAATAGTAATGGAAGTGCTTTTAAGAAATTTCATCTGAGATATATTGGTATTTGCATGTGTATATATCAGGTGGTGCTGTAAAATGTGATAGGCAGAATTCTAAAATGGTCACCAAGATCTCCCACCCCTCTGGTGTACATACCTGCATAACTCCAGGGTCTGGAATTTATGATGGACTTTATTCCTGTGATTAGGTTGTGTGGACCTTAAGACAGAAAAATTACCTGGGTGATCCTGACTCAATAACATGAATTCTTTAAGAGCAGAGAGTATTCTTGGTTGGTTGAGGCAGAGGATCCAAATGAAATAGATTTGATGTGAAGTTCTTTACTTGAAGGTGGAGGGGACCACATGACAAGAAAAGCAAGTGGCCCCTAGGAGCTGAGAGTGGTCCCTGGTTGACAGCAAGCAAGGAACGGGTAGCTCAGCCCTACAATTGCAAGGGACTGAATTCTGCCAACAATAAGAATGAGCTTAGAAGCAATTTTTCCCCTGGTTGAAACTCCAGATGAAAACACAGCCCAGCTAGCCCCCTGTCTTTAGCCTTGAGACACCCTGAGCAGAGAATCCAGTCATACCGTGTGGACTGAACTACAGAGCAGTGAGTTCATAAATCGGTGTTATTTTAAACTGCTAACGTTGTGGTATTTTGTTTCACAGCAATAGAAAACTTATACAGTACTTTCTATGGTCAGTTGTGATCATAAAAAGAGAGTAAGAAGAAAAACAACTCTGAAAGACAAGATTTGGTTTCTCTCTTTCATTGTACACATGTAAGTATTAAGGTAAAATGATGGTAAATAACTTGTGCCAGATTACACAGTTAGTGATGGAAGCAGGGCAGAAAATGCTCTTTCCTGAACCACAGCCTGACATGGTGATTACTTTCCTTTTATCTGAAGATTCATTTATTTCACATCAATAGTGACTAGCTTTCCCCTACTTATTCTAAATCAATGGAATTTTATTATACAGCCATCCCTCCATATCTGTAGGCTCTGCATCTATGGACTCAACTAACCACTGATTGAAAATATTCCAGAGTAAAAACAATAAACAGTAACAATGCAACAATATAAAACAATACTGACTAAAAATACAGTATAACAACTATTTCTATAACTTTTACATTGTATTAGATATTATAAGTAACCTAGAGATGATTTCCAGTATACAGGAGCATGTGCATAGGTTATATGCATATATTATGCCATTTTATATCAGGAACTTGGGCTTTGCAGATTTTTGGTATCTGTGAGGGTTCTGGAACCAATCCCCTCTACTCCCTGAATACTAAAGAATAACTGTACTTCTAGGAAAATAATTCTAGAAAAGCCACTGCAGCCACTAAAAGACACTTCAATGGCTGTAACATTTTTCTAGTTATTATTTTTTATTTGAAAATCCTTTAAGCCCTAAAATTATTGCTTGAATGTATATAGTAACTATAGTATGAAACTTCATTGCTAAATTTAAATGCACTTACTTGGCCACAAGAGGGCTCCTAGAGTTTTCCAGGAGTATAAACTCTAAACTGAGATATTGAAAAATATCTTTCAATGAATGAGCATATTGGCTTGTAGACGGGTTCGTTCGTTGGCAAGGCTTCCTTCACTGAGATTCTCTGGGACTTGTGGTAAAAATATCACTCCACTATATTATCCATAAAATCTCTTCCAGCTGGCCGGGAGTAGTGGCTCATGCCTGTAACCCCAGCACTTTGGGAGGCTGAGGTGGGCAGATCTTGAGGTCAGGAGATCGAGACCATCCTGGCTAACGCAGTGAAACCCCGTTTCTACCAAAAATACAAAAAATTAGCAGGGCATAGTGGCATGTGCCTGTAGTCCCAGCTACTCGGGAGGCTGAGGCAGGAGAATCGCTTGAACCCTGGAGGTGGAGGTTGCAGTGAGCCGAGATCGCACCACTGAACTCCAGCCTGGGCAACAGAGCAAGACTCCGTCTCAAACAACAACACTCCTCCAGCTTATTATAGCGCAGGGATGGCAACCTTTGAGAGTCAGAGAAAGCCTGATTCTGACGGGTCACAAGAGAACATAGATTTAATTTGCAGAGCCTGCTCTCTACAGCTCATGACCCCATCTTTAAATGATCTATGGCTCTATCCTCATCTATAAAAATAGGGTGTAACACTTACCTGTCCAAGCTGTTGTGAGGGTGAATTGAGGATAAAACCCAGGAGCTTAAATTGCCCCTGGCATATGAAATTATCAATAAATGAAAATTTTTATTGTTTATTACTAATACTTTTACTAAGAGACATAGAAGTACATTTGTTTTGTAAAGGGAACTTTCAATACCGGTGATTATACGGTTGCTAATATGTTAGCCTTGAAAATAATGTTTCCAGGTCCAAATTACTAAAAGGGTTATATAGATAGAGTATATTTAACAGTTCAGATGTCTCTTTTAACACAATAGACATGCCACTCCCATTGATTATGAATCAAATTGTTACCAATTCAATAGTGAAGAATTCATGAGTGGTGGTATTATTTAAAATAACTCATCGTTCATCTTTTTGCAATCCACCCCTTTTGAGACTTCTATTTTCTAGGCTTAGCCCATTAGTCATGGTGGCCAAGTTGGTCAGTATCTCTCCCTTTTTTTCTAATTTTTAAGGAACATTGAGTTTGTAGGATAAGCTTTATTTGCTGAAGGAAAAAATACTAATTGTGTCTTTTTCGCTAATTAGAAAAGCAATAGAAGGCGACAGACATGTTGCAGAGGAGAGAAGGATAGTGGTAATTGGAGAGAGTTATGTAGACTTTGTGAGATTTTCTAGTCAATTGATTTGAGGAACTGTGCTAGCATAGGTTTTAAAAATGGAAATATGTGCCTGTCTACACTTTTATTAATTCTCATTACCTGACTATGGACAGTCTCATTGACACCATACTTGTTGCCTTTTAGAAAATAAGACTTGACCATCTGGAAAAAGGAAGCCTGAGAATGAATATATAAGAAGAGGACATAAAATGGTGGAAAGAGAAAGCATGGTTTTAGCAGCCAAATTCTGAAATAAGGCTAAACCTACATGGAGGCATTTCTTCAGCTTGAAGGAAGGAATTTAACCCAAAGACATTGGAAAATGACTTGACAGAGTCACACAGGAAATTGTTGTAGGAATTAGAACTAGAAATCTGGTCTCCTGATGATCATTTCTAGGAATGGCTACTAAAAAATCAAAGAAAAAGATTTCAATAGAACTAGAAATCTGGTCTCCTGATGATCATTTCTAGGAATGGCTACTAAAAAATCAAAGAAAAAGATTTCAATCATCTTAAAGCAAACAGTCTCATACTGGAGTGGTGAGGATGGTAAATTTTAAAGAAAACAGGCCCTCTTTGATGTAACACTGGTTAACCCATTAAGCCACAGTCTCTACTATTACAGCTTTTGGATGTGACCAAATCTCTCCAAATTGAAGTAACAAGCAAGGCCAAAGCAGCCACACTCTTTTTGGGTGGATTTGTCTCCCCTACACACCATTCTTTCCCATATACTAGATGTTTAGTAACTTTTGTCTCAGATAGACTGAAGACACTAAAAGCTGCTATTGTTCATTAAAAAGCAAGGCCAAAGACATGCTGGGCTAATATGGTACACTAAAGTTGGTAATTTGATTGGTTTGGACTGATTGCCTACAACTGTCTGATTAAATGTTAAAATACAAAAATTACAGGATATCATTATATCTGGGGGAAATAATGTAATGCCTGCACAACCCAAGCCATATCCTATTACTCTTCCCTATGAAGGGCCTGGATGTCATTCAATTTTTCCAAAGTAAAGCAAGGTGCAAGGTCAAAATAGACCCACAATGTAATCTGTCCTCTCTCAGAATGTAATAACGTTACTTTCTTACTGGCTTTGTTAGTTACAGGCTAACGTCAACCACAGTCTTAACAACCTGACGGAACAGGTTCAGAGACCTGGGAGCCTGAAGGGAAAATGAAAATAACAAAAACAAAAAACAAGAAAGGTGCTGGCTGAACAATGGCTAAAATGAAAATAGCACACAAAGTTAAAAATTGAAAAACCTAAGAGAGAGAGAGATAGTATATGTGTACGTATATGTACGTATATGTATATTTACTTCCCCTAGGTTAGGATATAGAAGGTCCTCAAGCCTGCTTTTATTTAACTTTGCTGAAAGTTTTTCAGTAGTTTTCCATCTTTATGTTCAGACCACATAAGAAAATGTCCAAATAAACCATCAGAAAGATTTACATGTTTTATAACAAGGAGCCACTTAACTAAACAGACCCAGAAATTCTCAATGCCATTTAGGTAGATTTCATCTATTCACTTGCATAAAACATCTGGTGCTCACCAATTGTGTAGAACCTCTTCAGTTCGCTCCTTCTGGAAGGATGTTTCTGAGTATTTGCTGCATTGTTCTGCTCTTCTTCAATGATGGGGGTCTTGGGTGCCGGGGGCTTACTGGCTTGTGGTGTTTGCTTTCCTGCACCAGCCAAAGGGTTGAACCCTGGAGCATTAATATCCACCGACTGGGACTTTTTCTTCAGCCTACAAGTAAAGAAGACCACATGCTATGAATCCTGATTCTAGAGACACATTTGTTCCATGTTTATAATTTTTTTTCAACAATTGAGTTATATTTAACCTTGAGATAGAACCACATCTATTCAGAAATGATAGACATTCCCTACAGTATTTTAAGAAAAATTCTACAAATATTTTTGAAACTAGAAGGAAAAATATCTTCTGCCTAATCATTTTGAAAGATTGCATTAAAATATAAGGTGATAAAGAGCTTTTATTTTTTCAATAACCAATTAAAATATAGTGTCAAAGATAATGTATTTGACTATAGTATTTAGTTCTGAAAGGAATTTTTTAATACAGTGAAACATTAGTTAAAAATAAATGTTAACTCCAAAAAGAATAATAAAATCATTATTTTTTAATCAGAGGCTGCCAGTGTTTTTCTGCTTAATCTATACAGCATCTTAGCTGTAAAAATGATAGAATTCATGTTATTTTACTATGCATTCTCAGTAACAATAAATGTGTTGCTCACTTCTACATTTTAGATAGCTGACATAAGGCCTAACATGGAAAGCAAAAAGCTATCCAGGAAATATTTCCCTGCTCATGCATATTTCCTTTGGCATACAAATCATTGTAAATGATGGTGAGTTAACTTCAAACATTTCAAGCTACACAACTAATGTAATTAAACCCTAAGTCCAATTTACTATTGGCCCTTGGTACTTCTGCAGGCTGATGTTAAGTGTCATTTTTCAAGTCTTTCATTCCCTATAAACAAGATGGTGGCAATTTTCTTTATTTTCTGAACACTTGCAATTTCCTAAAAGTTTCATACTTCTTCATACCTTCAAATATGATTTAGGCTTTTCTAGTACGTTGGCTTCCCTTTTCTGCCTTGCTTGCAGACCCTGTTCATGCTTGTTAGACATAGCTTCAACGTGACATCTGGGAAGCTTCCCATGACGTGGACCTTGGTAGCCTCACACCATTCAGCATGGAGGGTTATTCATAATTAACCCACAATTAGCTTCTATTGAACTGAATTTTCCACAGCAAAAGCTTTGTGAAGATAATACAATCTATCAAGTACTAAAAGAGTCATTAATGAAAGCAATGTCTACTAAATTTTAGTCATTAAATTATGACCTATATGATTTCTACCTTATCCATATACGACCTATATTATCTTAATATCCATGAAAATAGATTCACGTAACTCAGATTGGCAACAAGTACATTTTTAAGTGTTCAACAGCAGTAGTCCTGAGGAATACAAATTATAACTACATTGCACTCACACCACACCCACCACAGTGGCTAAAATGTAAAAGACATGATACAAAGTGCAGTGATGAGAAGCGATTGGAATTCTGCCCTGCTGGTGGTGGTGCACACTGGTAACATTACTTTGGAAAAATGTCTGGCAATATATTTTTGAATGAAGTTCAAGGCATGTATTTTTATGTGTTAACCAAAAGATGCATTCAAGGATGTTAATCTCAGCAGGATTTGTAATACACAAAAATTGAAAAAAACCTCAAATGTCTATCAATGGTAGAATGGAATTTTATACAGCAATGGAAATGCATGAACTATGACTATTAGCAGCAACATGAATGATTTTCATAAAAATAGTTTTGAGCAAAGAATCCAGATATAAAAGAGGGCATGCCCTATGATTCTACGTATATTAAGTCCAAACACAAGCAGTACTATCTATGATAGTAAAATGGTAGGCTAAACATTGGGGAGTTATTACATTGACAACAACATGAAGGGGTTTATGGGATTCTGGTAATGTTTTGTTTCCTGATCTGGGCACTGGGTACCAGGATGTATTTACTTTGTGAACATTTAACCATCTACGATTTTTGGATTTTTCTGGGTATATGTTATACTTTCAATAAAACATTTTCATGAGAAATTGACTTTTACCATACAGTAATCACTTCTTATCTGCAGGGGATATATTTCAAAACTTCCAGTGGATGCTTGAAACCACAGATAGTAACAAGCCCTATACAGTACATACCATGTTTTTTTCAATGCATGCATAAATATGATAAAGTTTAATTTATAAATTAGGCACAGTAAGAGATTAACAATAATAACACAGAACAACTATAACAATATACTGTAATAAAAGTTACATGAATGAGGTCTCTCTCTTTCTCTCTCTTAAAATATCATATTGTACTATATTGCAGTTAACTGAAACTGCAGAAAACCAAACTGTGGATAAGGTGGTACTACTGTATTCATTTACAATGAAGATTATATATGGTGCCAATGACTACTTGCCACAAAAAGGTGGTAATAAAAATAAATAGAGTGAAGCTCTTTTCATTCCAGACTCCTAGAAACTGACAGAGTAGAGTGACATTTAATGAACAACCCTTTTTTTCCACTGGGAATGGCTGTTCTCCCTATCCAGCGCCCTACTTCTCATGAGCTGAAATGAACTGTTCATTCATTCCTGGAATGGCTACTCTCCACCCTACACTGTTCTGGGCACCAGGGATACACAGTGAACAACACAGGCAAAACAACTGTAGTCCTAGAGCCCTTATTCTTATGGAGGGAGACAGGTGATAAGTAAACAAGCCAATATATAACAAATTAGGTGGCAAAAAGTGCAGTGGATTAAAATCAAGCACAGTAAAAGAGATAGGGAATGAAGGTATGCATTTGTACTGCTATATATGGGACAGCCAAGTAGGGCTCATAGACCATTGGACTTTTGAGAAGAGACTGAAGGAATGAGCTATGATCATAACTGAGGGAGCAGTTATGAGGGAGCAGCATTTCAGAAATAGACTTGTATGTGATGTTAGTGGAGCAGGGAGGGCACAATGGCTGGAACAGAGAAAAAGAGGGAGTGAGAAGCTGGAGATGAAGTTAAACAAGATGGTCCTGAGGGCAGGGGAGTGAGGCCAAATCATATAGAGCTTCAAGGTTCTTAAATGAGGCCAAGAGAGGATTTGAGCAAAGCAGTCATCACATGGTAAAAGAATCACTCTGAGCTGCTTTGTGGAAATTAGGGTGAAAGCTGTATCTCACAGTTAAGCAAGCTGAATGGAGTCCTTCAAGGAGTAGTAACCAAAAATCACCTATGTTGTCATATACTTGAGGAAACATGGATTTACACTGTATAGCTTTATCTACTTTTTCCTAATGCCTTGTTCCTCCCAATAACACCATTCTTATCTTAGGTGTTTTCAGACTAGAGCTAAAAGCTACAGAAGTACTATACGCACCTAAGAAGGCATTAAGATTAATAATAAAAAAAGCAGTTTAAGAAACAACTTGCATGTATACACAACGGAATACTACTGAACTTGAAAAAAATATCTTGTCATTTACAACATGAATGAACCTGGAACACATTAAATGAAATAAGCCAGGCACAGAAAGACAAATACCACACAATGTGACTTATATGGAATCTAAAATAGTTTAACTTGTAGAAGCAGAGTAGAATGAAGGATATAAGGAATTTAGATGGGTATAATGTTGATCAAAGGATATAAAATTTTATCAGGAGAAATAAGTTCAAGAGATCTGCTATACAACATGGGTGACTATGGTAAATACCAATGTAGTGTATTTCGAAAACTGCTGAGAGTAGGTTTTCAGCGTTGTCACCACAAAAAATAAATATGTGAGGTAATGCATATGTTAATTAGATTAAGCCATTGCACAGCATATACATATTTCAAAACATCATTTTGTACCCTATAAATATATATAATTTTTATTTTTCAACTAATAAAAAAGAAGATAAATAAGCTATAGATCACCAAGGCAACAAAGTTTATTTGGACCAGCATGGCTTTCCAGGAGAGCACACTTACACACGCCAAGACTTAGACTGCACTAACAGTATTATGTTGAACCTGATGAAATCCCTAATATTCAACCATTTTTGACATACAAAATGTCAATATTCTATAGTTGATCCTATAAATTTTATTTCAAAATTAAATTTAAGTTTCAATATAAAGTAAGTTATTTTGGGGGAAGGCAGTTTCAGAGGAGTAAATATTTAAAGGAAAGGTGTGAAATTATACAAAAAGCCAGCTGCTCTTTTGTTCTCAGCAATAATTATCATTATTAACAATTATTTACATTTTATAAATGTTTTACCTTCAATTCACATAGCAGATTATTTTATCACCAGAAACTGTTTGTATTTTACATTGGCCCATTTTAGAATTGATCTAAAGTCTCATATTGGCTTATATGATGGCTTATATTTGATAAAGGGATAGATATTATAACAAATGATGCTCTGCCAGCACTACAAAATATATAAGCATCTCATTGCCCTTTTTATATTCTCCGTAGAATGAGCAAAGGACGTGGCACTGAGCTCCAGATGGCCAAAGACAAACAGAAAATGACACTATTATTCCCCTTCTTCTTTCTCCCCCTCCTCACCAAACACTCTTCCCAACCAAGACTCGAAGGGCATCACGTTTTTGTTCTAAGTTTAGAATACTGCTAGTAGGTTTTCTGGCTTGCATAAGACAAGACTTCCATTTGCACATTCTTAGAAAGCAGAACTGTGTGGGTAATTGAATTACTGGCTAACAATTCTAAAAATGAGTATTGTGGTTGACAAGGAAACCCGTTAAATGCTACCTTCAATTTCCAAATTTCGTGAAAGGGGAAGTCTTTTTAAATTTTTAACAATGTTCTTAATTAAATGCGTTAAACAAATGTAAATATGGCATAATGGAACATATAGGTGTGCACGAGATAAAGTACCCTATTTGATAATAAATGAAACATTAAAAATGAAGACAAAAATAAGCTCTTAATAGGCACTGCGAGGTTCTTTGTTGAATGTGCTTTGCATTCCCAAAGGAAAATGGGTGCTGAAGCCTTAGACAGAGACTAGGAAATAAGGAAAAGAAGACATCTCTCTTGGCATGGCTCCTATAAGCAGACTGGTTTGTCTTAATTTTTGCTTTTTCTTGTCCTTCTGCTTTTGAGAAGAAAAGAACAATCTTATTCCTCTGCACATGTATTCCAATGCCTTCCTTCAGCATGGTAACAATGCTGGGTGCTTTTCTGAGACTCACTCTCCTCATCTATAAAACGGGTATAAAATATACCCAGAAAGGTTCTAAGAATCAATAAACACCATATGTGAAAGTGCCTAGCACAGCATCTACACAGGAAGCTCTCTATAAATGCAAGTTCCAATCATTTTGTAAGAGTATGTAAGATGCTATAATTGTGTTCTGCACAATTCCCAGGGATGCTGAGGAAATTATATCCGCTTCTCAGGCTTCTTTCCTCCTGTACCACTTTCGATAAACACTGAACCTGCAGGGACTGCACTGCATTTTGAAGGAGGCTTGACTCATTCTGGAGTGTGGGTTTTGAGGGAGGAGTGAAGGATAACAAGAGAACTAACTGAATACAAGTCCCTTATGTGGTATGCAATGTGGTATTTCTTTCACGACAATCCCCAAATCTTTCAGAAAACAACTAAACCCATCAGATAGATCACCTGAGTGTGTGTGTGTGTGTGTGTGTATAAATCCACGCAGGTTTGACCTGAGACAGCAAACTCAGGAGCATAGATGGAAACCAGAGAACCATGAAAAAGTAAGGACAAGAAGTGGTAATGCAATTTGAGGAGGGATCTTGACTTTCCTACTCTGTGAAAATAGGGTTCAATCCCATTTCAACCAGCTCTCCAAGGAGCAGGAAAGGCCTGGTAGGTTGATAATGAAATCTGAAGTCACAGAAACTAGTGAAAAAAAGAACTGGCAGAAAATATCCAAAACTCACTAATTTTAACAGAATGATTCTTACAGTAATTAGCTAATTTTACTCTTGCATAATTTATTTCTATTTTACTAGAAGCATAGGAAATCTTACACTCATTTTCTAAATCACTTTTTGAGTAGGATAAATGCACTTTTTGGCTTAAATGAATGAACGTACATCCCAAAGCCCAGGGCAAACGCCAACAGTGACTGAATGTGGCTTTATACTGCTCACTGTGGAGGGTTTCTCCCAACATCTGGGTCAATTCTTTATTTCAATAGCTTTCTTTGTAGCAAATCTTTCTTCAAGCTTCTTCACTTTTAGCCCTTATAAACCATTATTTATCACTTGTCTTACTTTTTTTGTCTTATCTTCCCTTTTCCTCTCACATCTGTGGGGTTTTCTCTTTCCTACTATCTCCACCCTTCTATCATCATCCCCTCACGTCATAACCAAGCAATGCTTTTCATCTTTCCTCGTCTATCATGCTCTGCATCTCTTAATAGTTTTGTAATCTGGTCTAAATACTACATGATACAACTCTACCTTGAGCCTAAACTACATCATGATATGACTGAAACGCATAAAAAAGTGTTTTTATTTAATTGAGTTCTTCACTGGAATCACCTCTCCCATCAAGTGGAATTCAAATTGTGCCTGGATTATAACTAGTTGGATATGTTCCTGAGTTCTGTAGTTGTCTGGAAAAAAAAACAGATCTTCTTCTATCCACTTATTATAGTCCTAAGATATTGGTGGTAATAGTAGCAACAGTTGAGAAAACCCACTATAGCATATGGGAATATTCCCTAGGCCTTAGGAATTTAAAGCAGTATAAAATTAGCATATACAACTCACATTTCCATATATCCCACTGTGTACATTGAGAATAACAGAATAGCATTTAAGACTATGGACATGGGGACTGGATTATCTGGAATTGAATCCATAATGTGGCATTTACCAGCTGTGTGACCTTGGGCAATTGGGCAATTTTCTTAACCTTTCCTTGCCTCCATTTTCTCATCTGTAAAATGGGAATATTAACAATATCTGTCATAAAATTGACATGAAGATTAGACTAATATTTGAAAAAGTACTTAGATTTGGCATAAGTATCGTATAAATGTTTGCTTTGAAAAAGCAAACATGAACATTCATTGAGCATTTATAATGTATCAGGTAAAAGGCCACATGTTATACACGCAATATTTCATTTACTGATCACAACAAGCTTATGAGGTAGGTAGCATATGTCCTATTGGTAGAGGTATCAACTGAGGCTTTAAGAAAGTAATGGAACTAGAAAGTAGAAAAGCTGAAATACAACCAGGGCATTTTGAACCAAAGGCCACATTCTGGAATTAGGAGAAATAGATAAACTTCAGCTCTTACACTTGGGCAAGGACCTGGACTATCTAAGTCTTATCTACAATAATGGTATTCATGCTATATCTGCCTGCTCTACCTAAGAAAGCTATTGTAAACATAAAATATGTTCATTTCTATTAAAGCAGTGTATAAAATTCCACAGAAATCTATATACTAGTAGTAGCTATACACATTCTCACTTTGCCTTATTCATTTGTATATTCACACAAGTGTGTGTGTGTGTGTATGAGAGAGAGTGTGTGTGTATGTGTGTGTGAGGTGTATGAATGCATGTGAATGACTGTGCCCCAAAGGCCGAACACTCGTAGTCCTTTCCAGTAATTTCCAGCAAGAAGACCATCTGTGGTTTGCACATCTTGTTACTGTTAGGGAAGCTGTCTCTTTGCTTCCTAAAAGAGCTAATGTAAGAATATTATTTAAAGTAGGAAAGCTGCTGAGAATGCAGGTTTTCCAAGTTGGATACTGTGGCTGCTGCAAAAGTCTCAAGTTACTCAAAAATAAGCTTTCGGGAGCAAATGCATAAAGAATTTTCACATTGCAAAATTAAGGGTTTTTGTTACCCCTCCTATACAGTCTGACTAAAAATCAGCAGCTAAAAACAAACCATAAAATCAGCAAAACCCAAGCATGTTCAGAAACTCAACCACAGAAGAAATGATAGATTGGAAACTTATGCTTTAAAAGAAGAAAACAATCCCTTGGGGGTATAGAATATTCCAATTCTAGCCCACTCAGTAATTGCAGTGGCCATACTATTCTTTGTGCCCTTAAACAGGAGGATTAAGACAGAAAGTCTCATTAACGTGGAATCGGGAATTACTCAATCTACTTTTGCAATTCCAAACCAAAGCAAAAATGCTTCAACAGAAGTATCCTTTGGGAATTCAAATTGGTGTTGGAACAGTTAATGGGATGCTGAAACTAGATAGTTTGTTATAACAAGATGTGTTTCTAACCCTGTATTCACTCTAAGAAATTTATGCTTTTCTATCTTGGAAATTCAGAGAACAGAAAATGTAAGAATTAAGCCACAGGTGCAATGACATGCAGAAATGGTTTGCTAGAAATTCTAACAAAAAAACAAGAAATTCTCTCATTAAATGTAGTTGAATTTAACTCTGTGAAGGGCTAGGCCAGTATAAAGAATAATAATAATTATATAGAAGCATACATAGATTCACTGCTATTATACCTAATTTTATGCTATGAATACTAGAAATTAAACCCCAAACTAATTCTGCCTCTTCAGAGTTTAATAAATGCTAACATAAAACGTTAGCATTTCTTACTGACCTTTAATGAAAAGGACATCTAAATCATCTAAGTTTGCCAGCTGGTTTGTTTATATTCCAATTCTTGCATCAGTTCAGAGAAAGAGGTAATATGAGAGAAGCATTTTCTATTAGAAGTGCACACCACCAGATCAACTTAATTACTACATTCATGGAAATTCTAGTCTGTTCATCATTTCATTCCTAGGATTTAGCACAGAGCTAGTCATAGAGTAGGCACTTAGGAAATAAATTGTTGAATGAATGAATGGTTTCATTACAGGGGAAAAACCACAAAGAAGAAAGCATGTCTACATATAAAAACCTATGAAAATAAACTAAAAAAAAGACTTGATATTTGGTAGTGGATATAATGATTAAATTAATGCATCCACATAACATAGCCTCCTCCCTATCCCATTATAAGAATATGTGTTGGGGCTGGGTGCAGTGGCTTACTCCTGTAATTCCAGAACTTTGGGAGGCTGAGGTGGGCAGATCACTTGAGGTCAGGAGTTCGCAACCAGCATGGCCAACATGGTGAAATCCCATCTCTACTAAAAATATAAAAATTAGCGGGGCGTGGTGGTGTGCACCTGTAGTGCCAGCTACTCAGGGAGGCTAAGGAAGGAGAATTGCTTGAATCCAGGAGGCAGAGGCTCAGTGAGCTGAGATCTCGCCACTGCACTCCAGCCTGGGCGACAGAGCGAGACTCTGATTAAAGAAAAAATAAAGAATGTTTGTTGGAGCTTAGATAAAAGAAACAGTTTCTTCTCCACCATTAATACTAAGATAAATCCAAATAATACCTCAATTTTTTATTCACTAAGTCATTTTATAATTTCTAAATAAACACTCTGCAGTTTTGATAAATTGATATCATCATGCAAAAATTTTCTATAGTGCCCTGGGGGACAAAACAGGGCAAGGGCTCTAAAATCAAAGATCTAGATTTAAGTCCAGGATCTAACGCTTTCAACAAACTAGTGATCAGATATTTTAATTTTATTGATTAGAAATATGTAGCATGTTTCCTTGGAGCAATCTTTAAGAATTTTGCATATCATCTTTCTACTATAAAGTTTCAAACACTGAGTTAATAGTAGCAAAATTTGTATGGGTTTTCCCTCATGTGCTTTCTGATTATGTCACTATATCACAAGCATTCACTTTGAAATTACACAAATTTCCAATTTATTTCAGTTTTTGCCTTGGAACTTCAAAGTCTTTCAACTGGAAAAGGCTGAAAGTAGGAACACATTATGTAAATCCAAAGATTAGGGCTTGAAGGATTTGGAAGTCAAATTCTTGTAAATGTTAAACAGTCTTTTGCAGTAACTCACAGAGATGAAATTTAATTTCATTACCTTTGATGGAGTGATTTGTAACACGCTATTGCCACATCGATTTCTTTCTGTTTATTCATTTTAGGAAGAAGGAATCAGAATAAATATGACTATTTTAAGACTTTAGGCTTTTATCCAATATTGCTGATTAAAGATACCTATTTTTAACAAGGCCTATTACAAACTATCTCTATAAATCATATGGACAAGCTGATTAAAATGTAGTTTTGCTTATGCACAACATAAGGCAACTCCAAACTTAATCAAGATAGCTTCTGCAGGTAATAATAATCTGGGCCAAAGTCCAGTGGTTTATAGTTAAAATGACAATGTAGTCCAACGATCTACCCTCTTAACTTTCCCCAAAAGAAGACACAAAAGACAGGAAAAGAAGGTACAGAAAATATGATTCTTAGCTACATTTTAATTCAGGAATTGGGTGGAAAACACTCTGGGTAACCCATTGTTTCTTGACTTCTTCAAACTAAATCATCCTATTGATGAATATAAAACATCCTTAAGTCATTATAAATGTTTTAAGTAAAAATGACATTTTGTGGTTTTTAAAAATGTACGATTGCATTACTGATTACATTGTTGATTGAAATGATTTCTTTTGAAAGCTGCCCTATCGAAATTCGGATTAGCTACCCTAGACAGGGCATGCCACATCCTCTTCCTCAGTTTGAGAATCACTAGGTGTATCTGTTCTAGTTTTCTTCTGCTTAGATGATAGTGGCTTCACACATGAAAGCTATGTAGTGCTCCCAATACAACCAAGTTGGATTTCAGACTTTATTCAGAAAAAAAATTATAAAATGTTAAAAATTACATTACAGAAATCACTTTTCTTCTTCTCAGCAGTGACTCTATAAACATTATCTTTCCCCATTATTTTAAAACTTTTCTTTCTATTACAGAAGAGAACATGATCCTCTTCTTGCCAAAGCCAATCTCTCCACATGTTCTCTAAACCTAATTGCATTCCCTCTTTATACTGGGGGTTTTAATGTACTAACCACTCTCTTCCTTCTGTAAGTCCTGAACTAATTGAGAAATAGACACAGGGGGCAAGGACCCCACCCCAAGCTGGCACTTGGAGAAGCAGTGTCCTGGTGAGATTGCCCCAGGGGGAGCAGGAGTTAAGATGGACATGCTGAGGGCCATCAGGTCCCAAAAGAAGAAGCCAGAGGAGGCTGGGTCATGCAGCCAGAGTCCTTCCTTTTCACAGCCTCAGAAGTCACTTTTCTTCCTCTGGGGAGGCATGAGTCAGGGAGAATGAAAGAAAAGCCAACATTCTCTTTGAAATCCTTCAGAAAGGAAGAACATTTCTATTTTACGCACAAAGGAAGGGATGCAGGAAAGGGAGAAAAACTTCCTCCTACACTCCCTTTTCAAGGCTTTACTCCGAAGTGATCTCTCTTATCCTGTTCACTCGCTCCCTGCTCACTTATTCCTGCCAGCATTCACCCAGCGCAAACACTTCACATCACTTCAAGTCTGTTTCTCTGTAAGGCCACCATTCCCTTCCTCTAATTTCTTCTCTCCTTTTCAGCACACAGCTTCATCTCCGATTCCCTGCACAACCCTCTCCAAAATACTGCTTTGTACTCACCGCTTTCACAAAACAACTCAGGTTTTCGTAACTTCATGTAGTCAATTTCAAAAGGTACTTTTTGATATTTATTTTTCTCAGTCTTTTACCTGCTGGGTGTATTTGTGGAAGAGAATAGCACAAGGGTTAAGACTATGGACTCTGAAGTTAGAATGCCTGGCATTCGACACTTGCCTTCTTATTATGGGATCTTGGGCAAATTACTTAATCTCTCCATAGTTTCCTCATTTGTAAAATGGATCTAATAACAGTACTCAACTCAATAGTCTATAGGAGGGATAATATAACACCATCCAGATAAAGTATTCAGCATGATACACACTGGCACATATAAATACTCAACTTTTTTTAACCACTCCCTCTATCTTGAAACATTCTACTTTCATAGATTCCCTGACATAATTCTCCAAATATTCCCTTTTTCACTATTCCTTGAATAAGCCTCTTTTTCTTTTCTTTTTTTAAGAGACAGGCTCTCACTGTGTCTCCTAGGCTGGAGGGCAGCTGTTATAGCTCACTGCAGCCTCTGAACTCCTAGGCTTAAGGGATCTTCCCACCTCAGCCTCCCAAGGACCTGGGACTACAGGGGCACACCACTGTGCCCAACTTTTTTTTTTTTCTGGAAGACACAGGGTCTCATTATGTTGCCCAGCTTGGTCTTGAATTCCTGAGCTCAAGCAATCCTTCCATCTCAGCCTCCTAACTTGTTGGGATTAGAGGCATAAACCACCACACCTGACCCAAGTCCTCATTTTCTATTCGACCTCTAAATATTTTGTAATTTTGATTCAATCCCTAAGTATTTTGGAATATCCAGGGGCCTAATCCACTTGGTCCAGTTGGGCCTCCCTCTGCTCTATTTTCACTCTTTCCCTAGATATTGTAGTCTATTTCTTTGGGATTAAACATTTATATCCTGAAGACTCTTTTTTTCTTTTTGAGATGGAGTCTCGCTCTGTCACCCAGGCTGGAGGGCTGCGGCGTGATAGGCTCACTGCAAGCTCCGCCTCCTGGGTTCACAACATTCTCCTGCCTCAGCCTCCCGAGTAGCTGGGACTACAGGTGCCCGCCACCACACCCGGCTAATTTTTTGTATTTTTAGTAGAGACGGGGTTTCACCATGTTAGCCAGGATTGTCTGGATCTCCTGACCTCGTGATCCGCCCACCTTGGCCTCCCAAAGTGCTGAGATTACAGGCGTGAGCCACCGCGCCTGGCCAAAACTCTCTGTTTTTACCTCCAAAGTTTTCCTCAACACTTGGAACTTAAATATTCAGCTAGCTACTTGGCATTATCCATTACATGCAACACATTTTATACTTAACATGTCCAAAACAAATTCTTGATTTCTAAACTTGACCCTGACTTTCCTCCTTGTCTTCCCAATCTCTGGAAATGGCACCAGCAGGCACCTACACAGTCGCTCATGACAGAAACCTTGAAGGATATTTCATCCTTTCCTTTGTAACACTTTCCAACTCTGATTCATCAATAAACCCTTTCTATTATACCTCCAAATTATATCTTAAGTTTCTTCATTTCCTAGTCATCATTTCTCTCGACTGTTACCAAAGCCTCCATGCTGCTCTCTCTGGTTAGACCTTGGTCCCCTACTACCTACTCTGCTATAGCAACCAGAGCAAGCATTTTTAAACATCAAGCAAATGGGTTGTTCTCTGACTTTAAAGAACTGAATGGCTTTCCACTGTGGTTGGATGAATTTCTAAGCATCTTTCAATGGTCCATAGTGCCCTGATAGTCTTGGGCCACTTTTCTTGCCCATGTCCTAGTTGCCTTGATATCCTTCAAGATTCCCAAATATGTGAATCTCTTTCTGTCCAGAGGGCCTTTGCATATGCTCTTACCTCCACCTGGAATGCTCTTTGAATTGCTGATTGCTTCTTATTTTTTAAGTCTCCTCTGAAAGACCATCCCTACAATTTTAAGTAGGTTGTCTCTCATCCTCCTTCCCTAGCTCCCACTTCACCCCAGGTTACTCTTTAGCACTGCATTCTGCTCATTTGCTTCTCATGGTGTTTATCATAAAGTCTACCAACAGATTTGTTCATGTCCACTTTGTTCTGTCTCTCTCATTTCATTAGACACTCTGATGGGGAGTGTCTTTTAGAAGTCACTTCAAAAGGAAGTAGATTTCTTTTATGTATCCAATACAGTGCTTTGCAATTATATGCACACCAAAAACATATACTATATGAATTAATAAATGAGTGAATCAATCAGTTCATGAATCAATGACCCCCTCCTCATAGGCTTCACACCTGTCTTCATACAGAAGACTTATAGGACATGTGGTTATGTTTATTTTCTCCATCTTCTTTCATTCTTAGTTTGGCTCAGTCACAATGTCCCAAATCTTTCGCAAGAAATTACTGTCATATTTCTCTGGTTAGAAAACCACAGCATTCCTAATAGTTATGTAAAAATACAGCTATCTCCTGATCTATAACCTGGACCAATTTTTAAATCTGAAAATTATGACTGAATACACAGTTTAAGAAATAGGGTTAGGTAGAAGATTCTTTTAAACATGTGTTGATTTATTGGTATTGTGCTAATGAGCATTTCACACCTGCATTTTCCAGGCCTCATACTTCTGCAGGTGGTAAATTACATTAGGAGAAAAATCAAATGGAGAGTGAATGCAGAAAAGCAATATATTATACATTAACAAAGCCAGGAAAAAAGGGGCAATAGAAAAAATATGTATCCATATATGTACTTCTAATTGCATGACTGATAGAAATTATGACATAACTATTTAAAGCAGTATATTTTTCAATCCTCATTAGTATATTTAGTCAATCATCATCAAAGAATAATAAAATCTGATGATAACAAAAAGTACAATCTTTATTTATCTCTAGATTAGAAGGCTTTTACATCTGTTGGGAAGCCTAGTTCAACTATTAATGTTATAGTGACAGTAATGTAACTATAGAAATGTAAGATTTCTTGAGCTCGTGCTATACATTAAGTAAATGATAAACAATTGCCTTTAATCCATTTGCTATCAGCCACTTGAGGTCAGGGATTGTCTTATTCTCATTTGAGCCTTCAGTGCCCTGTATTCTGCCAGGCACATAGTAACTACCACTTAAAGCTTGACTTCACCTAAGATAAGCTTAATAACCTGGAACGTAAAAACAGCACAGGAAAGGATGCCTTGAAGCCCTCTCAGAAACACTTAGTTGCTCTACATCACAAACTTGATATTAGCACTATAGTTTCAAGGGTGCTCCTCTGGACTCCTCTTAACTGTGAGTGTAGTAAAATTAAAACAACACTGGTCTGGACTAAAAATTAAATTTTGAAGTGAGGCACTTAACCTGAACCTCATAATTCCTTCATGTGTACAAAGCTGAGAATCATTCCTGCAACATTAGCCCAACGAGGGAACAGGTCTTTGTGTTCCCCAACATCTGTTGAGTCCCTTCTATGTTCAAAGCACTGTACTAGATTCCAGGGATCTTACTTGCTGGCATCAGCTCTTTGTATTTTGTTAGGTGTTTAAAGCTGACTCTCTCTTGTTGGGTGGGATATTTTAGGAGTTCTTTGTCTTCTCCTCACTAGAGAGATATCTGTAGTTTGCTCTTTGTGACTGAAAGCAGCTCTTCCCACTGGTCACTCATAGCTCCTTCCCAGGGCTCTGACAGTAGACCTCCATGTTCTTTCTGCTCGCATTACCTCCCTCCCCCAGGTAGAAGAGAACTAAGATTCTTGCAGGACAGTTCTGGACAAGATCCAAGACTCTTTCAGGCCAGTTCTCTCTTGTAAGGCCACATCTTGCCAACACGAAACATTCTTTGCCCCGCAGGTTTCAGCATACTCACCGGATGGCAGCTCTTTACATCCCCTTGTCAGGTCTCCAAGCAGCTGTAGTCTCTCCCCCTTTTCATTTCTCGTATTTGACTCAAAGTCTAAGCCATTGTTTCCCCCAAGCTCTTTGGTTTGTTTCAATGAAGGCTCTTACCTATTTGGGATAAGGTAAAGGCATCCCTCACCCCTTACCCTTAAGGGTTGGGATAGGACAGGATTCCCAGAACATCAACAACAGCCCTCTCTGAAAACCTTGCTCTAATCTCCACACTGTTGTATTGGGCGGTCAGCCAAGGGTCATGAAATCAGTCCCTGTCTACCAGCTTTTCAAGGCTTTATTTGGTGGGCTCATGCCTCATTTTGAAATGAGGGAGTAAAAGGTACCTTCTCAGTTTTAGCTGAAATAGAGAAAATGTCTAATTTTAACTTCCTGTTACAGATGTAGTGTATCTTTATTAACATTTCTTACGGTCATTATTGTTCTCTGGCTAAGGAAGGGTTGAAACTGCCAAAGAAGGTGTAAATGGAAGAGAGACATCCTTCCATTTCTAGTTTAAAATTTTTATTTATTTATATTTATTTAGTTTCTACATATTCATTGAAGGATTATTGAGTACAATGCCCTGTGCTAAATGCTGGAGACACAAAGATGAAAAGAAAAATGTTGCTATCCTTTGGGGCATAAAAAGGATGGATTTATAAAATAAAACTATAAAAAAAGATAAGTAGTTTGGTTGCAAGAGGGTAATCCTTCCCCAATTTCAATTTTGCCTTGCCAGAAGTTCTAATATTCGTGTGGATTTGTTTCTGATTACCTTTTACTCAGTTGTACAAAACTGAGTTTAGTTATTTGTGAATGGTGAGGCATTGGTATTGAGAATAATTACAATAAGAGAAAAGTGAGCCTGGGATTAGAAAAAACAGGTAAAGGTACAGGAGTGGGATAAAGGACTTCTTCTTTTCTGCCAAGAAGCATTGAGCTGAAATGAGATGGTCAAGTTTTCTTTTACAGAAGGTACTTTAAATACAAAGAAAAAGCTTCTACCTATTGCCAACATGTTATTATATAAAACGAAAATATTTTTACAGCAAAAATTATAGGTGAATCTAATCTCAGAATAAAGAGCAGACATTTGAGTTGAATACATTTAGCTAAAAAATAAGAACCCAATGGCATCATCATTCTTGTGATTTTGCTATGGAGAGGTAAAAATCTGGTGGGCATGGACTGTAAACAGGCACCTGAGAACCACTAGACTAAAAAGTCTCAAATTTTATAATTGATGAATTTGCTTTTCTGAGAATTCCTTTATTCAAGTCTGCTCCTTTCCTGTCTCTATCTTTCTATATCTTATAGCAGACGAACAGATTTTCATAGAGTGTTTTGAGCCCTGAATTCTGGACTGGCTACATAATTTGTGGTGCCTGGTACAAAAGAAAACTGTGAGGCCCCTTGTTAAAAAATTATTAGGAATTCAAGACAATGAAGGCACAGCATTAAACCAAGTGTGAAGCCTTGCTAAGCACAGGCCCTGGGAAGCTGCATGGGTTGCACATTTATGAAGCTATTGCTGCCTGTAATTCCTGATACAATCCCCCAAATTGATTTCCCAAAGCACAGCTTTTTAAAAATGATGTTTCAGTATCTAAGAATCTTATCAAAAGAAACATTTCTGGAATGAGGTTCCAGCTAGGTGGAGTCTTTGTTACTGGTCAGTAAATTACATCCTGCAAGTCAAAGCTTAACCCCAAAGTACTATAGATTATGAATTGAGATATTGCCTTAATCTCCTGGCAGTTAACATTTCTTTAGTCAGTTTATGTTAATCTTTCTATCTGTAGGGTTATTATTGAAGCTTAAGAATAATATTCTAAGAATACATGATTTGATCAAAACCACCTGGATGTTTCAAAATAACCTCCATGTGGAGAAAAAGCACTGACAGTCCCAAGCCCTGCAACAGGAAACAGATGTGGAGGAAGTACACCATCCTTCCCATTTGCATTAAAACACGAACTATTTACATGGAAAGGATTTTGTTCTGCAGAGGCAGGAGGCATTTCAGAACAAGGATCATTGGGAGACTCCTAAAAGAGTGCTCTGGCTATCACCCTAGGCTAACCCACTTTTCCTCTTTTGGATACCACTGTGGCTTCCTTCTCCTGCTTCCACTCTTTCCTCTCACTCATTCCATTCTGCAAACGAAGAGCAAAGTGCTTTTAAAAAACATAATTCAGATCGTGTCCGTCACTCCATTGGCTTCTCATCCCACTGAGAGGAGATTCTAAACCACTCACCATACTCTGCAAGATCCCATATAACCTGGCCCCTGCCTACTTCACTGGCTTCATCTCTATGCTCCTCCTCCCTCTCTCTGTTCTGTTCACACTTTCCTTTCTGTTCTGAGAAATTGCACCAACTTCAAGCCAGGCGTGGTGGCAGTTGCCTGTCTTCCTAGCTACTTGGCAAGCTGAGACAGGAGGATCCCTTGAGTCCAGGAGTTTGAGGCTGCAGTGAACCTTGATTGTGTCACTGCCTGAGCAACAGAGGGAGACTCTGTCCCTTAAAAAAACAACAAAGAAGCAGTTGTATGAGTTTGTACAAGAAGATTTTTCTGCTTGAAATCCATCTTCCCTAAAATTTCACATCTGGCTTTTTGTCATGCTGGTCTCAACTCACAATTCCCTTTCAGAAAGACCTTCCTTGATCACCCAACTTCAATTTGTCAACTCTCTCCATCACCCAATTTTGTGTTTTCTTCAGACGACTTATCAATGATACATTTTCTTGTGAATCATCTGTGACCTTAACCCTTTTACTAATGATGTAAGAGTTGAAAGTTTGCCTGCTTTGTTCACTGATTTATCCCCAGTGCTTAGAACAGACATTTAGATGATATAGCAATTTTGTTGCACATTCACATATTTCACTCTGCATTAACTAAAAGGAAAACATTATGCACTTGCTATAATTAAAAAATGACAGTTTCTCTGCAGAGATTTTAAATATACAGGGAAAAGATTGACATCTTGGATGTAACGCTTCAATGTATTGTAGCAGGATGAGCCACAGACAAAACCTCTCAGACACCAAGTTGTAGAAGGAAGGGCTTTATTCAGCTGGGAGCATCGTCAAGCTACTGCCTTAAAATCCGAGCTCCCTGAATGCACAATTTCTGTCCCTTTTAAGGGCTCACAACACTAAAGATTTTACATGAAAGGGTCGTGATTGATTTGAGCAAGCAAGGGGTATGTGACAGGGGCTGCATGCACCAGTGGTCAGAGAGAAACAGAACAGGGCAGGGAGTTTCACAATGTTCTTCTATACGATGTCTGGAATCTATGAATAACATCGGTTTCTAAGTCATGAGTTGATTTTTAACTGCTGGGTTTAGGCCAGGCAGGCCCAGGCCTGGTTTCGGGCCTGGCGCCGGACTGCCTGTCTTTGGTTTTACTTCCTTGTTGTTTTTTCTTAAAACAGGTACTGAGTATAAAACAATATAAAATAATATGAGAGGGTCTTTCTCTTCCTTCAGTATAATATATGCTATATTTCTCCTTGATGACTATACTAACTTATTTTATTTCTTTGGTAATTTCACAGGAGCTCCTTTAAGTAGTCTACACTTGATGATGATTTGTAGCACAAAAATCCATACAGCATACAGCCAGCAGCTAGACAGTAGTCACTTGTGATTCCTGGGTCACTGGCTTTTGGCACAGTAAGCAAATGAAAGCTCAGTGACTACATATTTAGCATTCACTTCTCAGCGTCACAGGCCACAGAAATGCTGCTTAATTATTCAGGCAATGATTTGCAATTGCAAGTCACTGCTGAGACAGTGACAAGCAAGTCAGAGTTTTAGGGGGAGAACACGTCTTTTTTCTACCACACATGCTCCTATTTGACTTCAAGGGTATTGCTGGAGTCAGAACCCAAATATTGCTTTATCTCATATTAGTTATATTTTTGTGGTTCCTTTCTCCCGTGACATGAAACATAGAATAAAACTCTACCAGTTATTCAAAAGTCAAAGAAGAAAAGAGAAAATTGTGAAACTTGTTCATAATTTCTGTCATGCACTGAGTTGATTAATGGCAGCAGCAATTTTGGAGGTGGTGGTGGGTCTGTTGTGTGTTTTCATCATTCCTACACAGTAAAAGCAAAGTATCACATAAGTTTATGGAAAAAAACCCTCTAAATATACAGAGAAGAATCTATTATGCTATTTGTACTGCTGTCAACATAGACTAAGAAAGAGAAACCAAGCTATACAAAGGTTTGGGTTACAAAGAGGAAGGATATTTTACATGAAACGTATACACTCTTTCCCCTGACTTAGGAGGACCCTCATCAACTGGTCTTCAATAAAGACCACTAGAAATAACATTTTTCATAAGAATAAAATATTAGACCAATAGAAAAATAGTAATTTAGCAGTCATTCTGGTAATCATCTCCCAAGCAAAATTATAGTTGTCAAGGAAAACAGGATATAACATTTAAACATCTCCTAATTCTTTTTTTTTTTTTTTTTTTTTTTTTGAGACGGAGTCTCGCTCTGTCGCCCAGGCCGGACTGCGGACTGCAGTGGCGCAATCTCGGCTCACTGCAAGCTCCGCTTCCCGGGTTCACGCCATTCTCCTGCCTCAGCCTCCCGAGTAGCTGGGACTACAGGCGCCCGCCACCGCGCCCGGCTAATTTTTTGTATTTTTAGTAGAGACGGGGTTTCACCTTGTTAGCCAGGATGGTCTCGATCTCCCGACCTCATGATCCACCCGCCTCGGCCTCCCAAAGTGCTGGGATTACAGGCGTGAGCCACCGCGCCCGGCCATCTCCTAATTCTTTAGCTAAAAAGGTAAAACCTGCATCAGTTGGTTCCTTGTTATATAAGACGATGAGATGAACTAATGGCACATAAAATTATCTTGGAACAAAATTAACTCCAAACATTTTTTTAAAGTTTTTAAGTGACATACTGCAATGAGTGCCCAGATGCATCATGTAATTTACACATACACATGCACACACATGCACTTACAAGCACACACGCCCACACTCACACACACACTCACACACACAGCTTAACATGTGAGTTGAATGAAACATAAAGATGCAATCATGATTTAAAACAACAGTCTTGAATTAAAGTCTCTTAAATAAAACACATTTCTATGGTCCATGCTGTGATTTAAAGGATTCTGGATTTCGTATAAAGCTTTTTGATCAAAACTACAATATGTGGGCTGCAAATTGTCTCATGAAATTTCTTCATTAGTAAGCAAAATTTTTACTATTTATCACATATAATATTTCCCTCCATATATTTTTATTGTATCTGAGTCACACGCTTGATTGATTTATTTGCAAAGCAAAATGGTTTTGGGATTTATGTTTAAAGGAATACTCCATGTATAGATTTATTATCTAGGCAATAAACCTCAAAAATACATTTGAGAAAAATGTTTGGTGTTAATAAGTGTAGATACTTGATGTTCATGCAATTGTACCACTTTCCTAAAATTATATTTTACTACAATATTGTGAAATGTAATTTATAGCAAACAACAGAAGCATATTTCCAGGAGTCTCCATAAGAACTTTTGGTGGCTATTGCTTAAGGACGACTATAAGCAAATTTCTAGCATGGAATTATAATCAGAAGACAAAAGTCAAACATACAAAAGTCAGAGATGAGACAGTACATTTGAACCCAGTTAAAAGTACATTAATTAATCCCATAAATCAGTTTTCCTGAGCAATACACATACATGGTAAGAATGGGGAAAAAAACAGGGCCACAAGTGGGCAGAAATTAAAATGTCCATATTTCATAGTGAGAAGGTGAAACATATGTTTGGCCTCACTCTCTGACATGCAATGAAGACACACACACACACGCGTGTGCACACACACACACACACATATGGTGACCATATAAATTTTTCTACCATAAACCTTTCCCCCAAGGAAGAGGGGTTTAATCATCTAATACACATTACAATGCAACTGAAACAAACATCAGAGTCATTCAATACAAATGTGCACTTCAGAGGTAGATTTTGATCTTCATCAAATACACATTTATGGTGTCATAGTGGCTAAGACTCCAGTAAATATTTCCAAAAGTGTGAAGTAATAAAACCTTCACCACATGAGCCAGACATTTTCCCAAGACTGTATTATTTCAATTTTTACTATGACTACTTTCTCATCACTACGTGGCTAATACCTTCTCTTTATTTTGAGATGAAAGCAAGGCAGGCAGGGAAAATTATATAACAGAAAAATACTAGCTGAATGCCTGTAAAATTTTCTAATAGATAAAAATGAATTAACTGTCACAATCACAAAAAGTGACTAACTACCAACGACTCATATTTCTCCATTAATTGAATCCCCAATATGAATTTACAAAAATTATAGGTCTCAGGCTTTTCTAAGTCAATATGTCAATTTAGTGTTAAAGTATATGAAGAGTTTATCATCTTCCAAGCATTTATGAAATCCTCCTCTAAACTGCCCCATGTTAAGTGCTGAACTAGTGCACTTTACACAGATAACAGCTCTAGTGGATATGAACTTTTCTCCCCGTGTTGAAGTGTGTCAGAAATATCACATTTCTCTGAATCAACTTAAATCTAACACTGAGCGTCCTGTGGCAGGAAATTCAATCTCAATCACTTTTGTGCTTTCCTCCCGTGCCCAGAATGGTGCAAAAATCCCAGGATCTTAAGTATCTCTAAAGCAAAAGGAAGTGCCCCCTTCCTTGACCCTCCCAGTCTTTGGTTTACATTGGTCTACCTCCGTCACAGATTGCATGGAACACATTGGGCCACACTAGTTCACCCACTGTCTCAGCTGATCCTTCATGGCTGTGATTCTGCTGTTTCTGTGCCTGCTGCAAGCAAGGGAATCATAAGTGCGACTGTAATAGTCTCCCTAGGGATATTAGCAGACCATCTTCTCTGAGATCTTGCTGTATCTTGATAGTGTGTTAGTCATCATTAGCTCCCTGGCTTCCAGGCCCTTCCTCTCCTTGTAGTTACTGGCTGGAACCATGGGACTAGCTCTGGCCAATTAGATGTTAGTAGAAGCGATATGCATCACTTCTGCACCAAGAATCACCAATGTGAGACTCTCCAGCTCTCTTTCTATCCTGGTATAGTACTAGTAATGTTGGAGATGATGGCTGTTCTGTCAACCAGGTTCCTGGATTGAGGAGACATGGAGCAGAATAAGTCCATACTATCTGTGATGAAAATGAAGATCAAATGGAAAATAAACCATGTATTTTACACTACTGAGATTTGAGGCTGTTTTTTTTAATTGTTTGTTTACAAAAGTATAATTTAGCTTAGTGCTTCTAAAACTTGAGCATGTATCAGAATCACCTGGAGAGCTTATGAAAACATACATTACTTGGTCCTGCTCCCAGAGTTTCTGGTTCAGTAACACTCGGATTGGAACTGAGAATTTATATTCCTGATAAGTTCCCAGATGATACTGATATTATTGGTCCAGGGATTAGACTTTGAGAACCACTGACCTAGACTATCCTGACTGATATGCACTGCCTCAAAGTGATGTACAAGCCCTTCTTCTGAACCTGGGGTCCATCCTCAGGGGTCCATGGACTTGAGTAGGAAAATAATAATGTCCGTTTTTTAATTAACCTCTAACTGAAAATTTAATATTTATTTTTTATTATAAATGCAGATAATGAACCACAATAGTATTAGTAGTAACTATAAATCTACAGTGAATAAAAAGCAGATTTTTATATAATTTTATAGTTAAAAATCTGTGCTCATCACTATATGAAGGTTAATTACTTGATCTGCTGCTAGATATTAATATTTTATGAATTAATAAACAAACACACAAGTTACTTATTCCAATCTCTAAAGTATTTTATAAACAATTTTTAATATAATGCTTCCTTTGACATCCTCATCAAACTGCTGAAGGGGATTGTGGTGCAGAAAGGATTAATATTTGAAGTTATCATCCTCTCACTCAGACCGAATTCTTTGCTGTCTTGGGAAAATTTCTCTTTCCACTAGCTGTCTGCAAAAGAAGCCATCTCTCTTCTATCTTACCCCAGGATACACAGCATAATTTCAGCAAATTTTGGAATTTACAAAACGTAGAAAGAACAAACTTCTAGTAACTTCTGCTTTTTGCACTCAAAATTCCCTACAACAGGAAAACTAGGGAACTGGATAATTGATCAGAAATATGGAGATGTCAAGAGGAATAAAACTTAAGAATAAAACCTCAGAAAATTATCCCACTACATTCCATCTACACGGAATACCCTCTTCTCCTTTTCTCTCTCTATTTATAGAATTGCCTGTCTTCTTCCAGGATGAGTGCAAGCTCTAGCTCTTCATTCCTAACACTTTCAATAGTTACCTGATTTCAGTAAGTTTTATTGTATTTGCCCGTAATACTAAATAGACACATATTATTGCATATTTACAAACTGTGGTTGATAATAGATTCCTCAAAATGTTATGTGGATTATGTAAACAATATATAAATATTATATATCTATGTATATTAAATAATAGATAACTATTATATATCTATGCATATTACCAATACCTATATTCATTTACTCATGTACTGAATCACAAATATTACTGAGCAGTGGTGTGCAGGGGCAAATCGGCTATCAGCTCCACTACCCTACTGTGAGTACCTACACGTGTCTGGCACTATTCCAGGTGCTGGGAACACAGTGATGATCAAGGTAGAAACGTCTGTGCTCTCATATAACTTAAATTCTACTGGGGGATGTAAGTAATAAATAACAAATGAACAATGAAGAAATGCCAAAAAGTATTACACAGAGATTTAAAAGGCAGAATGGGACACCACAGCGTGTCTCAAACTTAAATGTGCACCAGAATCACCTCGTCCACAGACCAGCAGCTCTGCTGTCATCTAACAGCTTGTTAGAAGTGCAGTCTCAGGTCCCATTCTACACCTACTGAACTGGACTTTACATTTTGATCACTTCCCAGAAGATTTGTTTATATATAAATGAGAAGCACTGTTATAAGTGACTATATAGTTGCACATAGTAGGTATTCAATATTTATTCATTTAGTCCCAGTCAATATTCATAAGCCAACTACATACTGTAGATGCAGGTGGATAAGTCAGGATACTGATGGGAGTTGGGGAGGGTTAGGACTTACAGACACCTGTCTTCAGGCTTTAAGGGAACTGGGATCATTTTCAGGGCTCCTTTCATTCCTTACAGTGCACACCTACTGTGTGTGTGGTGAAAGGTCGTCAAATATAAATTTTTCTTTAAAAAATAGGGAAAAGCCACTGTTTTTAGTGAGACCACACACAATATAATCAGCTTTAAGTTTTCATCAAATGCTACAAAAACTGAAACAAAAAGAGCTAAAATCTTAATACTGCAAAAACTTGATGCTACAGAATCCTCAGCTCCTAGAGGGCAATGAATTATCTGGCAAGAAAAAGCCTGTAGAAGGGGGCAGGTAGGGGTGAAAGGTGCCTTCTGGTCCTGTGGTTTATGAGCTATGAACTGCAGCATGTTCTCTTACTTCCTCTGTCCTCGGTTGACTCATCTGTAAAATGGGTTTAGTAATAATAACATGCTTACAATTTTCAGAGATTTAAACTCTTTCAAACATTTTCTGGTATAAATCTCATAATGACTATGCAAGGTAGGTATCATCATCTCCTTTTTATAAAGAAATAACTGAGGCTTAGGGTGGTTGAATATATTAGTCAAGACCATGTAAACTTGCAGAGCTACTTTGATACCCAGTTCAGAAAGCAGCCTTCTAAGAGTGTGTCCTTACCTTTAGCTTACACTGCTTCACAGAGCTATTTTGGTAATGTAATACTAAATTAGCCTTCATTCCCAGCTCCATTTTTCTTTCAATATCCTCTCTTATAATAACCATAAATATAAATGTAGAATGTAAACAAGTATAACCTTGATATTCAATTAGCCGATCCTAAGCCCCCAGAAGACATAAGCATGGCTTGGGAAGATAGTGAAATCTCAGGAAGGGAGAGAAACACATTCATGTGTAGAGAGTCCCAAAAGAGCAAAAACGTATTTTTTTCAAATGGAGAATTCAGTGTGGCCCGACATTGTTAGTTAATATAAGCATGAAAGAATCAAACGGGAAGTTAATTACACTGCTTATTCCTGGGGCCCATCCTCAGAGGTTCTGATTTGGTGGGAGTGCATTTTAAATAGGCTCCCAGGCCCGTCTGGTTTCAGATGGTCCATAGACCATGGTCTTGGCTATGGTGGTAACAAAGTGTGTAAAATGAGTTAAGAAGGGAAAAGGTAAGAGATAAAAGGAGGACACTCAAAGGAAAACAAGGAGGAATGAGAAGACACCTGCAGGGAATACAGGTATATGACAAATGCATACTGGAACCCGACAGAGGCAGCATGCTAACATCTGCATGTCAAGCAATATGGTTCTGCAGGCTAAAATAGCTTTTCTCTAAATTGTAATATAGTTGCAACATTGCTTAACCCAAAAGGTCCCCACCAGTTAGCTACCCATATAGCTGTAGCTGTAGCATTTAAGAATGTATAATAATTTATAATGCATTTTAGAAAAATTTACTATGAATACTAGTTCAATTTTTTTAAAAAAAAGTCTCCTAGCCTGAAGGTCTACTCCAGGTACTTCTGTACATATAACTACAGCTTTCCAGAATGTGGGAAAATCCACAATGCATTTTAGAAAAAAAATATTTTTTAACATCAGTTCATATATAAAGGCTTGTGTCCCTGTCTATCCCCCAGATCTTCATAAACACAGACCCTCCTATTTAGGATTCTGGACTGGTGAAAGTTCGTTGAAGTCTTAACACAATTTGGTAAGCATTAATATGGAACATATACTATTTGAGAGGTTAATTGGCCTGAGAGTTTAAGGTGTATGAGGCATAGCTTCTTATCCCAAAGACCTAATCAGCTTCTTATACCCCAAATACCTGTAGACAGTAACTTAAAAGCTTGTAAAGGATCTGAAAGACAGTAAGCAGACAATGTTAATGTTATATTGCTGTCTGTTTCCAGAGCCTGGAGGGGGGAATGGTAAACATAAGACATTCCTTTTACACACATCATTGTGCAGGTGACCTTCAAGTAGCTCCTACTTGGTACGCCTGCCAAAGAACCTCAGAGAACCATAAAAGCAGGTATTCCCAGGTTTTAAGGGCAACTGTAACTGATATAGTGAACACACTGAGAATTTAGTCTCTTATTTTCCTCCCATTTTGCTTTAGATTCTCTGAGGCTATTGGACACAAAACAACACTTTACCCGAAGTTTTAGCTTTCTTTTTAAAGTTTTCATCTGAGGGCCTTCTGAGCTAACTATCTAAAGAGATCAAAATGTTTTGGAGACAGGGAAGTCATGAATTAGCAACACATAGCACTTGCTGAAAGTTGGATGAGTTAAATAGCAGTCAGAAAGTAAGAGCTGAACAAATGAGTTCCTCTGTCATTCCCAAACTGTGACCCAGGCACCTCAGGGTATCAGGGGAATTTTAAATTTTCAAAGAAAACACATTGATATCAGATGGACATCAGGCAAAAGTTATCTTTCAGTTGTCTGGACCTAATTATTTCATACACAAAATGTTAGGTATTTATTTTAGTTTGGGGGCCCCATACAAAATTCTGAGATAAGGATAAACCCAGAAAGTTTGAGAACCTCTGGTGTGTCCAATAAAATATAGCCAGATAGCATTTTATATCACTTTTGTTTTTTTCATTTATTTTTCATTGTTAAATTGAGAGGTAACATACTAAAGGTGACAAAGATAACTTAGCATGTGTTAAGCATTGATCTAAACACTCACGTAAACCACCTCAATTGATACCTATGAATTTCTCATTCCTAGCTTCATTTTACAGGAAAGAAATGAAGCACATGAGGTTGACACAATTGCCAGAAGTCACACACATTAGGAGCAGACCATGTGCCCCTGGAGGTGGTTCTTCTAACCACCATATTGCTGGTCCTCACCCGGCAGAAGTGTATCAAAGTGTGTGACACATAATTCAACTAGCCACTGCTTGCTTTCACAGGCTTGAAAACTAGAAATTTCACACTACCAATATTTGCACACTTCTAAAATGCCACAGATCATATAGGAAGTTTTTATGGGGATTAGGAAGATGAGATATATCACCACATTAATGGTATGTATTGGTTAAAAGAGTTCTATTTCAGATTAGTTAAAATGTGAAAATAAAGGTTACTTAAAAACAAGGAAAAACAACATGCTCACACTGGTGTATGGGTATATGTATGTGTTTGTCTGTAGGCAAATGAATATGTTTGTCTGCACATACATATTAATTACAGGTGTGTTAAATGAAATAAAATGTCAACTAAAAACTGTTGAGAGGAATACTCATGGAAGAACAAAGATAAATTAGAAGTCAGAAGAAAATGAAAAAGAAAGGAAAGCAAGGCCAGTATCTAAGTAAGATTGGCAGAGATAACTCCTCCCAGAAAGGAGGCAGACAAGAGAAAGTCTGTGACTATCACATTGCAAGTCAGTAGAAATCAGGATGCCTGCATATTGAGCGGAGCGTCGAGGAAGCAGATCTGAAAAGAGCAGAGGGAAATGAATGATAACCCCAGATTGAGATTACACTAGTCAGTATAAAGGCAGATAGGACACCCAGGACAAGCGAAGGGGCTGAGCACTATCATTTGTTTAATAACAAATAAATCATATAAATATATAAATGTATATATCCCTCAGATTGGCTCACCAACCCTCCATAATGCTATAGGGCATTATCTCCTACAGCTCCCCCCTCCACACACGCTAAACACGCCAAATCCATCTTATCCTTCTCTTGTGCTTTCCAAGCCAAGGTGACAGAATAGAAGGCTTACTCTTGGCCAGAGATATTTCCCCGGGGTGCTTGCCCACTTACATTTCCATCTTCAGTCCTTCTCACCATCCCTCAAGGATCATCCTAAAAAGCACTCTTTTAAAATAGTGCATCCAGCTGGGTTCAGTGGCTCATTCCTGTAATCTCAGCACTTTGGGAGACCGAGGCAGGAGGATCATTTGAGATTGGGGGTTCGAGATCAGTCTGGCCAATATGGTGAAACCCCATCTTCCCTAAAAATATGCACACACAAAATTAGCTGGGTGTGGTGGCGCAGGCCTGTAGTCCCAGCTACTAGGGAGGCTGAGGCAGGAGAATAGCTTGAACCTGGGAGACGGAGGTTGCAGTGAGCCAAGATCATGCTGCTGCACTCCAGCCTAGGCAGCAGAGTGAGACTCCATCTCAAAAATCAATCAATCAATCAATCAATCAATCAAATACCGCATCCTCCTACCTTCCACAAGACATGCTTTCCTTTACCTCTGTTTATCATAGCATTTTAAATCTCTCTCATGACACTGACCATATTCCTGCACTCTAATCCATCAGTGGCTTTCAAATACTTTAAGCAGGTAACGTATTGTTGAAAGAAAAACAAATAAAATACTACATCAAAGCAGAACACTGCTGGCTGGTGGCGAAGATGGCTGGTGAAGGGGAAAGGTATTCCTTTTTAAAAATCTGTGGTCTGAAACACAATGTCTTGGAAATAACAGTACTCAATAAAGATTTGTGGTATTTAATGAAAATGGGGCTATGGTTGGGTGATCCCACATTCCAATTTGCCTGGGATGGTTTAATTTAAGCCAGTTGTCCTGGTATAATTTTTAATAATACTTCATTCTCTCTGAACTATTTCAATCTGGACAAAAATTATATGATCACCTTATGTACAGGAAAAAAGTTATGTGATAGGTGAGAAATATATGCAGTAGAAAAGGTTAAATTATTTTCCCAAAATCACAGCACATAAAAGGACTAAGAATCCCTTGTTAATAAAGCCCACAAAACTCAAGCCAACAGAATGCAAGTATTTTTCATAAAACTAAACATGATAAGTACAGAAGACTATTTCAAAAAATGAAATAGTTTTTGAAATTTTTTTAAAAACCATATCAGAACAATTCCCTTAATACATATAAATATTTTGTGTTGTCTATATCATCACTAATTTATTTAATATTCCAAACATATCAATACAGTCCTCAAAATGGCAAAATCAAGCAACCAATAAATATTTACTTAGTATCTACTACATATAAGATATGATATATGTCAGATACACTAATATCAAATGTTTGTATTTTTGGCACATATCATAGTTATTAAAGGAAATCTATCTCCTGGGAAAACTTACAATGCTGAGCTTTCCTGGCAATTGCTCAAACTCACCCAAGTGAGGGTACTGCTGGGGTGTGCTCTCTCAGGGCTTATCCCGTCTCTGCCAAATCACACAGCAGCATTAGAAATACCTGGTTAAGCAACTTCAGCAAAGTCTCAGGATACAAAATCAATGTACAAAAATCACAAGCATTCTTATACACCAACAACAGACAAACAGAGAGCCAAATCATGAGTGAACTCCCATTCACAATTGCTTCAAAGAGAATAAAATACCTAGGAATCCAACTTACAAGGGATGTGAAGGACCTCTTCAAGGAGAACTACAAACCACTGCTCAAGGAAATAAAAGAGGATACAAAGAAATGGAAGAACATTCCATGCTCATGGGTAGGAAGAATCAATATCGTGAAAATGGCCATACTGCCCAAGGTAATTTACAGATTCAATGCCATCCCTATCAAGCTACCAATGACTTTCTTCACAGAATTGGAAAAAACTACTTTAAAGTTCATATGGAACCAAAAAAGAGCCCGCATCCCCAAGTCAATACTAAGCCAAAAGAACAAAGCTGGAGGTATCACACTACCTGACTTCAAACTATACTACAAGGCTACAGTAACCAAAACAGCATGGTACTGGTACCAAAACAGAGATATAGATCAATGGAACAGAACAGAGCCCTCAGAAATAATGCCACATAACTACAACTATCTGATCTTTGACAAACCTGAGAAAAACAAGCAATGGGGAAAGGATTCCCTATTTAATAAATGGTGCTGGGAAAACTGGCTAGCCATATGTAGAAAGCTGAAACTGGATCCCTTCCTTACACCTTATACAAAAATCAATTCAAGATGGATTAAAGACTTAAATGTTAGACCTAAAACCATAAAATCCCTAGAATAAAATCTAGGCATTACCATTCAGGACATAGCCATGGGCAAGGACTTCATGTCTAAAACACCAAAAGCAATGGCAACAAAAGACAAAATTGACAAATGGGATCTAATTAAACTAAAAAGCTTCTGCACAGCAAAAGAAACTACCATCAGAGTGAACAGGCAACCTACAAAATGGGAGAAAATTTTCGCAACCTACTCATCTGACAAAGGGCTAATATCCAGAATCTACAATGAACTCAAACAAATTTACAAGAAAAAAACAAACAACCCCATCAAAAAGTGGGCGAAGGACATGAACAGACACTTCTCAAAAGAAGACATTTATGCAGCCAAAAAACACATGAAAAAATGCTCATCATCACTGGCCATCAGAGAAATGCAAATCAAAACCACAATGAGATACCATCTCACACCAGTTAGAATGGCAATCATTAAAAAGTCAGGAAACAAGAGGTGCTGGAGAGGATGTGGAGAAATAGGAAAACTTTTACACTGTTGGTGGGACTGTAAACTAGTTCAACCATTGTGGAAGTCAGTGTGGCGATTCCTCAGGGATCTAGAACTGGAAATACCATTTGACCCAGCCATCCCATTACTGGGTATATACCCAAAGGACTATAAATCATGCTGCTCTAAAGACACATGCATACGTATGTTTATTGCGGCATTATTCACAATAGCAAAGACTTGGAACCAACCCAAATGTCCAACAATGATAGACTGGATTAAGAAAATGTGGCACATATACACCATGGAATACTATGCAGCCAGAAAAAATGATGAGTTCATGTCCTTTGTAGGGACATGGATGAAATTGGAAATCATCATTCTCAGTAAACTATCGCAAGAACAAAAAACCAAACACCGCATATTCTCACTCATAGGTGGGAATTGAACAATGAGATCACATGGACACAGGAAGGGGAATATCACACTCTGGGGACTGTTGTGGGGTTGGGGGGTGGGGAGGGATAGCATCGGGAGATATACCTAATGCTAGATGACGAGTTAGTGGGTGCAGCGCACCAGCATGGCACATGTATACATATGTAACTAACCTGCACAATGTGCACATGTACCCTAAAATTTAAAGTATAATAAAAAAAACAAAATATCACATGTATCCCATAAATATGTACAATTGTTATGTATCCATAAAAATTAAAAAATAAACAGCATAAAAAAAAAAAAAAAAGAAATACCTGGTTTAGATCAGGGAGTGGTGGCTCACATCTGTAATCCCAGAACTTTGGGAGGCCGAGGCGGGCAGATCACCTGAGGTCAGGAGTTCGAGACTAGCCTGGCCAACATGGTGAAACCCCGTCTCTACTAAAAATACAAAAATTAGCTGGGCGTGGTAGCACACACCTGTAATCCCAGCTACTCCAGAGGCTGAAGCAGGAGAATCGCTTGAACCCGGGAGGTGAAGTTTGCAGTGAGCTGAGATCCTGCCACTGCTCTCCAGCCTGGGTGACAGAGTGAGACACTGTCTCAAAAAAAAAAAAAAAAAAAAGTGTCTGGATTAATATTCAAGGAAGGCCTCACAATATTTGGGATATTTACCCACTATTACCCAAAGCTGTTGTTTCGTTGAACTTCAAAATTTTTCAGGTTAAAAACTACATTGATGTTGAAGGTATTATTACCATATAATTATTATAACTTATTATAATACAATAACATCTACCTTGTCATTTCAGTAAGTTACTCTGCATATGAATTTAACTGCTGTACTATACTGGAAACCCACAAATTTTACTTCTTCCTAAATAACAAATGACAAGACGAAAAGAGTCATTTTATGCATGTAAATTAAACAGGAATATAAATGAAAATTGAAACAAGAAATCTCAAAAACTCTTAATATAAATAAAAATAGGTCTATTTTCCACAGTTTCAGGCAACTTAACATATAAACACAAATTTTACTACTTATGTAATTGAAATACTGCAAAAAAGACAAAGGAATTGTTAAAAATTCACAAAACGACCAGTATTTTTCTCTAATTTATTCCATCTGATTAAACAAATTTAGAAAAGACAAGTAGGTAGACTCTGGAAATTTTTACCAAGATCAGATTCCTTAATATGTCTTACTTCTTGACATAGTGGACTCTAAAACCTGGAAGGTCATATCTGAGAGAATACACACATGCACAATTTGCTAGAAGAAAACCAATTTGAAACATGGCGTGCAGCTTGTGAAATTAGCTAAATGTAAAAGTGGAAGCAATTAGAGGTTGTAATGTAACATTTCTTTTAAAAATGTTTTATTTTATTTTTTAAAAAATCACAGATAAAATTTTACATAATTACCATGTACTACATGATGTTTTAAAACAACTATACCTTGTGGAATGGCTAAATCAGGAGAATTAACACATGTATTACTTCACATATCTCGTGATTTTGTAATAGAACACATATAATCTACTCTCTTAGCATTTTTAAGAATACAGTATATTATTAATTATAGTCACCATGTTGTACAATAGATCTCTTGAACTTACTCCTCCTGTCTAATAAAAAATTTGTATCCTTTGAACAATATCTCCTCAAACTCCACCCCCACCCCCTCTGTCCCAGCTGTTGGTAACCACCATTCTTTTCTCTGCTCCTATGAGATCAACTTTTTTAGGTTCCACATATCAGTGACACTGTGCAAATTTGTCTTTTTGTGCCTGGCTTATTTCACTTAACATAATGTCCTCCAGGTTCATCCATGTTATCCCAAATAGCAGGATTTCCTTCTTTTTAAAGGCTGAATTGTATTCCATCATGTATATATACCTCATTTTCTCCATCCATTCATCCATTGATAGATCATATCTTAGCTATTGTAAATAGTGCCATATTAAATATGTAAGTGCAGATATCTCTTTGACATACTGATTTCGCATCCTTTGCCTATATACCTAGTAATGAGATTGCTGGACCATATGGTAAGTAACATTTCTTTGAAATGTATAAAACAAATGGCTGAGACTAACACTCTGAAATAGGTGAACAGTTTTCTTTTGCTTGATTAATCAATGGAATAACTATTTGATAAATGAACTAAAAAACATTTATTGAGTGCTCTGCTCTAGGTCCTACAAAACAAAAACTAAGTGAGGCATGGCTCTTCTACTAAAGAGGCTGAACATTTAGGGGGAGATAAGAATGTTACATTTGTTACACTTGATAAACTTATACTAACACATCATAATAATGCAAAGTCCATAGTTTACATTAGGATTCACTCTTGCTCTTGAACATCTATGGGTTTGGAAGAATGTATAGTGATGTGTATCCAACATTGTAGTATCATACAGAGTATTTTCACTACCCTAAAAATTATCCATGCTCTACCTGTTTATCTCTCTCTCCTTTGAACCCCTGGTAACAATGGATTTTTTTGTTGTATCCATAGTTTTACCTTTTTCAAATGTCATATAGTTTCAATCATACAGTAGGTAGTCTTTTCAGATTGGCTTCTTTAGCAATATGAATTTAAGTTTCCTCCCTATCTTTTCATGGCTCGAGAGCTCTTTTATTAGTGCTGAGTAATATTCCATTGTTTGGCTGTATTACAGTTTATTTATCCATTTATCTACTGAAGGATATCTTGGTTGCTTCCAAATTTTGATAATTATAAATATAGCTGCTTTAAATATCAGTAGGTAGGTTTCTGTGAGAATTCATTTGGATAAATACCAAGGAGTGTGATTGCTGGGTCATGTGGTAAGTATATGTTTAGTTTTTTTTTGTTTTTGTTTTTGTTTTTAAAAAAACACCAAACTGTCCCCCAAAGTGGCTGTACCATTTTGCATTTCCATTAGCAATGAATGAGAGTTCCTGTTGTCACACATCCTTGTCAGCATTTGGTAGTGTCAGTGTTCTGGACTTTGGCCATTCTAATAGGTGTGTAGTGGTATCTCAGTATTATTTTAATTTGCATTTCCTTGATGACATATGATATGAAGCGTCTTTTCATATGCTTATTTGCCATCTGTATATTTTATTTAGTGTGGTGTTAAGATCTTTGACCCATTTTTAATTGGTTTATTTTATTTCTTTTGTTTGCTTTCTTAAAAGATTTTAATTATTATGAATACATAATAGTTGTATTAATACATGTTTATGGAGCGCATGTGATATTTTGGTACACATATACAATGTGTAATGATCAATTCAGGGCAACTGGGCTATCCATCACCTCAAGCATTTATCATTTCTTTATGGTAGAAACATTGCAATTCTACTCTTTTTGTTATTTTGAAATAAACAATAATTGTTAACTATAGTTGTCCTATTTTTTCCTTATACTTGAGTTTTAAGAGCATTTTGCATATCTTGGATAAAGGTCCTCTACCAGGTATGTCTTTTGCAAATATTTTCTCCCAGTCTTTGGCTCATCTTTTGATTCTCTTGACAATGTCTTTCACAGAGCAGACATTTTTCTATTTTAATAAAGTTCAGCTTATCATTTTTTTTCTTCCTTGGATCATGTCATTAGTGTTGTACCTCAGAAATCATCACCATACCCAAGGGAATCTAGATTTCCTAGTCATACATTTTTACAAACAGAGTGAGAGACTAACAAGTGATTCAAATTCCCTTGGGCTGAGTTCTTCAAAATCAAATGTACATTCAATCATTTTATTTGAGTCTAGGATATAATAGCTTCATTTTGAATGAGAAGGTTTTCAGCAAGGTTATCTGGGGGAGGTTGGTTCCCCAGATAGTCTCCCTTAGCTTATAATGACATCACTATTTCTCAGAATCTGTTCCTCAACTCTGTGGGCTTGGAAATTTGGTTGTTCATCCATGGGAGAAAATCTGCATATAATCAAATTACCATAAGACTAATACATTAAGATCACAATGCCAAGTCATTAATTTATAAATAGAAATGTTTTCAAGTGGACCAGATACTTCATTGGACCATATGCAAACTAATAATTCATAACTATATTATAATCGGAAACTTCTTGGTGCAGATGGGGTTAAGTGGATTTTTTGTTTGCTTTGAGATGAGGTCTCACTCAGGCTTGCCTCAAACTTCTAGGCTCAAGCAATCCTCCTGCCTCAGCTTCCCAAACAGCTGGGATTACAGGTACATGCCACCGAGCCCAGTTAAGTGGATGGTTTTAATGGCTACATTAAAGTATTTCCTAATAATGACATTATCAGGAAATACTTTCTAAATTCAATCATGTTTAAATGGTCATATCCACCCTGTCCCCCACTCCAGATGGCACTAGAGGTCAAGCGTCCCTCACAAAGTTGCCATTTTGTCTTTTCATTGCTACTAACTCTCTACTGACTGACACTTTCTTTTGTATAGAAATGCCCATAACCTCAAGTCAAAGCTTGCCTGTGAATCATTCTCAGCTGACTACTGTGAAGCATGATATTTGCTTTACAATATCCAATATACCAATATACCTATTGGTATATTGTATTTCTTTTCCCCTAATGGTTAGAGCAAGCTGTTGCTGCCATATTTTCCTATGGAGTCAGATGACCAAGTGACCTAGGATATTGCCTGACAATTTTCAAAGCACTTTCACATGTTCGGTGTCATTAACTGTGAAGATTATTTTATCTTCATAGTAACTTAAAGCTCATACAACTAAGTGTTTAGGAAATGATATCTGGTAAGACACTCTGTACTCATTACTAAAAAAATTGATCTAAATTTTTACACATCATGACATGTGTAAAACCACTGCTCATTTGAAAGAGTTTTTGAAGCCTGGAACAGATGGTCCATACTTAATTTGAATCAAAATGAGTGAAAAGAAATTCTACAGTTAATAAGATAGATGAAGGAGATGTATTTTGTCTGTTATTTAAGTCTATGGATATCTGATGCTCATCAAACTATACTACTGATATTGTTGTGTCAATACAGTAATAAGGAAAGTCATATTTATTAATTACATCATATTTATTAATTACTTACCATGGGCCAAAAACTATGCGGGACACTGTGTGCAAGCTTGAGTAGTAGGTATTTTTTAAACTCCATTTCATAATGAAGAAATAGTCGTTCAGAAAATCGATGTAACTCTCTCAACATCACAGAGCTTTGCAGGGGCCATGGATGGGATTTGAGCCTTTTTTTTTTTTCCCCCAGTTCCTAACTCTTGTTCTTCCCAATATCCCACACTGCCTCATCATCTCACTCACTCATTGCTAAAACATTTACTTGAATGGATCCCTTGGGGAGGGCTTTTAATTCTTGCTCTTCGTTCTTTTCTGCCAGATAATCTGGGGGCTTGGAGCAGGCATGCCCATACCACAGCCCTTCACAGCCCCTATCACTAATACTTCCTCCACCAAGATGCGGAAGTATAGAAAGGCCATGAGGGCAGCTTGATGTTACTTACTCTAAGTTGTTTTGGCAATTTCATACCTTTTTCCTCATTAAATACCCACGATATATTTAAATGCAAACCAGCAAGGGGTCTGTCTCAGATTTGGCACCCAATAAATGTCTGTTTAATGAATGAATGAAGGCATCCTTGAATACTATGTACATGTCATTTTTTCATGTGTACTCTCCTATCCCCAATTTTCTGATAACAGTATCTCAAATGTATTATCTTACATATTCTGCTCATGGAAGCCCAAGAGAATTATAAGTATATAGGAAAATTAGAATTACTTCATCTACCCATAATTCATTTGCATCACTATTAGGTGGAAGATGCTACAGAATACAATAAAAATTAATGGACAATTTAATTCTGAGACACAATATCGACCTAGTAGGAATCAAACTATGAGTCCATCAAGTTATGTTTTAGCATTGTTTTCAAAGTAAAACAGGTTAAAATTTTAAAGTAACAGGTGGCAAAATTGAGTTGGTCCATGTATAGAATGATTTGTACTTTTCCTTCTCAAAAACTAAATTTGAGTGCAAGCTCTCCCCAATTCTCCATAGCTCATTTTAATAATTTACCCTCCGGGCTCTCTAGCTTAAAGATGCTTCATCTTTTCCTCAATTTCAATCAAGTCCTGCTCACATAGAAAGCAGCCAGTCAGATGTTCTTACTGGAGCTATTAAAACACTTTATTGGAGAACCATTTAATATGGCCTTAGAAAGTTTTCTTATGTTTAAAAAATCAATATTGAAAAGCCTTCTGTATCTGGTTGTCTTATATTTCTGAGAGTCAGCCTCTCTTTATTGTTGAAACTCTTTAGTATGATTTTCTAAAAGCTTATTTGTTTAAATTTAACATGCCGAATTAAGTAGGTAGCAGAAAACCATGTTATACAGCTTCATGGTAAGGCCTTCCCATTCAATCTCCAGTCTGTAACATTAAGGGTCTTATGTGTGACAACGGCCCAACTATTTAAGATTCTAAGATCTGAGTATGTTTTACTAAAGCACTTGCCTGTCTTATGATCAGCACAACATAAATTTTTCAAAGAAATGAGAGGCTACTGTTATCCACCTCATTATTCTTGCTTAGTTCTAGCTATTACCTGGTTTTCTTTATTTACTTGGTAAGCCATACACTGTCCTAACAGTGCTGGGGATAGTTACGTAGGAGTCAGAGTTACCAATTTATTTTTACTCAGTGACCTGAAGCAATGAAGTTTTTATATGATAACTGTCACCTTAATTCATTTGAGAAGTATTCAATCATTCTCTTCCTTGGATTCATATGACATTTTATTGGTCTAAAGAGTTTTTTCATGTACATTAAATAATTTGATCCACACAAACTTTTGTGAGATAGGCAAGGCAGGTATTTTTTATTTCTATGAGGAATTTAAGGCTCAGAAATCTTATGTGACTGTATAAATTTACATGGCTGGTGATTGGCGGAAGGGATGCATAAAGCCAGATACCTCCCCCATTGTTGGAGCACATTTTGCTATGCTACAAAATAAGGGTTTACTGAGGGCTCACAGTAAACCCTTATTGTGTAGCATTATCTAGTTTATAAAACCATATAGAAACACACGAAAGAATGAAGCAAAGCTATCACTCAAGTGGTCTGAAATACTTCTATAGTTTAACACTCAATATCCAGTCAACCAATCAAAGTACATTAGTAGTACAAAGGAAATAGCATTTTAAGGAAAAAAAGGAGAATTATTATACACATAGCAGTTAATATTTTTCCATATGCCAAGTTAAAGACTAAAGTAAAACCTTCTCCCACAAGGCCTTTACACTGAAATGAGAAAAAATGCAGAAAATGAAATGGCTATAATAGGTTTGAATTTTAGAAGCAAGATAATTGGACAAATATCACAATGCAGAAAAAAAAGAGATCAGAGCTGGGTCTGCATATTGGTGTGTGGTATTAACAAAATCAGTTGATCTTTCAAGGTTTTTCCTCTTTTCCATCATCTTTCCATCCTCCCAATTATTTATCACATATAGCTTGAGGATTAATGAAAAAGTAATCAGTTCTTTTGGAACCACTGTGGGGTAACAGAGGATCCCAGAAATTTGAGGCATTGCTACCATAGTTGTTAAAAACATAGAGAAATCAGGGAGTTGCAAAATGCTTGTAATATACTGACTATCACAACTCCTACAGCTCCCGCCTACATAACTAACCAACTTCACAACTGAAAACATTGCACTGTAAATATGCCAAAACTATTTACATTCCAGTAAAGTCTTTCACGTTTGTTCCTTAAATCAAAGTAAAAACTCTATAATCTTTTGGAGAGTAAATTATAAAGTCCAAATCTTTATATTCCCAAGTGCCGCTTCCACTTTAGGAATAACTATGAACTGCCAAAGAATAAAACAGATGTGAATATTGATTAAATTTATATTAACTAAGTCATGTTATCAAATTCTGGATCTTTATGAAAATGCTAGTTTATGTAAATCCTATGTCAATTAATTGTCTGTCTCTAAATAGTAAACATAAATACCTCAAATTGTATTCCTCTGTGCTTGTGCAAAGAAAGCAATGTCATGGCTGCTGTGGATGGTCAGGCAGGCTGTGTACTGCACAGTACCAGGGGGATTGGGGTGGGGAGCAATGATGCAATAGTGCTCTCTGGAATTATACAATGCAACAGTGTAAGTGAATTTAGTGGAAGTAATTGTTTCCTATTAGCAGTAGAGAAAATCCAAAGTTATACTACAGAAGGCAATAAAGACTTATTAGGTAGATGAGACAGTGCATAGACTATGTTAATGGGAATTGAATGAAAGACTTTAACTTATGATTCCATTAGGTATCATGACATGATGGCATGCATAATTATTAACAGCATTAGGTTGGTACTAATTTCCAAAAGTAGTTTAAACAGGCACAATCCTAGAGAAACAGACAATATAAGACAGATACTAACACTGTATTATTCTAAATATTTAGGCCAATATTTAGATCCAAAAAGCTAATTATTGTTGTTGTAGTTTTTTATGTTAATGTAGTATTTAGTTAGGATGGAATTGTAAAAGTGAAACAACCTATTGAAAAGTCACACTTTTTCTCCTCTGAGGAAGTCACACTTTTTCTCCTCTGGGTATTGAATTGCTATAGTATTTAATGGAGGATATCTATGAATTATCAAAAGTATGGGACTGGAAGAGAATTGGATAAGAAACAAACTATCATAGACTATTTAAATGTAGTTAAATTTAATTTCCTACTTTATAACAAAGTATACACACACAATCACATATACGTATATACACACTGTCCAATTTTTCTTAGAAACCTATTCTAATTTTTAAATCTTGCTTGCAGGAAAACCTTTTCTTACTGCTAAAGTTCATAATGGGTTTATAATGAAAAGCAAGCAGTAGGAAAAATTAAATAATAGTACAAATTATTTTTTAGAATTAATCATACGTATTATGTTAAATTTAATGATTACCTCAAAGGCATTGACATCTCACTCTAACTTACCCAACTGTCATCCTAAAATATTCTGTTTTTCTGGATTTAACTAAGTCCAGTATTTATCTCTAAACAAAAAATTCTCTACCAGCCAAGCACTTCACTTCATCCTTTTTTATATAGTTACTCTCTTTGCCAAGAACTTCCTTACTTACTATTCTGACACAAAAGAATTCAACCATGAGATTTTTTTATTGCCCTTTTATTCTACTTTGCAAGTGTGAATTAAAATGTAATCTTTGTCAACTTCTGGTGATTTGAGATGGCCTAAAATATATAATACAATAAAAAGTAATCTACTTTGACTCCAGTAATTTTGAATTCACGGCAATTTGGCTAGAAGGCTTATCAGTTTATTTTTTTTAATATATTAAGGATAGTGTGCTTTGTGAAATAATGATATAAACACAAAAAGTTAAGGACTCCTTCAGTCACACTCAATCTTTGTAGAATGACCAGTTACATAAAATTCGCACACTGATAATAAACTATTCTCAACTATTTATATAACAAGGTCAATAAGGACACTAGCACTAGTTAATAATTACTGTCAAGTTAAGGTCAGTGTCACCGATGATTTTAAATGTAGGAATAAATATTGTATCAATCATATGGAAGGCCTTTAAATTTACTTCCCTTTTACTCCCTTTTATTCTGACAGCCATCCAATCCCCAGTCAACATGAGAATCACAGATACACCTGTACATTACAGCTGGAAATGTGTCTCATCAATAACAAACAATAACAGCTAATATTTATTGAGCCCTAAGTTTCACATGAATTATCACATTTAATTCTTATAATAATCTTGTGAGGTAGATGAAAACAATCACAATACTATCACCAATAATAAAAAAATTACACTATTAAAGCCAGACACTACAGATGACCTTTGAACAACATGGATTTGAACTGTGAGAATCCAGGTACATGTGAATTTTAAAAAATAAATGTACTGGAAAATATTTTGGAGATTTGTGATAATTTAAAAAAACTTGTAGATGAACTTTGTAACCTAGAAATATTGAAAAAAATAAAAAGGTATGTCACAAATGCATAAAATATGTTTAGATACTAGTCTATTTTATCATTTATTACCATAAAATATACACCATCTATTATAAAAGTTGAAATTTATTAAAACTTACACACTTGAAGACCCTACACAGAGCCATTCAAAGTCTAGAGAAAAGTAAACAAACATAAAGATGCAGTATTCAATCATAACTGCATAAAATTAACAGTAATACATGTATGTACTGTACTACTATAATAATTTTGTACCCACCTCCTGTTGTTATTGTGGTGAGCTCAAGTGTTGCAAGTATTGAGTATGCCTTAAAACACCATGAGATGGTAATCGTCTCTGTGTGAGCAGTCTGTCTCTCCAGTAAATTACATGTCACAGGGAAAAAGTGATTTCTCATGGTTCTAGTGTACTTTTCATCATGTTTGGTACAATACCGTAAACTGTGAATAACACCACAGGACCCATATAAAGTGTAATTAGTGATGCTGAAGTGCTCCCAAGAAGCAGAGAAAAGTCATGACATTACAAGGAGAAGTTTAATTGCTTGATATGTACTGTAGATTGAGGTCTGCAGCTGGGTTGCCCACCATTTCAGGATAAGTGAATCCAGCATAGGGACCATTGTGAAAAGAGAAAAGAAAATTTGTGTAGTCGTGGCTGCAGCTCTGTTGGCAAACACAGAAACACTGCACTTTGCAAAATGCCTCGAGGCTTTCATGTGGGCACAATATTGCTATAAGAAAGGCATAGCTACAGACTCAAATAGGATTCCAGAAAAAGAAAAGCCATTATATGACAAATTAAAGGAAAAGGAGGGTGAAGAATCTAAAGTTGGAGAACTGAGGTGCCGGGAAAGGACAGTTTGATAATTTTAGCAAGAGGTTTGGCTTTAAAATGTCAGGACAACAGGAGAAACAGCTTCTGCTGACCAACAGGCAGCAGACAAGTTCCCAGACGCCATTAAGAAAATCACTAGAGAAAGGATATCTGCCTGAACAGTTTTTTTAGTGCAGATGAAAGTGCCCTATTCTGGGGGGAAAAATGCCACAAAGGACATTTATTAGTGAGAAAGAGAAGTGAGCACCAGGATTAAAGGCAGGAAGGGTTAGGCTAACTCTACCATTTTGTGGAAATGCAGTCAGGTTTATAATCAGGACTGCCTTTATCTATAAAGCTGCTAACCTCTGAACCTTGAAGGGAAATGATAGACATCAGCTACCAGTCTTTTGGCTGCACAACAGGAAGGTCTGGACAACGATAACCCTTTATCTTGATTGGGTTCATCAACGCTTTGAGTTATTGAATTCAAGAAGTATCTTGCCAGAAAGGGACTGCTTTTTAAAAGTTCTTTTGGTATCGGAAAATGCTCCTGGCCACCCAGACCTCCATGAGTTCAACTGAAGATGCTCTACTTGCTCCCAAACACAACATCTCTAATTCAGCCTCTAGATCAGAAGGTCATAAGGACCTTTAAATTTCATTACACACAGTACTCTATGGAAAGAGTTGTCAGTGTTATGCAAGAGAAAACTGATAAAGAGAATGTCAAGAAAATCCGGAAGGACTGCACCATTGAAGCTACCATCATTGTTATAGAAAAAGCTGTGAAAGCCATAAAGCCCAAAGCAAGAAATTCATCCTGGATTAAACTGTGTTCAGAGGGTGTGCACAACTCTATAGAATTTATGACAGAGCCAATCAAAGAACTCATGAAAGAGATTGTGGATATGGCAAAAAAAGAAAGGTGAGAAATAAAGGGTTTCATGGGATGAATCTTGAAGAAATGAAAGAGCTAATCAATACCACAAGACAGGAATTAACAGAAGACAACTTGATGGAGATGAGTGCTTTCGAACCAGTGCCAGACAATGAGGAAGAAGGCATAAGAAAAGCAATGCCAGAAAACAAACTGACATTAGAAAATCTGGCAGAAGGGTTCCAATTATTCAAGACTTCTTTGATTCATTTTCAAAATGGACTCATAAGATATGGGCACTGAAACTAAAGCAAACAGTGGAAGAAGGATTGGTACAGTACAGTACAGAAACATTTTTAGAGACTGAAAAAGTAAAAAACATCAGACAGAAACTATGATATATTTCCAGAAAGTTATACCAAGTATGCCTGCCTCTCCTGCCTCCCCTTCCACCTCCTCCACCTCTTCTGCCTCTGCCACGCATGAGACAGTAAAACCAACCCCACCTCTTCCTCCTCCTCCTCAGCCTACTCAATGTGAAGACAAGGATGAAGACCTTTAGGTTGATCCACTTCCACTTAATAAATATTAAATATATTTTCTCTTTTTTAGATATTCGTAAACATTTTTCTTTCATTTAGCTTACTTTATTGTAAGAATACAGTATATAATACATATAATGTACAAAATATGTGGTAATGGACTATTTATGTTATAAGTAAGGCTTCTGGCCAGCAGTAGGCTATTAGTTAAGTTTTAAGGGGAGTCAAAAGTCTTACATGGATTTTGACTGTGTGGGAGATTGGCACCGCTAACTCCTACACTGTTCAAGGGTCAACTGTACAAGAGTCACCTATGTTAACTCATTTGATTTTACAGAAATCCTATGAGGTAGGTACTAGTACTATATTTTCCTTATTTTGTAGATAAGGAAACAGGCACAGAAATGTTATGTAACTTGCCTAGGCCAAAAGCTATTAAACAGAGGACCAAGATTTAAACTCAGACAGTTTGGGTTCCAGAATCTATGTCTGTGATCATTACACTATACTGCCTCTTCATTCTCTTATAAAAATTCTATGAAATAGGTACAGTTTATTATCTTCATTTTGCAGATGAAGAAACTGAAGCACAGAGAATCTAAGTAATTGAATAAAATCATCTTGCTCAAGGGTTGGAAAAGCTTTTCTGGAAAGGGATAGATAGTAAATATTTTCAGCTTTGCAGACCATGGGGTCTCTGTCACAACTACTCACCTCTGCTGACGTAGCACAAAAGCAGCCATTGATAATACACAAATGAGTATGGCTGTGTTCTAATAAAACTTCATTTATGAACACAGAAATTTAAATTTTATGTAGTTTTCATGTGTCACAAAATATTCTTTTGTTTTTTTTTCAACTTTTTACAAAGTACAAACTATTCTTAGGTTGAAGGCCATACAAAAATAGTCAATAGGCCAGATTTAGAATTGCAGCTATCATTTGTCTACCCTTGACATACCTTCTTGAGATTATTGGAGTTTATATATTACTCTCAGGTAATTCACCTCCAGTGTTTGTATCCCAAAACACTGTAATCTAAAGAAATACTTCTCATACTTGAATGTACATAGGCATCTCTTTAAAATGTGCTTCTTTAGATTACCATAAACCCTCCTAGACACTGGAAGCTACACATCCAGTAGTATGCTGCTGTTCATGATCAGACATTCGAAAGCTCATGACTTCCAAGCATACTTTGAGAAATAAGATTTACCCCTGTCACATGGGGATGTCAATTTACCTGGTAAATTAAAAAAAAAAACAAAACTTTAGATTACGTAGTCCACATATTGTCAGTCCTAAGGGAACATTAGCATGAAATTTACATGAAATACTGTGTGTGTGTGTGTGTGTGTGTGTGTGTGTGTGTGTGTGTGTATAAATATACAATACATATATTATATATAATATATATAATATATAACTAGATTCATGATAGCATAGTACAACTAAGTAAACTTTTGCTTTTAAATTGGACATCCTTTCTGCCTTCCATTGATAAGGGCTATAGTACTTATAATGGTGGCAAAAAAAAAAAGAGGAATAGACAGAATATGAAAGAAAATGAGGCTCCGTATCTGATTTTTCTTAAGAGTACTGAGTAGGCAAAACTAAAACTACTGTCCCTGACAAGACCGCAAATGCTCAAGTTCATACCTTAAAAAATGAAAATAACTCTCTTAAGAAATCTTCACTTTCCACTAGAAATTATTCACGGTTAACTACTACTTCAGTAACGTGGGTTTTTTCATCCTATAGATTTGAGATCATATCACATGGCTCTTTTTAGAGCCTTTTAGAAAACAGACATACGCTTTGTGTAAAAATAAAGCCTTTATGGTTACTTTAGGAGTTTATTATTTTACATAACAAAAGGTTACATTTAATTTTCTTTTAAACCTACAATCTAGTACTCAGAACCCTAACATTTCTTTGATTTTTCTAACGAAAACATGAGGTACTTAATGAGGGCATTTTCTGCCTAAACAAAACACATAGCATTTTTTAGACTTTTCAAGTGACATTTTCAAAGGCACCAGGAGAAAGGCTGATGTTGTGTGATGACTACCATTAGGATGCAGTGATATTCTTTGACCTTTATTTAATCACCATCATCAAAAGGCATTTTCCAGTTGCCCAGTTGTGGCAACAGCCGATTTGTGCTGTGCCATTAAGTTCCATCCTGACTTAGAGCTGAAAAAAACACTTGAGTGGTCATTTTATCCAACATGAGCTTCCAACCAAGAATCCACTTACCCCATTCAGAGAATTTTCTCTCCTTTTCCAAATAGTGTAAACAAATTTTTATATCCTTCCTAGTCAAACGTTTTATGGTAAACTCAACTGAAAGGCAGTGAAAGGCAGATTTTATACTACATACAAGTAATGTATAATTTGGGTAATGCTGGGGAAAAAAAGAATGATGGAGAAACTGGTTAGGAAGTTTGCAACATGGCTTACTGTTAGGGAAAAACAACCAACAAAACAAAAAACTCAAGAGTATAAGGTTAAGAAGAACAGCTGTAAAAATTTAGTCACCTGTAGTCCAGACTAAAAGACCATAGGGAGTGAGACTACTGATTACTCTGGCTTAACAAAGAGAAATTCCTGAGAAATAGAACCACTGGACACTGATATTTACATGGAGGGCAAGTGTGGATATTAACATTAGAAAGAAAAAAGACTGGAGTGACACGGATGACAGAATAATGTAATTTAATTGCATAAGTCTCTTCCTTTACCTAAGCATGGGATAGCAAGTTGTCTGCATGTAGACATACCTTTTACTGTAGCAGTAAATTTGTCTGTTAAAATGCTTTTCATTTAAACTTTTGTGCATATACATTTTAATAGTGAAGAAATTCATTAACAATGAACATATTCTCTATGTCTTGTCACCATAGCCTGACTGTACAGTATTTGAAGTAAAGGATTATGTCATATATTTCCTTGTATTTCCTGAAGCACGTAACAGTATGTTTTTACTTCATACTCTCAAGCATTTTTTGCTTGATTTACTGAGTCACCTTTTTATTTGTGAATAGGAAATCCTCAGTAGATTTAAACTGGGGAAAAAAACCAGCCCCAAACTGTTAAAATGTGGTCTTTAAGATTATATTGTTTGCCTATAACATATTACTACTTTTTGCACAAATGCATCCTGGCTCATATATTCCAGAGAGTATTCTCCTACATATCCTGAATCCCGTGATGTGGAAACATCACTCAAACGTTCTTTAAAATAACTGACCCTTACTCTTTGAAAATGGGAACGTCATGGATGATAAGGAAAGACTGACACAGATTAGGGGATACTAAAGAGACATAACAACAAACTGATCCTGAATCAGATCCTAATCCACACAAAAGACAGTAGTGGAAAAACTAATGGAATTACTTAGGGTTGGTAAATTAATTAACAGTATTTCATCGATAACAATTTCCAGATTTCAATAATTGAACTATGGTAATGTAAGATATTAACACTAGGTGAAGCAGGGTAAAGGACATACGTCAATGCTGTGACTACTTTTGTAACTTTCCTCTAAGTCTAAAATTATTTCAAAATAAAATGGTAAAGACCAAAAAAAAGCACGTAGCGTGAAAATGCCCCAGTGATTATGTTGTTGTTTCAAATATTTTTGAAACTTATCTTTCAGAATTGCCTTCAGAGCAAATTTTAAAAAAATCTCTTATTACTTTAAAATCAGAAGCACTAGCTTGGTATGCTGCCTTATATACATGAGATCCTTGAACATGGGAACAACATTGGGAACAATCTAGAATGCAATCTAGCTGTATTGTAGCTTCAGCACCAGGTCTATGGTTACTGAATAACCTAGTCTATCGCATGCAATACACAAAGAAACAAAGATTAATGTGAAAGTTCTTTAACTTAGGCACAGGAGGGAGAACTGAAGGAAATGAAGCCAGTAAGGTACACTGAGGTCAGAGTACAACCATCTTGCCTGCTGGGCTGAGGTTCCTAGGCTGGATTGAATAGGCAATGGGCTGCTACAAAAGGTTTTTGAGCAGTGATGAAAAACTCTCTAAGCAATTAATAGAGAAACACTTTCCCAGATAAATTATTGCTAATTATTAATATTAAAATTATTAATCGTCTACTTATGTACTAGATAATATTTCTTATCATCTATTCAAGCCCATTGCTCTAATAATTTCCCCTCTCTCCTCTATAATCCACCCTTCCCTTTCTACTAAACTGTTAATATCAGCATATAAACATGCTGTTTTTACTCTCATAAATACTTTCTTTTGATCCCACTTCCCCAGCCACTACAGTCCCATTTCTGTGCCTCCTTTGCCAAAAAACACCTCAAAAGCATGGACTCATATTTATTGTCTCTAATTCTCTTTCATTCTCTTTTAAATCCACCCTGGTCAAGTTTTCACTTTACCATACCACCAAAACTGCCCACATCAAGGTCAGCAATGACCTCCAATGGTCAGCAATCACCATTGCTAAACCTAATGGTCAGTTATCAGTGCTTACCTTAGCAGATGGCACAGTTTATCAGTCCCTCTTCCTTCATACCCTTCCTTCACTTAATGTCTAAGATGTCACACTCATATGTCTTTTCATACCTCACTGATCACTTCTTCTCAGTCTCTTTTGCTAGATCCACCTCTTCTCCCTGACCTATTAATGTTGGATGCCCCAGAGCAATCTTTGGCCTTCTCTTTTCTATCTACACTTACTGCCTCAGTGAAGCCATGGCTTTAAATACCATTTATATGCAAACAATTTCCAAACTTCTATCTCCAGACCAGATCTCTCCAAAATTCTCAAAAACCTATTGGCATCTCCATTTGGACACCTAAAGGACATCACAAGGTTCACATGTCCAAACTAAACTTTTATTTCCCTCCAACTATTCTACCCCCCAGTCTTTCCCATCTTGGTTGGTGGCAAGTCCATTTTTTCAGTTGCTCAGGCCAAAATACTCGGACTTATTCTTGATTTCCTTCTTTTATTCACACTCACCTCCAATCTGCCACCAAAACTTAGCTCTACATTCAAAATACGGAAATAACTGGAAGAATGGTTTCCATTATATTTTTCTGGTAGTGCATCTTCTGGTTTTTAATATACAAACTTCATAGGATGTATGTACTTTTAATAGGTTTATATGAGAAAATTTAGTATTTACAGATGATGTCTTCTGCTCAAAGTCCTGCAATGACTATCCTTTGCTCTGAAAAATAACCAAAGTCCAGGGAGCCTACAGGCCAATCACGAGATACTTCCTCCAACTCCATTACCTCACTGACTTTCTTTCTTACTATTCTTTCACTAACTCATTGCACTGTAGCCACTCTGGCTTCTTTGCTGCTCCCCAAACTGATCAAGTATATTCCTACCTAAGGGGTTTTGTTCTACCTACTTGCCCTGCCTAAAATGCTTCCCCCACAGATACCTGTTTCGCAGATTCATTTGTGTCTTTCATTCATGCCTTTGTTTCACTTCATTTGCACCTTTGCTTAAACTCACCTTCTTCAATGAGGTCTACAGACCTGTCTGACCAACTTCTTTATTACTGCAACCTGATTTTACCCTTGTCACTCCAGATGCCTATTTCAGGCTTTACCAACATATCGTAAGATATATCTGTTGCCTGTTTTTGAATATCACTTTTGTTTTAACCTTTCTACATGTGGGAACACCAAGGGAGACCTTGAGGATCCCTAATTTATACAACTCATGATACTGACACTGTTAATCACAAGCTGCCCATTTACTTGACTAAATTGTGCTGCTTACTCAAAACCTGTTACTTTCTGTCAACCCTAGCCAAGCATTCAAGTCTACTAACAGCCAACACATTTGTTCCTTTATATTTCTATAGCTGAGGCAGAAATTAATTGAGCTATAAGCCAATACTGTACATGCTCTTGTATGTATAACTGTGCTCTCACAGCTCCTGCCATCCCAATTTAAGTATTCTAGCTCAGCTCATTTCTGACCAATTGGATCAGAAGTAGACATATGGCCCAGGGCAAATCAAGTGAAGAGTTTCTTCAGTGAAATTTGAACATAGATTCAGAGAAGATATGTAACCATTCTCATGCATTCAAACTGGGAAATTACGTAAAGTGGAGCTGAAGAACTTCTGGTTGGCCATAGATTACCAAAGCAGAGAAAGTCTATAGGCAAGAAGGGAGGGAGGGAAAGAGGACGAGAAAGAGAGTATGAATACGAATGAATCCCTTGGTTCCTGATAGCTTTCTGTTGACTTTGGTTATCATGTTCACAGAAGACTTCTCTGAGGTGTTAACATTTGAATGAATATGTAATTATTAGAAGATAGCTATACATATACTACACACACACACAACAACAACAACAACAACAACAACACACAAACAAACAATGACCACAACAACACTTCAGGATGAGTAAGTATTCTAGGCAAAAGGAATATGTAGTCAGTTTCTTATGGCGACTGACTACCTTTCTGCCCTTGATTTTCATGAGCTATCTTCCTTACGATAAATTCTTTGCTGTTTCAACTAACTTCAATATATTTTTGTCTCTCATGACGAAGTAATCCCTAAAATGTACTTTCTCTTGGCTCAAGTTCTGCAAACATTATTAGACTCTCTGTGTTCTTTCTTGTCCAACTGCAATCCGTTCCACAATCCAAGCCATAAGGAGCCAGTGTAGCCCATATTAACCATAAATCCAAATATATCACATCATAATTTAAAACTTTCAGTGACAAACAAAATTCCTTACCATGACTTCCCCAAAGATACTACCTGACCATCCCCTTGACTAATATTTTTTCTCCATGGTCTCTTAATCTTACCCTTGTTCACTCTCTTTCCACCACGTTGACATACTTGTTCTCCTTCAAACATACCCAGCTTACTTCTGCTTTACAGTCTTTGACTATGTATTCCTTTGGCCCAGAATACTTACTCATCCTGAAGTGTTGTTGTTTTTTGTGTGTGTGTGTGGATGTAGTATATGTATAGCTATCTTCTAATAATCACATACTCGCTCAAATGTTGGCACCTCAGAGAAGTCTTCTGGGAACATGGTAACTAAAGTAAACTCAAAAATTGTTTAGTTTTCTTCATAGCACTTGTCACTTTCTGATCCTATTTACTGTTTGCATGTTTGTTTCCTTACTATACTCATTAAAATGTAAGCTCCTTGAGGGTGAAGACCTTGTTGGTCTTGTCCATGGCTGTTCTCTCCAAGACCTAGAATGGGGGCTGGTGTTGGACAAACATTTATCATTAAATAGATAAAGAATGAATAAATACACAATGCTACTTATCTTCCTGTCTTCCTGTCTCATTCCCATAATCATTACCACCACAGACTAATGGATCAAAAATTTATCCATCCATCTCCATCTCTGTCACTCTCTTTCTAGCTCTAAACATACTTTTCCCTCATACTTTAACCTAATTTAATCACCCAGGCCATTTGGGATTAATATCTAAACACAAAGAAATAATTAGCAAAACGTTACTATCTTCCATTGGTACAATTTGGATACTTGAAATTATGGTTTTACTAATTTGTCAACATTGTCTCTAAGAAAGATTAGATTCTTGAAGTTCAGAAATACAAGAATCCAGTGGGGAGAGATATCCTCCATGGATGTCTTGTGCTCCTACACATCTCATTAGGAGTGCAAAGCATGTAAGTAAGGCCTTGGCTTTTCTTTCCCTGGCCACTTCTCAGAGTGTATTTGCCAGGAACAATCTTGATTAATGAGATAATGTCACCCTTCCAGACAAAGAGCAGGTTTGCTTACTGCTTACAATAAAATGAGTGGATTTCTAAAGCTCAATATTCTTTTGTAAGTATAGCTTCCATCAAGATCATCCCTGTGAGATATGGAGGCCAGAAGCAAGGACTTAGGCTGAGGGTCATGCTGCCTATCAAGCCACCAGGAATAAAGCTCTTTGTGGTCATCCATGAAGCAGTGACAGGCTAACTTGCAAATAGGGTAAAAGCAACTTTGAGACCCGATGAATCCCACTACTATATTTGTTAGCAAGTATTCAAGTTCAGTCAATATAGTCACAGAATACAGCTTCCATCACCAAGACTAGCCCTGAAAATATTAGTACAAAAAAGCCCACTCTTCATGAACATGATAATAATTGCTTGTTGTTTGCTAAACTAGACAGAATGAAGGAAGTAAGTGAAAAGTGGATTTCAGCTGGTGACCTGACCTTGAGACGTCTTGGTCATCTCATCTCTCAACAGTGGATGAAATACTCTGGAAGGTAGTTTGGAAGTGAAAAAAATGTCAGGCTTTGGGAACAGACTTGGGCTGAAAACTTGAAATTATCACTAGCAGCAACTTTCTTTAACTAAAAATTGGAAAGGATACTCCTTAGTTTATAGTGTTGTGGAATAAAGATGCAAATATGAAATACCAAGTACTATATCAGGTATGTTGTAAGTAATCAATAAGTATCATCATTTATCAGCTGTACAATATCAAATAAAAATATCTATTAGCCATCAATAGTATAAGTTATATTTTAATATGCTTAATCAGGGTTGTATTTTGCATATATTTACATGTATTCAATATCCATTATGAGGATATTGTCTGTATACAGAAAAATGACATCTGTTGAGGCTCTTCCATGACGCAACACTGTGGTATGTGTTTTCCAGTATAACTAAATTACATGATGCAAACTGTAGATTTTCTTAGTGGCAGGCCTTGAGCCTTTCATCATTATTCTATTTCTACATTTATACTTATTATAAAAATGTATTTCTTCTGGGGGGGAAGTCAATAAATGTAAACTGGATTGGAAATACATTACATTCTTATAAATTAAGTTTATAAGATGTAAATTTTTGAATTGAGAGCAAAAAAATCCAAAGATAACCATGTGATTTCTAAGTTAAAGGTTTAACTTCTGAAGAATAATCACGAGCATGATCAAACTACACTAGTTTAATGTAAACTATTAGGGATAAAAGAATTGGCATTGAAAAAGAAGTCCCTCTTGTCTGCCACACTCTCCCCACAAAAAAAGTGACTCTGGGTGGTATAATCCATATTTCAAAACAATAATATTAATATTTCCTTCCTACTTCTATAATATTTTCTAAAATTATACTATGAACACTGAATTTCATGAAACAATGACAAATGTTCATCTTTTCATTAAATTCAGAAATCATCTAAAGTAAGATTTTAAGTGTCTATCATGTGTTGCTGTACACAGGATGCAAAAACTTATAAGACTCAATTGAGGACCAAATGGTATAGTAAGGAAAACAGATATATCAAGCACAAAATATGTGGACTATTAGAAGTTTATACAAGGTATAGAAGTAGGTCAGTAGAGACATTGATGAATACTCTTTGGACAATGATATTAAAGAAGGCTTCTTAGAGAAGATAATGTCTGAGTCAGTCTCATTTGCAAATGAATAAATTTGAGACTTACAGTAAGTGGTTGAATCATACATCATACGGCTAGTTCATGGAATACTCAAGAATAGAAACCAATCTCAGAATTCTCTCTTGGATAAAGTACTATAATAGTATCCTGCCATTATGTTCAAATTGGTGAAGTTATCCACTCTAAATCTAGTGATATAAGAGAAAGGATGTTGACAGGTCATGATGTTTCTCATATTGCTAATGACAGCTCTAGTCTTCTAGTTACTGAAAACAAAAACCCTGGTATCATTCCTGTTCTTTCTCTTTTTCTTACACTCCACAACTGGTCCCTCATCAAATCTTGCAGGGTATACTTTCAAAATTTATCAATAATTTGACGACTTCTCATCCTCCCACTACCATTACTCTAGCCCAAGTCAACAGCATCTCTTACCTGGTCTCTCTGCTTTGCCTTAGTCTACTCTTAAAACTGCATCTAAAATGATCATGTTAACATGTAAATCTGATCACATCACTCTTCTGTTCAGTACCTCTAGTGGCTTCCCATATCAATCAGTGTTAAAGCGAAAGTCTCTGCAATGAACTACAAGGCTGTACATGGTTTGACCTCTTATTGCCTCTCTGAACTCAACTCCTATTACTCCTCCACCCCTCCTGCCACCTTGATAACACCACTTTAATCACATTGTCCTTCAAGCACATCAGGCATGCCCCCACTTCAGGCCTTTGTACCTACTTTCCTTCCACTGGGAATGCTCATCTCGCAGACATCCACAGCTAACTCCCTCACTTCCTTCCAGTATCGATCCCAAATCACCTTCACATTGAGGCTTTCCATGGCCAATCATTTAAAATGTCACCCCACCCAACATTTTACATCCCCCTTCCATTTTTTATTTTTCTCCTTAATACTGAAAATTATTTAACATACTCTATATATTAAGGTACCTTGCTTATCTCCCCTTTCCTCCTGGAATGAGGGCAGGAACTTTGATCAAACTGTTTTCCTTACTACTTTATCCCTAGTACCTAGCATATAGTAACTACTCAATAAATGCTCATTGAATGAATGAATGAGTATAAATGTAGTGACAGCAGAGAAGAGGCCCATCCTCAGTGATACAGAACAAGGAACAGATAAGAGATGACAGTCCATGGTTATTGCGTAATGAAGCCCGAGATATGCTTCGTGCTCAATAAATACTCATCAAATAAATGAATGTTTTTTAAAAAATATTTCTTCCAGCTACAGGATAAGTAAGACCTGCCACTCAACAACTATGAAGTCAATAACAGAAAAGGCAGATGGACTGACTGCCAAGAGTCTGTCTCACTGCTACTTCTACTGCACTAGTGCCAAGCAACCTGGGGATATCTCCTAAGGATAGCTGCGATAGGCTGACATTTGTCACGTCGAAAGCTCCTGCACTCAAGGAGGAAGAGAAAAAAAAATACCATAATAGAAGTCAGGAAATGAATAGTTTCTTCTTTATGTCTTTGTTTCAATTTTTGCATTTTTTAATGCCAAAAAATTGTCACGGGGGCAATAAGCCTCTTCTCACAGATGCACATATCTAATTAATTAATATTTTCGGTCTAGGAATAGACAACTTGGATTTCCTTCCTCATAGCTTGACTTCACTCCATTAACTATGGTATCAGTTTTCTCATCACAAAATAAGAATAAAAATATCTCCATCACAAGATGTTTTGAGGATTAGTGCAATATTGGGCTTGAAAATGTTTTTAAAGCATTAACTGCTATTATTATTCCAAAGGAAATATTTGTGGAATACAGTACCTTTCTATGAAGATTCTGGGTTCAGGTCACTAGGCTACAATAAGACAAAACTATGAGAATATAATCAGAGATTTTTAGAAATTCGTAGGCTAAAATAAAATTAATAAATAAGTAACAGAAAAAAATAGGTAAGTTCACTTAACTGTAGAGATAAATAGATGAGACCCTATAACTACATTCTGCAATTGGAACGATCTGTAGTTTTGAGTGAAATCAGTTATGTATCTATGAAGAAACTGAGGCTCTGAGCAATAATTGACTCTGTGCTACACAGATAAGTCAGGCTTAGAGCTCAGGTTTTCCTATTTCTAAATCAGGATTCCATAATATAGCAAAAAAGCATTTATTGAGCTCTTCCTAAATGCCAGTGTTGTCCTAAGCACTTTATATGAGTAACAATATGATGCTGCTGCTCTTACAATCCCTACTTCACGGATAGGCTCGTTTAGACAAAGATCAGATATGTAATTTAGCAAGGTTACACAGCAGGTAAGTGGCTAAACTAGGATTTGAATCAAGACAGACTGATACAGCCTCGCTGTGCTCCCAACATCTATGCCACTTCTCTAAGCAGAGATACATTGCTCAGCCTTCCATCATGTATTCTCATCATACAAAATTAGGTCTTGGGGTGAAAAAATCTTAGCATAATGATTCTGGAACTCCAAAGGGCCAAAGAACATAAACAGACATGAAGTATATTTGTGTTATTAACATTTTATTAAGGGGAGATTATGAAAAACATGTCTAAGAACTCTTCTTATTTGAGAGGCATGCACAATTATTAACATGTTGAGAAATACTGCCTTCGATTGATACCTGACTTAACAGAGAAAAACTAAATGTTTATGCATTACATTGAAAATGGATTCAATAAACCCCCCTCCCATTAAATCTCTTCCTAACTCCACTTAGAATACTATTGTAGTTGAAGGTCACATGAAACAGTCATTTAAGTAAGGAGAGCATCGAGCTTTATTAAGGCTGACAACCAGCCTCTCTCCCCATAATTTTTTCTGTGTTCTCCTTGGCTTGCTGTTCTGTTTCTCCAAAGTGTATAAAATATGGGCTTAGGGAAACAGGTATTCACTCAAAAGAGTGGAGGTGACTTATGGGTCAACCATTTACTGGTATTGATAGATCATTTTAAACCCTCTGAACCTCAGATCTCTCACCTATAAAATGGAAATAATAAACAATGAGGTGTAATAAAGAATTATAAAAATGTTAGGTATTATTATTATTGGAAAGAATGTAGGTGGTTTCACTTACTATTACTGAACTACAGAAATAATTTAAGTGTACTTATCTATATTGTCCCCACTGATCCTTCCTCAAGATATGGTGGGTTGATCATTATTTGTTCTCTTGAACACATGAGAAAAAATGTGGTTCAGGGAAGTGAATGCATCTCCCAAGGTCACAAAATTAGCAACTATCAGAACCAAGTCTTCTAACTCCTGATGCAGTGCTTTCTGGCAAATGTTTCTGTTTATTGCACATTATTAATAAGTAAAATTTTGTTGACTTTTGAATATATTAATTAGTTTTAGGAAAACAAAATAAATGATGATGCTGAGAAAAGTAGGAAATGTTTTCACCATGATAATGTTTCTGCTGACTGATTCATTCTTCAGAGGCTCTTATTTGACTTTTAAATAGCTTATCCAAGGTCTTGTGTTGCATTTGCTATTCATTCAGAGAAGCAAAGTGTTTTCCCAAAGTTCACCCAGGAATTGTAGAGTATATGAATGGGTAATGATTTAAACAGAGGTGAAAAAACAAACTAACATATTCAATGCAGAAAGAGCAATTAAGAGGAACAACATAATATCTCATGTATACATCTGTGCGCTGCCTGAAGCATAACAATCAGGTAAACCTTGTAACTTTTAAAGTTTAATAAAAACTATTATAGGAATGTGAATACATAAATCTGGGAAATCTAACTTAAGTTCTCTAAATGGTTTTAATTCTGCTATATTATTTGCAGAGGTAGGATTTTCTGGGACAGATTATTATCCTTTTCCATAATTTCTTTAATGTAAGACATACAAAACAGACCAACAGACCAATAAACCAACAAAAACCAGTCTGTAAGGTCACCCATCATCTTAAACATATTAGAAAAAGAAGACATTAATACAAATGACTAAAATTAAACACAAAATGGAAATAAATTCACTAGTAATCCAAGTCCCTTTAAAGTGAGTCAGGATCCTTTTCTCTAAACATAGTTTCAAAAATGCAAGTTCATGTTGCATCTTTAGGTGTTTTAATTTGAATGTTTCTTATAGATGATAATGAATAACCTGTGGTATTAGTCACATCTGATTCACACTCATTAATGAGTAATTTCCTTTGGTGCAATAGAAACACTCATTCCTTATATTTTTGTGACACTGCGCATATTATCTGTTCCGATCTGCAAAACAATCTGCAGGTGACAAGACAGGTAATATTATTGTCAATTTACAAATAAAGAAACTGAGAATCAGCAGGAATCCTGTATTTCCAGGCTTAAAATAGTTTTAAAGGCCATGTATTTAAACTGCATTCCCAATGCTTGATTCCTCTCCAAAATTCCTTTATTTATTTGTTTTTATTTTTGAGACAGTCTCACTCTATTGCCCAGGCTGGAATGCAGTGGCGTGATCTCTGCTCACTGTAACCTTCACCTCCTGGGTTCAAGTGATTCTCCTGCCTCCTGAGTAGCTGGGATTACAGGTACACGCCACCATGCCTGGCTAATTTTTGTATTTTTGTAGAGATGGGGTTTCACCATGTTGGCCAGGCTGGTCTCGAACTCCTGACCTCAAGTGATCCACCTACCTCAGCCTCCTAAAGTGCTGGGATTATAGGCATGAGCCACTGAACCTGGTGAATTTCTCTCTAGAATTATTTTATATTTAAGTACATCTAAGGAAAGAGAACTCACCGTCTCCCAGGGGAGACTACTCTTACTCTAGCCAGATCTGAATTTGAGAAAATTTTTCTTCATAGTGAGCTAAAATCCATTCCCGTAATCTCAAACCACTAGCCCTAATTTGCTTTTGAGGCCATACAGGACAAATCTAACTGCTCTTGAATAAACAGATTCACAAATACACGTGCTTTGCTATTATGTCCCCCTAGTGTTCTTTCCTTCAGGCTAAACATCTGCTTGTTCAGCTCTTCATGTCTTAAATATATAAATATAAAATATATAACTAATATAGATTTTAATTTAATATACACGTGCCCATTAACTTACTTGCACTTTATATATAACTTCTAATATAGAAATATATCATCCAATTATACGTAATTACATATGTATATAAATAGCTGTAAAACATCCTTTTCATATTAGTCTATGATTTTGGCTCATCCATCAGTCATCTGTCTTAGACCAGTGTACATGGCTAGTACATTCTCAGTACAGGGAACGATTTTGCCTTACAGAAAGTCTTTTCCTTAACGAGACATGTTAAGGAGAACATGCCCAGAATTTTTGAAACATACCATCAGATGAATGCTTATTAACTTACTTTTATAAAATGACAATATTCTACAAATTGTTTCACCAGCAGTGAACCTGGTTTTGCCCAGGCATGAGGCACAGCCACTTTTAGAGACTTTTAAGCCCCTAGCCACCATTAGAGCTGCTTCTGAAACCAAGGCATCACTTTACTTGGTGCAAATACTTTCAAAGTACCAAGCAATGGAATAGTAGGAAGTAGAACACAGGTCTTTGTGTCTCATTAGAATCCACATCATTGTCTTCTGTGCAGTCCTCAGATAATTGGAAGCAGAATATAAGATTGCGAGTCATGTTTCTCATATATAAAAAGATGAAGGCACTTAATCCTGTGCATGGAAACTGACAAAGGCAGCTTTTAAAGGATAGGGCAGACTCCGATGGTGTAATGTAAGTCTTTACAGATATTTCTAGGTGTAAAGAGATTCTCAGTGATCTATTCTTTGGGTAACTGTCAACTTAGAAGTCAGTGATTGAGAGCAATGGTGTTAAAAGTAAATTTAACGTGAGTAGCAAGTGACAAACTGAAATTCCTAAGGCTAGGACCATCCCTGCCTTGTCAACTATTGCATCTCTTGTACCTAGCACAGTGCTTCCACAAAGCAGGCACTCAAAAAACATTTTATTTTAAAACAAGTAAATGAATTAATGAATAAGTGACTGTGAGGAGTTGACAGTCAACAGTCAACTCTATAGCCAGAGGAAGAGAAACGTATGGATGCTCCATCTTCCCTTGATTGTAACATGTGCTGGCTTGTGGCACCTGATGAAAAATGAGAGTTAACCATGTATCATCTTTCTGACAGCCTTTAGTATAAGGAGTGTCTTTTACGAAATTAGTGAATAAGTACACAGTGTGGCAGCTGATGCAATAGGAAACACAAGAAATTTATAAATGAGGCTATATCATGACAGACATATTAAGCAAAAGGAACAACAGATATGCTATGTCCTGGGCTTTTCAAGATTTAGGACTGCCTTCCTTCTAATGAAGAGCTCCTGCATAGAACAGATAATGGTTAGCTTATTGTAGATGGGGACAGGAATAAAGAAGATTTTTCCTAACCTGTGCTAGAAGCTAGATAGTTAGAAGGAAGTAATTATTTTTTTTTTCAGATAAGAGTATGCTGGCTTTATGTATAGGTAATGCGCTTGTCTTTGTCTGCTTTGTATTGCTATAATGGAAAAATACAGACTGGATATTTAATAAAAAAATAAATTTATTCCTCACAGTTCTGGAGGCTGGGAAGTCCAATAATCACAGTGCCAGCATCTTATGAGGGCCTTCTTGCTGTGTCATACCACGGCAGAAGGCAGAAGGGGAAGAAAACATAAGAGAGGGCAGGGAAGGGGGCCAAACTTACCCTTTCATCAGGCACCCAATAACGCAATAACTAGCCCACTCCCCAATAACAGCATTAATTCTTTAATAAGAGGTGATATAACCACCTCTTACTAGGCCCTATCTCCCAACACTGTTGCACTGGGGATTAAGTTTCCAACACATGAACTTTGGGGGCTATGTTCACACCACAGAATTCTACTCCAGGCTCACCAAATTTATGTCCTTCTAACAGTGCAAAATACATTCATTCCATCCCAGCAGTCCCAAAAGTCTTAACTCATTCCAGCATCAACTCAAAAGCCCAAAGTCCAGAGTCTCATCTAAATCAGATATGGCTGAGACTCAAGGCATAATTCATCCTTAGATAAATTTCTCTCTAGCAATGAGCCTATGAAGTCTGCAAATTACATGCTTCCAAAAAACAATGGTAGGACAGGTATTGGGTATACATTCTCATTTTAAAAGGGAGGACTAAGCAAGAAGAAAGGGCTAACTAGTCCCAAGTAAGTCCAAAACCTAATAGGGAAAACAACATTGCCTCATAGTTCCAGAATTAACCTGGGCATACTGAGGCAGGCATTGGGCTCCTAAGGCCTCAGGCAGTCCCACCCCTGTGGGACTGCTGGGCTCAGTCCACCCAGCAGCTCTCCTAGGTTAGAGTCTCATGCCTCCAGTTCTCCCAGGCTGATGCTGCAAGCTGGTAGCTCTACAGTTCTGAGATCTTGGAAGTGGCCCCACTCTCATGGCTCCACTAGGTATTGCTTTAATGGGGGCTCTCTGCAGTAACTCTACTCCTGTGAGAAATCTCTTCCTGGGCCACTAGGCTATCCACAACAGTCCTTGAAATCTTGGTGGAGGGAGCCAAACTTCCACAGCTCTTGTAATCTGCATGTCTGTAGAATTAGCACCATGTGGACACCCACCAGGGTTTACAGCTTGTACCTTCCAGAGCAGCAGGTTGAGCCACATCTAGGCCCAACTGAGCCACAGTTGGGGCAGCCAAAGAGCACTGCACCAGAATGCAGGGAGCAGAGTCCCATGGCAGACCTGGGCAGCAAATATTGAGCTTTTAAGGGAACCTCTCTGGAAATCTGGCCCTCAAGTTCCTAGCTTGCCTCAAAAATCTTTGAAATGCCTTTGGGGTCATTCACTCATTATCTTGATAAATAGAACTTGGCTTCCTTCTATCCATATTAATCTCTTTAGTGATCAGTTGCTTGGTCAGACCCTTAGAATTCTCTCCTGAACATGCTTTTTTATTCTTTATGCAGCCAGGCTGAGAGTTTTCCAAATTTTTCTGTTCTTATTTTTTAGCTATAAACTCAGTCTTTAAATCATTTCTCTCCACTCGCATTTTACTATAACTAGTTAAAAGCAGCTACACAGCTCTGTCAAAATTTTACTTAAAAATTTTCTTCCACCAGATATCCTAGTTTATTGCTCTTCAATTCTGTCTTCCATATAGTCCTCAGGCACGGACACAATTCAGCCAACTTCTTTGCCATTTTGTAAGAAGGATGGCCTTTCCTTCAGTTCCCAATACCTTATTCTACATTTCTAATTGGGAGCTCATCAGAATGGCATTTACTGTCTATATTTCTACCAACATTCTGAGACCAACCACTTAAATAATCCCTAAGAAGATTTAGGTTTCCCTATAGCTCCTGTCTTCTATGCCTTCATCAGAATTGTCCTTAATGCTCCATTTACAGTAATCTAGCCTTTTCTAGCCTGCTCCTCTGAATTCTTCCAGCCTCTATTTGTCACACAGTTCCAAAGGTGCCTCCACATTTTCAGGTAGTTATGATGGCACAGCCCCACCTCTTGGTACCAATTTTCTGTCTTAGTCTGGCTTTTGCTGCTATAAGAGAATAACACAGTCTGGGTAATTTAAAGAGGAAATACATTTATTTCTCAAAGTTCTGGAGACTAGAAAGTCCAATATCAAGGTGCCAGCAACTTGTGAGGACCTTCCTGCTGCATCATCCCATGACAGAAGGTAGAATGTAAAGAAAACATTAGAGAGCACAGGGAAAGGGACCAAAATCATCTTTTTATCAGAAACCTATCCCAAGACAACTAACTAACCCACTTCTGGGACAACAGCATTAATCTTTTAATAAAAGGTGACCTAATCCAAAGTAATTATTGTGCACACCAGTGAATCCCAGTACCTAGCACAGTGATTGGCACACTGACTGGCACATTGGAGGTATTTATCAAATGTCTTTAATAGATAAGTAGGCATTCAACTAATAAATTCTAGCTCAAGAAATGGAGAACTACTAAAAATTTTGATGAGAACTGTCTAAACAATAATGCCACTCAGATGGCTTAGCCACTTAATTAAAGGTCAATTTGATGATGTGTTATTATGTACAATGCAAATAATAAATGCAACTGGAATTTTCAGAAAGAACACACACACATACAACACACACAAACACATGCACACACATGTTTCTTTATTTGGTCTCCTGGATTCCTGAGTCTCCATCCATCTATCATTCCTTTGGTTGACATGGGACTTAATGTTTCATTTCATGACCAGTTCAAAGAAGAGCTGGGCAGAGGGATTAACAACGCTCAAAAGGTAATCAAATAGCTGCCAATGTATTGTTATGTTATCATGGATGGATATTCTATAGATTATGCAAGCTGCAAAGAAAACATGTAGGTGAAATCATGGTGTGGAGAAAAAAAACCCACAATAGTTGCTCATCAAGATAGATTCCATTTGTTTCTTCTTCAAATTACATTGATGGCATTAAATAACTTCCAACATACTTATTTTATCAATAAAAATAAAACAAGGCAATGGTGCTAGATGTATCAAAATCCATTATTTGATCATTTTTTCAAGTTTTGTTTTTATTTCGTAAATAATCCAATGCTTTTTTAAGATAAATAATGTTAATTCTGCTTCTGCGGAGTATACTAGAAGCCCAGAAAATCCTTAATAAAAAGCTATTCAGGAAACAACAACACTATGAGACGGTCATATGACTCAATGAATGAATTTGAATTGTTGGAGGAAGCAGGCAAGTGGGTAAGGGACAGAAAGACAGTATCTTCGTTCTGTTCCCAGCTATATCTTCATCCTCTGGGTGACCTATGGTGACTCACATCTCTCTGAGTGCTTGCAGTGACTCAGAATTGTTTTAAAAAGTTTTTTATTTAATTCTATATCATAGATCATTTCCGCTGGAAAGCATACAATACAAAATGATCTCTTTTTATTTCTTTCTTCTATCTATTCAAAGGAAAAGTTATTAACTTCCTGTATAGATTGAAGTGAAATGTCATTAAGTTTACAGAATTTAATAGTGAAAAACTAGTTATAAAAATGTTATAGAAAATATTTTTTAAAGTTTTTGAATTATGTGACTAAACAGCATTGAATTGTACAGTCCAGAAGCAAGAGCTCTATTGGAATTTGGGTATTAATCTAGGTCTATTGGGAAAACACTAAATATATCTTTCATGGTATCAGATTCAATGGATCATAATCTAAAAATACAAACTTTCAAACTTCCTTTTCTTTAAGAATTACTCAGAATCCTGGGAGTCAAAAGAGTCCAAAGGTATGACTCTGACCCCAGGTAACTGCATTTCTGCCCAGTATGCCAGGTGACTGATTGGACTGACAATATTTTCAGTAACACTGCTCTAGGGGGTCATCACCTGTTCCTTTGTTGGCAACTCTTTGAGAATTACATTAACATCTATAAATAGAATGACTCATGACTAACATCAGGAATTCAGACACAGACTCTTAATTTTAACACTCAGTAATGAAATGAGAAGACAGTTTTAAAGGACATGCATTTGACCTTGGCTAATGTTTTTATCAATAGACAGTATTTCAACTGAGACTTTACACTTGCTCCTGAAAGTTCTATAATTGCTTTTAGTTGTCTTATTTAGGTTCCGGTCTCTGGGATGATTTTAGTGTAAAAATTGTGAAGATATAAATTGTCATTTATCAAATAGATTGTTCAATCCTGATGAAATGCACAAAAATATTGGGTTAGTGAGCTTTTTATTTGTTTATTTTGTAAGACATGGGCCTTGGCCAACACAAAACTTAAATATTCTGACTAACTCAAAATAACAAATCCTTTGTTAAATGATGCTTGACCAAGGGCACCAAGTCATATAAAAGCAATAGTAACAGAAGTCCTCCCTGGACAACTCTGGAACTCTAAACCACTCCATAAGCAAATAAAAGGAAGGAAATATATCAAACCATATTTAATCAAGTTTTATCAAATAATAGCTGTGTGCAAGCAGCAAGGGTACAGACAAAAGTACTATAGTGTTAGTTCTTATCTTTCAACATGCATACTAAAAATTGTCAGAAGTATTCAAATAAGTATACACAAAATGCTCAGAGGGTGGCAAGGCGGAAGAGACCCCGTCCATCTGGGGAAGTAAGAAAGGCTTGAAGATGGCAATTACATTGGAATGAATGCAACAACACAGAGTCAAAAAAGCATCTGCCCCAGTTCACAAAATCTCATAGTCTGGAGTAAAAGTGTGAGGGATTGAGTAGTGGGAAGAGGAAACTGGAAGAGTATGTTGGGGACAGACTAAAAATACCATATATTGATTCCACGAATAAGACAATTAATATCATCAATTCTGAGACGGACTTTAGTTATTATTATTTTTTAACATTTTAACACCTCTGAAATGAAGATGCTGTTGGGTTGGTAGCAGTTTTGATGTTGTCACTACCTATACATGGACATCAAAACTTGCAAAGTAGGTGTCAGCAACTTGAAATAAAATTACTTTTTAAATTTTATATATATACATATATAATTTTTCTTTTTTTTTTTTTTGAGACAGAGTCTCACTCTGTCTCCCAGGCTGGAGTGCAGTGGCGCCATCTTGGCTCACTGCAACTTCCCCTTCCCAGCTTCAAGCAATTCTCCTGCCTCAGCCTCCCGAGTAGCTGGGACTACAGGTGCATGTCACCACGCCTGGCTAATTTTTTGTATTTTAGTAGAGACAGGATTTCACCATGTTGCCCAGGCTGGTCTCAAACTCCTGAGGTCAGGCAACCCACTTGCCTAAAATCACTCTTTTAAGAAATGCTTCAACTCTAATACTCCTGATGAAATGGAGAATACTGTGTGGAAAAACACAAATCTCAATGATTTGCAGGTAGAAAGAGATTCATAAAGGTCAAACTTAAAATGTAAAGTTGTAATAATTACTTTAACCAATGTATTTTTCTTATGTTTCCCTTTTATTTATGCATTAGAGTGACATATAATAAAATCTTTTTTCCTGAAGTATAAAAATGGTTTTTCAATAAGAATAAAATAAAAATTCAAAGAATAAGAATGCTTTGTGCCTTAGTTTAATTGGCAGGTTTTTTTCTTAGCAGTGTGTAAAATAATGGTGTGTTTTCTGATCACACCATCTTAGATTTGATGAAATGGGCTACTCAGCCCATGTGCATTGTGCACCTAGGCTATGCCAAGTACTATGCTATATGCTGGGGGGATAACAGTGAGGAAAACATGACAATGTCTCACATCTTACAGTGCTTACAGGCTCAGGTCCTGAATTATGGCTGAAAGGCCTGGACTATGTATTATAATTGGATGCCACCATGAGAGTTTAAGAATAGGAGTGATGCAATCAGAAACATTTTGAGGGAAGTTAGCTCTAGCAGTGGCATATAGGAGAGAAGGCAGGAAAAGGAACTGGTGGTAGGAGGAATAGTTAGAAAAGTCTTGAAATAGTTTGTGTGAGAGATAATGAGTGCCTGAATTAAGGCATGGTCACAGGCAGAGAAAGAAAAAAGAGAATTTAATCAACATGATTCCTACTGCTCATAGTTCATGATCAAAGAAATCCAGCAGACAATTTCAACTGCCTTCACATTGATGGAAATATACTAAAGCATTTGAGAGCTATTCTATCATCAAACATATTTTTCATTTTCAAAGTGGTCCATGTACTTTACCTTTGGTTAGCCCAACACTTAGGGCAAGGCACCATGCTAAGCCCAGGGAATACAAAGAAGAGTCTTCCCAGGTGAGGGAGAGAGAGATCCATGGGTGATGTGATGACACCAATGTGATTATGTGCAGTAAAGCCAACTGGGTGAGCTCGAAGTGCACAGCACCACTGGAGATGGAAAAGATCTCCAAGGGGCAGTCACATCTGACCAGGCACTTGAGGAAGTAGTACAAGGAAGTCATTGTACATTCTTCTACGATGCAAGAAAGGGCATCCTGGGCAGAGGTAAGCTTGTGCAAAAACAAAGAGGTGAGAAAGAGCAGAGCACATTTGGGGCAATTTTCAATATATGGCTATGGCTTAGTACAAGATGCCTATCAATAGTGGGAGAAGTTCGGGGCAGATAATCCAAAAGGCCTTACATCTATTAAAAGATATCAATTTAGTCCTAAAACAGGACAGATCCACTAAAGGATTGCCTATGTTTCATTTTATGTTTTTTAAAAAGGCCCTTAAAATGTACTGTAAATTGGATTCCACATAGAAAGAATCCTGGGAAGAATTTTCAACAAGTTTCAAAACAAACAACAAAAAGCAAAGGACAAGATTTCAAATGTGACCCCAGTTTAAGGATGCAATTAATTTGAAATGTTCTCATAAAGTACAATTCCAGGAACAGTAAATTGGTGACCAAGTTAAACTTTTGTTTCTTTAAAAGTCCAATATCAAATAGAGCAGGTGGCCCTATTTTCAGAATAATTCCATGATGCACTTTGACGTAACAGAAAGAAAAGGTATCCATAGATACAGAATGTTGTTGGTGGTGATTTTTAATTTTTGGTAAAGATAACAAGATATGAAACAATTTTCCTGTTAATTAAAACTTACTCTATTTCTGAGCATGATATTTTAAAGAAATTTTATATATATAATGAATATTTGGATATATATGTGGTTAATGGTTATTTTAACAAACATTTTGGTTTGCTGAAATTTTTATAGGCTAAATTAAAAGATAGTGCTGTCTTTAAGTTCAGACTTACATGGATTTCACAGATTTAAGAAAATGCAATGGAATAAAAATTTCAGCTAATATCATGCTTCTCTTCTGGATATTTGTGGAGTTCGGTTTCCATCTTGTATCATATTTAATTTACCATTGAAGAATTAACCACCTCTTTGTCCTGAGTCTGTAATTACACATGAGCTTACCAGACAGAAACCAAATGCAGATGGAGTTAGGAGCTAGACTATGTTCCATGTGTCCTGCATACAATATGTCGGCTAGCCTCTGGGACCCCAAACTGAGCACACAGTGGACATTTAGTCAAATATGCTCCCGCTCCCCAAATCATCTCACGTTCTCGTGTTTTTAACTTCCTACTGTTTGAGCAGTAGCAGCGTTCCTGCTGTTACACACATTTGTTTTTAAGCATGTAACTCTCAGTCTCACCCACTAACCTGTAAAATTCTGGAGAGCAGGAATCATGTTTTATTCATTTTTGAATATTCTTATTTTAAAAAAAGTCAAGGGACATGCAAAAAATAAAAGCTAAAGAAATGTATGTTGAACCAAATTGGAAATATATGCAGAATACTTAAAACTTCTATTGCTAATCTCAACAGAGACGATGTTCTAGAAAACAATCAAAATCTTATACTATATCAAGCAACGTAATGCCTGTCTCTGCGCTATTTCAAAATCATAAAGTTTTCAACCAGCATACTTCAACATTATCAAAACTAATATTTGAAAGAAAAAAGAAAATTTCCTGTTATTCTAAATTAAAAACAATCATTATATAAATTGAAACTGAACTGGCTTCCAAGTGAATGATTATGTATATACAAAATTGCTTAAAATGGCAAAGCTAAAAGAACACATTCTTAACTCTATTCTGATCCATGTATAAGAATGAAAACTATAATGTATTCTACAGATAACTTTTTTGTTTTTAAATGGGCATAATTCATCTGTATAAATAAAATATATATTAGAGCCAGTATATATGCTTGTAAGATTTCCAATTGCAATGATAATAAGCCAAACTGTTTGCAAGTATAACACACTCAGATGTGGTCCTTGATTCCAGGTAGTCTAGAATGGAATGTTCAGAGTATCAACATGAAAACTCACATGCTCAGGTGACGGCCTTCTTGTCCTCACCTCAAGAGCATATTGTTTTACACTAAACCCTGAGGGAATGAGCACAATTTCATTTAGACATTAGAATATTTATTTCAGACACTGGAGCTGTTAAGAGAGTCAGGCTCAACATCTTTAGCCTTGATAGGTTCTATAGGAGTGCAAAGGATGTGTTATATCCTTTCTCGGTTCCCAATTTGCAGTGAGAACTTCACTGAATATCACAGTTTGCTGCTTTACAGAATACTACAAAATTAGCAAATTTGCTTCAGTTCTAGAAGCAAGAAAAGTTAGGGGAATGACTAGATAAGCTGTTTGTTCTTAAGAAAGGAATTACTTTTCTGAGGTGCACAGGCAAATTATCAATCGGTGCCAAAGCTTTGCTTTGCCTTAAAACTAAAACTTAAAAAAAAAAAAAGCACCCTCTTTCAGAGCTCTGTAAAATGAAAGTATAAGAGCATTTAAGGAATCATACTCCTATGCTCAAGAGATACTTAGGTGGCTTTAAAAGGTCTGCTCTGTTTTACTTGGAATGCTAGTTGGCACTACAAGGAGTTTGGGACTGGCAGTTTGTTGTGTACAGTGCACTGCTGCTGCATCAGCCAAGAAGAGCAGACTCTTAGGGAGAATGTCCTAGGCAATGTGTTGATTTCAGAGCTGCCTCTCTTTTCCTGCTTCGTATTTTGATAGCTTTTGCTTTTCCTTTTCAAACCATAATTTAGAACTGCAATAATTTAGTGTTTTTTTCCCTTTCCAACAACAAAAATTTAATATTAAATGTACCCAATTCCTTCCACTTTGCTACAAAGAATCTAAACTGAAAATAGCACACGGACAAACATGAAAAGATTCACCACATTCTTTCAGGTGATATGGAGTAATTTAAGAAATGTGTACTTGGGAGGCATCCAGACATAATTTTGATCACTTAATCACTAAGAAATTGCAGCGTTATGAGGAACGTCTTCATAAGCAGACCTTAGCTTTGGTAAAAGCACCTAGCTCATTTCACTCTTTCTGTCAGGTGTCTATTTAAAACACTCAAGGAATTGATCATTCTCTTATCTGAACATCCATCATTGCATGAATAAATTATGATTCATTCATCACATGAAATATTATGCATCAATGCAAAGCTCAACTACAACTTTACTGGCCTGGAGTAAGCACTATGATATATGACTTCATGAAATATCAAGTTTCAGAGTAATGTTTATATTGTTATTTTTGTTTAAAAGTGTGCATGCCTGTGAGACAGCATACATGTGGCAAGCATGAAGAAAAATGTGAAAGTGCTCTCCATGCCCAGAGAGTAGGATTAGAAAGGGGATGTGGCCCCTACTGACTCCAAGGGACAGCAAAAAAAAATTAAAAGACAAAAAAGTAAAAGAAATCCTCTTAATGTGGCATCATTAAGATTTTTCTTTTATTTGTATCAATATGTACATATTTTGTAATTTGAATATCTAATGAAGGAAATGTAAAAGGAATTTTAAACAAGTAATTTGGGATTGGATTTATTTTAATTTTTAAGAAATCTATTACCAAGCTTCTGTGGACTCTACCATCATCATTTACTAGCTGCGTGGAGCTGGATAATTTGCTTACTCTTTTCTTATCTCAGTATGCTATCAGTTACAATGGGAATTATAACAATACAAACTTTGCAGGAGTGGTTGTGATGATGCCGTTAACACAGGCAAAGCATACAGAACAGTGTGTAGCCTACATTCAACAATAACTTTGGCTTTGAGTAGAAGTGGTGTTGTATCTGGGACTACTTCTAAAGGAATAACTTGCTGAGGTTTCTGGTAATTCTATTGGTTCTGTGACTAAACCATATTCTATGTAGCTAGCTGCATTTGGCTCACAGCTATGAATGCTTTTCCTTGTTTAAATATTGATGGAAGGGAGGCAAGAAGCACTGCAAGTTATTTACTTATAATTAAACGAAGAGTCAAAAGTGATCAGAGGGGTAACATCAGCTGAGGGAGGTTAATTCTTAACAAGGCAATTTCAACCCCTAAAATATAAGTCAGGCAAAATTTATATTTTTTAAATTAAGTTTCCAGATAATTGTTGTTTTCTGGCTTCCAAGATGCAAATTCATGATTAACTATAAATGTCAAGCCAGGCAGAAGAGGGTGCTAATTAAGTAATCTGGTTAAGTACTCAACTTTCAAAAATTGTGTTTTTCTTACCTGCCCACCTATAAACTTTATACCAGAGAACAAAATAGCTTTAATTATATAAGAGCATAATATAATCTTGAAATTTAAATGATGTTAACAACATCAATGATGTTATCTATACCTGACAGAAATAACGAAAAAGAAAATGCATTCTTACAGTCAGGAATAATGAGAATTCATGAGTAAAGGTAGTTTGCTTCTGGGGGTGGTAGATTTCTGCACTTTTGTTTTAACTGATTTTCTAAAAGAGCACCTGGTCATCTACCAAGGGCAATGAGGCCTATTCCTGTAATGAGGTCTATGCCGGTAACAACTGAAAGTAAGAATTTCCAATAATTATTTTTTGTTGCTAGACCTATGCTATTATTAGTTTAAAATATTAAGTGGTTGAAACTATTATTCACAGAATAATATAGACAACATTTTTCATGATTTTGTTTTTTTCAAGTAATTTTAGATTATTTTAAATAATATATTTAAGCTGAATACAACATACTGAAATATATGTGCTTAATATATTTTAATTGAGAATACAAATTATGATTATCTCTCTAAGCCATTTAAAACCGCTTACACCAAACAATAAAACTGTGTTCATAAACGATAGGTGGTGCCGAGCTGAAATTAGGAAAAACAGCATTTAAAAATACGAAGAACTATGACTTTGAAAGGGATCGTATGCAATGAATACTGCACAGCAAACATATCAGAAGGGTTTTCCCTTTCTTTAGTACCTATGTTTTCGGCAGTCTGCCTTGTTCACGGTCCCACTTCGCCAGGAACCAAATGGCAACAGAAATCCATCTGTTTGGTCCCATAAACACAAAGATTTGATTTCTCACTTGCACAGAAATCAGAGAGCTATTTTATAATGGAACTAGGAAACGTTTTCTTCATAACACAGGAAGTAACAACAGATGGAGGCTGATAGATCCCACCTACCCTGGGCTGTTTTTGTCCTTCGTCATTTCTGTGCAGGCAGGCAGGCAACCTTATAGCTGTGTGGGAGCCGGGGCGGATCTGATCAGAGTTCTGTTACCTGTGAGCCCCGTACTAGATGTCTCGTTAGCTCCACCCACTACCTCCGCCAGGAGCCCGGCTGTTGGGGGGTGGGGCTAGTATCAGACCAACATCTAAGGCAAAAAGAGACCCAAATCCCACACAGCAAGCTGTTATCACCCAAAGAATATGCCGTTCGGTGTGTACAACGAAGGAGGTTATTAAATACGATGACTCTTCAGATATGTATGTGAGAAAGATCTTCTGGAAGTGTATTTTTCTTTGTATGCTACAAGGAAAACACAGAAGCGATTTAGAGATAGTGCCCATTATCAGACTTTTAACCAAGGAACACAAGTATATTGATATTGACATTGCTATCACTGTAATTCATTGTGTTCTTACAATGTGCTAGGCATTATGGTAAGTGATTTAAATGCATGACTTCGTTAATCTCACAGTGGACTCTAAGGGAGGTGCTATTCGTATTTCCATCGATCAGAATAAACAATAGAAAATTACCAAGGTTGAGGAACTTGCCCACGGTTACATAACTAGTAAGTGGCAGAGATGAGATTTGAATTTTGTCCTGTAAGAACCCAGACACTGACTTCTTCAGCACTTTACCATACTTCCCTCCCCTTCATACATTGCTTTCAGATCTTTTTATATCATCAGACCATTTTCCCTTTATATTAAAAGAAAAATCAGATAAAGTAGATTAATGATTTCTTGTGAAGCATTCTAATAGAGATTAGCCTCAGTTACCAAAAGTTACCAAACTGATTAGCCTCAAAAATTTGAGATGCCCTCAAAGTAACGTTTGACTTTTAATTTATTTTAGAAATAAGAGATATGTATGATGATACACAAAATTTGTAAACATGGTCTTCAGCTATAAATTACACAACATTATAACAAATAGAACTACCAGAAAGAATGAACTATGTGTCTTTTAAGGAATATGTTGAAGGTGGGATAAAAGCTTATTAAGTTTTCTTCCACCAGAGGTCATCACAAAAATTCAGTTTCCTTTCTTTGTTTTTTCTGTTTTGGTTTGGTTTTTGAGACAAGGCCTTGCTCTGTTGCCAAGATTGGAGTTCAGTGGCACCATCTTGGCTCACTGCAGACTCAGCCTCTCAAGTGATCTTCCTGTTTCAGCCTCCAGAGTAGCTGAGAGTACAGACACATACCACCATGCCTGGCTACTTTTTGTATTTTTCAGTAAAGATGAAGTCCTGCTATGTTGCCCAGGCTGGTCTTGAACTCCTGGCCCTAAGCAATCCTCCCACCTCAACCTTCCAAAGAGCTGTAATAGCAGGCATGAGTCACTGTGGCTGGCCAAAAATTTGATTTTTTAGTTTTTTTTTTTTTGAGATGGAGTCTTGCTCTGTTGCCCAGCCTGGAGTGCAGTGATGCTATCTCAGCTTGCTGCAACCTCCGCCTCCCAGGTTCAAGCAATTTTCTTGCCTCAGCCTCCTGAGAAGTTGGGATTATAGGCACACACCACCACGCCTGGCTAATTTTTGCATTTTTAGTAGAGAAAGGGTTTCACCATGTTGGTCAGGCTGGTCTCGGACTCCTGACCTTGTGATCTGCTCGCCTCAGCCTCCCAAAGTGCTGGGATTACAGGCGTGAGCCACGGCACCCGGCCTCAAAAATTTGATTTCTAAGTGGAGAAGTTCCCTGTGGATTCAGAGAAGTAATGAAACAGGATAGCCCCAGGGTATTTCCACACCTTAACTTGTAAAGAAAAGTAGAAGTGAGTTACAGCAATGTTCTTAGACTACAAGTTTATTTGTTAATGAACCACATTTGAACACAAGTGTCCACCTTGCAGATTTCTAGAGGGTATCAGGGTTGGGGAGACAAACCACTTCTCATCACCCTCATATTTTTCACTCTCATTCATCTGCCTGGACTGGAAAAGAAAACTTTCACAAAGCCAATCTCTATTTGATAGCCTAGTAAGAAAGGGTTCTTCTTGCTTCCCTCTGCAGATAGTAGGGTCTGAAAAACATTGTAAGGCCCTGGTCTTGTTACTGTTTCTGTTAATCAGCATGTCCAACCCAGGCGAAATTAAAGTCAACTTGTTTTTAAGAAAGGACATAGCCTGGCTCCACAAACATTTCATTTTTGCCACTGTTCTCCAGGAGGAGCTGCATTTTTCTTGCACTTGAAGAGGAGTAGGAAGATATGATTTGCCATGCCTAGAAATTCTTTCTAAAGCCTCGCAGTACGAATAGTGCTAAGCTGCGAATTAATTAGTATGAATGTCCTTTCATTTCTGCCCCTAACATTTACATTCACATAGAATCTGATTAAGTGGACATCTAGAGTATACTTAAAAAGTAAATAAGGTCTAAAATAGGCAACAGATGATGGACATGGTTGGAAATGATGGTAAAAATGATGACTTGGTAAGTAAGTGAGAGCGTGCATAGGAGACAGGCATGGTAATGAGGCTAGTCGTCTTTTAGCACAAGCTGGAAGTGGTGCATCTGGGGTGCTGTCCTGAATCATGACCCAGTTAATAATGAGCAGTTCTCAAACTGCAGGCACCAGACAGTATACTTCAGTATCCTGCAGATGGATTCACCTGGCACTGTGAAAATGCTAATGTTTGAATGGACTCTTACAATAAAGCTGCTAAGACTCATGGTACTTTTCACCTCTGTATTGTGGTTTGTTTTATAATGATTCAGATTTCACTCTTCTTTGGTATTTCATGCTACATAAAGCCTCTTAAATGACTGCAAACGTATCACTAGTCCATGAGGTTATACTAGAAATAAAATACGTAAGATGAGTGTGTTTGTCTACTTCACTGTACTCCAAGGCTCTTTAATAATAGGACAGCAGGTGGAGATTATCAGGAGTGCTTTAGCAGTTTCCATTTAATTCCCTGTAAATAAATGGCTCTGTTGGTAGACTCATTAGACAAAGGATTTAGAAACACTAGAAGAAGAACTCTCCTTGAATTCCTAATGCCTATTGCCCAGGGTCATATCTAAACTATTCATATTTGTTCTTAAATACTGTGATTTATATTAAATTATCATAATGCTAATATCTGTGTGGTGTATATATATATGGGGGGTATGTGTGTGTGTACATATACATTTTCTACAAGAATTTTGTAACTAAATTTTTCAGATGATACTATCCTTTTTAATATATCTTCTTTAAAAAATGGGATACATGTGCAGAACGTGCAGGTTTGTTACATAGGTATACGTGTGCCATGGTGGTTTGCTGCACCTATTGATCCGTCCTCTAAGTTCCTGCCCCTCACCCCCCACCCCCAACAATCCCTGGTGGGTGTTGTTACCCTCCCTGTGTCCTTGTGTTCTCATTGTTTAACTCCCACTTATGAATGAGAACATGCGGTGTTTGGTTCGCTGTTCCTGTGTTAGTTTGCTGAGGATGATGGCTTCCAGCTTCATCCATGTCCCTGCAAAGGACATGATCTCATTCCTTTTCATGGCTGCATAGTATTCCATGGTGTATATGTACCACATTTTCTTTATCCAGTCTATCATTGATGGACATTTGGGTTGGTTCCATGTCTTTGATATTGTAAATAGTGCTGCAATAAACATGTGTGCATGAATCTTTATAGAAGAATGATTTATATTCCTTTGGGTATATACCCAGTAATGGGATTGCTGGAACAAATGTTATTTCTGGTTCTAGATCCTTGAGGAATTGCCATACTGTCTTCCACAATGGTTGAACTAATTTACATTCTCACCAACAGTGTAAAAGCATTCCTATTTCTCCACAGCCTCATTAGAATCTATTGTTTCTAGATTTTTAATAATCAATTCTGACTGGCATGAGATGGTATCTCATCGTGGTTTTGATTTGCATTTCTCTGATGATCAGTCATATTGAGCTTTTTTTCATACGTTTGTTGACCATGTAAATGTCTTCTTTTGAGTGTGTCTGTTCATATTCTTTATCCAGTTTTGATGGAGTTGTTTGTTTTTTTCTTGTAAATATGTTTAAGTTCCTTTTAAATTTTGGATATCAGACCTTTGTCAGATGGCTAGATTTCAAAAATTTTCTCCCATTCTGTAGGTTGCCTGTGAACTCTGATGATAGTTTCTTTTGCTGAGCAGAAGCTCTTTAGCTTAATGAGACCCCATTTGTCAATTTTGGCTTTTGTTGCAATTGCTTTTGGCATTTTTGTCATGAAGTCTTTGCCCATGCCTATGTCCTGAATGGAATTGCCTTGGAAAGCAAAGAAATAAGCAGGGGTTGCAATCCTAGTCTCTTATAAAACAGACTTTAAACCAACAAAGATCAAAAAAGACAAAGAAGGGCATTATAACATGGTAAAGGGAACAATTCAACAAGAAAAGCTAATTATACTAAATTATATGCACCCAGTACAGGAACACCCAGATTTATAAAACAAGTTCTTAGAGACCTATAAAGAGACTTAGACTCCCACACAATAATAGTAGGAGTCTTTAATGCCCCACTGTCAGTATCAGTCAGATCAACGAGACAGAAAATTAACAAGGATATTCAGAACTTGAATTCAGCTCTGGATCAAGTAGACTTAGTAGACATCTACAGAACTCTCTACCCCAAATCAACAGAGTATACATTGTTCTCAGCACCACATGGCACTTATTCTAAAATCAACCTTATAGTTGGAAGTAAAATGATCCTCAGCAAAATGCAAAAAAAAACCTGAAATTATAATAAACAGTCTCTCAGTACAACAGTGCCATGAAATTAGAACTCAGGATTAAGAAACTCACTCAAAACCACAAAATTTCATGGAAATTGAACAACGTGTTCCTGAATGACTCCTAAGTAAATAACGAAATTAAGGCAGAAATGAAGTTCTTTGAAACCAATGAGAACAAAGATACAACGTACCAGAATCTCTGGGACACAGATAAAGCACTGTTAAGAGGGAGATTTATAGCACCAAATGCCCACATCAGAAAGCTAAAATGATCTCAGATCAACACCCTAAAGTCACAAATAAAAGAGCTAGAGAGGCAAAAGCAAACTAATCCAAAAGCTAGCAGAAGACAAGAAATAACTAAGATCAGAAAAGAAGAAGATAGAGACATGAAAAACCCTCCAAAAAATCTTAATGCAGGAGGTGTTTCTTTGAAAAAATTAACAAAATAGATAGACCGATAGCTAGACTAAGAGGGAAGATGAGAAGAATCAAATAGACACAATAAAAAATGATAACGGGGATATCACCACTGACCCCACAGAAATACAAATTACCATCAGAGAATACTATAAACACTTCTATGCAAATAAACTAGAAAATCTAGAAGAAATGGATAAATTCCTGGACGCATACACCCTATCAAGACTAAACCAGGAAGAAGTCGAATCCCTGAATAGATCAGTAATAAGCTATGAAATTGAGGTAGTAATTAATAGCCTACCAACGAAAAAAAAGCCCAGGACCAGACGGATTCACAGCTGAATTCTATCAGAGGTACAAAGAGGAGCTGGTACCATTCCTTCTGAAACTATTCCAAACAATCGAAAAGGAGGGACTCTCCCCTAACTCATTTCATGAAGCCAGTACCGTCCTGACACCAAAACCGGGAAGAGACACAAGAAAAAAAGAAAACTTCAGGCCATTATCCCTGATGAATATCGATGCGAAAATTATCAATAAAATACTGGCAAACTGAATCCAGCAGCACATCAAAAAACTTACCCACCATGATCAAGTCTTGGCTTCATCCCTAGGATGCAAGGCTGGTTCAACATATGCAAATCAATAAACGTAATCCATCACATAAACAGAACCAAAGACAAAATCACATGATTATCTCAATAGATGCAGAAAAAGGCTTCGATAAAATTCAACACCACTTCATGGTAAAAACTCTCAAGAAACTAGGTATTTATGGCACATATCTCAAAATAATAAGAGCTACTGATGACAAACACACAGCCAATATCATATTGAATGGGCAACAGCTGGAAGCATTCCCTTTGAAAACCAGTACACAGGGATGCCCTCTCTCACCACTCCTATTCAACATAGTATTGGAAGTTTTGGCCAGGGCAATCAGGCAAGAGAAAGAAATAAAGGCTATTCAAATAGGAAGAGAGGAAGTCAAGTTGTTACTGTTTGCAGACGACATGTCTTTATATTTTGAAAACCCCATCATCTCACCCCAAAGACTTCTTGAACTGATAAGCAACTTCAGCAAAGTCTCAGGATACAAAATCAATGTGTGAAAATCACAAGCATTCCTTTACACCAACAATTGGCAGGCAGAGAGCCAAATCATGAATGAACTCCCATTCACAATCACTGCAAAGAGAATAAAATACCTAGGAATACAGCTAGCAAGGGATGTGAAGGACCTCTTCAAGGAGAACTACAAACCAGTTCTCAAGGAAGTAAGAGAGGACACAAACAAATGGAAAAACACTCCATCCTCATGGATAGGAAAAATCAATGTCGTGAAAATGGCCATACTGCCCAAAGTAATTTAGAGATTCAATACTATTCCCATCAAACTACCATTGACGTTCTTCACAGAATTAGAAAAAACTATTTTAAATTTCACATGGAATCAAAGAACCCCATATAGCCAAGAAAATCCTAAGCAAAAAGAGCAAAGCTGGAGGCATCATGCCACCTGACTTCAAACTATACTACAAGGCTACAGTAACCAAAATAGCATGGTACTGGTACCATAACACACATATAGACCAATGGACCTGAACAGAGACCTCAGAAATAATAATACCATACATCTACAACCATCTGATCTTCGACAAACCTGACAAAAACAAGCAATGGGGAAAGGATCTATTCAGTGAACAGTGCTGGGAAAACTGGCTAGCCATATGCAGAAAACTGAAACTGGACCCCTTCCTTCACCTTACACAAAAATTAACCCAAGATGGATTAAAGACTTAAATGTAAAACACAAAACCATAAAAATCCTAGCAGATGATACTATCTTTTTAAAAAACAATGAAAATTTTAAACAGAAGTTTATAAATCCAAGCTCAGCTATTAAAAATTAAGCAATGGCTAATACTAATACTGGGAATATGGTACGAATGGGGAAGTACCAATTATTTTTATACATTTAACCTAGGAATACACATTGGTGATAAAACACTCCTATCATCTAGGTTAACATGCTATACTGGTATTTTAATTTTAATTTGGTGATGTTTTATATTTCAGTATGTTTTCAAAGACTAAAGCTAAATTATTACTTAAAAATCCCAACTGCTGAATAATCTCTTAAATATTATTTTTTAATTTTCTGTATCTAAGGATATAATAATTACAAACCAAATCCTATGCCTTCCTGAAAAGAAAAAATGAGAGTGGAAACTGTGGCTAGTAATCTATTCAACAGTGGCTTGATATGTTTTAGATGCATGCCTAGGGCTATAGTAAGGTTTAACAATGAAATTTTGATGAGTTGGAAATTATTCTATCACCCAGAACTAGAAAGGAATGGAAGTATCTTTTCTTTATTCTTTAACTACATACCAAATAGTTTACCATGTAATAATATACCATATAATTTCTCTACTACTGAAATCAGCAGTACTTTTCAGTATATATAGAAAAAACATCACATTTTCATTAGAGATTGAGCCGATTGTCCTGTGACATGAGGATTGAGGACAAATTGTGCAGTCGTCCATATGGCAGCACTGAGCACAACTGTCCAGAAAATATTGCACTCTTTTCTTCAAAGCAGAGCCTATTAGACCATAGCTTTTTGGGGTAGGGTGTGGGTGTGGGAATAAATCAATAAATTATAAGACTACAATTATCTATATAACATCCTAGAGTTTCTAAAACTGCTGTCCACCTTGAAAATTACCAACGCAGTCCCACCGCTGAGGAGCACCACTCTCAGTTCTCTCTATAATATGGAGCAGACTTTTTTCCATTTAGTTGAAGATGAAATAAAAGGTCAATTCAGTGAAATTTTCTTCATGCCTCCGAATATCAGCCACAGTAAAACCTCACTTATCCATTAACTTCAGCTATCCAGAATCTAGTCAATGATTTAAAAAATTCACAAATTCTCAAGGATTTTATTCACATAAGAGCTTTAAATGCAGAACCTAATTAGAACTATATTAAAACTTGATTTCATTATTATTCTTCAAGTAAGTATTTATATCGGGTTTCTCATTCATTCAATGAATTTATTGAACCCTTTGGTGAATACTTGGTGGCATGTTGCTAAGTATTAAGGATTCAGTAGTAAGAAAACAAATGCTCTGCTCGATCTCCTAGCAGGTAGCAGGGCAAGATAAAATCCACAATGTTTGTATGTCAAATAAGAAGGTGATTGAGGTGGGGTGGGCAGTGACTTTTAAAAGCCAGCACATGCCTTTAGCTACATGGGAATTCATAACACACAGTGGTTTAGAATTTCTGAATTTAAAACAAAATATCAGAAAAAAAGGAAAGCAAATATCAGGAAAAACACAAATTGAACTAAATTTTAAAAATTTTAAACTAAAACAACTGTTTTATTTTGGGCTGCTCTAACAAACTACGATAGACTGGCTGTGTTAAAAAACAAACTTTTTTTTTCTCACAGTTCTGGAGGCTAGAAATCTGGGATCAGAGTGTAACAGTGTGGTCAGGTTTTTGGCGAGGGCTCTCTTCCTGGTTTCCAGAGAGATACCTTCTTGCTATGTCCTCACATGGTAGCGAGAAAGCTCTGGTCTCTTCAACTCCTTATAAGGGCACTTAATCCCATCACCGGGGCTTTACTCTCTTGATCTAATCTAATCCTTATTGCCTCTCAAAGGCCCCCAACTCCAAATGTCATTTCATTTGGGATTAAGGTTTCAACACATGAATTTTAAAGAGACGCAGAAATTCGGTCCATAGCAGTAACAAACACAAATAGAAATACAATTTTTAAAGAAGCAAATATCTTCTGAATATGAACAATTGCAGTAACAACAATACAAATATAATTTTCCATCATTTTGCTCCAGGAAGGTTCTAAGCACCTTTCATGGATTATCTCATTTAATTATCCCAAGAACAGCAATGGGGATGCATCTCTTAATAAACCCAATTCATATGCAGGTGGGGGCTGAGGTACTTAGAGGTTAAGTAACTGGCCCAAGGTCATAAGGCTAGTAAATTATGGGAAGCGGAGTAGTGCTAATCTAATTCCACACTTATTGGACAAGCTATATCGTCCTGCACCAACATGTTATGTCTGTATCATGAACATACTGCTCTCATTTATTGAATCCTAACTGTAAGCTGGGCACTGGTAAGTACTTATTAAGTATTATTTGATTTAACACTAAGAACAAATCTGTGAGAACAGCACTACTTTCATCCCCATTTTACAGATGATAAAAATGAATATCAGAGCAGTTAAATGATTTGCACAGTTCCAAAGCAGGAAACCCAGTGCCATCCAATAGCCATATCATATAAGCCATATATGTAATTTTAAATGTTCTGGAAGCCACATTAAAAAATAAGTAACTTTAATTATGTTTTATTTAGTTCAGTATATCCAAAATAGTATCATTTCAACATGTAGTCAGTATAGAAATGATTGAGATATTTTGCATTTTTTTCATATTAAATCTGGGAAATTCAGGGTGTGTTTTTCATTTACAGCATATGTCAATACAAACTAGTGACTCCTGTTTTGCATTTTAACATAGGTAGATATAACCATTTCTCTGGTTTGTGGTGGGCTTCCCAATCTCTTTCTTTATTTAGATGACTCTGGATTTGAATATAATTGGTTGACAATCTAGTCCTTGTGTCCCTACCTTGATCTCCTACATTTACCTCTATGCTGATACCCATGGACACAAAGAGATCCACACATATTACAATGTACGTGTGAACAGTCCCTAAAGATCTGCACTGGTCATTAGAAGCTGAATTTCTAAAGTGGGTGTTTGTCCTGTTCACATGGCACATCACACATCAAATATGCTGCCTTGTTGTGTTTATCTTTCTTTTTGCTTACATCTCTCCAGCTAGTGTATAAGCCCCCAGTAGTTTTCTTTACATCTCTACAGTCCCAGCTTCTAGCACAGTGTCATACACATATTAGACAATGCATTTTAGGGGATGACAACAAATTCCTAGGAGGAGGCATCTTGCAGCTTCACTGTATCTACCACAGTACCTTGTCATAGATTCTCAATTCATTTTGTCTGAGTGAATGAGTTTTGCTTTATTGGCTAATATGAAAAACTCTATTGCATTCAGCATGAAAACAGCCATTAAAGAGATTATATAAGAGGGTTGTTGGAGATCATCTCAGAAAGTTAGAACCCATTTGCCATCCCTTATTCACAGGGAGCCAATGTCAAATTGGGATCATGATCCTGGTTTCTTGGTTCCTAATAGTGTCCTCTTTCCATTGTTTACATGATTTCTTTCTGCTTATATGCTTCCTAATTTCTCCCAAGGGGAGAGTACTGTCCTCTAAATCAGAGGTCAAAGATAATGAAATAAAGATTGTGAGTTGTTGATAAAGACCAGTTGCATTGGTGTAAAAGGCAGAAAATAGTGCAGTCTTATAAGGTAAGAAAAATTCCATTCTATGCTAAATATCCTTTATTTTGGAGATATGAAGAGGGACATTTTACTTAACGCAAAGATATCTATGAAATTAGACACGAAATCATTATATTTTCTTACCTAAAGTTCAGAGTTTCTAGCTTCTAGAAATAGTATTTACCTGTACATTGATAGACTTGCTATTTTAAAAGAGATTAACCACAAGTATGCTGATGCTTTTGAACATCACTTCCTTAATAATTTTTTTAACGGAAGTACAGGAGCTTCACAGTCTCACAATGAATTTTAAAAGACAATTATATGGAGATAAAAGACAGCATAAAGGGTAAGAGAAAGTATTTTGGAGCCTTATGAATCTGGATCTGAGTCCTGACTATGCCACTTACTGCTATTGCACTGGAGGCACATAGAAAGATTTTTTTGTTTGTTTGTTTTGCTCAGCCAATAGTCACCCCCCTTTCTTTTTGGGGAAGGTACAATGTACCACTTCTCTTCTTTTGGGGTTTGAGTTGCATTGAGCTGATCTTCCTGCCCCAGGGGGAGCATGTATTTCAGGTCAAGCCAATCAAGGAAAATGACACTCAATTCCAGAAACTGTAGGAACTACAGGGAGAGAGGCATGGCTGGTCTTCTAGGGTGACCAGAGAGGATGTGAGCCTGTAGCTGCTGGAAGCTATTCTGCTACTTCTGCAGGGAAGGCTATGTGTGAAGGTAGCTGACAGAGAGAAACATACAGTAAAGAGATGAAGAGAGGGAGATTATCTCCTTTAGGCTTAGGCATGACTGAAGCCAGGCCCACCCCTAGACTTTATATGAACCATTAAACCATTAAAACTTAGGTTTTCTGTCACTTGAAATTGTAAGGTCCTGAAGAAAACTTCTCATCTTCATTTTTTTTTTTTGCATAGGCACAAAACACTCATTTTTATTAGGCTGTGGTGAGGAGTAATTGAGCTCATATTCATAAAACTCTTGGGATACAGTACAGTGGTGGCTATTTGGATTTTAAATGGGGCTAGAGAGTGAGGTGATTACAACTTTGGGCTGTTGAGCCAAACAAATCTTGTTTGAAACCTGGATATGCTAATTACCAGAAGTGAAAATTTGAATGAGATTACATAACTTCTTAATTCCAGTTTTATATGTAGACTGAGAATAATAATAAATACTTGATAGAAGCCTCATGCCAACCAGAAATGACATATGCAAGGGTCTAGGTGACTGTATGGCACATAAACAGGAGACATGAAATGGTAGCTATGGCTTTTGCTACTATCAATTTCAATAATTACTAGCTCTAATTTTTTTTATGAAGAAAGGCTTATAAACAGTATCTGTTTTTGTTTTTAGACTAAAAGAGATGATTATTTTAAATTTCTCCTTGGAAAGGAAAAAAAATGTGAAGTGGATTTCAAAAAAGCTAGGGTGACCTTAAATAGTGAAAATGGATGTAGCATCCAGAATATAAAGCTCTACTTTACTCTTCATCCATCTGACCCACTTTTGATTGGTTAGATCACTTTTGGTCATATTTGTATGACCAACAACATCCAATAAAGTAGTGAGTGATCAGAGCACTGAAGGGTGACGAAATATGTCACACAAAGAATGGTTACTATACCTGAGACTGCTGAGCCTTGAGAAGATAGAGGGGCTTTGATAGGGCCACATGCTATGGTGGCGAAGAAGGAATGTTCTGGAACACCAGATAGTAAAGGAAAACTATAGTGAAATAGTATCACTCTTATTTCACGTCAAAACGTACCCACTTTCCACAGTTTGATGGTCACCCCGTCCCATCATGTAGAGAGAGTGTACTGGTTCTTTACATGGGACATAAATTCATATTCAGAAGTCCCCGATGTGCTTATAAAGTCACATGAACATATGAATAACTCAGGCTTTAAATGTTTAAGTGATTAAACAGATGTACTGGTAATTATTGGAACAGGCACGTGCCTTTCATAGCATCGCAGATCCTCACAATTGAGGGTGATTAGGGAGAAGACCTGACTGAATGACTGACAAGCCCGGATTCAAAGGTAATTCTGTCATTTTCTATGTTCAAGTAGAGACTCTGTCAAGAGCAGTAAGGTCGGCAAGTAAGGTGTTGCTGCCAAGGAGAGCTCTTCGAAATCGGCTTTAGGAAACTCCTTATCAAGTCTCCACGGCCCCCTTCCTGTCATGCCAACCTCACCAACCATTCCCTCCCTCACTTCCTCAGCCACGCTGACCTTTGTCTTCCTCCAACACAGCAAACATGTTCCCATAATCAGCACTGTTCATTTGCTGTTCCTTGTACTGCAGAGTCTGTCACCGGATGTCTGCACAGTGATCCCTCATTCAGCTCTTATCTTGACTGTTACTTCCTTAGAGGTGACACCTGGCCACCACAGCTAAGGCAGTTCCTCCCCACCCCTACCCATTCACCTTCAGTCATGCCGCCCTGTGTTATATGCTTCATAGCAATGGTCATCTCACCATGGGATGCTCTCTCATTGAAACGCGTTTATTATTATCTCTATCCTCCACTAACAGTAAGCTCAAAGGAAGTAGAGACCTCAATGATTTTATTCATAATTGTATGCCCAGCATCAGGAATAGCATCTGATTCCTAGTAGGCACTAATTACAGAATTGCTGAATTAATGGATTGTATTTTCTGAATCCATTCAACTTTAACATTAGCAAATTTTTAATTTTTCTTAGCACAGATAAATGTAGAAGTAAAGTTTAGATTAACCTCTGTCTAAACTGTTACAAATTACAAATTAAGTAAAGTGAACTCAGCTTCTTTGTCTCTCAGAATAATTTGACTATGAGCAAGGAAAAATTATCACCCCTGGAAAAGTAATTTTTTTTCTTATCTGTTTTAGTGACATTCATAGCTTCAGAGTCAAAACACATGACATCACCCATAAAGTATGCTTCTTCAGAGCACATAAAAGCTACTATTCTTTTGGAAACTGTCCATACTATACTCTAGAATTACAACCCTTAATGAGTTTTTCAATAGTTTCATTTCTTTCTCCTCATCTGTTCAGTTTAATAAAGCTTACAACTCTGTCACAAAATTAGCTTTTTCTTAAACTTTGACAAACAAAATGCAAAACTCTCTGAAAGGTTTCTCTATGATTTAGTGGAAGAGTAGTGTTGCCTATTACCACTGGGGCCACAGTAATTCAAATGATCTTACTGCTATACATGCTCACACAAACATGCATGCATATAACACCAGAACAAATAATTTAATCATGGGTAACATTATTTTCTAGTTTTTTTTAGGAGAAAATATTCATAATTAGGGTATTTTATCAGAAAAGTATGAGATTTAAAGGATAAACATAATATCAAACTTGTTCTTTCAAAAAATGTGATATTATGTTTCCCCTCCTAAAATGACTTTTAGATTTTTATGGGAACATTTGCTGGTAGACCAATCATCAAAGCAAAAAATAATTTAAACGCAATCACTATTATCATGAATGTAATTGTTAAGTGAAAGAAACCAAATTCTTATTCTGTTATACATCTACAAGGAAAAAACAAAGAAGGTAACTATCTTTAAACGAATGTTCCTTTCAGCATTGCTTAGAAAAGTGAAAAACTGTAAGTAACTACAATCTAGCAATAGTGAAATGGATCAATAAACTGTGTGGGATAATGAGCCACAGTTAAAATAACTGGACTAGATAGATTAGATATACAGATAAAGAGCTCAATCTGAATCCGCCTTTGCAAAATTGTAACGGAGAACATTATAACAGTGAAAGAAATCAGACCTAATTGACTCTACCTTGCTTCTAACCCTTAAGCTGTCCTTATTCATTCCTGGGCATAGACGGAACTAAGTTTGGGAAGGAATTCAGTTCATGGTTTGACTCTGAAACAAAATTGATAACAGCCCTTTTCCAAAAAGACCCACTTCTTGCCTGGGGTCCAATCTGCCTTTGCAGGACTAACAAATTAGCGACAAGATTTGAAATCACAATTTAGGAGTCATGCAGCCTCTGGCTCCAAGAGTCCGAACCTCCCCAAATTGCTCCTGGGGGTAACATCACTAATGTAAAACCTAAGATCACTGCTTGAGATGTTTTGCTGACCCTGAACTGGATGAATCAGCTGACACCACTCAGATTGATAATCTGGCCCAATCAGTTCTGCCATCACACCCAGGAACAGAAGACATTATGAAAACCTAACTTTGGCCCCCTATGATTCAATCTCCAACCTGACCAATCAGCACTCCCCACTTCCCAAGCCCCTATCTACCAAATTATGTTTAAAAACTCTGATCCCCAAATGGGGAAACTGATTTGAGCAATAATAAAACTCCGGTCTCGCGCACAGCCAGCTCTGAGTGAATTACTCTTTATCCATTGCAATTCTCGTGTCTTCATAAATCAGTTCTGTCTAGGCAGCAGGCAAGGAAAACCCATTGGGCAGTTATAGATCAATCTCAATATGGACATACTTTGACATGAGAAAAGCAAATTGCCACAAGATGCATCCAGTATGATAAACTTTATGTACAGTTTTAAAAGCAAAACACTAGATTCCCATATTTTTTCATTCAACACATACTTTGGGGGCACCTACTTTATGTCAGTTATTGTTCTAGGCCCCAAAACAATAGAATAATAGAAGGTCCCTGACCTTACAAAGTTTATAATCTAACGAGGGAATAGACAGAAAACAGATAAATGCATCCTACATGCATGCATACATACAAACATAAGCAAATTCTACCAGGTAGCAGTAAGTTTTGCAGAAAAAAAAAACCTTGGTATGGGTTCATGAAGGGAGTTCAACTATTAATCAGTTGGTACTGCCCATCCTCATTGGGAGGTGACTTTTGAACAAAAAACAAATGCAGGTTGTAAGCAACTCACGTGAGACAAGACGGTGGGAGGATAAGCTAAGGGAAAGAACGAGCAAACGCAAAGGCCCAGAGGAGGAAATGTGCTCGGTGTGCTCTCTAAACAGCAAAGAGGCCAGTGCACCAGGAGTGCCTGGAGCACGGCAGGAACAGGAGGGCTGGCACTGCAGCATTGGATGAAACAGGGCCTTGAACATGGCAAGGATTGGTGTTGTATTTCAGGTATGATGGAGACCATGGAAGAGTGAGGAGAGGGGAGGATACGTGATCCAATGTTTGTTTTTGAAGGATCAATCTGGCTGCTGGGTGAAGAAAAGATGGAGTAGTGTTGCACTGATGCTGTGAGAGAGTAAGCAGAGAACGGTTAGGAAGATGTAGTAATTCTGAGAAAAGATCGGGGATGCACTAGGGAAGTAGCAAGGGCAGGTGAAAATGGATTGGAAATATATTATATTTTGAAGGCAGAGCCAAGTAGATATATTATTTGTAGATAAAATTATATGTAGTAAAAGCATAAGAATATACAAGTCAAATATATAACAGTGTTGACTTTAGGACAATGAAGAGGGAAATAGAAAAATATACACAAATTCAACCTCCAACTCTAATATTTTATTTCTTTAAGACAAAAACTATGATGTGAACATGTATCATCTTAACATTTGCTACATTGGGGTTTTAGGTTATCAAATGTTTGCTTTATTACCTTTGTAATATTCTGGTTTTCACATTTTCCCAGAAGAATAATACTCTAAACAGATACAGTGATATTTATGCTTTATTTTCTCTGAGAATCATCTTTCATTAATTCATTCATTTATTCAACAAATACACTGTGAGTGCCTAATCATGCCAGATGCTAGTATAGGTGCTGTTAAAGCTGCAAAGAGCAAAATAAAGTCCTCATAGAGTTTATATCCTGGGAGAGAAAGAAGACAGACGAACGAATAGATACGTAACATAATGCCATTTTGGTTAGGAGATATGAAGAAAAATGAAGCATGATGGCAGAGTTATTTTAAATTCGTTCTAGCTTTGTTTTCTTATGAGAGAAATATAACTCATTCGTTTTATTCCTGTAATTCCTATAAATCATAAGTTTAATACAATATCACAGGTACATGGGCAGCTGACAGTTACAGGGAGGAAACTGAGCACAGGCACTAGAGTCAAAAGCTCTGAGTTACAGTTTTGCAGGTGTTCCAGTTATCCACACCAGTTTAAAACAACAGTTTATCATTATTACTATCTTCATCATCATCATCACCATCATCATTATCATCATTAAATCTCATGAATTTTTAGGTCAGCAATTTAGACTCACATGAGTGGGGACAATTCATCTCTGTTGCATGTTATCATCTGGGATGGCTCAGAAGTCTATGGGCTACAACCCCTATACACTGGCTTAGCATATCTTCAGCATATCTTACAGGACGGTGGCCTCAGGATAGTTGGACTTCTATGTCAGCTCAGGGCTCCAACAGCAAGTGTCCCCTGGGTTGTGTGTAGAAACTGAAAGGCTTCTTATGATCCAGCCTCAAAAGTCTTAGAGCATCAATTCTCCCAAATACTTTTAGTCAAACACATCACTAAGCCAGCCCAAATTCAAGGGAAGGGAAGAAGAGTTAGACCTTACATCTCAATGAGAGGAGTAGCAAATAATTTACTTTACTACAGCAAATCACTTAACTATTCAGAGTTGCATTACTGTAGTCCATAAGATAGACTAAAATGGGTTTGTCCTGTCAGTCTGACCAGGAACTAGCAAGCAGACTGCAAAATTATTTTCCCCTGAGATGAGGAAGGGCCAGGAAATCCTTGAAATCCACTGGTACTAGAGAGTTTAGTATTCATAAGAAGGCTCTATTATTTTCTCCAGCAACTGGAAGACCATGATAGGAAGATAAACTGAAGTACTGGTTCTAAAATATCCCAAACTCTATGGATCTGTCTTAGTTTTCAAAGTTTTATACCTTCTACAAAATAAGCAGAAGCTTCATTTCAATAGAGGTAGGGCATCATTTTACACCCAGCAGGTGTTTAGGAGAGTGTTAGGTAATGAAGTCTTTATTCTCAGGATTATAAAATCAATGAACTTTTCTTCCTGAGGCAGCTGTTAAAACCAGCTCATTTTGAACATATTAATAAATATTCTTTCTCTTAGCTCTGAAATGAAATCAGATAGGTAAAGAGTATAATCTACATTTGAAGAAAGCACAGGATAAACATAACATTCATTCCATCTGTGCTATACAATTGTAGTTTTTAAATGCTAGCTAATTCCATTCCATCATTTCCCTTTTAAGATTATCTAAAAGTTGGCCCATTGGTTTACATAACACATAAAGTTCCTTTCAATTTTTTGTAATGGGCCTTTGGATGATTAAAAAATACATTCATTTTGCAAGGGATTATGACTTTACAAAAAAGACTTAAAGAGAAATAAAGATACCAACCTGTTATATAAATGAAAGCACTACAGTTCTACACACAACACACAGACACACACACACACAGGCTACAGAAATCCTTCTATTCTTAGTTTCCATGTTAAGGGAACATCAGCCTGTATAACTGTCAATTCAAAGAGAAATTATTACAGAGATTACTGAAAAATATTTACACTGAGCATGTATAAGTTTTAAATATACTGAATAAAATATTGGAAGATATTCATAAATTTGACCTAAATTTTACAATCATATTTTCTTAGAAAAACTGAGAAACGCAAAATCAGTCTGGAAACAAACCAACCATCCCTGGTGGAAAGAGGAAAAAAAAAATAACATTTGTATATTTTTCTAATACCCCTCCAAAACTGGGAGAATTCTTATATCTATATCACACATTATCTGATAAAGTAAGCATTTTTTTTTTTTTTTTTGAGACAGAGTCTTGCTCTGTCGCCCAGGCTGGAGTGCAGTGGCGAGATCTCGGCTCACTGCAACCTCCATCTCCAGGTTCAAGTGATTCTCCTGCCTCAGGCTCCTCAAGTAGCTGGGATTACAGGCACACACTACCATGCCTGGCTAATTTTTGTAATTTTAGTAGAGACAGGTTTTCGCTATATTAGCCAAGCTGGTCTTGAACTCCTGACCTCAGGTGATCCAACCACCTCAGCCTCCCATAGTGCTGGGATTACAGACGTGAGCCACTATGCCCGGCCTAAAGTAAGCATTTCTTAAGTGTGTCAGATGCTGTTCTGGGATCTAAAGACAATTAGAAGAAACTGTTAACTCTGGAGGAGCATATGATAGTCTTGGGCCGGCATCCTCCACTCCCTCATTGCAGGCTAGAGGGCAGAGAGTCAGATTGGGGGGCCAACTCAGAGCAGCCACTGAGAACGAATTTCAAGCTGGGGAACAAGCGTGAGCAGATGTGGTCATAGAAAGATCACATAGAGAGGGGAAGAGGCAGAACGCGAGCCCAGGACAATAAAGCCGTGGCTTCCCTGCCTCCGCCAACTTCGGATCTGAATCCTGACTGTCACATAGCAGTTGAGGTTTTAGATAAGTAGCGTAATGACTCCAAGCTTCAGTTTCCTGTTCTGTAAAGGGAAGTTTTAAATCTGTGTTTGTGGTTGAGAGGATAAGCATTGGTGTGGGGGTTCCCAGGGTGACCCATGGGCTGGTGTTCCATCAGGCCATGAGTCTCGTATATACTGTAACAATGAGATGCTTACTGATGTTGAGATTTTGGTTTTCAATTTCTAACTCTTATATCTTTATTTCCTCGGTACGTGCTAAGTTGTTTTTAATACTTCAAAATCCATTTACACTATCCAGTCATTAGACAGTTTTCCTCAAATGCAATACTCATCATCACTCCAATATATCAAAGTTCTAATCCTATATTCTATGTGCTAAACAGTCTTCAAGCCCAAGTCTAGTGTCATTTACAGTTTGTCAACTAGATGTTTAAAAAAAAAAAAAAAAGACATTGGCAGCTCCAGGCCCATGAGTGTGGCATGATTGTGGAATTCCACAGGACAAAGAGCCAAATGTCTGCTATGGTAAAAACTGTAGACCAGTGGCCTCCATATCCATTCCAACCTCTTCCTCCTTTTGCTTTATCTACAACAGAAGTTGCTGAGGGAAATACTTAAACTCCCAGCCTCCCTTGCAGGCAGGGATGGCCATGTAACAAGTCTAGGTCAATGAGAGGTTGGTAAAAGTCTTTTTGGAAAAAACACAGAAGAGCCTTCTGAAAATGTCTACCTTTTACCCAATCCCCTTCTTCCTGTAGAAAATACAGATGAGATGCACCAGGGCACAGCCATCTTGTGACCGTGAGGATGAAAGTCAAATGTCAGGCAGGGATGCTGAGGAAGAACATGGAAGGAGCTCATTTCCTTACAACATCCTTAGGCACCCATGGTATCCCTGTGCTTCCCAGTTCTAGATTTCTTCTTATGTGAGGAAAATAAACCTAGTACTCATGTAAGCCATTGCTTATAACTATGCTTCCAATAGGGTAGCCACCAGCCACCCACAGCAACTAAATTTTAAATAATTAAAATAAAATAAAATAATTTGTTCCTCGGTATTAGGCAGCACAAGTATAGAATATTTCCATTATCATAGAAATTTCTATTTAAACAGCACTGGAGAAAATTTTGTTAATTTGCATCCATAATTATGAATGCTACAGATGCTAATATTTTCATCACTAAGCTAAAGGCAGAAACATGTCAGCCTCTGTCCCCCAACTAAGACCATGTGCCCCCAGGTGTCCGACTGTTTATTCTACATTGAGATATCACATATTGATTTATCACTAGCCTTTCATCTAAGACATTTCTCACACTTTCTTAGAGGATTAGATTAGCCTGTCAGAACATAGTCTTCACATAGCCCCAAGTAATCAAGTATTTTTCATAGAGATAATGGAAGACTTAAGAAAATTAATATTCCTATGCTAATATTTCAGGAAGAGAGGGAAAACAGCCACAATCATGTCACAATAACAGCAGCTGCCAAGTTAAAGCAACTGATGACAATATACAGTGACGACAATGTACAGTGACGCCCCTAGTGGTGGTTCTCAGCCCTTTGGAGAATCTATCAGTCTCTTTTATTCTCTTAAAAATCAATTCATGCCTGTAATCCCAGCCCTTTGGGAGGCTGAGGCGGGCAGATCACGAGGTCAGGAGATCGAGACCATCCTGGCTAACATGATGAAACCCTGTCTCTACTAAAAATACAAAAAAATTTGCCGGACGTGGTGGTGGTCACCTGTAGTCCCAGCTACTAGGGAGGCTGAGGCAGGAGAATGACATGAACCTGGGAGGCTTGCAGTGAGCCGAGATCAGGCCACTGCACTCCAGCCTGGGCGACAGAGCAAGACTCCATCTCAAAATAAATAAATAAATAAATAAATTCATGAGGAGAGATGAGTCTGAGACCCATATCATTCACAACTGCAAGCCTGGTTGTTTGAAGTCTTCTAAGAAGCTTTGCCCTGCAGTCTTTGATTGGGCTTCAGTGAATACAGTCATGAATCAGTATACAAAACGCGCAGCCATGAAGCAGAATTAAAATCAATGGGAGGAAATATCTGATGAGTCCATTTCTTACCATTTTTAACTTAGCAACAGCAGAAGAGAAGGAAATGATAATTTCAAAAATATTTCTAACAAATTTCCTGATGCAGTGATTCTAATTTTAGTTCACTTATATACTTCTAAGTCACAAATCGCTGATTATAATAATAGTATCCAATATTTATTGAATGTTTACTACTAGTCAGGCAGCCTAGCAAATAATGTTCATACACCATACACTTTCATTTAATCCTAAAATTGTACTGTGAGATAGGTACTATCATCATATTAATTTTATAAAGAGACTGAGGCACAAAGAGTTTTAAAAACTTGCCCTAGGTCACACAACTAAGTGAAGCTCAAATTCAAACCCACACAACCTGTATCTAGGGTCTTCACTCTTAATCACTATATACTTTTAAATTGATCATATTCCTACAGAATGAAGTCAGAAATTACTCAATGACCCAATGGAAAAATATCACTTTCATTCCAGAAGAAATCTAAGACCACACTGAAGCTTTTCTCCATCACTTATAACTCTACTTCCTGAAGAACAGAAAACAGCTATTATAAATACAAATGTTTTTCAAGACATAAGTACTATAGATTCGGTTATGATCTTTCAATCAATTGTTTAAAAAAAAAACAAATGTAACAAGGCATCAAAAAGAGGCAAAGTAGAGTGGATATGCCAGAAATTAGAGGCCTTTAGAGGCAGGTATCAATTTTTAAAATAACAATAACAAAAAACTATTAAGTCTTACGGTGCCAGGTCCTGTTCTAAGTACCTCAGATCAACACATTTTATTCTCATAATAGGTCAGAGGGGGAAATATTATTATCCCATATGAGGGAGCAGCTGAGGTATAGAGATGGTCACATAGACAGTAAGCAGGAGTCCCAGGCATCTGGTCCCACAGCCCCTCCACTGTAAGTCAGGGAAAACTGTCTGTCTCTCAGGCCTTTTGTGGTCCAGCCCTTGACTTTGTCTCTGACTTCAGCTCCTATGGCTCTCCCCTTCATTCACTCTGTTGCAGCTCCCTTGCTGTTCCTTACATACCTCCTCTGCAAGAAGTTTGCACTTGCTCTTTCCTCTCTCATCGGAGACAACCTTCCCTAGCCTCCTAAAGTAACAATCCACATACCCAATCCAATAACCTACCCCATGTTTATTGAATGAATGAATAAAAAGACCTGCGTCAACTCCACCTCCTGCATTAGGTGCAGTGATGATACCAAGAACTCACTTCTGTAGAGGTGTCTCTATTTGCTTTCCTTTCCTTCCCAGTCTTTGGCACAGTTTTTAAAGAGTGGAAGCTAAGAATTCCAAGATAAAAAAACTCACTCTGGAAAACAAAACATTTCAGAGACAGAAATGGTCCACATAACCATGGTACTGCAGATGGTGTGTCCCTTTTACCATCCCAGACGTTGAAAGAAACAAGACCAATAATGATGCGGACTTACTGATCCCTGGTTCTTTTCTTTGCTGATTATTTTTATCGTCTTCACTTATTGGCAAATCTTGTACTTTCACAAAATACATTCTCAGAGAGAAATTATATTCTCTATAAGACTGTATGAAATAAAAGGTAATATTAAAAACTAAATAATCTGTTTAATTTTTAGTTTTACCACTGGGCACATTGGCCCATGCTTATAATCCCAGCACATTGGGAGGCTAAGGAGGGAGAACAGCTTGAGCCCAGAAGTTCCAGACCAGCTTGGGCAACATAGTGAGACCTCAGCTCTATAAAAAAAGAAAAGAAAAGAAAAAAGAGGCAGGAGGATCCCTTGAGCCCAGGAGGTTTAGGCTGCAATGAGCCATGGTCACCATGCCACTGCACTCTTACCTTCCTACCTGGGCGATGGGAGTGAGATCCTGTCTCAAAAAAAAAAAAAAAAAAAAAAAAAACCAAACCAAACAAAAAACCCTGCTAAATATCTACAAATTAGAGTGAAATTTAGTACTCAGCTTTCATAGCTTAATCCCAAATTAGTCTTCAATTTATTTTTTTGATTAATGATGAAAGCAATAGTTCAAAATACGCTAAATAACTCAATCTTGAGGAGAGTTTTAAAAAATATGTCAAATCAAAAGGAAGAAATGTGAATACAAAAATGCATAAGAAAAGCATTTATCCTCACTAATAAGAAAATAAATAGAAATAAAAATAACACCATTTTTTAACTCCTCAAATTAAAAAAATAAATTATAGTAATCAAAAATAGAGTCCAAGGAAAGTAGAATCTCATAAATTTGCTAGTGGAGATAAGACCTTGCAAGAGGACAAATTGACAAAATTCACTGGAGATTTATAATTTTACATACCCCATGGTCCATAATTTCTACTATTATGAATTCACACTGAGGAAATAATTTTAGATGTTGGAAAATTTTGTCAGATGTATGGTCATTGTAGTGCTCTTCTAAAAGTGAAAAATTAGAAACAATCTAAGTATGACCAAAATGACTGGTTAAATACATAATAGAATCTATAATGGAAGTTTTGCTCCCACTTACTAGGCAGCCATTAAAAATAATATTATTGAAGAATATTTCATGACAGGGGAAATTACCATACTATATATTTTAGTAGGAAAAAGTAGATGATAATCTGAACCCATTTGAATTTACAGAAAAATCTTAAGAAAATACATATAAAATGTTAAAAGTTTACTTGGATTACTAAGTTACAGATAATTCTGATATTTTCCCTTTTATTTACATGTATTTTCTAAGTTTTTCTGTAAAGAATCAGACTGGGTGTGGTGGCTCATGTTTGTAATCCCGGCAGTTTGGGAGGCTGAGGGGGGTGGATCACTTAAGGTCAGGAGTTTGAGACCAGCCTGGCCAAAATAGTGAAACCCCATTTCTACTAAAAATACAAAAAATTAGCTGAGTGTGGTGGCAAACGTCTGTAGTCCCAGCTACTTGGGAGGCTAAGGCAGAAGAATCACGTGAACTCGGGAGGCAGAGGTTGCAGTCAGCTGAGATCATGCCACTGCATTCCAGCCTAGGCCACACAGCGAGACTCTGTCTCAAAAAAACAAAAACAAACAAAAAATCAAGACTAGTTAGGAAAGAAATGATTATTCTATTTAAAAGACTGCTTGGAAGAAGGTTGAGATTTTACATTTTCCCTATATTTTAGCTAAAGTGATATGATGGGATTATATTTCTCTCAGCAGAGGCTCCTGAAGGAGGATAAGATTCATTACTCAGAAAAAGGAGAGCTAACTCTTAAGAGATGTATGGTTTTTCATTTTGTCTTCATCTCCAGTGGTTTAAATACTGCCCACGTGCACAAATCAAAACCAAGCCAATTTTTTCTCTACTTTTAAGATCTAGTTTTGCCTTAGCAAAAGTTTAAATAATGGCACAAATCCACTGAGTAAACAACTGTTCTGGCACACTAATTAGCAGAACAGAGGCTGAGAGAATAAACTCTGTTTAGAACCATCTTTGGATTAGCTAATTTACCTGTCAGAATTTAGCCCATTTATTTTTTTCAAATTGCTTCTAGAGTATAACCTAGCTATAATTCCAGAAATACAGAAATCGCTCCTTAAATGAACCCCAGTCATTTAGTTTGAATGACAGTTCCAAGAGTGAACACCTGGGACTGCTGCACTGATAAAGTAGGATGGTCAAAAGGATAGTTGACGACTGCATTTTCGAACAAATATTTCATCTGAGGGTATCCATCGTGTGCACTTTGGAGATAATCTATATAGTTTTGAAAGACTGAGCTTACAGTGATAAGAGTTGTAGTCTTTTTTGAAATGTTTTTCTCTGTTAATATTTACTTAACTAGATGCTAATTTAATCAATTATGATAAGTAATAAAACTCCCCTGAGGCCAGTCTGTGTATTCATTATGGGAGCAAATCACAATGAGAAGGTGACTTAGTTGAAAACACAGTCAGAGCCAAGGCTGTGGTCCAGTGGGCTGGGTCAGCTTGAGAACTAATGTTATTGTATCTAGAATGTTTGAGAATGCTGGATATTTACGCTGGCCAGCCAGGGGATTGTCTCTCCTGGCCAATCCCAAAGACCATTTTGACCATATCTTTAGTAGGCACTATTCAGACCATTTACCTCTTAAAAGTTCTCTATAATATTAATATCCATTAAGTGCAGTGAAATGTAATGGTGAAGAGCATTGGCTTTCATGTCAAAGAGAAGATTTCAAGTTCTGACTCTACAACTGACTGTGACCTTAGGCAGTCTACCTTTAAAGCCCTTCTTTTTTGAATCTGCAAATATGGGGTAATTAAAATACCTGCCTTATAGAGTTGTGAGCATAAAATGAGTGCTCTAAAAATGGTAGTTATTTCTATAAGGGTCCGTATGAACTCTGAGAAGTCATACGGCTCTTCATGTGAAATGATACAAGTGAAAAACAAATGGAAAATTATTAAATGTGATTAAAGTGAAGATATTATTACTATTAGTCTTTTTTTACTATTTTATAGTGCTTTAAATAAGCAAATATTATTTAGTATAATGAATAATAAGCAAATATTTATTGTCTTTTTCTAAGACACAGCACGGAATCTAGGACATTTATATTATCTCAAAAATAGATACAAAGTTATCATTCAGAATTAACTTTTTTTCACGTTTGAAGAGAGGTGCTCTTATTTCCCATTGGGATCACATGTCTTTTAAATAATAAATGTGTGTAATATATACTACAGGACACAGACTTTGTATCTTTGTAGTGGAGCTTATCAATTCTTTAGCTGACTTACAGAATTTTAGCACGTTTCCTCCTTAATTTTCAGCCAGTGCTCCGAAAGGAGACTTCCTTTCTCCACTGCGATGTCCTATGTAGAACTAGTAAGCTCTATCCACATGTGGAACAAATGGATGCATAATTATGATAGTCACAATTCTTCCCTTCTTCTTCCTTAGAGCCCAGACTACCCAAGCCAGTGATAATGAACCCCCTTAAAAATTCAATTTTAAATTTTAACTTAAACTTCCAATGAACTGAATTACAAAGATGCAACTTCTCTAGCCTCTATGGCTAGAGAATTACCCCAAACAGCCAAATAATCAGAACACTGGGGTATAATTAGCACTAGCCACTCTTATAGCTATATAGAAATTATCAACTTGCGTATATTTAAGGAAAAGAGATTTTCTTATTGCTGTAGATTGATGGCATTAATGACTACAATTCATGGCCTCTCCCAGTCTACTGCTGAGCTCCATCACATAACTTGCTTTGGCCAATGGATAGAAGCAAATTTGATATAGTTTCTTTCTTCATGTTTATTTATTCATTTATTTCTTCATGTTTCCAGTCTTGCCTCTTTGAGATCACCATGAGAACATAACCAGCCTAGACTTCTAAAGGAATGTGATAGACAAGTATGTGAGAAGCATATGGAAGGGAGACCAGTTGTCTCAACTGAAGCAATCCTGAGTTGGGCATGTGAGAACCATGTGACCAGTCCACAGCTAGCCATGTGAGAGAACCCAGCCAAGACTAGCAAAACTGCCTCTCCACCCTGCAGCTAACCACAGGCTTACAATGGGCCCAGAAAACCGGCAGCCAACCTATAGACATGTGAAGAATTATAAATGCTTATTTTTTTAAACTATTAAGTTCTAGGGCAGTTTGATGCATTCTACTATTTTGGCAATAAGATAACTGATACACTTGTCAATTAGCAAACAATTTTTAATCTTCCAATTTTAACTTCCAATTATGCAGCTCAGAATTATGTCAAGAGGTCTAGAGAAGAGCAGCATTCTTTACTAGTGTTCTATAGAATGTGTGTGGGTTGTAGGGGCCGGGGGACACAAATCCAAGTATTCTAAGAAATCATCTATTTGGCAGTGGTATTAAATATGTTAAAATTTCTGCTTATCTTAATAATTCTATTTTGGAACTATGTTTTACTATGTACATAGTATGTTATTGCAGTAGTTCATATATAATTCATTAATAAATACATGCATACATATTGGAAGGACAGGTTTTATTGATGGGGTACAGCCTCAAAAACACTCAGAGACAGCCGATCTTGACTCTGCTTACATTTGTTAATTTTCTTCTCTAGTAGCAGTTTCCCTTATAGTGTGGGTCTTCATTGTAGGTCATCTATCCAGAAATTAAATAAAGACCAGCTAGATTTTACATTCTGAATTGTCTGAGACTTTAAATATCTTTAACAATTATTAGCATTAAATTAGGGTAAACTGAAAAAAAGGCTAGTAACTAACACACACACACACACACACACACACACAATATTTTAATGCATTGTCAGAGCATGGTCTCTTTGACTTGAGAACATTCCTAAAATATTAATACCTTAACTGGTTGTACTAATTATGATGTGATATCTTCTTAATGCTTTAAGCTATTTTAGGTATTATATATTATATATTTAATACCAAATATTTTATCAAGAAATGCCAGCAGACAAAACTATCTTAATGAGTATACAGATTTGGGAGTTTGTGATTTCATAAGAGATTGCATATAGCAATGTTTTAAAGCGATTTTAAAACATCACTTATTTACTTAATGACAAAAACCCTAAGTAACTGTAAAATTGGAACTGAAATTAAAAATAAAACTACTAGTAGAGTAAATATATTAGTAAAGAATAATATATTTATTTCTCATACATAAGGAAATTTATACAAAAGAAATTCATAAGAAAAATATATTCTTCAGTACTTCCAACTAAAAATAAATGTTAGAACATGAATTCTACAAACAAAGAAATAAAGATATATGACCTCCAATTCATAACCAATTTAACAAATGCTATAACTTTCAAAGAAAAGTAATTTAAAACCGTCAGCTTTGCTTCAGTGTCAGTTTCTTATATGTTAAATTTCTCTCATAATCCTATAATAAATATTTTTCCTTTCCCCTTAGATTATTCTGTAAAATTCATACATGTTTATACTTAAAGGTATTTTTGAGCACAAGTTATTTTCCTCCTCTTTACATAAAAATGCTTTCCTTCCTTTCTGCCCTAAGAAGTTAAATATTCTGGGCTACTGACTTTCTAAAAGCTCAGTTTCAACCCTTTAAAAAAGGGTTAAAATAACGTGTATGCATTTATCCAGGATGAATTGTTTCCTTTTCTGAAAAAAGTTTGAATGCAGAGTCCAATTCGCATGTTGATTTCCATAGTGTTTGGAGTTACGAGTTATATCTAATTCCATAAAATAAAATAAAACTGTCAGCTAATACTACTGCAGAGGGACTGGCAAAGAAAAACATCCAGTGACTAAGAAAATCCAATTAGTTACTGCCCAAATAAGAAACAAAGAACCAGGGAGAAACTAAAAGCCTGTCTCCCAACAATCCAGCAATCCAGAGGAACACAGAGCTGGGGACTTTGGTAGGCTCTAACTGCCCTGTTGGGAGGCCGTCCGCAGCCCCACAAAGGGAATGGAACATGATGCAGGATAACAAGTCTCACAGGCTCTTTGGCAATTCCACTCCTCATACCTCTAGCTATATGATGAGCTCATCTATCACCTGTTTAGCTTTTGAGCCAACAACAGGCTATAGACTAGATCCAGACTCCAGGAACTGGGATGTTCTTTGCAGATCTGCTGACAGACTCATCATGTGACCTTGAACAAACCAATACACCACCCTGTGCTTCAAAGTTCTTTATTTGTAAGTAAATAGAGGATAAGAAATAGCCTGCAACGCACCTGCCTCACCAGAATGTTAGGAGGCAGAATGAGCACATCCTTTTAAGTCACCGTGAGTTCTGAGGAAGGAAGATGCTTCGTCAGGGTAAGATGCATGTTCTAGCCCACAGCACTCACAGCAGTCACAACTCTCAATTGCTCACAGTGTTCCTGTGCTTCTATTTCCCAAAACATTACATGCAAATGTGTGTAAATAGAAAATTTGACATTTCAATGGAGTCAGTGATGCCATCAATGAAAACCATAGGAGTGGAATATTTTGCTTATTATATTTTTCTGATAATAGTGCTATATGTGTAATGGTTATGAGCGTTGGTTATGAGCATTTTTATAAAATTAAAAATAACTTTTTTCTGAAAACTAACATATGCTCATTGCTAAAAAGAATTTGAATGATACAAAAATGTAAAATGACTCTGAATCTCATCACTCAGAGATAACCACTGTCAACATTTTGGTGACTTTTCTTATAGTCATCTTTGTGGATACATGAACAGAATACATACACACATGCATACATATCTGGAGGTCTGGAGGTAGGTTCAAAGTGGCGCTGAACTATCTATTAACCCATCTAAGTAGCTGCTATTTTGCAGTCTCATTTTTTTTCAGTTGTCTTGTGAACATGAATTCCTCTTCGGTAAATAAATAAACTAATAGCATGATTTTTAATGGCTGCTGCATTATGTTCCATAGCAAGGATATATACTATTTTACTGAATCCCATTACTGAGATCTATTTTAAAGCACTCTTAAAAAAAAATGACCAACAAACAACAGGAAGGAGCTTTAGCATCATTAAAAAAAATCAGACATTTTGTTAGAAGAAAAGTCACTAAAATGTTGACAGTGGTTATCTCTGAGTGATGGGATTCAGAGTCACTTTATATTGTAACATTTGAATTTTTGCTCAGCAATGAACAGGGCAATGCCATGAAATATACAGAAAGGAGGTGAGAGGAGACAAACATATTAGTATACTTGCAAATGAATCTTTTATAGCTTATCTTTAGACATATATTATATATATATTAAGTAGCCCATTTACAAAATAAAATAAAAAACTAAAGTTTACAAAATCCCAAATTTGCAGTCTTCATTCTTTGACAATAACACAGCTCCAAATGAACTTCCTCTTCAGTGATTTAATGTCTTTTTTCTACTTCCTTTTAATAAAATTCTATACATTTTTGAGTGATCTGTCACTTTTGTCAAAAGTTGAAATTTAAGATGAGTCCCTTTACTATAGCTGACCACTTGATACTGACTAGGCTACTGCATCCCTGAGAGAAGTCTGAGACTTCAAGCCCTCTCCACAAAGCCCTCAGCTTCTCACCGTCCTTGGCCACTCAGGCCTAGAAGTGGTAAAGCCCACCCCATCACCAATGCTGCTCCTAGTCCCCTGAGGATACTGCACTTTCCTTGCAGTCACCCATACTCTGGTCCAAACCTCTGCAAATAATCCCTTTATTAAACTCTCCTCAAATTACCAGTTTTGAGAGTGCCATCTATTTCCGGTTGGGACCCTGACTGAACAATACTTCATACTTTATGGGTAGAAAAGCACTATAGTAGTAACACTGTATGAATGTGGTAAAAGTTGGAACTCCTAGTGGGTCCTGTTTACATCACAAAATTGGGCTGATTGGGAAACTTAAGACATTTTTCTGTGAAAAGTAAGAGTTTTTGTAGACAGTGTATGCATTATGTTATTATAGAAACAGAAATTTTAATAAATGATCTTATTGGCCTCAAGGACATGTTTTGAAATTTAGACTATTAGGCATTTTCTAATCACACTTGAAATGAATGAATCTCCTCAAACTCACAGTCTGAAGTAACAAATAATTAGTTCTGGAGAATAAGGACTATACATAACACACTATAGTAAACCTTACTCAGATCTGAGTGATAAATCTATAAATCTAGTTTTAAGAAGTGTACATTCTCTGTTATTTGCACAATTTATCCTCATAACCATGTCACATTTGCATAATAGTGGAGTTCCAATAGCTAACACCAATAGAATATTTAATATCTGCCAGCTATCATGTTAAATATGCATATAAATTATTGTATAATTCTCTAGTGATCTTATGACATAGGTACTATTATAGTGATTTTTCAGATGAGATCACACAGCTGATATAAGGCAGAAGTGAACTTGACAATTCAATATATGTGTGTTAAACATAATACATTAAAAAATTTATTAATCACACAGAAATATATTTGATGTGCAATATTCCTAAAGTCTCCTTATAGTACTCATTCTTCCTTCTTATGCATCAACCTTGTTTCTTTGTCACGTTAATTAACATTCTAAGTTAAGAGAAAACTTGATAATTCCTGAGTCAAGGCCCCATCCATCTCACCAACCACAAAAGATTAAGCTGCAAAAAAGTTATTTTGAAATAAAACCTTCAAAAGCTGCTACTTTGGGTTTCAATCTAGAGATAAGCAATGGTGAAATAAGAAGGGCCTTGGACCAAGTGGCAAATATTTAAAAAATATTAGACCAGAATGACGAGCTTTCAAGGGAGCATTGGCCAGATTTATGCATTCTCACCAGGCCAAATATGCTTCATACCTCACTGGATCTTTCCCATGAATACAGACAGAACACTCCACAAAACATACCAATAATACAAATTGAATTCTTACATTTGCTGTGCACTATGGTATTCACTTTGCTTGCATTATCTCATTGAAAATTCAAATTTTAAAAGAAAGTACTATTATTTTTATATATTATGTATATGTATACATATATATTAGAACTCTAATTCCATACAGATTCTAAATGTGCTTATAAGGTCTAAAATAATGAAATAAAATAATATTATTTTTAAACCAGACAACCTTTTATTTTTTCAAAGAAATACCAATGGATAGCCACAGCAATTGACCCCTTTGTCAAGAATTTAGCAACCAATTAATTTTAAATTGTAGCTTTAAAATGACAATATAGAAATCTGTTTGTAACTGATTTTTTGTGTTAAACCAGATTTATTACTCACCACTCCCCTCAGTCACACAATTAGCCGTGATCTGATCCCATGATTCTCTCTTACACTCATGACTGTGTAGATGTTGTTATAACTATAGCTCCTGTTTTCTCATCTTTACACTTTTCCTTTTTAATTGCATTACAACTCAGATAAAAGGTCACCTCCTCTAATTAGCCATTCTCTAACCTCAAGTTTACCTACACCAATAACACTTACAGACTACATTGTCATTTTCTGATCCTTTGGCTGTAAGCTTTCTAAGAGAGGGACTCTGTTCTGTTTACCTGGCAAAATACTTAGGATATTCTCAAGACTTGTGGAATGAGCAAAAGCCCAAGCATGATAGTTCTAAGAAAGGAATACTTAAACTCCATGGAATAAATATTTGAAAATATACTATGAGCCAAGATGCCATGCTATGCATCAAACGCATAAACATGTCTTTGAGAGACACACAATCTAGTTAAAAGGAAAAAGGAAGAAGGCTTACTATAATAAATAAATTATATAAGTTCAAAATAATATTGGAATGCAGACAAAGAGGCAAAAATTTATGACTATGTAAGCAATAAGTGTGAGTAGAACTAACCATCAAAATGTATTAAAAAGAGTGTGTCTTATAAGTAACTTAATTATGTAACTTTTTGGTTTGCCAGGAGCTGTTCCCGAGAAGGAAGCAATTCCCTCTCTGTCTCTCTGTCTCTCTCTCTCTCTCAGTCTCACTCTCAGTCTCCTGCCCTTGCATGCATGTAGGTGAGTACACACACAGACACACACACACACACACACACAGTCTTAAAATTACCAAATGGTAAAGGAAACTAATATGTTTTTATGTAGCTTACTCTCTAAATTTTAAAAAATTATCTTAGTTGCTAGAACTAAATTTGAATGTTGTCTTATAGTCAAAATCAGCTGTTAAATCAAATGGCAGAAAACATAATGATGACTTCCCTTTTGGCAAAGCCTATTAATACCAATAAAAAATGGCAAAACATTATTACAACTAATAAGACAGATGGCAATAGATTTTAGGCCTGCAGAAAAGCCATAAAAACACACTGAATATTTACAAGGATGAGAGATTTGTTAAATGGTGAAAAGTAAATTATGGCACTGTTAAGGCATTTTAACAGCATGCCACTGTGGAGTCAAATAAGTGAAGTCGGCTCCAAAAAGACATGTCACCTGTCACTTCACATACTTGTTTACATTGCCAGGAGTTTCTACTCCATTGTGAAGGATGACTCAGATTAAATTCAGGCCATCACCCCTCACAGTAATTGGTTTGCTAATTCTGCAGTACAGCGTTTGGCTTCTGCTCAGCAGTTGGCCTAAGGTTATAGACTGTACTATTTATTAAGCCTTATTAAGACTGCTGTCAGCTATAATCATATTGCTCCTCCACACAAAACCCTCAGTAGCTCCCTGGTGCCTTCCTAATTAAGTCCATACTCCTTATCTTGGCATTTGAAAAGTCCTTTACAACATGTTGCTAACCTTCCTTTCCAGTCTGTACTCTTACCAATCTTCCAAAGATTGTTCTGGCCAAACCAAACTACTTCGTGTTTATCAAACACACATTCTAATCTCTATCCTTCACCATGTCACTGTGACTGGAATATTTTTTACTGCTTCCCCTTGTTAACATCCCATTCCCACCCATCCGTCTACATGAGCAATGCTTTACCAAGCTTTCCAGATCTAAAAATACATTGTTTATTAAATAATTTAAGTAGTATAGATAAGAAGACTATCTGCTTCTGGAGAGATAGATTTGATTTTGAATTCTAGCTCTTTCTCATACTTGCTAGATGACCTTGAACATGTTAAATGAGATCCCATATATAATAATCGTGTCACAATGCCTGAGACAGTGTAGAAAATAAATATACACTAGCTTCCCTTTCCCCAATCTCTCCAATTCAACATGGTCCCTTCCCTCTCGGAATTACACAGGATAGACACCACTCTAACTGTGGCAACTGGGAGCTGATCATGGTCTCTTAGCACTGGTCATGTTGGAACTATCTGCCGTCACTGATAAATCATTGGCAGTGCATTTACAAACCAACACCAAGAAAGCATTAATACCATGAAATAAAGTCCCAAATAACACAAATCAGTTCAAGTTCAGAAATTTTACATAGCTCCTTAGATCCTTATTTATACTAAAAATATTATTGGTTAAGAAAGAAAACTACTGCACAGTACTAGCAAAAAAATTATAAAACATTAAATTAAAAGAAGATATAGCAGTCTGCGTGCAGTGGCTCACGTCTGTAATCCCAGCACTTTGGGAGGCTGGGATGGGTGGATCACTTGAGTTCTGGAGCTCAAGACCAGCATGGTCAACATGGTGAAACCCTGTCTCTACTAAAAATATTTTAAAAAGTTAGCTGGGCATGGTGGCAGGTGCCTGTAATCCCAGCTACTCTGGAGGCTGAGGCAGAAGAATTGCTCCAACCCAGGAGGTGGAGTTTGTAGTGGGCTGAGATTGCACTACTGCACTCCAGCCTGGGTGACAGATTGAGACTTTGTCTCAAAAAAAAAAAAAAAAAGTAGATACAGCATTAGCTATATATTAATCCTATTTCTTTACTTACAATAGGATAACTACTGTAAGCACTGAGAACTGGATCTACTTTGAAGACTAGAAAGCGTACAATTAAGAATATTTTCTAGATAGTATGGGGGCTAAAATAAAAATCTAATTATTGACCCTTAACCTACTAAAAGTCTTTTCAGTGTTACTGAAAATGTGTCTTACTTAGCTCTTATTCATCTTAACAAATGTTTAGCAATCACTACCTCTGTCTAGGATACCTTAAATTTTCAAAGATTTTAGAGTCTTAAGAAGAAGCTCAAAAGACATTGATGTCTTTCCAAAAATACTAGCACATACATTAGCACATCACAGTGAGTATGGCAAGGGATCGTTAATTCTGAGAGTACATGGAGAGCACAATACAATTCTCAGGGTCAGCTACCTATATGTGCTTGAATACACATTTAGGACTTACAGCAAATGACTATGTTCAAAAGCAATGTTAGGCCAAACTTGAGGGCAAAGCCAAAAAAATATCACAGAAGAGCTTACTAAAAACAGGATTCCTATATGATGAATGCTATATATATTTTTTTTTTCTACAAAAGTAAAGCATATATTTAAAAAATTAAATGAGGGCAATGTTGAGCCTTGTATAAAACAAATTTTCCTTGGTTATTTGCCAAAAAATGTTCTAAGTCAGTCATACACAACTAAATGAATTCCCTGGCAAGCAATTAAAATTCATATGGTATTCATCAAGATTAGCTTTCAGAAAAATGCAAGGTATCATGTATCAGTAAATTTCTATAACACATTGTGCATAGGACCATAAAAATAAATAGGATTATAGAAGAGATACATGTACACGTCATTACCCTGTAATGATATATACATCTTTTTTAAGGAAAAATAATTTTTCTGATTCTATAAATAATACAAATTTATTATAAAACCTTTGGAAAATATAGAAAACTACCAGAAGAGAAAAGTTATCCCAAATACATGGAAGAAATAAAATGCAGTCTGCTCGCAGCCAATAAAAATTAAGGTGCATATCGCCTGACTTGATCATAAACATAATTTTATTTGAGAATAAAGTTTTGGGTCTAAAATCCTGACTCCCTGCGTACTCACTCCACCTTGAAAAATGATAATGGTTGTTCCGGAACTTTCTGTGCCAACATAAATTTGGTTCTGAAAATTGATAAGAATACTTACGTAGGAATTGTTTACAGCCCAAAGGTCTGTTTGTTTCTAATGCTATAAGTTGGCACACTGTTATTATGGTGACAATTTTAAAGAAGTCCAGAAATTGTTTCCAAGATTTGGCTTTAAATAGCTTTTATATTTACAGCCCAGTTTGAGAGATGGGCTTTCAGGCCCAGAGACACAATTTCCCCATCCTACCATTTGAAGCACAGGATGCCTACTGGGATTAGGGGAATTGATTTTTGTGCTACTGAATACAACTGAGTAAACCTCCTATTGGCACAAAAAGCCTGGGGCAGCCAGATATAGTCAAGAGTGAAAGTGATCAGAAAAAAAAATTGAGGGTCAAATGTTAGAAACACTAGTATCTCACAGGAATTGTGAGAATTACCTAACAAAACAATAATTTAAATGCAGGTAACATTTTTGAGTATTTAATATTAACATGCATCAGGAATGTACTAAGAACTTTCACATTTAATCTTCACAATAATCCTGTGAAGTAGGTTCTGCTTTTCTCTCCACTTTATTGCTGAGAAGCTGGGGATAAGAAAATTAAAACATCACAGTGCTTATGAGAAACAGAGTCATGACTGGATCCTGAGCACTTTGGCTCCGAAGTGTTCAATTCCCACACTGCTAGTAAGACCCTGTATATAATACAATAGCTTACTTTTAGTGGCCTAGCACTCACTCAGTCCTGAATGGGTGGGGCCCCCACCATATCTAAGGTGGTATGGTTTAATCACAAAGGTTCAGAGGCAGTAGCCTGAGTCCCAAGCTCTCTAGATTCTAAAAGGCCAAAGTTCTAAGAGTCAAAATCTTGCACAGAAATCAGGGACCTGGAAAGGCAAGGCCTTATCATCACATTATAGGTGTTTATTAAAAATCATGCAATCAATATGTATTATTTACTGCTGAGCAGAAAGTAGGTGTCATCTATTGTGTGAAGGACAGGGAATAAAATGAAAGCTTAGCGACCCTCTCTTCCAGAAATATCACATGAGAGAAAAGGCATCTTTTACTTGTCTCCTCCACGATACCAGAGGCTTCCTGAATGAACCAACTATGTCTTCCTCACTTCTGTGTCCTTCATGGTGCCAATTATATGCCATCATGTGCACATTATGTGCCATTTGTACACTGCACAGTACAAAATGGGTATCTGTTGGGTAAAGGCCAACATATTTAACTTGGCCTGAAATGCTGTGCATGATCTGTCATGCCACTCTCTTCCTACTCCTTATCATCCAGCCTTCTCTTTGGTCTCTTAATTCCTTGAAGATACCAGGACTTTCCCAAACTAGAGAGTTTGCCCACATGCAAGTTTCAGCTTAAGTGTCACTTTCATAGGGCAGTTGTCTCTTTCCTGTACACTAGATCAAATTCTCTATAAATCAGTCCCATATCATAAAATGCTTTTTCTTTATTACACTCATCTCAAATATAATTAGACACTTGTTTATGTAATTAATTACATCAGGGCAAAAACACTGCAGGGTTTATTTGCTGTTATAACCTCAGCACTTAGCATAGTACCAGGTACCTAGCAGAAACTCAATAATGGTGTATTAAATCAATAAAAAGGTGAATAATTGGATGAATATAAACATTTCTGAACAAATGAGTCATTTCTGGGGAACACATATAAAACCATAGATGCAACAGAAACAGATGAAGCCTCAGAAGCTTTGAGTTTAATACAAAATAGAGTCGTTAGAAATTATTGTTGTCTTCTCTGGGATATTAATTTTAAAGTTGCTTGTTATACACATTCCATCACTCCTCTTTTTCTTATACCAGTAAGTCAACCATATAATGATTTTCTCCTTTCTAAGTCATATCTTATATTGGCTTAGCTACATCTTAGGTTTTCAAATCAGAGATTTTTGACTATTCTCTTGGCTAAGTTTATAAGCACTTGGATCCTCACTTGGCTCAGCATCCATTTTCAGGAATTACCTTGAAAGTCTTTCAATGTTCTAAAAGTCTACTGCCTTCTAAAGGCTCAGGTCTACTTTTGAAAGAAGGTTCCAGGTTGAGTTTGTACTAATGAACTGGTTTACTGAATATTGAAGGAATTACATATTTCTTCTAAGGAAGAGTTACTAATAGCCAACGTCTAACACCACTTCACATATAAAAGATACTTAATAATCACTGGATTTGATTAGAAAAGCAAGTAAGTTACAGGAGTGTTAGCTTCCAAGCTAAAACAAACTCATTTAATTCTTTTGCTTGGCAACAAAAGAATCTCTTTACTGGCAAATGAAATATCAAAGCCAAAAATATGCTTAAAGGGATATTAAAACTATAATTCAATCTACAGAAAATTTGGTGTACCTACATTCTTTTCCTCGTAGAAATGGATGAGGCCAAGTGCAAATGCAAACTCAAATTTGTTTTGGCCTTCTAACCTCAGATTGTTATTGAAATAATAGGAAATTATCTATCCATTGTCAGTTTTCAGATTGAGATTTTGTTGGTAGTTTCTTTAAAAAAGTTCTTATGTGTGTGTGTGTGTGTTTGTGTGTGTGTGTGAATTCCTGTAAGCATTTTCAAAAATGAATCCCAATAAATCAAAAAAGTCTTCATTTTGATATTTAGTGGCATTAGGCCTTGTCATATACTCTCCAAGGTAAAACATTTGCAAAATGATTCTCTAAGGAGAAAAATCAAGTATAAAAATAAATCATTTAATTCACAAAACTCATTTTAAAGGCCATATGTACTTATTTTTATGTACTCCAGAAAAGAAAGTCAAACTAATTCTTTTTCTATCATTAAGCCCAACTGTAACTAAGCCTTTCATGCAGTGCAACTATATCATCCCGCTAAAATAAAGCTAGTGAGTAAATCACAAATATTCTTAAACATTCTCTAGGAGTTGTGAATTAATTTCCATGGATGTCATTCCTTTGAGCTTTAAAGTTACACTAAATGTTTTAAGGTTTTTGTTCATTATTTTTTACAATTTCATTGGCTTTGTGTGTTCAGTACATTTAAAATGTCTGGTATTTCTTGTATATGATAATTGTTAAATCCCTTTTGTTAAATCCCTCCTCCCTTCCTGTTTTTTGTTTGCTTCTTTGTTTGGACAGAGTTTTGCTGTTTCCCAGGTTGGTTTCAAACTCCTGTCCTCAGGTGATACTGCTGTCTCAGCCTCCAGAGTCACTGAGATTATGGGCACCAGCCACAATGACCAGCTAAATCCCTCTTGACAGGCCAAGTTCGCCTCCTCTCCATCCTCCCTTTGGCCCCACAAACACCACACCACAGAATATATGGTCGGTCTTTTCTTCCGAGAAGCTAATGGGGTTATCCTACTGTGACTGCTATTTTCCTTAGCTAAGTCATGTGTGGGGAATCAGTCAGAGTGGTGGGAGAAACTATAGGTAAAGGACACAAACCTTCTGAAAGGTAGGAAGCTTCTGCAGAGCCCCAGGGGAGAATAGCTGAAGGCAGCTATTCTATAACTCTAAGGCAGAAGGCAAGGAGTAGATACAAGGGAGTATGGGGGAATTTTTCTTAAACAGGCTTGTTTACTTGTGTTGACCAGGAACTCACCTTTGATCATCCGCGTGCCTGACGTTCCCTGAAACGGGAACAATAAATGTTAATTACCTACAGGTTGTGTTGGCTCCAGTTTTTGGCACTGTGCCTCCACTGAATAAAAGCAAGCAGCTCCAGCTTCTTGCTGCTGTTCTCTGGCCACTAGAGCCAGGCAGTCACCTAGCTGCTCTTACACTGCATACCTGTGTCTGGAGTAGTCATTTCATCTGTCGGCCAGGATCTGCAGGACAGATCCGGCAGTCACGATTACACCCACGTGCATCTTGCCCAAAGAGCAGCAACAATTGAAAGAATGTATAAAACAAATTTGTTGGTATGTATAAAGTTGACATTAGTGAAGAGAAAGGGACCTGCCCACTGAATTTGCCACCAGTGAGATATTAGTTTGCTCTTATTGGAAGCCAATAATTCTATTTTGGAAGAGGGGAGATAAAGTAATACAGCCATCCCTTATTCCCTCCCCTTGAAAATGTAAGTGAAATATTGTGCATCTAAATCCTTACAAAGTAAGTGAACTTAAGCAGGGGGAGGAGGAGAAGAAAGAGAAGTCTCACCATCAAAGAACTGATGCCAATGTAAGTCATATCTGAATACTGTTGAACACAGTTTTAGGTTTTAAAAATTGCAAGAGCAGTGGGAAAAAAAAAACACACCTTTGAATTAATGTGTGTCTCTTGATGTCCTAAAATGTTCATCTCATTGTTTAGTTTAAAAGAACTAAAAGTAACTATTCCAGAGAGAAGAACCATTCTTGGCTTTGGCAAGTATCTAAAACAATAACTATAATTCAGGGGTTCTCAAGAGCAACGCTATTTGGGGATCGATGATTCTTTGATGAGCATGGGCCGTCCTGTGCATTGCAGGATGTTCAGCAGCATCACTGGCCTGCACCCACTAGGTACTACCTCAAGCCATGACAATTAGAAATATTTCCAGACATTCCTCTATTTCTCCTAGAGAGCAAAAGCACCCCTTGGTTGAGAACTGTGGCTGTAACTGATGGGTAGCACAAAACGTAGTGGGGAATCTGGTCAATAGTGCCTGAGTACACTAGTGAAGGCTTTCCAAACAATATGATGCTTAAACTGAATTTTGAAGGGTGAGCAAGAATTGTACAGAAGGCCAAAATAAACCCCTTCCTCCATGAGGAAATGTAATTGAAAAACTCAAAATTGAGCACATTCAGGGTTAGTACTGGCAATTCCCAGGTCAATGAATTATCCAAATTGTACACGTACAGTTGCTGTGGCATGCTCTCCTTCCTCCATCACATGTTTCAGACAGTTTGTACTGCTGAAAGATGTTATCAAGTAATAAATAACAGTACTGGCCCAATCATTACCCAGCTATGTGATCTTGGGGAAACTGTTTAACTCTTGAGAATTTCAGTGCCTGTGTCTATAAAATGAAGGTATTCAATTAGTAGATGACCTCAACTGGCACTTCAGATTAAGAAATTCTTTGATAAATCTGTTTCTTAGAGTAGTCTTTCTGCTTATTAAAATGGACACCCTTCATGTTATATTGATTTGCAGTGGGCACTAATCAAACAGCAATTCTAATAAGTTAGGTACAGCAAACTGATTAGAAATGCATTCTGAATTCTAATGCCCCTCTGGGGAAAATCAATCAGATTCAAAGGAGAACTCACTCACCCTTCAGACAAATCCCAGCATTATTACACTGATGGTGAATTAAGTAGCTCAAGATAGTATCAGTTTCAAAGATTTAAATCTTGTCATGTGTTAGCCTGTCACAGATGTACATACATAAGTATACATTAATATACTTCAACAATTCTGAAATGTTTCCACAAAAAAAGAGAGGGAAACATTTAGTTTAATACATAATCCATAGTCCAGATACTTTTAGTAATAGTCTTTATATTTTAGAGAATTTTTAGGGTAACAGCAACTCTGAGTAGAAACTACAGAGTTTTCATATACCCCCTGCTCCCACTCTCGCACAGCCAGAGTATTTAGTTAGTGCAGAAGTAATTGCAGTTTTGCTATTACTTTTAACAGCAAGAACCGCAATTACTTTTGCACCAAACTAATAGTACATTGTTACAAGTGATAAATTTATATGGACGTGCTATTATCACCCAAAGCCCATAGTTTCCATGAGGATTTACTCTTGATATACATTCTAGAGTTCTGACACATGTATAATGACAGGTATCCACCATTATAGTATCATTCAGAGTAGTTTTACTGCCCTTAAAAATCCTCTGTACTCTACCTATTCATCCCTCTCTCCTGAGTAATCCCTGGCAACTGCTGATCTTTTTATTGTCTCCATAATTTTGCCTTCTCCAGAGTGTCATGTAGTTGAAATCATACAGTATGTAGCCTTTTTGGATTAGCTTCTTTCATTTAGTAATACGCATTTAAGATTTCTTAATAACTGTTCATGGCTTGATAGCTCATTTCTTTTCAGCACTGAGTAATATTCCATTGTCTGAATGCACCAGTTTTTCATTGCTTCATCTACTGAAAGGACATAGTTTTGGCAACTATGAAGAAAGCTGCTATAAGTGTCAGTGTGCAGGTATTTGCAGGGAGACAGGCACTTTTCAAAACATAGTTATATATATATATGAATAAGTAAAACAGAGAATGGGTATTACATCTTAATTTTTTAATTAAAAAATAAGTGAACTTCTATTAAGTCAACTTTTAATTTACATGTTTCTGAATCAACTCAGCAGTTATATTAGAGGGCCAGAAGTAACAGCCATTTTGGGGATCAATGAGTACAGACTGTGCTCCAGGTACTCATACAAATGCAAAAGCAAACAGTAAGCCAAGCCACCCTATGACAAGATTAGGTCGGGGTAAGATACAGACAGGAGAATCCCAAGTATGTTCTAGCCACACAGCCTGCAGATGCTTATTAGTTTCTTTGGAGGAATAAGAGAATGATTTCAGACTATTCATGCTTTTTAGAGTTAATTATATACAGTATATAAGATAGAGTTATTTAATATAATGTTGATTAGTCTTTTGTTCTGTTAAAGAACTCCTTTGGTGTATCAGTTATCTATCACTGCATAACAAAACAACCCAAAACTTAGTGGTTTAAAGCAATAACCACTTACTTAGCTTATTATTCTGTGGATAAACAATTTCGGCTGAACTCATCTTGGTGGTTTTGGGTTTTTGTTTGTTTGTTTGTCTAAATTGGCCTCCTTCATCATCTGTAGTCAGTTGCAAGTTGGTTTTGTTGATCTTTGCTATACTCTGTTACATCATCATGGCTGGGATACCTGGGTTGACTCAATTCTGGCTGATATACTCTCTCATCCTCTAGCAAGTTAGCCTATGATTGTTCACATGGTGGCTGGATAGGGTTCCAAAAGAGTAGAAGCATGTAACAACTCTGGTGGGCTAGGCTCTGAACTTGCACAAAGTTATTTCTGCTGGATTTTGTGGGCTGAAGCAAATCACAAAGTCTGCCCCTATTCAAGGGAAGGGGAATCAGACTTCATTTCTTGATGGGACAAGTTTCAAATTCACCTTTCACAGAAGAGATAAAGAAAGGAGTGAATGATTATGCTCCCAGTTATCAGGTCTTCAGACTTGGACTGGAATCTATACCATCAGCTCTCTAGTTCTTAGGCCTTTGAACTATGCCACCAGCTTTCCTGGATTTGCACCTTGTGGATGGCAGATTGTAGGACTTTCCAGCCTCCATAATCACATGAGCCTATACACACACACACACACACACACACACACACACACACACTATATATATATATATATATATATATATATATATATATATATATATATATATATATATATATGTGGTTTCTGAATTGGCTCTCTAATCTGATTTGAGGTAAATATTTTAATGACTTCCTCTTCAGAAGTGAAGAAAGCACTGATACTACATGTTTGATCTGGCAACAGAAATACACAAATATTTGCATTGGAAACTCAATCCATCACTTATAAGAACCAAGGAGCAATCCCAGCACTTTGGGAGGCTGACGCGGGTGGATCCCTAGGTCAGGTGATCGAGACCATCCAGGTTAACGTGGTGAAACCCCGTCTCTACTAAAAATACAAAAAATTAGCCAAGCGTGGTGGTGGGAACCTGTAGTCCCAGCTACTCAGGAGGCTGAGGCAGGACAAAGGCATGAACCTGGGAGGTGGAGCTTGCAGTGAGCCAAGATTGTGCCATTGCACTCCAGCCTGGGCAACAGAGTGAGACTCTGTCTCAAAAAAAAAATAAGCAAGGAGCTGAGCGACTGCATATAATACCTTCTGATACTTTTGGAAAAGTAACAAACATAGTAAGTTTGGCTGTTCACTCCTAATGTTTCTGGACAAAGTGGTGAAAAAAAAAAAGAATGAGCTAAGAGGTTCCAATTCCCAGTTTTTATGTGGTAGAAATGACCTAACGTCTTCTATGTGTGTTCTGAAGGAAACCTGTTACTCCTGTAGCCATAGGGCTAAGATTGACAAAAATCAAATGCAGAATCTCATCTTGCAGCTGGCTGAATTATAACACAAGTTGAACTCCTAGTCTCACAGGTTCTCTACTGTTAAAATGAGGGTATTAGTTGAAAAAACAATGGGATCCTGTAAGTTGGGATGGAGATATGTAGGAAAACTCTGATGAAGTTGGGGACATTGAGGCCCTACATTCTGGTAAGTCTTCTTTACCCGTAGAAGAAGTCTCCCCCTGTTCAGTAGAAGAAGCTTCTCCATGCAGCAGAAGTGGCCTCCCCACTCCCAGCAGAAGTGGCTTCCTTACTCCCAGCATCTCCACACCCAGTGGTAGCAGCATCCCTACCCCCAGGTGAATTGATTTGTCCCCCAACAACCTCAAGTGGTAGAGGGCTTTCCACCCCCATCTGAAAACCCTATACCACTTTGTCTGAGGGGATTAACCCTGCATTGCCTGAAGAAACTGAAATGGTATCCTCTGAGGCCTCACATGCAAGACAATGCTAGATCTCCTTAGAACCTCCCCCTCTCACATCTCTTTGTTTGCAGATCTATAACAAGATTTAAGACCCAACAGGCCCCTAAAGGTGAGGTTCAAAGTGTGACCCATGAAGAGCTGTGCTACATTCCAAAAGAAATATTTGAGTTTTCTAATGTACACAGACAAAAATCCAGGGAACATGTGTGGGAATGGATACTAAGGGTGTGGGATAATGGTGAAAGGAACATAAAGTTGGAAAAGGCCAAACTTATTGATCTAGACTCCAGCAGTTTATTTGGATGGCTGAAACATGAACCAAAAGGTGGTCAACAGTGAACAAGTTGGAAATGCCAGACCTGACTTGGTTTATTACAGAGGAAAAAATTCAAAGGCTCAAGGAGATTGGAATGTTAGGGTAGGCTTGTTATTTGTGATCTACCTATCTAAACTGGTAGAATCCAGAAGATATACATTTTACCACAAGCATGAGAAATAAATTTGTGTGGGAGGCCCCATCATTCTTGAAGAGCTCCACAATTGCTCTTCTCTGTAGACCAGACCTTACTGTGGGAACTACACCCATTGATTTGGGAAAACTTAATTCAATGGGAATAACTGAACTGCAGTGTGGCAGAGGCCAAGTGGCAGCACTCAACTGTCACAGGCAAGGTGGGCAGGGTTTCCCTGATGGACAGAAGTGCCAAAGCAGCAATCAGAATACGCTGAGTCTTGTAGACCTGTGGTATTAGCTAGTTGATCATGATGTTTCTCGAAGAAAAGAAATAGGAAGCCTACTAAATTCTTACTTCATTGGTATAAGCAGAAAAGTCTTGGTCAAGTGAACAAAAGCCTAACCTGAATCATAAAAACAGAGTCATATTCCCTCAATCAATTCCCAGACTTGAGCCACTTTAAAGAATCAGGACCCCTTCGGGAGGCCGAGACGGGTGGATCACAAGGTCAGGAGATCGAGACCATCCTGGCTAACACGGTGAAACCCCGTCTGTACTAAAAATACAAAAATTTAGCCAGGCGTGGTGGTGGACGCCTGTAGTCCCAGCTACTCTGGAGGCTGAGGCAGGAGAATGGTGTGAACCTGGGAGGCGGAGCTTGTGGTGAGCTGAGATTGTGCCACTGCACTCCAGTCTGGGCGACAGAGCGAGATTCTGTCTCAAAAAGAAAAAAAAGAAAAGAAAGAAAGAAAGAAATAGGACCCTTTCAATGAAGGGGAAGTTGGGTCTCCTTGAGGAAGGATTCCAGCATACTCTCAAAAATTCATGCTGTAATTCTTTTTCCCAGGCTTTTCCAAAGTGACCTATAGCCTTTTACTACAGTAAACTTGCATTGAGGAAAAGAAATAATCAGACCTTTGGAGAAATACTGGACACTGGTTTTGAGCTAACATTAATTTCAGGAGACCCAAACATCACTGTGGGTCACCAAAGTAGTGGCTTATGGATATCAGGTGACCAATGAAGTTTTAGTTCAAAGACGTCTCACAGTGGGTCCAGTAAGTCCCTGAACCTATCTTGTGGTTATTTTCCTAGTTCCAGAATACATAACTGAAATAAATATACTCAGCAGCTGGCAGAATCCTCACATTGGTTTCCTAACCTGTGAAGTCAGGATCATTATGGCAAAAGACCAAGTGGAAGCCACTAGAACTGTCTGTACCTAGAAAACTAGTAAACCAATGGCAATACTCCATTCTTGGAGGGACTGCAAAGATTAGTGCCATCATCAAGGACCTGAAGGATGCAGGGGTGGTGATTTCCATCATATTACTATTCAATTCATCTGTGTGATCTGTGGAGAAGACAGATGGATCTTGGAGAATGACAGTGGATTATCTTAAGCTAAACTACGTGCCTACTCCAATTGCAGCTGTTGTGCCAGATGTGATTTTGTTGCTTGAGGAAATTAACACATCCCCTAGTACCTGGTATACAGCTATCCATCTGGCAAATGCCTTTTTCTCCATCCCTGTCAATAAGGCCTACCAGAAGCCGTTTGCTTTTAGCTGGAAAGGCCACCAATACACCTTCACTGTCCTATTTCAGAGATATATCAACTCTCCAATCCTCAGGCTATAAAACCATAGTTTGCAGGAATCTTGGTCAATTTTTCCCCTTCATAAGATATTATGCTGGTTCATTACATTGATGACATTATGCTGATCAGACCTACTGAGCAAGAAGTAGCAACTACTTAGACTTACCGCATGCCAGGGTGGGAAATAAAACTGACAAAAATTCAGAGGCTTTCTACTTAGGTGAAATTTCTAGGGGTCCAGTGGTGTGGGGGCATGCTGTGATATCTCTTCTGAGATGAAGGATAAGTTGTTGCATCTGGCCCCTCCTACAACCAAAAAAGAGGTCTCTTGGCTTTTCAAGATAACATATTCCTCATTTGTGTGTGTTACTCCAACTAATCTACTGAGTGACCGAAAAAGCTGCCAGGCCTTTGTCAGACCCCTACAGGTGAATTACAGTGCAGGCCCTTAAAATTTCAGAGCTGCCAGGCCTTTGTCAGATCCCTACAGGTGAATCACAGTGCAGGCCCTTAAAAATTCAGAGCCCTGGCATCACACGTAGATAACTACTCTGTTTTTGAGAAACAGTTACCAGGCCTTAGTAGACACCGAACGCTTAATTAGAGGAAGATAAGACCATAGGCATGGTCTGCAAATGGTTCAACGTGATATGCCAGTACCACCTGAAAGGGAACAGACAGCTGCACCACTACAGCTTTTTTTCTGGGACATCCCTGAAGTAGAGTGGTAAGGGACATCTTTCTCGTGGGCAGAACTTTGAGCAGTACACCTGGTTGTTCACTTTGCTTGAAGGAGAAATGGCCAGATGCGTGATGACATTCAAGGACTGTGGCCAATGATACAGCCGGATGGTCTAGAATTTGGAAGGTACATGATTGAAAAATTGGTGATAAAGAAATTTGAAAAAACATTTGTCATGTAGTTTCAAACAAAACTCTCTTTGGAAATGTTTTACTTTTCATTTGTCTTTAATTCTCCATTTTCTTCAACTTACTCTTCACCATAATATGTACTAACAGACTGAAATTTTTGAGTAGCAGCTAATAAACCATGTTGACTAAATTAAAAAGTAAAAATAATAATTTACTCCTCCAAAACACATACCTAGTTGTATCTATCTGTCATAATCTACCCAGCAGAATTGTGATATTTTGGAGCATGTTTTATTTACAGATTGCAATTAGATACTCTGTCTCTAAGTGTGATTCAGAATGAAATCTCATTATGGAGATACTTAATACAGACATTTCATTTTATAACACAACAAATTTAAGTCTTATTTATTTTCCCAGTCTAAATTGGATGTTATAATTCAGTATTTCAGTCACAAGTAATCTGCCAACTCTAGCTATAAAATCATAATATAAGACCAATTTATGTTAATTAAAAAATAAAAGTTTAAAAATATTATTATCAGCATTTTAATACCTTTGAAAAAAGAGGAAACTGATTGGAAGGAATAATTTTACTAGTGTTGGAAAATCCTGGGAATCTTCCAGTCTAAAAATATTCATTGTGTTTCATCCTCTTTTGGGAGTATTTTTAGGAGGGTAGACATTAAACCAGAATAACAAAACCCAATGGAGTTGATTTGCTACAGGAAGATTTGTCATTTAACAAAAAATACTTTTGAGCATCTACTATGCACTGCTTGGTGGTGATATAAAGAATACTCCTGACTTAAGGATGTTGCAGTATGCTTGGAAATATGGAGCATGAACACTTTAATGATGTCAGAATATATACAAAGAACATAAACCTGAACGATCATTAAACTAGTGCAACACATGCAACTGCTAAGAGTCACATAGTGAAACAACAATCAAAATAGTTGGAAGGCTTATAATCAAGAAATGATTCAGGAAAAAAAGTGAATTTTGAAAGGGCAAAACACAAATAATTTCTGTGAAAAAATGAAAATAAGTTAGGGTTATTAACAAAAAGTAGAACAGAAGGGCCACAACACATATAATTGCTTTATGTAACAGCCTGATGATAAGTTTTCTTTAATTAATCAGAAACAAGGATTCTTGATGCAAGGAAAAATGCACTGAGATTTTCTACAGAACCCTTTATCTTATCATAGAGACAGCAAAACTCAGGGGTAAGAAGCTTGCAATCTGGAATCAGACTGTCTGAGTTCAAACCTGACTTTACCACTAATTAGCTGTGTGGCCTTGAGTAATTTACTTGACTTCTTTGTGCCCTGCCTCTCATTTGTAAAACACAGATGATAGTAGCACCTGTTTAAGCTAGATTGTGTTACATCTGTTTGGTTAAAGTGGGAATTACATTTCCTAGAATCCCATCCCTGTATGACTCTGGGTTATTCTGGTCAAAAGAGGGTTTCTAATCACAGTCTGAATGTCACATATAATACTTCAGAGAGGGTTCTTTGGGGATAGTGAAATTCTATTCCAAATGATATTTGTTAACTATTCACATCCATCACTGTAGCACCCATTTTTTTGTAATGAGCTTCAAAATATAATATATTGGATGAGGTAGCTAGCATCAGACTATAAAATCCAAAACAAGCTATAAGAACTCATTTCTATTTTGATTGCTCCTGGCCAGGTAAACAGCTGGGAGCTCAATCAAATAGTGATGATGAAATGCTAGGATTGCTATTGTCACAGCTGTATCACTGAATACAATAAAACTGAGAAAATAGAGTATTTTATATTTCCCAAGTCCTTTTTACTATCTTTATTCTTCTAATCCTGACAAGAACACAATGAAGTGCACTGGGACAATTATGGAATTAATGTGTCTGTGTCAGAGATGGGGAAATGTAACTCAGATCATTTAGTAGGCTTAGTGTCTAAGTGGTAGTTACTTCCACTTAAACTTCACAACATTTCAGTATTTTCAAGTGGCCTTTTGGGCACCAAAATCATTATGGAAAGTACAAATAAATAAAGACAGTAGTGAAAAAGTAAAAGATTTAGTATTCCAATTTGGTTGAGATGACTTTGTTGGGGAGGGATTAAACAGAAATTTTAGGGAAGATGAGAAAAAAATCCCCAGATGTGCATGTGAAAGGATTATTTTTAGAGAACAATAAGACTCAGTGAGTGAAGCAGTGATTTATCAGCAGAAAGAAGAATAGCAAATAGCTATGTTTATACTCTCAGATGTCTGTATTATTTCAAGCGTAGGCCCTGATGAATGAAAACTAACTGATTCACCAGAGGTGGGGTGGGTGGCACCTGAGCAATTGCTGCTACTCAAACCCCCTTGAACACATTCCCAAGAAGGGAAGAGGGAAACTTAAAGATAGTAGAGTTAAAGAAGGCATCTGGACCAACTAAATTTGCTGAGAGCCATTTAATTTCCCTTAATATTCCTGTGTGCTTGAACCTTACACACACCAGAAGGAAAAGAGGCTAATTAGTTTTATACCTATTCAGTATTCAAAAATAGAAAGGGTTGTGATCACTGACTCACTCATTTCCCATTCCTTGCCCAAGGCAGAATATGCTCATGTGGCAACTGACTCGTTCTTTCTCCTTGAGTGCATGGGGCTTGCAGCAGCAGCTCTCAATCCTGTTGCAAACAGGAATCATCTGGGAAAATGCTTTTAAACACTCTGATGCCCAGGCTGCACTCTGTACCAAATAAATCTAAATCTCTAAAGAGTGAGACTGCTGCATCAGTATTTTTCAAAGTTCCCCAGGTGACTCTGATGTACAGCTAAGTTTAAGAATAAAGGAAGACCACGGAAATGCAATTACTGACAGTCTAGACCACAGCTCAGCCAATGAAGAGAATTAGTGATACAAACTTTATTTGGAAATAGGATCTTTACAGAGGGAACCAAGTTAAAATTAGTTCATTAGGTAAGCCCTAATCCAATATGACTGGTGTCCTTATAAAAGCAGAATTTGGACACAGACACACACACACAGAGAAGGCCATGTGAAGGAGAAGGCAGAGATCGGAGTGATTAATCTACAAGGCACAGAATGCCAGAGATTGCCAGCAAACTGCTGGAAGCTAGGAAAAGGAGCTTAAAGAGATTCTGCCTCAGCCTTCAGAAGGATCCAACCTTACAGACATCTTGATTTTGGCTTGTGGTCTCCAGAACTGTGAGACAATACATTTTTGTTGTTTAAGCCACTCTGTTGTACTTTGTTGTGGCAGCTGCAAAAAACTAATGCAAGGTACAACTCGATATCTAACTTATAAGGCCAAGTTGAACATATTAAAACATTCTCCTACTTGGGTCATGTTGACTTTTAAAAGAAATTGTTGATTTATGGGGAAAAAAAAGTTGAGGTAAAACCTTATTAGCTAGATTTTTTTCAAGGGCAGAAAAAAGAAATCTGTAGATTTAAATCCCCAAACAGGAACTAATCAATACTTTATTTATTTCATCAAAATTCCCAAGAGTATAATCATCTTCTGCTGAACTCTTAAAAAATCCCACGGAGACTATAAGTAATAAAGATTTAGAAAAAAATCTCTTCAGAGAAGTATGACTAGAATGCCACCACTAACTGAGCTTTTTAAAAAGTTAATTGTACTTTTTAAATCAGAAGATAGAAAAGTTTATTCAGTAAAAAAGTAAGGCTCCTTCCGACCCATGTACGCTATAGTTGTTATTTAAGATTCAAAGGTGTGACCTTCCTCTCCTCAGCCTTACCCCACCTTCCTAGGGTTTACTTACTACCCTTAAGCCCTAAGAGATTAGCTGGGCTTTAAAATTTATATACATATCATTAGTTTATTTTTTCAATAAGAAATGCATGCACAAGTACCAAAACTTAAATGGTGCAACAAAGTGCAAGATATCCAAGTAAATCTCCTTGCCACTCTTCTTCCCAGAAAACCTCAAGGCAATCAGTATCACCAAGTTTTTGGACAAACTTTCCAGGATACTCAATGCAATATGAATAATTTACACATACATATTTTAATATAAATAGTAGCATATTATACATATTGGTCTGCAAATTGCTGGGGGTTTTTCCTTGCACTTAATAATATATCTTGGAATTGTTCCAAGTCATTATACATACACAGCATTCATTTGTTTTTAAATAAAATTTTATTTTTAAATAATTTTAGATTTAAAGAACTGTTTCAAATACAGTATAGAGAGTTTCTGTGTACCCTTCATCTAGTTTCTCCTAACATTAACACTTTACATAACCATGGTATATTTGTCAAAACTAAGACATTAACCTTGGCATATTACTATTATTGGTGCAAAAGTAATAGCGGTTTTTACCATTAAAAGTAATGGCAAAAAGCACAATTACTTTTGCACCAACCTAATAAAAACTACAGACATTATTCACCAGTTTTTCCACTGTCTCCTTACTGTCTGAGGGTCCATTCCAGGGAACCATACTGCATTTAGTTGTCATGTCCCCTTAGTCTCCTCTGGTCTGTGAGAGTTTCTCAGTCTTTCCTTATTTTTGTATTACCTTGACAGTTTTAATAATATTTGTCAAGTATTTTGTAGAATGTCCTTCAGTCTTTGTTTCATAATTTTTTTTCTCATAATTAGACTAGGACTATGTGTTTGGGGAACACTGTCACAAACATGAGGCACCCTCCTCCGCACATCCTATCAGGGGGTACATGAGATGGATGTCCCGTATCACCAGCAACGTTAACTTTGATCACTTGGCTCAGGCGGTGTGTGTCAGGTTTCTCTACTGTAAAGTTACTCTTTCTCCCTTTCCAAACACTATTCTTTGGAAGTGAGACACTAAATATGACCCACTTTCCAGCACAGTGGAATTAAGCTCCACCTCCTGGAGGGGGTTATATCTACATATAGTATTTGGAATTGTTCAAAGTGGAAGATTTATCTGTTCTCCCTCTATTTATTTATGTATTTATGTATGTATGTATGTATGTATGTATGTATTTATATAAGTAGGAACTCATGGACATTTGTTTTATGCTTTGGGTTGTAAACTAGCACTATTCTATTTATTTTGCTGCTTTAATGGTTCCAGTCTTGGCCATTGGGAACTCATTTAGGTTGGCCCCTGTGCCCCTGTGACATGCCCCATTCTTTTCTTTTTTTGAGCACTTCCTCATTTTTTGACACTAGAAGACACTCAAGGTCTGTCTTGTATCTTCCCTGCCCAGCCCTAGAATTAGCCATTTTCCCAAAGAATGCTGAGTCCTTTTATTGGAGAGTGGTATTTAGAAAGTACAATCTAGGCATTGGGTCTGCTCTTTACCAATAGTGTATCATTGCTTCTTGGCCCTCTTGGTAGACAGACCTAGGAAATAGATGTATCTGTACTAAACGATGTATACACACATATCTATACTTTTATGTATCCATATCTGATATGGTTTGGCTGTGTCCCCACCAAATCTCAACTTGAATTGTAGCTTCCAGAATTCTCACATGTTGTGGGAAGGACCCAGGAGGAGGTGATTGAATTATGGGGGCCAGTCTTTCCCATGCTATTCTTGTGATAGTGAATAAGTCTCATGAGATCTAATGGGTTTATCTGGGGTTTCCGCTTTGCTACTTCCTCATTGTCTCTTGCTGCTGCCATGTAAGAAGTGCCTTTCACCTCCCATGATGATTCTGAGGCCTCCCCAGCCATGTGGAACTGTAAGTCCAACTAAACTTCTTTTTCTTCCCAGTCTCAAGTATGTCTTTATCAGCAGCATGAAAATCTTTATCTTGTGCATATTGATGGCTCCAACTCTAATTCAACACCACAGGATTCATTCTAGACTGCCCCCTTTGCTTATTTTAGCTTTTATCTGGTAGTGATTTTAGCTTTTATCTGATAGTGATAAATCTGGCTCCCATGATCTAAAACATACACATACATCAAAACACATAACATGGTTTCAGAACTGCCAGAAGGTATCGCTATGCACAGTTCCTTTTGTTTTTAGCTTTTCAGTTTCCAGTGAAAACAATGTCAATGTTTTCTAAAGTTATTCAGGTCAATTACTTTTCCCCCCACTACTTTTAGTGAGGTTATAACATACATTTGTAAACGTTAGATTTCTTTCTCAGTCTGCATTCCATCCTGAGATCCTTAGGTTGATCCTTTTGAAAATTTATTTGCATATCTAAAGTTCACACTCACGATGCACAGTTCTGTGGACTTCGAGAAATGTATAGAGTCATATTTCTGCCACCCAAGTAGCATGTGAAACAGTCCCATTACACCAGAGTTCATCTGTGCAGCCTCTTTTGGTCAACTATTGTCCTCTCCCTCAAACCTTGGCAACCACCAAATTGCTCTCCATCCCTAAAATAAGTGAAGTCAAATATGTAGCTTCCTGGGTCTAGCATCTTTAAGTTGACAAAATATATTTAAGAGTCATCCATGATATTGTTAAAATCAATAGGTCCCACTCTTTATTGCTGAGTAGTATTCCATCATTTGGCTGTATCATATCAGTTTATCCACTTACCAGTTGGAGGACATTCAGGTGGTTTCCAGTTTTTAATGATTATGAATATAAATGATATTCAGAATGCACAATGATATTTATAGTTTTTAATGATAATGATTATCAACATCATAGCACAGGTGTTGGTGTGGATATTGGTTTTAAGTTTTCTTAGGTAATTACCTAAGAGTGAGGTTGCTGGGTTATATGGCAAGCATGTGGTTAATTTTGTAAGAAATTGTTTTATCTTTTTTTTTTTTTTACCATTCTAACAGTTGTATAGCATATCTATTAAATATACCCTTTAAAAAGTCCTCTAATTTTAAAGATTTCATCTTTCAAAAAGGGCAACATGTTGTCATGATTTTGGGGTGGCTGTGTGTCAATAGCTGAAAATGTGTTTCCTGCCCCCAACTCTTAGAATAAAATGTTGCAGCTGAAAATGCTCTGTCATTGATTATTTAATCACTGAGTGGATAGTATATCTGTACAACAGTTATGGTCTGCCTTTTCAGGTAGAGATTCCATTTTAAAAATAATTTTCTACTATTTCCCTAAAATTTGTGTCCCATTATTATCTTAAAATGTATGTTAAACAGAAATAGCTAAAATTGTCTTTAAAATGTAGAAGTATCACCTTTTCCTTGGCTAACAATGTTTTAATTGTGTTTCTGATAGTATAAATATATAGGAATATCAAATCCTAATGATAAGTATGTATTATACAAGTTATATCAAGTACTTAGTAAAATTTGATACCAAAATCATATATATGAAGATCATTATAGAATTATTTATAATATGTACATAAAATTTACTAGAAAAGTTACATTTTTGAAATTCCTATATTCTTAAACTATAAAGTACTCCTTACATATCTGAAATATAGCACCTTTCAATCCACCTTATGTTATGTATTTCATTACTCACAAAAACCATCAAGAAGAAGGAAGGGGAAATAAAGAAGAATTCATAAGATTATTTTAATAGCATTTAAGTGGTTGGAGATTTTTAACTTTTTAGACATAATATGTTTTTTTCTATCGACTGTTTCTTATAGCAATGGAAAGACTTTTAACATAGACTGTTAAAAATAGATCACATGTGATTTCTACTTTTATTCATTATGTAAATTAGCAGTTTGAATAAAAACTTCAAAGCACTGATATAAATTGGTGGCTAGATTATGACTCGTTACTGTGTTTTGGGATTATCTGAGTCCAGGCACACTGTAGTAAACTAATGAATAACTATCTCACATGGTTTATGACATGCAAAGACAGTGTTATCAATTTACCATTAGGAAATTTGTGTTGACTTACTTCTCTAGTAATAAGGATAAGCTAATATTCGCCCATACTGCTTCTACTAATTTCTCTTTGTCATACATTTGTGAGATTAATTAGAGTTAAAGGTACAGACTGTAGCAATGAAAAGATTACAGGTAATCAGCTTGCTATGTAAGAGGAAGGAAACAGAAACCATATGGAGCTGTGACTCAGAAAGGAAAACAATCTCAAGTTAAGTGGAGAAGTTGGAGAAGGATGGAAAACAGTCACAGGTTCTCCAGATCCCCCGTGTGGGGAGCAATATGGTTCTAAAAGGAGCTTGGGTAATTGTTTTGAAGCTGCGTATGGCAAGAAAATCTAAAGAACAACAACAAAAAGAGCCAGCAAGCTGTTTTTATTTAGATTCAATGTCATTGAGTTGGTACATCTATTGGGTGATGACCCCTATCCTGTGAAGAAATATCATAGCTATATTTACTGTTCCTAGGAAATTACTTTCCTATTTGCTCCCTGTCTTTTAGATATTATTGTCTATGACATAACTAGCTGGTTTAGGGTGATAACTAGGTTACAGGAAAATTATAGAAAATCTCATTCTGAAGCTTCTTGGTTAAAGAATATGAAATTCCCACCCATTACCAATTTTTTATGCTGATAAAGCAATAATATCATCACTGCATATCATATGCAATAATATCATCACTGCATATCATAAGCAACAGGTTTTCCATACTTGGCACTACCTTACTATATTTTGTTGTCAATATAATATTCCCTCATGTCTCTACCTCTGTGACCTTGTGTATGCTCTAACTCACCTGGAAAAAAAATTCTCTTGTCTCTTCACCAACCTAACTTAAATTTTATCTTCTCCAACTGCCTACTTGACATCTTTACTTAGATGTGTTAAAGGCAGCTCAAATTCAACGTTTCCAAAACTGAGCTCATGAATCCTTCCCTCTCAAACGCAGTCCTCTTCCATTGTCCTCCACTAGAGTAAATAGGACCATCCTTTGGTCCTTTGCACAAAGCAAACACATATGTGGGGTGAGGATTTCCTATGTACAAGAAACTTTCTAAGCAATGGGAAAAATCAGTCAGTCACCACAAGGGTTGAACATCCATTGGGTTATTTGTAAGTCCTAAGGTCTCACTTGCCAGCAGAGAGTACCAAGAGCAAACTGCGATTGACCACAGATGCACATAGGTTCATGCTCATCACCTGGTTCTTTCAAACGTCCTGCAGCTCTGATGATGCTTTTGTGTCATGCTTTGAGCAAGGAATTATTTGCTGAGGATGAGAGGTCTTTAGGACAGAACATAACAATCCCAGCTGGTGTCTCCCTAATTCTCTGGGGCAGTGCCAGGGTATGGTGTGAAGGTGCCCCTGCCCTCAGTGTTTTGATTGGTACTTCTGGATTACAGATCTGCAGATGCCTTTTTTTCTTTAAAATTTTCCATATTTTAAATGTTTCTCTTATGTAAAGAATGGCTTTAGCCATCAGAAATAAATGAATACTGTATGGAAAAACACTAACAACAACAACAACAAAAAGAGATTTTAAATCTGTATGCTAAGATTTAAAAAAAATTCTAAGTTTGCAGAGCTCAAAAGAATGCACAAATAAATTTATCCTTCATAGGACATCAAACTGTGGTTTGAAAAAAACATTTGTTGTGGTATATAAAAAAACTAAAGGGACACAGACTTGAAATCTCATTTTAAATGGAGCATGTGTCTTTATTTGTTACATTTCAGCATTCATTACTCAAAAATATTTTAAAGAAAGAACACATTTTTCCCTCATGACTCAAGTCAAGGAGTGTATGTCATGGTCATGGAACACAGGCATCATTTTAATAAAGATGATTTATTATTTTATACTACCACATGCATAATACCATCAACGTAAATTCTTAGCAACTCATGCCCAAAATTTCACATTGGATATTAACCCTGGCTGAATTAGATCTACAGCAAAATGTTAAAGTATTTTTTGTAAATATAATTTCTGTATCTTTCTAAAACTTTTAGTTGTGAAAAAATGGCAAATACAAGCATAGACAGATAACCTAATGAATCCTCATGATTCAATAATTATCAAGTCATCACACATCTTTAATAATTATCAACTCACGGTCAATCTTGTTTTATCTCTGCTTCCACTCACTTTCTCCAATTCCAATTATTTTGAAGACTTCATATCATTTAAGTTTCTATGTTTTTTAAAGGCGAACCCCACAAAAGATAAATGACAAACATAAGCAAATGTTGCCTTTAATTTAATAACACTGAATTTCTCTTCTTGTGCAAAAACTTGAGTCCTACAGGCACAGGGTTGGTAGTTTACTAATGAGAGTATCTGGGGGAGGGGGGCTTCCAAAGAGCAAATTAAAATTTCCAGTGAATCATTCACTTAAGACCAAACTATATTGGAGAGTCTTATGTGTGAGTCTACTTGGGTAATCTATACATATTGACTTACAGAAGAATTTAGGTTTTCTGGGATAGAAATTATAAATTATTTTACTATTATTACCATTACCAAATTAACATCTGTTTTTCAGTAACTAAAATTTTCTACTGAATTGTTTATTCTGCTCATACTGTTATGATTTTTAAAATTCTGCAGAATAGTAACGTAATGATACTGTATGTGCAATACTTATGAACACCTGCAACTAAAGCCAAGTTGCCTGGGTTTGAAGCGTTGTTCTGATACTTTCTGTGTGACGTTGGAAAAATTGCTTAACCTCTCTGTATCTCAGTTTCCTTATGCATAAAGTAGGCGATAATAACAGTTTGCATCTCTTAACGGTGTTATGAGGAACTAACTGAATTAATATATGGAAAGTGTTTAGAACAGTGCTTGGCACACAGAAAGCATTATATAAGTGTAAGCTATTATTCCATACACTCCCCTTCTCCTCCTCTCCAAGAGACAGACTCTAGAAAGGCTGATGTTTTTTGTCCATTAAGGTGTCCCAGTAGTGTCCCTAGGCTGGCACAAAGCAGACATTCAAATAATATTTGTGGAATAAATAAATCTATAAAACCTTAGTTTTCTTATTATAGATTTTTAAACATGAATGTATATTACTTATTATAACATTAAAAATAAAAATACTAAACAATCCTGCTGAAGTAAAAATTATAATTAAGTAAAAATCATGAAATTGCTACTTTCATCCACAATGGATAATTTTTTTTTGAGACAGAGTCCTGCCCTGTCACCCTGGCTGGAGTGCAGTGGTGCGATCTCAACTCACTGCAACCTCTACCTCCCGGGTTCAAGCAATTCTTCTGCCTCACCCTCCCAAGTAGCTGGGACTACAGGCACCTGCCACCACTTCCAGCTAATTTTTGTATTTTTAGTAGGGACAGGGTTTCAACATGTGGGTCAGGCTGGTCTCGAACTCCTGACCTCAAGTGATCCACCCACCTCGGCCTCCTAAAGTGCTAGAATTACAGGCATGAGCCACCGCACTCAGCCCATGATGGATAAATTTAAAATCCAAGAGCAAATGAAACTAATCCATATATACCCCCAAAAATTTGTCTTTCCAGTTAATATCTGAAGGCATACATCATCAAATATGAAATATCAGTTTTATTGAGGTTGAATTTATACTTCTCTTTGGGAGGTAAGCTCAGTTCTTTAGGTCAGATCTCTACTTTAAAAACTAACTGGGAAAATGGGTATGATCAGCTTCTCACAAGTCTTCCAAGCATATGGATTATTCCATGAATTACTGAAAAAGGATTTTAAAGTGTTAAGTATAAACTAATTTAGGCTCTATAGACACAGGCCTCATAGGCATGGTAGGGATATAGTATTCATGTTTATTAATTAATAACTTATTGTCTTATGAGAAAACACAGTCAAATACAGACATGCCTCATTTAACCAGCACTGACAGCACATGGGCGTTTCACAGAATTTAACTTACCAAATAGCCTAAAGTTATCTTTCCTTATAAAGTTAAAACATTTTCATGGGCAGTTTTTCAAAATGTATGCAATTCTTCCTTGCTTTTTTGCATGTAGCAGGCATTGCTTGATTAAACTTTATGTTGGATGACTTAACCTTTTCATAATGACTCAATGTCATCATTACAAAAATTAATTATTACTCTGGGTTATAATACAGTATTGTTCTCAGGAGTTTTTGAGGTTTGGAAAGATATTTATCTCACTAAAAGCTCTAGAGTGCTATGATTCTTCTTATTAGAAGGATGAGGGTAAAGAAGGGGTCTAAACTGAATACTCAGTTCCCATGGCTCTGATTTTAGAGGTCATTATATAATTCTCAGACACCTAAGTTTTGAGGCTATCCCTGGAAGAAACTACCCTAAAGTGGGAGAGAACAGAAAGATCTCTTTGAGCACAGAGGACGTCTACTGAAGCTCAAATAATTTTATACTATCAGCTTTCCAGCCTAGCTTATTGGCCTAAGCCATCAAAGCAGGAACATACGAGCTTCAAGGTGCAAGATAGTAAAATGGTAGAATTTCTTAGGTCCTGTGCTATTGAAGCTCAACTTAAAGAACTGAAAGGCTGGGCAAGGTGGCTCACGCCTGTAATCCCAGCACTTTGGGAGGCCGAGGCGGGCGGATCACAAGGTCAGGAGTTTGAGAACAGCCTGGCCAACATAGTGAAACCCCGTCTCTACTAAAAATACAAAAAATTAGCCAGGTGTGGTGGTGGGCACCTGTAATCCCAGCTACTCGGGAGGCTGAGGCAGGAGAATCGCTTGAACCAGGGAGGCAGAGGTTGCCGTGAGCAGAGATCATGCCATTGCACTCCAGCCCAGGTGACAGTGCAAGACACTGTCTCAGAAAAAAAAAAAAAAGAACTGAAAGTCCTGTGAGACCTTGGGGCTAACAAATGGCATAAGAGCAGTATTAGGCCAAAGGCAAGGGCTGCAGGTCTTTGAATGCTGGATCCAAATGCACAGGTATTGGATGGGGACATCATTGTTCCAGCACTTGCTATAGGGTTAGCCACAAATTTTATTTACAACTAGGTCTTCAAATAATTTTTCCAAGTCTAGGGAAATAAGGATTCTGTTTCTCTTCATCCTCTTAAAGTGAAACACCTAGCTTTTACTTCTTGATGCACTCACTGTATTTGTCACTGTCACCTTTTCCTTCCCTTTGCAATTTCTTGCTTCTAATTTGTTATGGCCTGGAAAGCCACAATCTTTCTAATATTGGTTCTACAATAAAAGTAATATTTCCCCAAGGGATTTACCCCTGGAAAGCATATGAGCTTTATACAGTAGACATTGCTATAACTATTTTAGGCTGTAAGAGAATTTTAAACTTGGTTCCTGGTCCTTAATGTGTCCTAGGATGGCTAAAAGTGCAAAATAAATTACCTTGAGAAAAATAAGTTGTTACTGTAAACAGATTTAGAGTCCTTTAAGTCACCAGCTTAGTACTGATGTGATGCATACTACTCAAGAGTTGGAGCATAATGAACACCTTCTGGGTACTTTTATTACCTGGAAAATCGAATGCACTTGTATGACTGGTCTATACCATGTGTCCTCCAATGATCTATTTGAAATTAAATACTATGAGAGATGCAACCCTAGACTTAAAATACTTTTTGTATTTTTAAAATTTTCCATGTGGGAAAAGAAAAAGTAATCTTGAGCTCTGCCGTGACCCTTGCAGTTTTCCATTAAAAGGTAAGTATTCCAATGTCACTTTTATAAAGATTTATAAGCAAAATAAAAACAGAAGTAACAACTGGATAAAGAACCTCAGAGAAACACCCAACAATCTCAAAAGAATGACCTCCTTTTTTCAGACCCATGAGAACGTAGCATGAGGTTTCTCCTAGTGCAACCTGGAAAACATAATTGTGTCTAGATGGAGAGAGAGAGAGTTTCTGTGGTAAACCCACCAGCTTTTAGATATTTGGTGCTAGTTATTTCAATTGTGAAATAAATAATTTTTCCACTAACAAACAACTAAAAAGAATGACTGGTCTGTGCAAACCTGCATTCCCTGATATTTGCAATCTTTTTCCAACATTGTATTTGGAATTATGCTTCAAGGATAATTAATCTTCAAGTTCTATAGTTTAACATGTCTGTATTCTTATTTATATGTAAGAGGCATGGCACTAATGCTCACTCTCATTTTTTAAAAACTCTTTTTTTGTACCCAGCTTACATAACAATTTCTTAAGTTAGGCCAGTGCATCTTTGCTAACTCTTGTCCTTTCTGTTTCCAGTTTTTTATTTCAGGTGTTTATTTGCCATTGCTGGCTTACTGAAGCAGCTTCATCACTATTTCTCCTGCTGTTTCATTCCCACCTCCAATCATCTAACTTACTGATTTCATATTAATCTTCTTAAAAAAGCCTTTTTTAAAAGTCTGCTAAAAAATCATCAGCCTATCCACATGATGGAAGACTATCTCCTTAGCTCTTTCTTAGCTCCTGTCCCCATGCTTATTTTCCCCTGCTTCTCCACACTTCCCTTTACACCAGAGAAACTTGCAGACTCCTGTTTCCAAAACATCCTGCCCTTCTCAATGACTGTTCCCTTCCAGGGAGGCTTCCCACATCACCATATCCACCTTCAAGGTCCAGTGCCCTTCCCATTTTCCCCTTGACTTAGGGGTTGGAGGAGGGCAGGAGAAGAAAAACAAAGACAAGAGAGATCAGAGAACTCCCCATTCCATTATTGCTTTTCCAGAATTGATTGGATTCACATAACAGGCAATGTTCATTTGGGCTCTCCTTAATTATTTTGGTTTAGTTATTCTTCAAGGCAGTACAAGAGGCACATTTTCTCCCAGAAATGCAATGCTTTTTGTCATATGGCTAACTCAGGAGGGAGGAGATAATTTCTATAGAAAAACTTGCTTAAGCAAATGCATGAAGGATCTCCTCTCTACCCTATTCAGAGTCTTCTGTCTTAAAAATCAGAAAAATTTTAAACTTAAAATGAGCCTTCTAGTTCAATTTTCCAGCACTGGATGGGCACCAAAGGTCAGAGACCCTCCTGAACCAATATCCCTTTATAGGCTTGAAGCCCTCTGCATCCACTAGGGATCTTGTTTGCAGAGAATGTAATCTAGCTAGCTTAAGTAGCAAGAATTTTATTACGGGATAGTAGACAGTTACAGAAGCTTCCAACCATACCCTAAGAGTGTTCTAGAGGAAACCTTGCTGCTGCTGCTGCTGCCCACTGCTCAACAGCTATAATGCCAAAGACCAGACCAGCATGCACAAAAGTACCCATCACATGTCTTTGCTGCCATGCCCGTACCTCATTTTCACACATTCCAAGGCTTAGACGTCTGAATCTGCTTGGCAGAACCTAGAGCACAGGTAGAAGTCTAGCAGTAAAGGACTCTTAAAAATGTGGCTTTCTAGTTTCCAGCCTTTAGAGTGCAGGAAGACATTTTAGAATGGGAGCAGGGTGGATATCAAGTGAGCCAATGTGCAGTGACTGCCTCACAGACTCCCCACATAATGAACAATTTTGCTTCTTTCATGCATAACAAATTGGATAACAAAAGGCCATCTAGAAACCTGATTATGTGTGTACACATAACCTGGAACCTGGAAAAAGAATGTTCAGTTTCAAGTCACATTTTAGACACTCACTACCTGCGTGACCTTGGACGGTTACTCATTCTGTGCATTTATTATGTCTATAAAGAGAGAATATTTGTCATTGTTAACTCCCCAGGTTGGTGGGGTGTAAAGTACTTGGAACACTGCCTGTCACATACTGAGTGTTCAACACATGTTAGTTACAATTGCATAATATAGCATTATATAAGTTATATTATAGGAAATGGTGACTTTTAAAAAATTTACGTAAGCTCAACTAAGATCTGGGTGCATCTTTACAAGAAGGCAGTTTATATGAATTGTAACAAATGAAACATATTATATTTGTAAAATATCAATAAGAATTTTCTCTCTAGACTTCCCTCCAGCTTTCTTTTGCAATGTTGCTTTTGAAGAATGGAAAGGAATTGTCATTCATTTGCCTCAAATTAGGTAATTGTCACAGACAACTGCTGTTCCAGGGAAAGTAATAAAAGCTTTCAGGAATCATTCTTCTTTGAAGGAGTTGCACAGTCCTGCCCTAGGATGTTCACTTTGAGTTCTGAATGAAACCTTCTATTTCTGTCCCTTAAGAAGAAGAAAAAGCAAGAGTCTAGACTGGAACTAGTATAAGAAATAACAAAATGCTCTTTAATATTATTTTAAGTTAAGAATTTTAAGACAGGCCAGGAGCAGTGGCTCATGCCTGTAATCCCAGCACTTTGGGAGGCTGAGGTGGGCCAATCCCTTGAGTCCAGGAGTTCAAGACCAGCCTGGCCAACCTAGTAAACCCCCATCTCTACTAACAATATGAAAATTAGCTGGACTTGGTGGTGCATGCCTGTAATTCCAGCTACTCAGGAGGCTGAGGCAGGAGAATAGCTTGAACCCTGGAAGCAGAGATTACAGTGAGCACTCCAGCCTGGCCAACAGAGTGAGTGAGATTCCAACTTAAAAAAAAAAAAAAGAAAAAAGAAAAAAAGAATTTTAAGACAGTAAGACAGCAATGAATGCTTTTGACAATCCTTAGTACCTAGATAACTGGAAATTTCCATCTCTATAGAGAAAAGAAAATAAAAGGAGCACACCAAAGATAAGAGCTTCCCCTGATTTCGAAATATACCTAAGATAGCTCCTCCTGCCATTTTTTCAGCATCTGCCAAATTTAGCCAATGACTAGTTCTGTATCCTTATACTCGATGAAGCTATGAAGTCACTTTCCTTCCTCACACAGTGTTGAAGGCCTAGGATAACACTGTCAAGGACCGGCAACTGCTTATGTTTGATGTAGCACAGCACTGTCATTAAGAACATGGGCTTGAGCTGTCCCGAGTCATGTGATCTCAGGAAGTGCAGTGACTTCTTTGTGTGCATGTCATTATCTGTGAATGGGTGATCATAAGCACGCCTATTTCACTGGATTGTCAGAACATTAAATGAGATAATGAAGTAAACATTGTCCTTAATGATACCATCATCATCACAGACTCCAATTGGTCTTAAAGTTAACTAACATTTTTAAACTCAAACATCCTTATGAGATGCAGTTCTATTTTTATTTACTTTTTATAGACAAGCATCATTTTGTCAGTCTTCTCTGTAAAGTAGTGGTTAGAAATGAGCCCCCTACTCTACATGTGATCTAACTACTATAGCACACAGATGAAGTCTTCCCCCTTGCCCATTTGTTCTTGCCCCAGACTTCTATTCATTCTACCTTTTGTAATAGGTATAGAGGCTCACCACACTTTAGGTGTATATTAACTTTATGAACAAATAAAATCCCTAGGTCTTTTCCTGAGGAGTTGCTATTATGCCAAGTTTTTCTCATTCTATAATTTTGTGGTGATTTTTTTAATCCTAAGTGCTACATGATAAAATGATTTTGATTAAAGGCTGCACTGACTTGGCTTACGATGTATGGCTTCAGACCCTGTAGGTAAATAGAATAAAGTCAATGAAGTTAATTCCTATGGTATGGTTTTGAAAGCCCAGTCTTATATCTATCTCTTTCACCAGACTGTGAGCTATGTGAAGCTGGAGTTTCAGTCTTGATCATCTTTTTATCTTTTGGGCAAAAGTGTACACTCACTACATGCTGAACTTCTAACCTCTGTATTGTAAAGTAATGGTTTGCTCCCTACATTTTAATCAAACACATGCAAAATAATCCTTATAGATTTGTGAGCATTGCATCAATTTCTTCATAATGCAGTATTTCAAATGAGGCAATGACAAGGGCACACATCTGGCTTACAGGCGATGCTTCATTTTAACACAATGCTGTAGCTGCCAAGAGGATATAATACATATCATAGATAATACATTTCCAAACTAATACAACATGGCCTATTATCAGTGCTGAAAATGAATTAGATATCCAGAAACCAATGATGTTAACTATGTGAAACTCATGGAAACTTTACATAGAGAAATATAAAAACAACTTTAATGCTATAAACCTAATTAAAATACTGATTAACAGTGTTCTTGCATCATTATACAAGCAACTCAAAGAATAACAACTGCCTTCATGATCATTTATTATTAACAATGGGAAAATATGATTTCCATTAGAATAGATACCCTGAAATGAAATGAATGTGCTCTCCAAAGATATGGTTACCAATCTTTCCTTTCTCATATTCTTCAAGTCTCCCCACTTCCTTCCTACCTTTCCAGGCACCCAGGGTTACAAAAAAAAAAAGAAAAAGTACTCTTCCACCCAAAGTTACTATAGATGCACAAAATCAGAGTAGCTAAGGGCCAACACTTTGGATGTTAGCTGTCAGAGGTTCAGACCATTTCCCTCCGCTTACTTGGGTAAATTATTTCACCTGCATTAGCCTTAGTTTTCCCATATATAATGTTGTGATTACCCAGCTGCCAGAGCCAGAAAAGGTATAAACATTTATTGGAATTATATTACAGATCACCTAACACAGTGCCTAGTATATAGCCCCCTGTCCCCCTAACTTCTCTCTCTCCTTAAAAAAAAAAAAAAAAAAAAAAAAAACCTATAGTTCTCAGACCTGGATAGGAGACTTTAGAAAAGAAAATACCGGATTGCCGGGACCCTCTAGCAGAGCTGGGCTGTGGGGTTGAGTGTAGTAATCATAATCAGGGTCCACACCAAGCAGGAAGCCTAGGTCCTAACAAGCGCAAAAATGCTGTTCAGAAGGCCTGTGACTGGGACAGCTCCACAAGCAGCTCTAGATCAATGTTAGTTATATGTGAAGGAATCCATGGACAGGAAGGAAACACCACGATTTCTCTTTTGAAGACTTGTGGTCAGCTGAAGAAATCAGCCATGAGAACATAAGACATTATGGAACATTATACCTTTAAATCAGGATGCTGCATTTTTTTTTTCACTTGGGGATCTGGGTTAGTAAACAATGAGAGAAAGTTCAACTCCAAACTAACAGAAAGATTCACAAAATAACAAAGCTGGAAAGGACTATACACTTAACATTTTGATCTTGTGATTTCACAATGAAGAAGCAAAGTATTCAGAAAGAATGTGACTTGACCAAGGACACAGAGCTAGTTAGCTGCAGAGCCAGGACTTAAAGCTGGGTCTCCTGATTTCTGCTGAGTTAAAAGTCTGATTTCCATACATTTAATCTACAGATAGTGAAATCGCATCAATAAGAAAGCTTCATATATAAACCACAGAAACAAAAGGAATATCATCTGATGGATGCTCATAATTTAGAAAGAAATGTTTAGACTATTGTTTAATTAAATTTGCTTCGGCTAAGTGATTAATGTTTGTAACCATTTCCCACTTTTATATGCCACCTGGAATTGTAGTATGACTGGAGGTATATTTAAGCCACTAAAATACTGAATTATAAGGGATATCAGGAGAATTTTTGAATTAAAAGCTTGCCTCAAACTTCAGAATGTCACTGCAAAAATAACTCAGCAATACAGAGTATTCCATAATAAGGAACATTTCTTCATGAATGAATTGACCCAACCCTGATGATTAGATAGAAAATTTAGATAAATATATTAGAAGAGGGAATTTAATGAAGATTAGAAACCTCATTGAGGTCAACAGGCCCACATGAACAGTAAAGGTATAACCTGTGTGTTTAGATCCCACATCTGAGCAAGGTTCAGGAACTCTAAGAGGTGACCCAATGGCCATTATTATACAGCTCCCTGTGAGTTCTGTATTCTTCCCTGCCTACCTCACTGAGATTCTGCCCTACCCTTCTCTTTTATGTTCAATTGATTGGTCCCTCCCCACACACTTTCCTTCCATTCCTTCAAACATGCTCAAATCTTTCAAAGATTTGACCCTCTGCTTCCTTGACCCTAATTCCATCTCCTCACCAGCCTCCTCTCTCCTACTCATCGCATTCCAGCTTAATGGAGGCAAGTCTTCTCCATCTTCATTTCCATTCCTCTCTCACACGTATAAGATGAGTGCATTTTGCTTATTGTTCCATCATTCCTGAGAAACTGTGTCACCAATAATTAAGATCATTGTTCACAGGTTGAATAACTTATATTTAGTTCCAGTCCTGTGTGAACTCTTCAATATTCAGCTATCTATTCTTTATGGAAACTCTCTTTCCTTCAGAACTCTGCACTGGCTTCCTTCTCAACAAATTTCAAGCAAAAATCTCAATTAAATATCCTGCATATATAATAGGTAGATTTGGTGTTGAATTGTCGTACTAATGCCCACTGCTACCCTGTGTTTCATTGAGAAGAAAATTAATATTTTTATCTCTCATTAATTTCTCTCTCCATTCACAGGAATCATATTTGACCTTTTAAATCTTCATCCCAAAAAACTTCTATGAAATCATATATCTGATAAGGGCCTGCATCTAAAAGATATGAAGAACTTTTATAATTCCATAATGAAATACAATAACCCAAGTAAAATATGAGCAAAAAATATGAATAGCATTTCTTCAAAAAAATTGCCGATAAGCATAAGAAAAATGCTCCACATCATTAATCACCAGGGAAGTAAATATCAAAACCACAGTGAGATTGTACACAGACCCACTAGGATGACTGTAACCCAAAGCAGATAATAATAAGTGATGACAAGGATGTGGAGAAACAGAAACACCCAAACACTGTAGGTGGGAATGTAGAATGGGACAGCCACTTTATAAAATAGATTGGAAGTTCCTCAAAAAGTTAAACACAAGAGTTACCAGGTGAACCAATCATTCTATTTCTAAGTATATACCCAAGAGAAATGAAAACAATGTCCATGTAAAAACTTGTACATGAGTGTTCACAGAAGCATTATTCATACTAGCCAAAATGTACAGACAACCCAAATGTCCCTCCATTGATGAATGCATGAGTAAAGTATGGTATATCCATTCAATGGAATATTATTTGGAAATTAAGAAATTAGGTACTAATATATTTTATGACACGTATAAATCTTGAAAACATTATGTTAAGGGGAAAAAACAGAAAGAGAAGACTATATAATGTATGATATGTATGATATAATTTATCTAAGATATCCAGAATAAGCAAATCCATAGAGACAGAAAGTAAATTAGTAGTTGTTTAGGACTGGGAGAAGGGGAAGGGGAATGGGGTGAGAGTGAGAAAGAAGGAATGACTGCTAACGGGTTCAGTATTTCTTTTTAGGGTGATGAAAATATTTTAAAATTGTGGCAATAAAAGCAAAACTCTGTGAATATACCAAAAGATATTAAATTGCTTAGCTTTAATGGGTAAATTGTATGATGTGTAAATTCTATCTCGATAAAGCTGTTATATTAAAAAATATATATGAGAACCAAAATAGGCAGGGATACACATTCCTTTTCAAGTACTTTAAACATGAAGAATCCAGGTTTGGACCGGGTTTGGTAGCTCATGCCTGTAATCCCAGCACTTTAGGAGGGCAAGGCAGATGGATCACATGAGGCCAGGAGTTCGAGACCACCCTGGCCAACTTGGTGAAACTCTGTCTCTACCATGATAAAAATACAAAACTTAGCCAGGTGTGATGACACGCATCTGTAATCCCAGCTACTCGGGAGGCTGAGGCACGAGAATCGCTTGAACCTGGGAGGCGGAGGTTGCAGTGTCTGAGATAGCACTACTGCCCTCTAGTCGGGGTGACAGAGAGAGACTCTGTCTCAAAAAAAAAAAAAAAAAAAGAAAGAAAGAAAAAAGTAAAAAAAAGAATACAGGCTTATTATAGTAAACTTGTATACAAAAAATTGGTCCAGTGTTTATATCAATTAAATGCCACAACAAATAGGAATAAAAGCATGATCTTACATGCTTATAATGTTCTTCTCTTGTCAAAAAACAACTTTAAAAAGCAGCTGAAACTGTTAGTTAATATTATCAGAAAGATCTACATATCAATTATGCCTAAAGCCATTATTTTTGGCACTCACACCATAAATCTAGACTCTAGAGTGATAATTTTATACCATCTGCTCTTAAACTTGAACATGCATCAGAATTACCTGGAGGGCTTGAGAGAATACAGATTGCTGAATGCCATCCCAGAATTTCTGATGCAGTAGGGTTGGGATGATGCCTTTAACACGTTTCCAGGTGATGCTGATTCTGCAAAGCCTAGGAACCACATTTTAAGAGCTCCTTATGCTATACTAATCAACTTAGTTGTCTTGTGGTCATAATTACGGCTAACTTATCCTGATTGGGTCAAATACAGTTATACTCAAAAATCAAACCCATTATATAAGGCATATGGCAGATTAAAGTTGCAATAGTAGAAGCATTGCTTGATTGAAAAAGGGTATAAGACTCAGCAGTGTAATGAATAGGCCAACTCTTGAATTTGAAATATACAGTAAGACTTAAGCAGTGGTAGCAGGAGCAGAATTGGAAGTCCCAAAGAAAGTCAGACATCAGGCCGGGCATGGTGGCTCACACCTGTAATCCCAACACTTTGGGAGGCCGAGGTGGGTGGATCACCTGAGGTCAGGAGTTTGAGACCAGCCTGACCAACATGGAGAAACCTCATCTCTACTAAAAATACAAAATTAGCCAGGCGTGGTGGCACATGCCTGTAATCCCAGCTACTCGGGAGGCTGAGGCAGGAAAATCACTTGAACCTGGGTGTCAGAAGTTGTGGTGAGCCGAGATCGTGCCATCGCACTCCAACCTGGGCAACAACAGTGAAACTCCGTCTCAAAAACAACAACAACAACAACAACAAAAGTCAGATGTCAGCGAATGAGATTAATGCCAGAGAACTAGAAGAGACATTAATAGAGTCCTGCTCCTTGAAGAGAGTGGGGGGAAGCAACGAGATGACAGTCACTCGGGCATCACTGCATCTTAATGGGTTTCCAGTTCCTAAGCCACATTCTCATTCCCATGTGGCCCAGTGATGCAGCAGTAAGAGGTTGTCCCAGCACAACCTCTGACACTTGGATGTGCTGCTATTTCTGCAATGCTGCGAGTTTCACTGTGTCACTAAGATATTTGTCCTCGTGATTTCCAGTGTTAATCCCTACAGTAACCTGTCTTTACTTGAGATATTTGAGTGGGTATATTTCTTTGAAAGCTAATTAACAAATTCCAAAAAGATCTTAATGTGACAGGTTGATGGACCAGCTCTAACAAGTTGATTCTTAATATAGATATGCACTTATTACAGGATTCTAATTTGGTATTTGATAACCACATGAAGTACTAGACAAAAAGAACACAACAAAATAAAAATGAACTTCTGTTAATGCTGATAGAAATATACAAATAGAAAAAGAAGATAGCACCTATACTACACTAGGTCAAAACAAATCTGATTTTTGTGTTCAGTTATCACCATAATTTCAACAAAAGCAAGGACAAAACAAGGGCATGCCTAGAGTAAAGTTAAAGGGTATAGAAATCATGTAACTGATTAAGGGTTAAAGCAATTGACATGTTTAGATAAGAAAAGTTAAAGAAAGGTAGAACAGGAAATGAATATAATGTTTGTTTAATGATTTACTGCTGCCCTAAATAGCATTCGCTGCTTAAAAAAAATTAATTCCATAGGCCAAATTTCAGAAACTCGGATGACTGTATATCCCTCTGAAATATATCCAGCATAGATTAGCAAATAGAACATGGCTGCCCATGAACTCCTTATGCTATACTAATCAACTTAGTTGTCTTGTGGTCATACTTACAGCTAACTTACCCTGATTGCGTCAAATATAATTATACTCAAAAATATTTTGTTAGGTCAGTCGCCATAGCTCACACCTGTAATCCTAGCAATTTAGGAGGCCAAGATGGGAGGATTGCTTGAAGCCAGGAGTTTGGGATCAGCCTGGGCAACAAAGTGAGACCTCATCTCTATAAATTTTTTTTTTTTAAATTAGGCAAGTGTGGTGGTGCATGCTGTAGTCCCATCTACCGGGGAGACTGAGACGGAAAGATCGCTTGGGCTCAGGAATTCAGGTTAGAGTGAGCTATGATCATGCCACTGTACTCTAGCCTGAGCGAGAGGGGGAAACCCTGTCTCAAAAAAAAGAAAAGTGTGTGTATTATCCCAAAAATGCATTTCTGAAGTACTGAAATAACCTATAGTTTGAACTATTGTTTTCCAAAATAATTTGACTGTAGTTCTCCCCCCTTTTTGTGGTAATATCTATTAATAGATATTAATTATTCCATAGAGTTCCATAGAATTAATGTTCTGTGGAACACAATTAGGAAAATGTTACATTAGACATAGCATATACAGTTCTGGGTAAAATTAAAAAGTAGCAATTAGTATAGAAGACTTACATCCAATGTAGGGGATACTTGTATTAATTAGAAGAGTCCAAAAGCATAATGGGTAGCCCATCTGGCTGAGAACCCACAGGAAGGGTTTTCAGGGAAGGCTGGATTACCACTTGTTAGCATTTCTGTTGACGGGATACATGGTTTGAGTAATTAGCTGAATTAGATCAGTAGTTCCCACATTCTTAGATCTATGAAAGCACACATGTGGAAATCAGAGGTGGAACCCCAATTTAGGGCTAACCACTTCTGATTTTATCAATTAGTGACATCAATGATCATTTATTATCACCTTCATTTCACAAAAGAATGTCCATTTTAATAACAAAAAGTCAGGAAGGACATCATTTTCAAACTAAAGGAAGAAAGTAATGTTAGGCCAATAACTATCTTTATTTTTCTCATTTTGAAGTCTTAGGCCAATATTATTTTTATTTTTCTCATTTTGTAACAAGATTCTTTGTCTTCACTAGTCCTTGATCATGAACTCAGGCTTTGTAACCCTGTCTTTTATGATTTCACAGCTTCGTTCTACAAAATTCTCTACAATTTTAGGGAAATCCCCCGTCAATGTCAGGTAATAATTTACGATGATGAGAAAAGGCTAAGGGACAGTTAGAAAGGGCAAAAAAGGACAGAACATGAATCTGAGGATATTCCTCCAAAGGGTTGATGTTAAAAATCAACAGGACAGAATGGGAACAGGGTTGTTTTATTTTCTTGAATATCAGGAATGTTTTCACCTTAGCTCAAATGAGCCACAGCGCTAATTCACAGCTGGAAATATATCCTCAAAACTCCTCAGTGACCAGTAAAAAAATGTCGGTATACAGAGACTGAGGTGAGAAGGGCACTTGAGCCCAGGAGTTTGAGACCAGCCTGGGTAACATACTGAGACCCTGCCTTTGAAAATATTTTTAAAATTAGCTGGGTTGGTGGCATGTGCCTGTAGTACCAGCTACTCCAGAGGCTGAGGTGTGAGGATGGCTTGAGCCCAGGAGTTCGAGGTTGCAGTGAACTATGATCATGCCATTGCATCCTGGCCTGGGCAGCAGAGCTAAGGCACCACATGTCTTTAAAAACGTGTCTGCATATGGTAGGCACAGAATAGCCTTATAGGAACCAAATGATGTCACCTCTTTTTCTAACACTGGGCTTTGCTTTTCTTTTTAACCAAACTCTTCAACCAATATTGTATACACACTCTCTGTTCCAAGGCCTAGCTGGGAGTCAGACTGAAAGCACTAATGAATGTCCAGCCATTTGTGATTGCAAAGCACCTGTTGAGCACCTGGGACCAGAATTGTGTAACATGACCCCATCCCTTTCCTAGTAGTCAGATGTCTCGTGGATATTTCAACTGGGAAGCTGAGGTTTCATGTGTCTCCCCATATATGTTCTGATGATAACTATAGCTCAAAGTTTGACTTCAATTGATCTCATTTATAACCTGCTAAATATATGTTTTATTCTCCAAATGCTTAAAATTTTAATTAAAAAAAATCTATGGAGGACTATCAAACAAACCTTCAAGAAAATTACTTTCTTATTTCATGAGAACCTAGAAGTAAACAATGAATGCTTTCACAATGCAAGCAAACTATTTGTCATTAAAAGTACGACAAAAACCACAATTACTTTTGCACCAACCTAATAATAGATGGCTTTTAAATCTTTTTATATCATCGTCTTTACAGTGACTTAAAATATCTAGCTAGTTTTCCATAAAAACACTACTAGCAATATTACAGATTGAAAAAGATCATCAAAATTTCAATGAGCCTGATTCTATGCAAATTCTGTATCTGAATGTAATTTAATGATACTATAAAAACCTCAGGGAAAAATATCTAAGTGAAAATACACACAGGGACGTCACTTAGTCTGAATTTCAATTTATTTTGTCATAGTCATGAAAGCACTTTGTATCAGTAATCTAAAATCAAAAAGTAGTTAACCTAATCTAATTTTTTGTCAATTGTTGGAGCAAAACCAATTTTCAATTACAGCGGGAGTCTATGAGGCTAGTGTGCACAACGCTGAAAAACCATCTGGAACAATAATATTCCTCCTACATGAAATTTATCAGCCAGAAAAGATGGTGGACATCTTAGAACCTCAGCCTTCTGCTATGAGCTCATAGCTGAAATAGGGAGGCCTGGTGAATCTGGCTGTTTATAAAATCGTCTGTCAGTGGAGATTATTCTGTCTCTGTTGCTGCTGCTAGGCTGCTCTGATTACTTAGCACTGAAGTTGCTAAAATCATGGACCATTTTATCTAAACAGACCTAGATCAAAGGAAAATGTTCACTTGAATTCAACCTTGTATCTATAATTAATAGTTTGAACTCACTAAATATCATTTATGTGACCTCTGTAAGTATAAATGTGAGAACATTTAACTTTCCAAATTCTGAGAAATTAAAACACATTCAAAGGCTCAAACCTAGTTATTATGAAAAATAGATATTTCTAAATACTTGGAAATAGCATTAGCAAGTTAGATGGTATTGAACAATTAACTGATTTTGACCATAATAAAAATGAGTTTGTCTGACCCATCAGTAGGAAAACTTTAATGCTACCCAATAAAGAAAATGTAATCATTAAAAAGAGAAGGAAAATGCATAAATGTTAAATATGACTATAAAGCAGTAGTAGGAAAAAAGTAATTATAACACTATGGTGTATTTCCCAGACATCAAATGGCAAATATCCAGGGAAGAAGATGATTAGCCATGCTCCTTATATAGGCAGTGATCTATGTGTGTCTAGTAAAAGAAGACTCCAGTAGGCTGTAATATTTGTATGCTTATAAGATCATTTTTAGCCCTTTCTAGGCAATTATGTAATGTTTAAGCTGTTTCAATACACTGAATCTACCAACCTAAGTGCCAAATGAAGGTGGGAGATACACGAGTGACTTCTGTAATACGGATCATATACCATTGACACTACTTTGGCTAGGAGCCGATTTTAAGTAATTCCTATTACATCAGTAATTCCAAACTTTTTGATTTTACATTCTGATTTTTAAAAAAGACATCAGGGCTGGGTGCAGTGGCTCACACCTGTAATCCCAACAGTTTGGGAGGCCAAGACAGGCAGATAACTTGAGGTCAGGAGTTCAAGACTGGCCTGGCCAACATGGTGAAACCCTGTCTCTACTAAAAATACAGAAACTAGCCAGGTGTGATGGCACACACTTGTAGTCCCAGCTGCTCAGGAGGCTGAGACAGGAGAATCACTTGAACCTCGGAGGTCGAGGTTGCAGTGAGCTAAGATCATGCCATTGCACTCCAGCCTGGGTGACAGAGGGAGACTGTCTAAAAAGATATTAAAGAACACCCTATCTTCCATCTATAACCAGTACCATAGAAGAAACCATATTTTACCATGAAAAGTATAGAAAGGTCATAATTTTAGAATAAAGTGAATTTTATCCAAGAAGGATGCCTAGTAATTTTATGCCAACATTCTCTCCATAACATGTTAGCACCTGGATGGGTACTGTGTTATACCTGATTCCTCACTAAAACCACACGCACATTAAACAACCAGTAAAAAAAATTTATTGTTTAATGCACTTTTGTGTTTACATATTGAAATTAGCCTTAAAGTTTATGGGAAAGGGAGGGGATTTAAAAATAAGCATAAAACACAAGTTGGGCAACTGTAATACAGCCATCCCTTAGTATCTATGAAGGATTGGTTCCAGGTCCTACCAAGGATACCTAAATCCAAGGATACTCAAGTTCCAGGTATAAAATGATACAGAACTTACATATAACTATATACATCCTCCCAGAGACTTTAAATCATCCCTAGATACTTATAATACCTAATATAATGCCTACACATTACTTCATTCATGTGGATTCAACATAGTACTTGCTGTGGGCCAAATTCAAATTTTTAAGAACTTTGTAAATTTTTTTCCCTGAATATTTGCAATCTGAGGTTGGTTGAATCTATGAATATGGAACTCATGGATATCGAGGGTGACTTGTATATTCTGAATTTCCACAATTTATAAAAACATAATTCATCTACTGATAAAAGGCAAGGTAAAATGTTTCTATAGATGACATCTCTTTTATACAGATTGAGTATCCCTTATTTGAAATGCTTGGGACCAGTAATGTTTTGAATCTTGGATACTTTTGGATTTTGGAATATTTGCATTTATGATGAGATAACTCAGGGGTGGCACCCAAGTCCAAACCCAAAATTCACTTATGTTTCATATACACCTTATACACATGGCCTGGAGATAATTTTATATAATATTTTCAATAATTTTTTGCATGAAATGGTTTTGACTCTGTTTTGACTGTGACCCATCACATAAGGTCAGGTGTAAAATTTTTCATTTGCGGCATCACATCAGTACTCAAAAAGTTTGAGATTTTGGAGCATTTCAAATGTTGGGTTTTCAAATTAGGGATGCTTAACATGTATCATAGGGGAGAGGCCAAGATGGCTGACTAGAAGCAGCAGTGTTCTAAGGCTGCCATCGAAAAAAAAAAAACATAATAAGCATGTGAATTCTTTACCAGCAACCAAGGTATCCAGGTTCTCTCATCAAAATTGATTAGAAGGCTGGTGTGACTCACAGAGAGAAGGAAGAACAGTGTGGTGTGGCAGGCCACCTGAGAGCCACAGGGAGATGGGGAACCCCCTCCCCCCAGCCAAGGGAGGTGTTGATTGAGCACACTACCCAACCAGGGAAACTGCTTTTTCCATGAAACTGTGCTACCCACAGATTGGAAGATACCAGTTGCGAACCCATGCCACCAGGCCTACTGTTCCAACCCTGGAACAGGCAGATTCTTACAGCCTCTCAGCTGGAATCTGCCTAAGCCTGCTGAACTCCTGGGGGGAGGGGCAACCAGCACAGTTGTGACTGCCTGCTGTCTAAGTCCTTTGAGCTCCTTGTGGGAGAGGCAGCAGTCAGCACTGGGACTCGCAACTGCCTAACAAGCTAAGCTCCCTGGGCAGGGGAAGGGCAGCACCCATTTCTCTAGTTCCAGGCTGTGCTTTTCCCCTGCTGGAGCCAGGGAGGCTTTGTCTCAAGACTTGTCCCCACAGCCCAACACACCTGCTGTGGCAGTCTGCCACCAGAGTGTTTCTTCAGGCCTATCCTTCCTCATTGGGTGAGGCTTCCCTGCAGGAAGAGTTATTGGAGAACACAGTACAATCAAAGTAGAACTCAGTATCAAGAAACTCACTGAAAACCACACGATTTCATGGAAACTGGAAAACCTGCTCCTGAATGACCCCTGGGTACATAATGAAATTAAGGCAGAAATCAAGAAGTTCTTTGAAACCAATGAGAACAAAGAGACAACGTAGCAGAATCTCTGGGACATAGCGAAAGCAGTGTTAAAAGGAAAACTTATAGCACTAAATGCCCACATCAGAAAGCTAGAGAGATCTCAAATCAACACCCTAACATCACAATTCAAAGAGCTAGAGAGGCAAGAGCAAACTAATCCAAAAGCTAGCAGAAAACAAGAAATAACTAAGAGAAGACTTGAAGGAGATAGAGACACAAAAAAACCCTCCAAAAAAATCAATGAATCCAGAAGCTGCTTTTTTTTTGAAAAAACTAACAAAATAGACTGCTAGCTAGGCTAATAAAGAAGAGGGAGAAGAATCAAATAGACACAATAAAAAAAGATAAAGGGATATCACTACTGACCCCACAGAAATAAAAATTACTATCAGAGAATACTATAAACACCTCTATGCAAACAAACTAGAAAATCTAGAAGAAATGGATAAATTCCTGGACGCATACATGCTACCAAGACTAAACCAGGAAGAAGTCAAATCCCTGAATAGACCAGTAACAAGCTGTGAAATTGAGGCAGTAATTAATAGCCTACCAACCAAAAAAAAAAAGCCCAGGACCAGACGAATTCACAGCTGAATTCTACCAGAGGTACAAAGAGGAGCTGGTACCATTCCTTCTGAAACTATTCCAAACAACTGAAAAGAAGGGACTCTTCCCTAACTCATTTTATGAAGCCAGCATCATCCTGATACCAAACCCAGAAAGAGACACAAGAAAAAAAGAAAACATCAGGACAATATCCCTGATGAACATGGATGGGAAAATTCTCAATAAAATACTAGCAAACCAAATCCAGCAGCACATGGAAAAACTTATCCACAATGATCAAGTTGGGTTCATCCCTTGGAAGCAAGTCTAGTTCAACATATGCAAATCAATAAGTGTAATCCATCACATAAACAGAACCAAAGACAAAATCACATGATTACCTCAATAGATGTAGAAAATGCCTATGATAAAATTCAACATCCCTTCATGTTAAAAACTCTCAATAAACTAGGTATTGATGGAATATATCTCAAAATAATAAGAACATTTATGACAAACCCACATAAAATATCGTCTTCAATGGGCAAAAGCTAGACTCATTCCCTTTGAAAACTGGTATAAGACAAAGTTGCCCTCTCTCACCACTCCTCCTCAACATAGTACTGGAAGTTTTGGCCAGGGCAATCAGGCAAGAGAAAGAAATAAAGGCTATTCAACTAGGAAGAGAGGAAGTCAAGTTGTCTCTGTCTGCAGATGGCATGATTTTATATTTAGAAAACCCTATCGTGTCAGCCTCAAAACTTCTTGAACTGATAAGCAACTTCAGCGCAGTCTCAGGATACAAAACCAATCTGCAAAAATCAAAAGCATTCCTTTACACCAACAATAAGCAAGCAGAGAGCCAAATCATGAATGAACTCCGATTCACAATCACTACAAAGAGAATAAAATACCTAGAAACACAGCTAAGAAGGGATGTGAAGGACCTCTTTAAGGAGAACTACAAACCACTGCTCAAGGAAATAACAGAGGACACAAACAAATGGAAAAACATTCCATCCTCATGGATAGGAAGAATCAATGTCGTGAAAATGGCCAAACAGCCCGAAGTAATTTAGAGATTCAATACTATTCCCATCAAACTATCACTGACATTCTTCACAGAATTAGAAAAAAACTATTTTAAATTTTATATGGAATCAAAGAAGACCTCGTATAGCCAAGACAATCCCAAGCAAAATGGACAAAGCTGGAAGCATCACACTACCTGACTTCAAACTATATTACAAGGCTACAGTAACCAATACAGCATGGTACTTGTACCAAAATAGACATATAGACCAATGGAGCAGAACAGAGACTTCAGAAATAACACGACACATCTACAACCATCTGATCTTCAACAAACCTGACAAAAACAAGCAATGGGGAAAGGATCTCCTATTCAGTAAATTGTGCTGGGAAAACTGACTAGCCATATGCAGAAAACTGAAACTGGACCCCTTCCGTCATCTTATAAAAAAATTAACTCAAGATGGATTAAAGACTTAAATGTAAAACCCCAAACCATAAAAACCCTAGAAGAAAACCTAGGCAATACCATTCAGGACATAGGCACAGGCAAAGGCTTCATGACTAAAACGTCAAAAACAATTGCAACAAAAGCCAAAATTGACAAATGGGTTCTAATTAAAATAATGAGCTTCTACACAGCAAAATAAACTGTCATCAAAGTGAACAGGTAACCCACAGTATGGGAGAAAATTTTTGCAATCTACCCATCTGACAAAGGTCTAATATTCAGAATTTACAAGGAACTTAAACATATTTACAAGAAAAAACAAACAACCCCATCAAAAAGTGGGCAAAGAATATGAAAAGATACTTCTCAAAAGAAGACATTTATGCAGCAAACATATGCAAAATAGCTTAACATCACTGATCATCAGAGAAATGAAAATCAAAACCACAGTGAGATACCATCTCATGCCAGTCAGAATGGTGATTATTAAAAAGTCAGGAAACCATAGATGCTGGCAAGGCTGTGGAGAAATAGGAATGCTTTTACACTGTTGGTAGGAATGCAAATTAGTTCAACCATTGTGGAAGACACTGTGGTGATTCCTCAAGGATCTAGAACCAGAAATACCATTTGACCCAGCAATCCCATTACTGGGTATATACCCAAAGTAATATAAATCATTATACTCTAAAGACACATGCACAAGTATGTTTATTGCAGCACTATTTACCATAGCAAAGACATGGAACCAACCCAAATGCCGATCAACTGCAGACTGGATAAAGAAATCATGGTACATATACACCACGGAATACTATGCAGCCAGAAAAAGGAATGAGATCATGTTTTTGCAGGGACATGGATGAAGCTGGAAGCCATCATCCTCAGTAAACTAACACAGGAACAGAAAACCAAACACCGTGTGTGTTCTCACTCATAAGCAAGAGTTGAACATTGAGAACACATGGACACAGAGAGGGAAACAACACACATCAGGGCCTGTTGGGGGGTGGGGGTTGAGGGGAGGGGTCTTAGAGGACAAGTCAATAGGTGCAGCAAACCACCATGGCACACATACACCTATGTAACAAACCTGAAAACTGTGCACATATATCCCATTTTTTTAAGAAGAAACAAAAAATAAAAATAAAAAATAAAATAAAATGCAATAAAACAAAACAAAACACATACCATGTCCTTAATTATTCAGATGTGTCAGATTTGTTGAATCTCTTAAAATGTATAATAATGAGAAACTGGTTATATTCATGAAAATGGTTTTCCATTACCTTGGTATCTTTTCTTTTTTTATTATATCTTATTTTTCTGTCATATGTTTATATTAAGGATACAATATGAATTATTTTCATAAACTTTGAAGAACATAGAGAAATCCTTTTGAATTTAGAAATCAGATCATGTCAAGACTCTGCTTTCAACACTCAATTATTCCTATCACTGAATTTCTCTAAATTTACATTTCATATGAACTCTCACCTGTAACCTAGTAAGGGAGGGCAAAATTTCCCATCACATTTAGAACACACTCCAGTCTTTCTCTTGGCCTACATGCCTCCCTGCTACCTCTCTAAGCTCAGTTCCTGGGACTCTCCCCCTTATTGGCTGTTTTCCACCTACCTGGCTTCCTAGACAGTTCCCCAAGCATACCAGATACTTTTCAGTCTCAGGTTCTTTGTCCTTTCTGTTTCTCTGCCTGAAATGGTTTTCCTCTAAAAGTTGTATAGTTCATTTCTGCTTAAATGTCACTTCTGAGGAGCCTCTTCATACCAACTCCCCAATCCTCTACCATCATACTCTATCTTTATGAGCTGCTTATTCTTCAAAATACATATCACTATCTGTCATGCTGACATATTTTTTATCTATATCTGTCTTCAGCACAGATATAGATAAAAATTAATCTAAGCTTCATGAGAGCAGAAATTTCTGTCATTCATCATTCTCTCCACAGCATTAAAAATAGTACAATGTAGATGCTCAAAAATTTGTTGAATAAAGAAATGAATGAATATAAATATTTTTAAATTCTAATTTAATAAAAATAATATACTGCCTGTTTAGAAATAAATTATACTAATTTATCTCTAATTGAGCAAGAATTATTTTAAAATTATTCATTCATAAACTAACTTTAAATTATTCTCAAAGCTCATATCAATGAACCTACCCTTAAAAGTGGAACATAGATCGGGCGTGGTGGCTCATGTCTGTAATCCCAGCACTTTGGGAGGCCAAGGCGGGCAGATCACGAGGTCAGGAGATCGAGACTGTCCTGGCTAACACAGTGAAACCCTCTCTCTACTAAAAAATACAAAAAAATTAGCCGGGCATGGTGGCACGCACCTGTAGTCCCAGCTACCTGGGAGGCTGAGGCAGGAGAATCCCTTGAACCCGGGAGGCGAGGATGCAGTGAGCCGAGATCGCACCACTGCACCCCAGCTTGGGTAACAGGGCAAGACTCCGTCTCAAAAAAAAAAAAAAAAGGGAAACATAAAACTCAGTGTAAATGAATGCATTGAATTCTTTTATTGACCATATAATGGTAATGAAAAGTGATTGTTTAAACTGGAATAGTTTTATAATCAAGCTGGAAATTTTAAAAACAAATAAAAACCAAACAAAATGTAATACATGAAAGAAGATGGAGAATGTATCTATTCTTTTTTTTTTCTCTTCCTCAGTTATTTTCTCTTAATTTATGCTCCCCTAAACTTGAGTTACTCTACTCTGTCTCTTCTCCTTTACAAGCTGACCATTTCCACTTAACAGGAAGATTCTTTGGTTTCAGGCTCTCACACCCACTTTCTTCTCAGTACCGTAATGGAACAGTCATTCATTCAACATGAACTTACCACTGAGAAATACTCATATTATCTCACAGCTAAGCTTTTCCTATCACACAGAGTTCTCCTTTTAAAAAAAATTAGAAATATCAGCCTTATATTCATGTCTAACCTTTCTCTTTATTTTTTTTACTAGGATAACACAATGTTGATAATTTTATACACTTACAGAAAATAGTGTTTAAGACTTGACAGTCAATTTTATTTGATCATGCTGAAAGTAACATCTCTTAGCCTACATAACTATTTTGATAACTAAATTATATCGTAGACGATTTGCTGGTCTTTTACCTAATTGTTCAAGTCCACAAATGGGTGGTGTTTAGAAACTCTAGCCTTAAGGTTTGGAATGGACTACCCAGTTTTATGTTAAAGCTTCTACAGTCTAAGGAAATATTGGTGTGATAATTCACTGTAGATCTTCCACAAGAAAGTAAATTATGGTTCATTTGAGAATGATGAAAAGTCTTATTTCAAAGCATAAATCTAAATTATTTGACCTGGATGATATTCAAAAGGAAGATGATATATGTGACCCATTATCAACCCCTAAAGAACACTTGATTTTCATGTTTATATTTTTCCCCAAACCTGGTTGTAAGCTGGTGATAATCAATCAATTATTTCTAATGACTTATGACCAATGGCAAGTTTGAGAAGGAGGGCTGGTCAAGGTTACAGGTCTAGTAGGCTTTGGAAAAGAAAGAGAATAGAACTTATTAGTCCCTGTGGGGTTTGAACCTGCAACCTCAGGCTCATTAAATGCACAGGAAATCAAACTCCTCTATCTAGACCAAAACTTACCAAGCAATTCCTTTCAAGGATGTGATTTATGTCTAGTTGGCATTAGTTTTTAAAGACAAAATTAAAATATAGTGTTTTACTAATTATTTGACTATTCAAAGAGAAATAATTTGAGGGAGATACAAGAAGAAAAATATCCAAGTCTCTTATAAATGTCTAATTTTTAAAAAGTTATTCTAAAGGCACATAGCTCAAAGCCAAAAAATGGTTGCGGATTCTAAAAATGTAGTGTATTTAATTAAAGTGTCAATCCCAAATCAAAATAGTATTAATCATTTTACTAATGAAAGACTTTCAATTTGAAAAGGCATAGTTTGAATAGAAAGACATTGGCATTTTGTAGAATTAATTAAATTTAACTTTAACCCAAATAATGATACTTTACCTTAAAGTTTTATGTAATTTGGGAGGACACATTTTTCATTCCTCTTGAGCTTTTGTTTTGGCTATTCTATTCTTTTTTTTTTTTCTCTTCCTAGGTTATTTTCTCTTAATTTATGCTCCCCTAAACTTGAGTTACTCTACTCTGTCTCTACTCCTTTACAAGCTGACCATTTCCACTTAACAGGAAGATTCTTTGGTTTCAGGTTCTCAAACCCACTCTCTTCTCAGTACCGTAATGAAACAGTCATTCATTCAACATGAACTTACCACTGAGAAATACTCATATTATCTCTCACAACTAAGCTTTTCCTATCACACAGAGGTCTCCTTTTAAAAAAAAATTAGAAATATCAGCCTTATATTCATATCTAACCTTTCTCTTTATTTTTTCCTTCTTGACAACAATAGACCCTTCAAAATTCTGACTTTTCCTCCTTTACTATAAAACCGGGGCTAATAACTTCCCTTACAATCTCTATTTATCCACATTGTTCCCCCTGCAGGTCCTGATTGTTCCACAAATAGAGACAGTTCAAGTCTCTACTTCCTCTGCCATTGCAAATACAAGTACATTAGTATTGTCCCTGAGAGCCTGCAATTTAGCAGCACAAATAGGACAAGTAGTTTGCAAAACAGTGGCTATAGCAATTTTTGAGATAAGAGTTTGATTTCCCCATTCCACCTCCTTAAAATGAAGTGGCTGCTTCTGTCTCTCCAGAATTTTCTCATCCTAAATGCAGGTGCCAAAGAACAATATAGAATGATTCAACTTCTTCATTTATTCATTAAATAAGAAGTTAGACATAAATATTATAAGTAATGTGAATAATCTGACAAAGAAAACTTTCTGCATTTCTAATTTTGCATTTTTCTGAACTCTAAAATTCTAAAAAAAAATTATTACTTTTTTTGTTTTTGTTGTTGTTGTTGTTGTTTAGAGATGGAGTCTTGCCCTGTCACCCAGGCTGGAGTGCAGTGGTGTCATCTCTGCTCACTGCAACCTCTGCCTCCTGGTTTCAAGTAATTCTCCTGCCTCAGCCTCCTGAGTAGCTGGGACTACTGGTGTGCGCCACCATCCATGCAAATTTTTTGTATTTTTAGTAGAGATGGGGTTTCACCATGTTGGCCAGGCTGGTCTTGAACTCCTGACTTCAAGTGATCCACCCGCCTCGGCCTCCCAATGTACTGGGATTACAGGCGTGAGCCACTGCACCCAGCCTAAAAAAAATCATTATTTTTGGATAAAGAGAATAATTCAAATGTATTTATTTCCTATTAAAGTGTTATTGAAATTGCCAACATTCATAATAGTATTTTAAATGATATACATATGTAATGAAGATCATTCACCATTTCTAAATTTAGTCAAAACATTAATAACTTACCCAACTTAGGCTTTGTTATTTTTCCAATCTGTAGGCATGCAAAACGGAATATTTTGTTGACTTCTGATAAAATTCTACTAACAAACTGCAGTATTTCCCAGTTACCAGCACATTACTTGATGTTTATGAGGAACTAAATCTGGGAAAAGGGTGAGCATACATAATGGACCCTTTTCTAAAACTGAAAAAAAAAAGAAGATGAATTAACAAGTCTCTTTCGCAGAAACGTTATTTCTTCCAGGGCCTTGATGTCTACAATCCAGGTAGTTGCAACAAGATAGGGCTCTGCTGCATACCCTGAATGGCACAGTACTTTGTGACCAATAATCTCTGAATAATTTTCCCCACAGCAGAAATATTTACAATCGTATAAAAGAAAAGTGGAAGCTATCTGAAGGTCCAACCTAGATGGCTAAACAACACTACTGCCCTGCAATGATACACCAGCCTCTATAGGTGATGATGTGGCTCTATATCCACCAAATGGAGTGAGGGCCATAGAAACTGTTCACTAAAAACAGAAGATGGCAAAGTATCATACATGTTTTGAGTCTAATTTTGCAAAAAAAAAAAACGAATATATGCAGAAAATAATATACATAAATGTTTTAAACAATGGTTTTCTGTGAATTATAAGATTTAGGTCATTTTTAGTTTCTGCTATATAATTTTTCTGTAGTGTTTGACCATTTGCAATTAGTTTATTTCTTTATATTAAGGAATAAATGCAAGAGGTGTATTTGTATTTCTGAAAAATAAGTCATTTCATCCCAAGCAGGCAAAACAAATATCCCTTTTGTTTTCAAACACATTCTGCACGTACCTTTTATCTTTTAAAGCGCTTATCACATTAAATCAGAGCTATTTGATCACTTATCAGTCTTCTGGCTTATAAATGAGCTCCAAAAAGAGCAGTCATTACTTTTAACCAATACTGTTTCCCTGTGCTTAGCACAGGACATGGCATGTTATAGATGCTCACTAGTTTTTGAGTGGCTACTTGGATTCTGCCTTTCATCCAGTGACTTCTTTCTCCCATACATGGCTCTAGAAGAATTACTATCACCTCCACAAGATGCTGTCCAGTCTTTAACAGATTTGGGGACCAAAATTAAAGTGTGTGCAGGCATCACAGTGAAAAATAATTTGGGTCAAAAAGATGTCATCTTGCAAAATCAGTTGAGCCTTCACTAGGATCTCTATCAACATACTGAGACCCTCCACTACTAAACCAATTCCTTGCTAATCTCCAGGCCCTACTACACACTAAGTTCCCACTATTTTAGTGTTACTGTACATATGCTGACCAGTATTTTGTCTCCAATTACTTATCCATGCTACCAGAAACAATTCTTTCCCTCAGATTAGCCTGGAACCTGTCACTTATTCGTAGTTTTCTGCAACAGATTCTGCGCATCCCTTTGTTTCTATTTCAACGAGCATCAACTTACTCATTGTCTCTCTCTGATCATTATTTACTAAATAGGAAGATTCATGAAACAATCAAGTTCCACTATTCCTTTTTTCCAACTGAGACTGTAGTTTCCTGGAAACTTGGAAGTTTCCTAGATTAAATATATTTCTTAGATTTTACATGAAATGGCTAAATTATTTATATATTTTTTCAAGTATCATACACATAACTATTAGAGCAAGAAGTTTCTTTAATGTATAAAAAGATAACTTTCTTATACAGGGTATTTAAAAGCTGGGAGAATTGCTTAGGTATTTGTAAATATGCCTGTAACTATACTAACCTATGCTTTTAAAATTCCTAGGTTTTCTACGAGAGTCACAACAGGCATCCTGCACTTCCCACATTAACCTCAGAGTTACATTTTAAAATCAACACGTGGATATGGTCAACTAATACGATGTCATAGTAGGCAGACTACACTGTTCACAGATTGCAGGAAGTTTTGACTAGAAGCTCAGTGGTAACATTGACAAGACAGCCAAGCAGACAGAGTCTGGCAGAAGTGGAACTCAGAATCATCGGGGCAAACATTGGCAGTGCTAATCCAACTCCTAGACACGAAGAAGCTGCCCTGCGAGGCTGACCTCTGTGTTTAGCAGGTGGATCCTCTATTGACAGGTGTATCCTGCCAAGTGTATCCTATCCTGATTCCTTTGAACACTGGAAGCATGTAGCTCTCCTTGTTATGATTATATGGTTATCAGCCAAACTTCTGATTTAGATTCCCATGTAGTTTTCCACAACAGTTAGAGAATGCACTAGTCAGGCTAAATCAAGCATGGCATACACTTAAATGTTACATGTCTTATTTTAAATTAGTAATCTTTCAACCCAGTTAATTTTCCCATATCAGTCAATATTTTCATGTCTTTGTTTCTGGATTTCAAAACAGAGAGCCCGATGAGGGACTATAACAGCTTAACTAAATTAATGTAATGATGAGTTACTGTGCATTCCTGTTAAAATATTTATAAAACAATAATCCCCAAAATAAAAATTAGAAGATGTTAGGAATATAGAAGAATTACAAAGGTTATTATAAAAAAAATAGAAGGTTAACGATGTCTAAACTAGGTATCAGTGACATAAATCAGTGACTCGTTTTGCATGCTTTAGATTTACTTTCTTGTCTCCTTTGCTGCCAGCACTTGGGCAACCCAAATGCTAAGTGGGAGAATGAGGATGCCAAACACCTCACAGCTGCATGGTGGGGGTGACACTGGTAAAACAAATTAATAGCTCCCTGCATGGAAATCTAATGCAGAACACTAGCTAGAATCGAGGATAGTGCTGATAAAAATATCCAAGAATCATTTCTATAAAATCTGAAGCTGTAACATGGAAAGAATTCTTACAAATTCCACATAGATGAATTCTATAAGATAGCCTCACAATTTAAAGCTTTCTTTTAGAAGGATAACATTTATTTACCATTGAATTACCTGCTTTGCATTTTTTCACTCATTTCCAAGCATGCACTTACAGAATATCTACTAAATTCTAGGTGCTGTGCTGGACAATTGGGCTGGAACCATGACATGCAGTCTCTCTCTTTGCGGAGTTCACTGTGTTTTGGAGCAACAATCATATCCTCATATCACATCAAAGCAGTTAATAGAAGCATGCACCGAGGCCAGGCCTCAATGTTAGTCCTGCCCTGACCCTGTGAACCAGGCTGCACTGCACACTATCTTGAAATACAACAATCATACCTGTTTCAATCTCCTGCCCTTTCCTTTTCCTTTCCCCAACCCTCCTGTCCCCCTTCTTTGACATGCTCCCTGCTTTTTGAGAATTCATCTCCTACACACAATTTGCCAGGAGTATAATTCCTTTAAGGAAACGTGTCAAGGTCTCCCAGGAGCTCAAAATGACTCACAGGTTCTACAAAAATTACATTTTTAAAAACTTTTAATTTTAATAATAATATAATAAGAAAACATACTGTGCAGTAATAATTCAAAGTTTAAATGAAATTTGTTTGATTATACTTTAGTTTCTTTAATGCTTTTTTTTTCAAACTGAGATTCTTAGCACCCAGGCCAAAAGATCCAAGGATATCTTCTAGGGAGTCCATGAACAGTGGGTCCTTCAGAAACATGACTCCGAATCTAAACAAATAATTACATCCTTGCCCTAAAAAAATTGCTGACTTCACTAAAAATAAATTTATGGAGCTAAGTTGAGCCAGTAACAACTGTTTAATCTGATGCTATCTACATTTCCAGCACAAATTGAAGAGCAAGGATAAAATGAATTCTTAAAGAAATGGAAAAAATTACCAGATTTTCCTTATATTCATGTATTGAATACTGTAAATTTATATAAATGTCACTTACTCATCTCGTTATATAAAAAAGTCAAAGTTCAATAAAATACCTTCAAATTTATCCCTACTAGTATTGTTCTTCATTGCTATAGAAAAGCTCATTTTTTGTCAGAAAAATATCCTTACACTTCTTTTTTTAAATCCCAAACAGCTTTTAAACATGCACTGAAAGTCAAAGATTATTTAGAATGCCAGCTATTTAGAGATGTGCATCTATAACAAATTTTTCTATTCCGTATTTCAGTTCTATTCAGTTTAATCTGGGTAGATTTGTTGAAATATAAAACCTGAAGCAAAGAAGTACTGATGAGCAAATATCTACCCCACACTGGCAGCCACCCATATAGCTTGCTAGTCCTATATCTGGGAATATACCGATAGCAAGGAATACTGAAAGGATATAATATTACTTCTCTCTCCTAGGGTGTGCTGGGAAGAAAGGTATTGGAGGTCACTGGGATTCAGTGCGAGGCTTCAATCCTTTCCAGAGCCCCCAGATATCATAGCACTGAAAGTGTCAGACTTCTAATCCTAGATTGCTTTCTTTACGCTAACATGGGACAATAATCTTTGGAAACCAGATTTTTAAGTTTTCTCTCTGCCCAAGTTCTGCCTGTACGACTCCCTCAGAAAATACTGCTCATGATATATTTTCATTTACATTTAAGGCAAGAAAACCATTCACTCACCATGATAGATTAGACACAGACATTGCAGCAACTTGTTGAGGAGTCTTCTCTCGATTCCAGAACAGGAAATTAGCAGGTCAAGTCGACAACACCGCTAAAAATTTTAGCTTTGCTTCTGGAATGATGCACAAACCACTTAGTTACTCACAGTTTGAGAGGACCTATAAAGAAAAGAAATAAATGAATATCTCTAGTACCTGGTCTATGTGGTTTGTCACAGATTTATTTCATCCAAATCAATGGTTTTGTCATGGTATAAGATACACACAAAAAATATGATCTTTTTCTTAAAATATAAGACATGTAATAAACCAAAGATAAAATTAAACCAACCATATGATAAGCTGAATGCTTTACTTTTAAAACCATCTGAACAGTTAATAAAATGTTAAATCCCCGGAGTAGAGAATTCAGGGAAATGAGAGAATGTGATTTGGAGGAACCAAATATTTTCTCATATGGTTATACTCTCCAAATCAGTTTTATATACCTGTGATAAAAAGATTAGAACAAAGATCCTGATTAGCCCATAGCAAAGAAAGAAAGAAAGAAAGAAAGAAAGAAAGAAAGAAAGAAAGAAAGAAAGAAAAGAATTCCATGACACAAGTTGCCATCACACCCAAGGCTTTAACAAAATATTATTCATTAAATAATTTAGTGAATTAAATTATTCGCTAAATAAGACGGTGAATTAAATTATTCACTAAATTATTTAGTGAATTAAATTACTCACTAAATTATTTAGTGAATTAAATTATTCACTAAATTATTTAGTGAATTAAATTATTCACTAAATTATTTAGTGAATTAAATTATTCCACTAAATAATAGGAAAAATGATTTATATTGATTAACATGGGGGAGATAAGCCAGGGTGTTATGTATGTAACAAATATGACAAACATCTCCACACATGTATTTTGACATCTACTATAGTGTCCTATGATTTTGAATCAAAATCAATCAAATTAATTCCATAGTACTGTTAGCACTTTATTCAGTCAGGTCATTAATCCAGTGTTTTTCAATTAAACAAATACCTATTGAGCATATCCTATGTGAACGTACACTATCCTAGCTTTAGCTCAGGGATGAATGAATAAGACATTGTTCTTGTGCTCAAATAATGTTTTATGTAAAATAAGATGATTTCAATAAAATAGGGAAAGTGTTCTAATAAAGGCACATACAGGGCATGTGGGAGCACAGAAAAGGGGGCTTCCAGCCCAGTCTCAGGGAGTTGGGAAGGATTTCCAAAGATGTGCCCCAAATGACTACCATTAGGCTGGGCTACAAGTTTAAGAAAAAGCCACTAAATAAAGTGGCTTAAAAAAAGTTTATTTTTCTTTCATACAAATAAATCTCGACCTGAGAAGGCCAAGGCATATATGGCAACTCCATGGACACCAGGGAAGGAGGTGTATTCTTTCTTGTAGTCCACCCTTCTCAATCATGTGTTTGCCTTCGTGGTCCAAGAGGTTGCTGAGCTCCAGCGAATATGTCTGCATTCCTGCCAGCAGAAAGGAGGACGAAGAAAAGAAGGATGCTTCCTAACATTTACACATGACATTTCTGCCTACATTTTATTGGCCTGAGTTTAGATACTTGGCCACTCTTACTCTAAAGACAATTGGAAAATGCAGCCATTATTCCGGGCATCTAGTGTCCTAACCGTAAACCAAAGTGCCTGTCGGTAAGGAAGGTGGGGAAGTGGATACTGGCAGAAAACTAGCAGCGTCTGCCACCACGTTTGAGACTTGGTGACCTTGACCCCCAAAGTTTTGTGGTTTTTTTACTTACTGCAAAGCGGAAAACATGGGGCAAAGGAGAGATGGAATCAGTCCATTGTTTACTGACAATTTTACATTTTATATTTATAATTTTAAATATCAAACTTCAGCTTCCTTAAGTCATTCATAAGCAAACAAAATATTTCTCGTGCCCTATTACTATTAGTATTAATGATACAAGGATTAATAAAATATAATATTTACCTATAAAAAACCATTTAACATAGAGGCCATCATATTTTTAAAAAAGCACAAAAATAAAGCACACTCTGAAAATTGTTGTGTGCATACAAGCGCATATGAGTGGCTATCAAGGAATAAAGCAAGAACCATGATTTTAATGAATTCTAATTTTAGCTGGACCCTGACTGCCAGAATAATAATATTGGCCTGCCAGTGAAGTAAGCAGCTATGAAGTTTCATCCACATCCTAACTTGTCTGTTTACATTCCAAAAGAGGCTGTCTATCCTGTCCTTGGTAAAATTGTTACGGCATATAGACTTACATCTGTAAAGGCAAAGGAACTCCAAATTCTGACACCACAACAGTTAACTTCAAAAGTTTCCAAGCTGTATTGCCTCATTTTTATCGAGGGTTCAGTTTACCAAAAAAAAAAGCATATATATACACACACACACACACATATATACACATATATATGGAATATTGTCTGATGCAATTCATTCTTCTAGATATATTTAATTCCATCTTTAGAGGACTGTGTATCTGGATGTTGTTATTTTCATACCTAATCAAATTGCTTTTACTAAATTACACTGTGGAGTTTTGCCAAGTTTGCATTGAGAGACATCATTTAAAAAAAAACAATCAACGAGCAAAAACCCAGACTATGAAATCAACTATTAGGCTTAGTGGACAAGTTGCCAACACACAAATGTTGCCTTTATGAGCACTTAAAGGGAAAAATTGTGTTAGGTCTGAACACCTGTAAAACTATTATTCTAAATTTCTGGGTTGCTTTTCTCCTAGGGTCATTACTGCAACTTACTACACTTCTTTCCTTGCATTAACTTATGGGAAGCTCTGAAACAAACCTGTGACATTTCTTTAGGAAGTATTCAAGACTTCTGCTAACCTTTTTTTTTATTATTATTTTTGCCAACTTCAATTTTAACCTTTTTTTAAATAAGCACACAGATATATACAAACATATGCATAAATATATATATTATTTAATGTAAATACACATAAAATCCCCCTAAGTCCTTTTTGAAATAAGAAAGTGTAAAACTAAAAACCATAAGTGGAGAATTGTTTGCTTCTGCAGAATGTAAAAATAATACAAAAACAAACTGGATCCTAGAATCTTAGATAGAGTCATATGAACCCATTGCTTTTGTAGGTCAAAAATGGTCAAATATTGTCAATGTACATGGTACAATTTAGTATAACTGAAGAGTTGACCAAGATAGACTTAATGTTTCCCTCAGTTTGACTAAACTTTAGGTGGGTTTCTTCCTGTCTATGGCCTCCTGACTTCCTTTTCCTTAGGGTATTTACTTCAGGAAACTTGCAATTGTAAATCCATTCTCTGCCCCTTTGAGATGCAAATCTTGTGTCAACCACCTGTCAGTTTCATAATCCAGTAATGTATTTCTCAAGGACCTGGGAGCCATCCCTTTAAAATGTAGCCATTGAAAAAGATAGCTTTGCTAGCTGCCTCTCCCTGTGGGAGGGTAGAAGTCTAATTTAAATAAGTGCCAATTAGTAAACAAAGATGGCATAATCAAATTGACCAACCATGCCCTCACTCAATGTCCTCTAGAACTTTTCTGCAAGCTCAATCCAGCACTTAAAAACACTTCTGCCTTTTGTTTTAGCGGAGTTGTGTTCAGTCTCTCTCCTCTATTGCAATAATATGGAATCCAGTTTTCCTCGCAGCTGTTTAACTCTGTCTGATGCATTTTTTCTTTGACAGGGTATTGTTTTTAGTCCTTAAAGTTCAGGATAATTTCCTAAGATCCTAACCATAATGTTTAAAAGTGCAATCTTTACTCAATGTCCTTTACCTGCAATAACTACCAACTTGGAATTTGATAAGCTTATATGTAGATTTCTAAAATGAAATAAATATTAAAGAATTGCATTTTTTCTGATGACACCAAAAATTAAAAAAAAGAAAAAGAAAAAAAACTTACATGTTTATAAGTAAATATCCAAGCACACAAAAAAATTTATAGTGACCATTCATAGCAATTATACTAATCACTCTAACATTCATTTTGTTGTTATATCATCTTTCCTTTTCTTTTATAACTTATAACTATCTGATTTATTTTGTCAAGAATAGGCACAATGTGCCTAACAGGCACTCAAAGCTTACTGAGTTGAAAAAAATTAAAAAGCCTGTTATATTTACTTTTTTATGACGTGATTTTTTTAAAAAACCCTGTATTGGGCTTGTTATTTTTTTAATTACATGTAAATGATTGATTGCTTATCAATGTAATCTTTCCAGAGAAAACATCTTTAAAATCTTCACATAAGTTTAAATTTTTTGTTCATTTTGGTGATTCATAATCTTAACACAAATCTCCAACATCATTCTCCACACTTACATATGAATTCATAGCTTTCAGCCAAAATTCTAACATTGCTAAGAGTGAGATCTGTCCCTTTTTCACAAGAGAAAGACTATATCTTCATATTAGAGGAAACATTTTAAAATATATGGAGTGATTTGACTTCCCCTGAATGCCCAGCTATGATATAAGCTATAAGCATAGACACAATTGTTCTCTTTAGGTCACTCATTTAGTGCAATATTAAGGAAAATAGGATGTGAATTTAATAAACCCTCTCTCTTTTAACATATTTATTAAAATGTGAAGAGTCCTTGAATACAACAATGGATTATTGGGATGATACTTTACCAAAATAATCATTTTAATCATTTTATTCATGAATGAGATTTTAGGCTTCAAATCCATCTGAAAAAAAATACTATATTCTAATAAATTCGTTTAGTTGTAATTACTTTGCCATTTCACAAATCTTCTGTGAAGTGATTTTATTTAAGCAAAAGACACATTTTTCTAAACTACTTCTATACATACCTAGATGCTGCTGTATCATTAAGATCTTAAAATTCTGTGAATATCAGTTTAAGTAACCTACCACATAATAAATATAGGTTTTCTATATTTCATATTTAAAACAGTAAATCTATAAAAATGGTTCTTGGAAGAACCAAAATGGTTCAAGGTTTTGACCATAAGCACCATAAGCATTAAGTGTACACAGTGAATGACATTGCCTTGCCTGCAGAAAATTAGGCTTCAATTCCAAAGGGGATACTAAACATTATAGATAATTTCAAACTGGGATATCCAAGGGTCCATTGGATTTTGTTTTAAGAGATGTACTGTGCAGGTAATGAGGTACATATATATTTGAATTCCACTCAGGGCACTACAAGAGCTAATGGGCATAAAATGAAGAATAAAATGCATGAGGTATGAAGAGAAGACTTTTATGCTAAAGATTCAAATAAATGTTAGCAGAGCAAATTATCAAAGAAATATTAGACTCTTTTGAGTTTTACAAGGTGGATTCCTTTTTATTTTCACATAAAATCTAAAGCCTCTTTCTTGTTTTCTGGTTTCCCTATAAACTTACCTTATTGATATTTCCTAACCTAGGCTCTCTACTCTGCTTGAGCTTGCTTACTTACAATGCTCATACCTGAGCTCTGAATATACTATACATTAAAAAAAAAAATGGGCAAAGGGCCTGAATGGACATTTCTCAAAAGAAAGAAATTCTGTCATTTGAAACAATTTGGATAACCTGAAAGATAGTACGCTAAAATCAGCCAGGAACAAAAAGACAAATATTGTATGATCTCAGTCATATGTGAGATCTACAAAAGCAGAACTCATAGAAGCAGAAAGTAGAATGGTGGTTACTAGGGGCGGCAGGCTGGAGGTAGTGGGAAGATGTTAGTCAAGTGACACAAAAAATTCAGTTAGACTAGAGGAATAAGTTCAGGAGATCTATTGTACAACACAACACGGTGACTATAGTTAATAACGATGTATTGCATTCTTGAAAATTGCTAAGACAGCAGATTTTTTAATGTTCTCACCATAAAAAATGATACATTAGTGAGGTAATGGACATGTTCATTAGCTTGATTTAGCCATTCCACAATGTATACATACATCAAAACATCATGTTGTATATCATAAATAGATACAATTTATATTTGCCAATTAAAAAATAAGAAAAAAATTTAATGTAAAAAATGAACAAAATAAAATGTTAGCAACAATATGACTTGAATGACTCAAAAATAATAATTTAGTGACATTATTATATTCTTACACTTGAATTATGAATTTTTGGAACTCCAGGACTTTGGAAGGATATAAGTCAATCATTGGGGAAAGATATTATTTTTCCTGTGAAAATTGATTGTCTATATAGTTAAATTATTATTATTATTATTATTATTATTTTGAGACAGAGTCTCACTCCGTCACCCAGGCTGGAGTCGCCCAGGCTGGAGTACAGTGGCGTGATCTCGACTCACTGCAACCTCCACCTCCTGGGTTCAAGCGATTCACCTGCCTCACCTCCCCAGTAGCTGGGACTACAGGCATGCGCCACCACACCTGGCTAATGTTTGTATTTTTTTGCAGAGATGGGGTTTTGACATGTTGGCCAGGCTGGTCTCTCGAATTTCTGACGTCAGATGATCTGCCCTCCTCTGCCTCCCATAGTGCTGGGATTATAGGCGTGAGCCACCATGCCTAGCCCATAGTTAAATTCTTAATGAGGCACAAAATAAACAAGGAAACCAAACTAACAGTTTTACTTTTCCCTTAAGGTAAACTTTCTCTAGAGACAAGATTTTAAAAGAGGGGGTTCTGCCTTGAATTTTTATAATTTGTGTTATCTTGTTATTAATTCTTAATAAGAAATCTATGCTTATAGAGTAAAATCAAAAGGATATTCGCTGAAGAATAAATATCTCTCCCTTTTCTGTCCTCTGTACCCAGCTATCAGATTTATATCTATATCTACTTCGATATCTATCTATCTACTTGGCTTTGATAAAATGGCAGCCTAACATATACAGTTTTACCTGCACCTTTATTTTTTACATACATACAGTCATAAAGTCATGTACATATACAATATTTCCCCATCAATACACATATAGAGATGCCTCATTCCTATTCAGGATTTTAGAGCATTTCATTGAATGGATTTACCTTAATTCATCAGCCAATCTCATACTGAAGGAGATTGAGTTTGTATGCAATATTTTGCAATTACATAAGATGCTGCAGTGTATATCCTTATACACATGATATAATATCGGTTTATATTTGTGGATAAATACCTACACATAAAATTTCTGGGTCAATCCTATGCACATTTTAAATTCTAAAACACACTGGTAAGCTCCCTTTCATAGAAGTTGTACTAATTTACATTCCTACCAGAAATGTATAAATGTAATCTTTCTGACATTACTGCTTCTTGGAGAACCAACATATCCAGTGGATTTTACAAATACACTTCCTGAAATATACTCATCGTCCAAGCCAGAAGTATATTGTTCCACCCATCCAGTTAATCACTAAGCCTGGTTGATTCTACCTCTGAGATATATTTGGAACACATCCACTTTTCTCCATTCTCACTACCTCTATCCACTGTCTTCTGATGCCTGATTAATAACAATGACTTCATAACCAGCCCCCCTTTCCAGTTTAGCTGTCATCTAATACATCATTGCAATACACTGCAAACTGAGTGCTCTTGGTGGAACACAGTCATTTTCTACATAAGAACTGCAGAGTAGAGAGGCAGGGACTACTATGGTGTCAGAAACTCCTGGATGCGATTACCAACTGTGCTTATTGGTAACTGTGAGCTTGGGGAAACTAAGTGCATTCCTTGTTTATTTCTTCATTTGTAAAATAGGAATATTAGATGTAGTAATAAGCTCATGATAAAAATTTTATGTAAAAATGCATGAACTAACTTGATATTGCCTGCCACATAGTGAGTTCATACAATGATGATGACGACAATCATGAGGAAGAACAAGGAGATGCTGGTGGTAATAGATGTCTTCCCCAACACTCTGTAATTGCTCTATATTGCCCTCGCAGTAAAGTATCAGTTCCCTGAGATGGTTCACAAGACTCCAGGTGATCTGACACCTGCTTTCCTTTCCACCTTCTCTCACTGAGACCCTTACCTCCTTTCCCCTGCTCCCCAATACACACTATATTTCAGCTAAGCTGATTTGCATTTTCCCGAATGCATCTGTGTCTCCACAGCTTACAGGCCTTTGATGTGCTATTTTCTCTTTGTCTGCTACACTCATCCCTTTCCTTTCCCCTCTGCTCAGCTAACTTCTAACTCATTACATCTCAACATGCACATCATTTCTTCCAAACTTGCCTAATCGTCATTATGTGCAGCCCCTATGTTCTTTCACAACATCCTGTTCTTATTCCATGACAACCTTCAGAAAGGGTGGTTTAATTACCTGGGCTGGTCTGTTTTCCATCTAGATTGTAAATTCCTTGAGGACAGACAGCAAGTTTTAATGACTTTGCAAACTTATGGCCTAGCACGGTGCCTAGGACAGGGAAGGTATTCAATCAACATTTGTTGAAAAAATGATAAATGTTTTACATTAAGAAATGTTAAGTTCTATACAATTTTGAACTAACAGCAGTCTCTCTTTTCCTTTTAGACTATCAAAATACCATTTCTTTAATTTGGAGCCGTATTTATAGGTTCTAGACTCCTAAAATGTCTATACTTTTATAAGTTTTTAAATATTTTCTTGAAACTTGAATATTAATTATGGAATAACTATGAAAACTCTAGAGTAGAAGTCATCCAATTTTTCAAATCTGTTTTGCCCCTCAATTTTATCCAGAATGTAGTTCAGTTGTACAACATGTAAATTCACATCTTTTTATTTGTATATGCAAAGTGGAGTCAAATAATCCTGACATTCTATTTCCCCAATCGTTGCACAAAATTTCTAACAGAACACAGATATGTGTCTCTCTAGAACAATTGAATGATTAAGGTCAGCATGGATGTATCCCAAATAAATGCTTAAGTAGCTTCCAAGCTGCTTTTATATCCTATTGATACCTATCCTGAAAATACAGTCTTTGCACAGGTTGAGAAATCCCACACATTAAAACTTCAGATCAGCACAGATGGTAACCTTGGAGACAAACTAATGCAGTTTTATGTGTCCTCTCACTGCAGTGCAGCTGTCATTTTACTTGTATTAAAGTCATTTCATGGGAAGTATTAGTATTCAATTGAGCATGTCAGTAATTAGTCTAAAGCATTTATCACAGCAACATGTCTATATTTGTGATTAGCCTAAGCACCCCCTTCAGAAATATCCTTATGTTCAAATTACAGGAAGTATTTACCATAGCCAGAGAACTAAACAGTTATGAACCTTACAGCAACTTTTAAATAAATTATTACTTCAAACAAAGATCACCCTAAAACAGTTTGAGATATTTTCTCGAGAATAATTAACTATATCAGATACTGCTATAATTTTCTGAGAAAAAAGATCATTTCATTCATATATGAACTATAAAGACAACTTTTGTCCCTGTGCGTTGATCTCATTTTCTCCTGAACTTTAATGCGATTGTAAGCTTCTTTGGTGCCTCCGTCTTTCATGTCTGCCTCTTACTGGTTCTTTCTCCTCTGTTTCTGATTCTGTACAATCTTTCCTTGCCTCAGCTGTGACTTCAAACTATTGCTTTCTCTCACTTCTTCCCTGTATTCACAAATGCCACCAACTATTACCCTATACCCACAGCCTTCACCTTTTTACATCCACTCTTGTTTTCTGAGCTTCACTCTAACATTCTCATCACCAGTCAACTGGTGTATTGACTTAACTACTGATTCCAATAGGCTTCTGTCAGACTCCACTCCGCCCACTTGTTCCTGATTTCTCCTTTGCATTTTCCTGAGTGCACCTGTGCCTCTATAGCTCATAGGATGTTGACGTGTTATTCCCTTTGCCTGCTATACCCATCCCTTTCCTTTCCCTCTCTCTTTGGGTAACTTGTAACCCTTGACTTCCAGGGTGCTGAAACATCGAAGCTCTCCAATTTTCACTGTTCTTCATGGATCCATCACCATTTTTCCATATGGTAATATTGTTCAAAGTTCTATCTAATGTGATTTTCTCAGGAGATAATTTTCAAAATTTTAATCTATGGAGTTGATCTTTTTCTTTGGCTTCCAGAATAATTTTCCCTGATTTTTTATTAAATGGTAGTCCGAGGTTGTTTTCGTTTCTGTTTTGCTTTGTTTACTGCTCAACTACATATCTTGAAGTCACTTTCTCCTCTTTATTCTGATTGCCATCCCCCAAGTTCAAATCCTTATTATCTTTTGTCTTGACTGGTTTATTTTTTTCAGATTTTTTAAAGCATCTGAATAACATATTAAAATCTTAAAAATGGACAAACATCCTAATTTTTTAAAAAAGTTAAATTCTTTGGGCAGTTTAAAATCTTCAGTGTTTAATGGGGAACATATAATATAATGATTTTTTGAACATTTGGATCATTTTGATCATTTGGATGATCAAAAAATCATATGATCAAAAACCTAATAATCAAAAAATCACCCTAATTTTTTTAAATTCTTAAAATTAAAAAATCTTCAGTGTTTGATGGGGAACATATCATTGGCAAATACTTGAATCCTCTCCACTGATCACTGGTGTTCCTGGTACACAGTTTGCACATCACTGGCTGGAAATTAGCTGGAAATTATTGCATTGGCCTTCAAACTTGTCTCTAACCCTCCAATCCATATTACAATGTAATTTTATTAAGGGAAAGCACTTACATATGCAAATTTCTTATTTAGAAAACCTCTGATGACTATTCCTACAACCTAACTATTACGCTTGGGATCCTCCTCAGTGTGGCCTATGCTATATCTTCTGGCTTGTCTTCCCTCGGATTACTACTGCTCAGTGTGTTTGTTTCCACTCTCTGCTGAAGGCCTAGCACAGTGCTCTTCACTTGGAACTAGCCCAAAATTAAACAGAATTCTCGGTTCAAAACTCAAAGTTTTTCAGGTGTACTTTATTGTACTCAAGGGTAGCACTAAATAAATAATCATTTTTTAAAAGTACAATATCTCAAAACCAGCTGTTTTGATATATTTATCAATGTTTTTATAATGTTTTTAGAATCTACAATCAATTTTAATGAGTCATTAAAGGTTCAAACCCATGTGGATTGCCCAATAAAAAAGATTGCCAAAAAACAGTTTAAGTTAAAAAAAAGCAGCAGATTAAATTTTTTAAAATAAATGTTTCAAATGAGAAAATATCTTAGGCACATTTAATGAATCTTTCTGTATTCTCAGAACATAAGCATGTTAATGTTCCGAAGTAACGTGGGACAAGTCGAGGAAAATCAGCTTTTGAACACAATGCACTTAGGAATGCAATATATAAATAGGTAGGGGTGTGTGCGTGTGTGTTTGTGTGTGTTTTCTGAAGACTTTTCAGACTTTGCTTCAATGTCCTTCATAGCACAGCCCAAGTCACCTTGTTGATATTCATCCTAAACTTTCCCACCCCTCGTGCCCCCTAAACCTGGCAACATGTACCTGGTTTCTCTCCAAATAAACTAAATGCATCCATGACCTTATGTTTCACAATGAACAAACTGATCATTATGTTCCCATTTCAAGGAATGTCCTTTCCCTTCTTGAATAGAAATATTAGTCTTGCAAAATCTAGCTCAAAAATCAATACCCACTTTAATTCAAAACTTGGAAAAATTCAGTTCCCTTCATATATGTACTCTTCACATTTTATACATTTTGTACATATTTCTATAACAAGGTTCATCAGAAAACTCATGTTACGGTTTACCTATCTGTGAAAGGTGAACACTAAATGTTAATAATATGATATTATTTACCTACTTAAGAAATATTTATTATTTAAGAAATACTGAATTTGAAGTTTCTAGCCATGGGAATCAGAGAGCCCCCTTTTGTCATAACAAATGACAGTCAATGAAAGAGCAGATATAGTAATAGTCACATAAAATATAATTAATCATTTATAGGTATTTTAGAAAAAGTACAAAAGCAAAATAAACCCAATAACTACTTATTTACTTATTTGATCTGGCTTTTACTAATTCCTCAAGAACAATAATTATATCTTAATTTTTTTCCTAGTCCCTGTACAACCTAGTAGAGTTTATTGCCTACAATCAACAATCAATAAATATCTGTTAAGTCAATTTTAGTTGAATTGCTATGTTATAAAGGTTATATAAGTTATTGATATTTCCTCTGTTAGACAGTGAAGGCATCTGCATCTACTGTTTGACTCATACTCAAACAATAGATAGTAGAAAACTAATGTCTACTTCTAAGAGGGTAAGACCTTCTCCGGTGATAACCACTACTCAGCCCCCAGGCACAGGCAGTATTATTTGTTAGGGCATATTGCAATCCTGAAGTGAGGCATTTTTCACAAATACGGATCACAAAAGAAATCTGCATGTCACTCTTTGCTTAGGAAAATGTTTTCTTCTTTAGGGCATTATTGGAAAATATACAACGTGATAAAAATCAATTGGCTTCTCTTAAACAAGTCCTTTCATTGAGCCTAGAGAAGAATTGCCTATTCTCTAAAAGCCTTTGGCTTTCACTCCACAGACACGGACATGCTTAATTAAAATCGAACACCAAAGAGCTTCCTTTTTTGTTTTTCTTTTCTTTGAGACGGAGTCTCGCTTTGTCGCCTAAGCTGGAGTGCAATGGCGCGATCTCGGCTCACTGCAAGCTCCACCTCCTGGGTTCACGCCATTCTCCTGCCTCAGCCTCCCGAGTAGCTGGGACTACAGGTGCCCGCCACCACGCCCGGCTAATTTTGTTTTTGTATTTTTAGTAGAGACGGGGTTTCACCGTGTTAGCCAAGATGGTCTCTATCTCTTGACCCCGTGATCCGCCCGCCTTGGCCTCCCAAAGTGCTGGGATTACAAGCGTGAGCCACCGCGCCCAGCCAGAGCTTCCATTTTTTGGAACTCAACAGAAAGGGCCTCTAAACCTCAGAGAGTACCACTGAAGATTCAGTGAAGCCACAGCATCCTTGGAGAAATGATGTTGCCACTGGCAAAATGAATTAGGGATGGAAAAATAATTCAGATATTCATGCTGATGTGAAAAAAAAAAAGAAATTTTCTTAGTTTATCATCCAAACTAGGTTTCTTCACAGCAACTTTATTAACCATTTATTTTATTAAATGAAATTTACCCAAACCTCAGCCACAATTCTTTATGTTCTAAGATTCTATACCCCTAAAAAATGGACCACTGGAAACAATGACTCCTTGAAAAATGACTGAATGCTTCCTTTTTCAACCAAGTTTTAGATTTAAGAACCACATAATAGACACTTTACCCTTCCACATTTCTTTAATAGTCCCGGCTGTTCAGATTTACACAAGTAGAGAGGTTTTAGTTTACTATCGCCTCCACAATTTTCACTTAAAAGTTATGCTAACCTATCTTTGGATGCGTAATATTCTAGCTCTTTTTCATTATCTTCTGATAACACTTATTTATAAAAAGCCAAATTATATCAAGAAAATTTATATTACTGAAAATTTGTTTGCTACCTTTGTCGATAGTTTTCTTCAATTCACTGGCGGCGGTAGGGGGGGTGGAATAAACTGCTGCAACCCCATTACCAAGATGTTCCCTCCTCTATGATCTTCATTCCAATGATTCCATCTATCTTACATAGTTTTAAAATCTTTTGTACTAGTCCAGAATTTCAGCTGAAAGTCAACTTTTTACCGAATGATCAAATTTTTTCATCTCCTTCAGATCTTCAAAGAATTACAGCGCCATCAGTAGGTAATCCATGGTTTCAATTTTTCTGATTGTCTACCCACCACATGAGATAGGTCTCTAGCTTCTCAAACATACCATATTATGCTTGAGTGACACAGGGAAGCTTTCAAAAAACCAATAATCATAATATATTTTAAAATTGTCTTACATGTGGAAAATACAAGCATTATAGAGAGAGCCATGTGCATGATCAAACGTATGTTTTATGTGTTAATCTTTCTCTGTATATTTTATGCACCAATATTTCTTTTAATACATGGGATTTTCTAGACCTCTTGTACTCACCAACTTTCTTCACAGGCTTTTCTACTTCCTTAGAAGACACTGGCATGATTCTATATGGAGATACTCTATATCCTCCTACATGGACTCACCTACGACTTAAACATTTCCATTCTTGCACTTATATAAATGTTATGATAGAATTTTCTATTTGGATACTAAAACTTTTGTGAAAATTCTAGCAAAATGTGACAGTAAATATTTGGATAGCAAAGGCTATCTTTATTGCAGGAATATATGTGTTTAATGGTCTCAAATCTAGAATCTTAGAGTGAGAAGCTTTGCCCAACACATCCCTCCTAGCTCTAACCAGCTTTAATTCCTGCCAATTAGGAGTCCTTGTTATATTTTCTGCATATCTCTTATGTTATTCATTCACTTATCTAATATTTATTGAGCACCTGCTATGTGTTCTTATGTCATTCATTAATTTCTCTAACATTTATTGAGCACCTGCTGTGTGTCAGGCACTTTTCTAAGGATATAAGAAATAATAAAATAGGCTCCCTGCTTTCAAGGATCTTGCAGCATAAGAGAAGCAGACAAACATAAATACAGAAACACAGTAATTAGTTACAGAAACTATGGCAAATGTTCTTTTAAGTGCAATTGGACAAAAGGAAGCACAGCTGTTTCCTCACAAGGAGGGTGATTCCAGGAAGGTGTTCACTAAGAAGACGACACTTGACACAACTTTTGAGAGATGATGTGTCAGATGCAGATGGTGTAGAATTTGTCAAGACACAAAAGAATTGTGAAAGGCATGTAAGAGAAAGGCATACGGGATTTTACAATAAAGGATGAATGTGAGGGGTATGTGGTAAGATGTAAGACTGGAAAGGAATACAAGAGTGTTACACATAATATACAAAATTTCACTTTTCATGCATCAGCTGGCTAAATTCTTCCTGTCCACTGCTTCTACTGGGAGAAAGGCCGGAATCCTATGTAATTGCCTTTTCACTCAAGTAGAAGTTTAAAAAAATTGGCCGGGCGCAGTGGCTCATGCCTGTAATCCCACCACTTTGGGAGGCCGAGGCGGATGGATCATGAGGTCAGGAGATCAAGACCATCCTGGCTAAAATGGTGAAACCCCATCTCTACTAAAAATACAAAAAATTAGCCAGGCATGGTGGCACGCGCCTGTAGTCCCAGCTACTTAGGAGGCTGAGACAGGAGAATCGCTTGAACATGGGAGGCGGAGGTTGCAGTGAGCCGAGATTGTGCCACTGCTCTCCAGCTTGAGTGACAGAGCGAGACACCGTCTCAAAAAACAAAACAAAACAAAACAAAAACAAAAACAAAAAACGGTGGCTAGCTATCTTTGTACCCTGATCCCTGTGGAGGGATTAGGAGAGAAACTGTAGTTCGTGGGAAGCAGATATCTGCTGCAAGCAGCTGGGGACTTAACATCTCCACCCCAACCCAATCCTGAGCTATTAACCTCCTAAAACCAGGGAACCCCACCCATTTTGACATTTCTATGCACTCTAAAAGTCATCTGGTGCTGTGGAAGACAGGGAATGTGAGAAATCTCCAGTGGTTTTTAGCTCTTTAAAAATGTAACACATTCACTTTATATTATTTAAGTTAGTTTCTGAACTACCAGTCATCTGGCTTACAAATATTCTCAGGAATTTATTAGGTAAGAAAGTAAAGGAAGGCCCATACTCAGAAATTTGTATTTTGCAATAAACACCAGTAATTTGCTGTGTCTAACTTAGTTAAACTACCTAAGCCTTCTGTATATCAGTTTTCTCCCTTCCTCATGATGTTGTTTTAAAAATTAAGTTAACACATGCAAAACACTGAAGCACTACCCGAGATATACAAAGCGCTAAATACATATTAGATGCTTTCATTATAAGTAGTCGCTTTCCTACTGTCCATTCTTCCAGCAAGAGTTTGAATTTCCATTTGAGGATACACCTTCCTTAACTTTCATGTGGCTTGGATACAGGCCAATCAACATATTACAATTTACTAGCAATGGTGATTCCTTTGGGGTAGGCACATGGCCCAGTTGCAATGAGATAATTATGAATCTCTTCATGGGAAGGTTGGAGTTTCTAGTTTCTTTCTTGCTATATGTTAAAGTTGAGACATTATACAGCTGCAGTGGCAGCCACCATCCTTGCTATCACACCGAACCTGAGACTGAAACCAACACAATGGAAAGCAGAACTGAAATATGAAGAGAAACAAATTCCCGTTGACATCATTCAACCTAGATCCATTCTCTAGAATATTCAGTTGCCATTAGTTCCATTTTGCTTAAGCGATCTGGACATGGTCCTCTGCTATTTGGAAATGACAAAGTATTATATAATAAAGACATTATCCCAGAGGCTGTGAAGAGCCAGGGAAGGATTTTGAGTAGGGAAGAAACTTGATCAGGTTTAAATGTTTAAAACACACCATTCCAGTGGCATTGGGAAGAATGGGCTGAGTCTGACAGAAGGCAGGAGGACAAACTGGGAGAAGATTATAACAATCTATGTAAGAAATGGTAAAGACCTGAAAGAAGGTAGCTGGGAGTGAGAATGGAGTGATGGAGGAGGAGGGACAGAAAGATAGTCAGGGACTGACTGGATTTGCAGAGTGAAGAAAAGCAAGGAGTCTAAGATGACTCCCAGGGTATAGGACTTCCAGTAGAGGCAAGGGAAGCTGTCTAGTTTCAGAGATTTGATGTGAAGTGAAGAAGCTGATAGATTTAGAGTATACTCTTTTCCAGAACATGGTTTTAAGGGAAGGTGAGGGACTACAGCAGCAGTTTGCCTGTAAATGTTTAACAACCGGTGCTGGAGAGTGGAGGGGAATTTGATTCATAGAATTTGCCAATTTCCCACACAAAAATAACCCCACTATAGTGAGGGCAATTTCAATCTACCAGTGTGACACCAAATGCAATGTTGGGAAGAGATGCTCACAATGGACTCTCAGATGCAAACTGGTATGGGCTGCACACAGATGAACTATGAAAAAACAACCCAGAGGTGAAATACAGGGTATGGGAAAGAGCCAGTAGAGAGAGAAAAGCTAAAAAAATACATAAAAGATGAAAAGAGAGGCCGGGCACGGTGGCTCATGCCTATAATCCTAGCACTTTGGGAGGCCGAGGCAGGTGGATCACTTGAAGTCAGGAGTTCAAAACCAGCCTGGCCAAAATGGCGAAACCCCATCTCTACTAAAATTACAAAAAAAAATTAGCCAGGCATGGTGGTGGGCACCTGTAATCCCAGCTACTCAGGAGGCTGAGGCAGGATAATTGCTTGAACCTGGGAGGCCGAGGTTGCAGTGAGCTGAGATCGTGCCACTGCACTCCAGCCTGGGCAACAGAGTGAGACTCTGTCTCGAGAAAAAAAAAAAAAGAAAAAAGAAAAGAAAAGAAAAGAAAAAGAAGCAAGAAAATTCCTGAAGAGAAGACATCAGATTAAGGATATAGACGGGGTCAGGTTCAGTGGCTCACACCTATAATCCCAGCACTGTGGGATCTCATGAAGCTAAGAGTTTGAGACCAGGCTGAGCAACATAGTGAGACACCATCTCTACAACAAAAAAAAAAGAATTTTTTTTTTTAATCAGCTGGGCATGGTGGTATGCATCTGTAATCCCAGTTACTCTGGAGGCTGAGGCAGGAAGATTGCTTGAGCCCAGGAGTTCAAGGATGCAATGAGCTATAATGGAGCCACTAAACTCCAGCCTGGTAACAGAGCAAGACCCTTTTACCTAAAAAGAAAAAAAAAAAATAGAGGTGGGGGATATAGATGGAAGGATGATCCTAGTCCAGAAAAAGAGGAGAAAACCTCCTCTGAGGCTTGACAAAATGAGGTGATCTTGGATGCAGATAGAGAAACACTTTTTAAATACAGAAATGGGAAAATGGGAAACAGTGGTACTTATGACTAAGCAAATGTATGGCCTCCAGTTCCCTTAGAGGTGAGATCATTTGGTTAGCAGTCAGGTGGATAGAAGAATAGAGCTTTCAGAGGACAGAAGAACTTGTGTGGGAAGCAGTAGCAGATGGTGAACAGGACAGAACACTAAATATATATATGGTGTATGTGTGTGTGCAGACACATTCACACATATTTGATATTCCTGTCTTCCCCCACTGAAGTCCCTCTAGAGATGAGACAATATTATTTATCTTTGTTTCATTAACATATATTCTATCACATTTAGTTGTCTTTTAATAATACTGTTTGTTAGAAAGTATATATATATATATATGTAGATTGACTAATTGAATAAATGAGGAAATCAATATGTAAGTATTTCTAAAAAGATGTACTATTTTAAATATTTTCCTTTTTTCTCAATCTTATTCAAGTCTCATTAACCTGAATTTGTATATCATATTTATACGTAGCATTTACTGTTGTTTTAGATATATGAGCACGTTTATTTGGAAAATAGTAGCCTTAGTCCCAAGATATAAAATTAAGTAAGGTGAAGGCTATAAAATAAACTATATATACAGAGGTGACAGAGAAAAAATATTGGGACGTCTTCACTTTTTTATATAATAAATAAAACGAAACTTTTAGTAGCAGCAGTTGAAATATGTTGACTGCTTTTAAGGCAGACAAGCTGTTCAAGCTTGGGCTTATCACTTAGTATCTTCATGTACTGTGTTTATATTTGCCTAGTCTACATTATGAATAATGCAAGTTTACCCAATGTATCTTTGAGATTACACTAAGATTTGCTATAAACTTTTTGCAAATATCAGTAAATGTTGAATAATACAGAGGCTTTAAGAAAAATTGTTTGAGATTCCTAAAATTATAGTAGATAGTATAAATGTAAATCATTGCTTCCTGCTGTGTTCCTTGGTGGTTTTCTATTCCTTATTCATTCATTCATTCAACACATATTTGAATGTCTATATATGAGAGGCACTGTTCTAAGTGCCATGAATATAGCACAAAACCAGGAAAAGCTGTTTCACCGCAATTGTCACAAAAAGCTGTTCTGATTTATATCCTAGGGGAGGAAAAAGACAATAACAACTAAATAACAGGGATATATAATATTAAGAAATCATAAATGCTATGAAGAAAAATACAGCAAGTATGTAAGGGGCTAGTGGGTTACAGGGTTACATCTATTTTAGATGTGGTGATCAGGAAAGGCCTATCTAGGAAAATTATACTTAGGCAGAAAACATGAAAGGGGACAATTTAAACTTTCTTCTGAAGTATTTATGGATTTTAAAAGTTGTATTGAAAACATGACAGGGTATTCAGCAGCTCAGGTAGAACTTCTAAAGCATATAATTACATATACCTTTGCTTTTTTAATGGACTAAAATAAAGATAATTTAAGTGCTTCCTGGTGACTTAGGGTGGCAGGTCATTATTATGATCCATTCAAGTCAGAAGGTTTTTTTTTTTTTTTCTTTTCCCTCACAACTGTTCCAATCACATCCTATCAGTTGACTGCTGCTAATCACTATAGTACAAAAACCGGAGTTATGGTTAAAAGGATTCAGGGTAAACAGTTAAAACTTCTGAATGATGGTTTTACAGCTTGCCTACAGAAGAGCTTTAGGCTGGAAGCTTATAAAAATTCTTTCATCAGCTAAGAAAATTGTGTTTTGTAAAGTGACTTTGGGAAAAGAATTACAGAAATGCAAAAAATTTACATATCAGATCATAAAAGCTAATATTTATTGATTCACATTTATATACAGTAATATTTATATTGCTTACTACATTTTAAACTTTGTTCTAAGTACTTTATCTCATTTAATCCTTCAAAAGCTAAACGTCTCTGCCTTAGTTTTATATCTGTAAAATGGAGAAAGCAGTAGTACCTTCTTCAGAGTTTTACTAACGAATTTATGATCTACAAAATATCCCATTTAGCATAGAAAGAAGTATTTTTTTTTATCAAAGGAAGAAAGAATAATGAATAAAGGCCCTGACACAAAAATGGATTTGGCATGTTTTAGGTACAGCTAAAGAGCCAGTATGACTTATTAAATATGTATATCTAAATAGCAGTGCATGCTAGTCTCTATAATGATTATTGAGTATCTATTTTATCTGTGATTTCGTTTTATATATATATATATATATATATATATATATATATATTTTTTTTTTTTTTTTTTTTTTTTTTTTGGATGGAGTCTCGCTCTGTTCCCAGGCTGGAGTGTAGTGGCTTGATCTCAGCTCACTGCAAGCTCCGCCTGCCAGGTTCACACCATTCTCCTGCCTCAGCCTCCCCAGTAGCTGGGACTACAGGTGCTCGCCACCACGCCCGGCTGATTTTTTGTATTTTTAGTAGAGACAGGGTTTCACCGTGTTAGCCAGGATGGTCTCTATCTCCTGACCTTGTGATCTGCCCTCCTCAGCCTCCCAAAGTGCTGGGATTACAGGCGTGAGCCACCACGCCCAGCCAATTTTGTTATATTTATCAATATTTATAGCTGAATACATGCAATTAGGGAATGATCCCCAAAGAGCAGTATTTCAAATAAATTTATCAATGTGGACACAAAAGTATGTAAGTATGTTCTTAAAGGGAAACATGAAATGAAAAATGCAAATTTCCCTTTAAGAAAAGAAGCACCTTTAAACTAAGAGAAAATTGGGGCAAAAACATTTCTGTCCATTATGTAATATGTGTAAATTCCTTCTTTTGATGAGAGCAGCTTGAAGAGACAGAGGGAGTATTCGCAGTCCTATTTGCCAAATAATCAGATAGGGACCAGAGGGTAAATTAAAGAGAGAGAGAGTGGGTGAGTGAGAGAGTTACAGAGAGAGAGAGAAATTCTTGGTATAAATACCAAGAATCACAAAATATGTTTTAGAGAATTACAAGTTATAAAGCATGGATGGCTTAGGATATGTCAAAAGATAAAATTACAACAAATTTAGTGATAGATATAATTGGCTTTTATTTGAGACACATGAATCAAGTAGCCTCCGTTTTATAAAAAAGAATGAGAGCTCCCACTGGGCTATAGCAGAACAGTGGTTTTTTTAAAAAGTGGGAATAAGGAAAAAATGGATTGGTTAACACTGGGTTGCTTTTTTTTTTTTTTTTCTGAGACAGAGTCTCACTCTGTCCCCCAGGGTAGAGTGCAGTGGTGTGATCTTGGCTCACTGCAACCTCCACCTCCCAGGTTGAAGTGATTCTCCTGCCTCAGCCTCCCAAGTAGCTGGGATTACAGGTGTGGGCCACCACACCCAGCTAATTTTTGTATTTTTAGTAGAGACTAGGTTTCACCATGTTGATCACCTCTGACCTCAGGTGATCCGCCCACCCCGGCCTCCCAAAGTGCTGGGATTACAGGTATAAGCCACCACGCCCAGCCCTAGATTACTTTTTTTTGTAAGGGGCAAAGCAGACTGGACTTCCTTATTAATCTGATTCGGATAGAATAGAATCTCCTATTTTGAGGAAAAACTGGTCTGCTTGGGACTGCATATGCTCCTTTAAAGTTTCCGTTTGATTATTTGGCATTTAGCATGAGTGACTCCATTTTGGTTTGGTCTGGTTTGTTGGGGCCCAGAACAGGAGCTCAGTCCAAAACAATGGCCTCCTATAATTTTGTTTAACAGATAAAATAGAAGTTCATGAATTATACTTGTAAATAACTTCAGATATAACCGGAACAATGAATGCTCTGAGTTTTCCCACAAAAGAGTTCAGTATTTGTTCTCCTAAACCTATAAAAAGCCACATTAACTTTTAGTGTTTTAAGTAGCTATTATAATTCTTTATTATGTACAATTTTAACTATTGAAATAAAAATTGTCCTGATAGTGCTTATAACCAGACAAGATATGGAATTCTGTTTATACATCAACATAAGAGAAAGGTGATTTCCAATAGACTTTATACTTCCACTTTCTTTGTTAGGAAAAATATTTTATTTTTTTCTTCATATCATGAAGGAAAAGATATGACCTCAAGAACATTTATGTTTGAAACTCTGAGATACTTAAGACTACATATAACACATTCTGACAATGTTTAAGTATTTTTTAAACCCAGATCAATAGGCATCTGAGAAGTTGTTTCATAATGAGAGTTTCCTATGGGGACAACATAAAATTGATGGCTTAGAAACTTGGGTTCTACCCCAGGATGGTGTCAGTAAGTTGTGTGATCCTCGTCTGGCCATTTGAAGAATCTCAAGTTTATTCTCTATTCGTGAAACAAGGAAGTTGAATTAGATCATCAGTCTAATGTGACACAGTAAATGAAATATCTCATAAAATGTCAAGCATTTACAGGCTTTCCTTCCTTCTCTCTATATTTCTTAGTTTATGCTAGTGTCACATTTTCTATAAGCTCTTACTTCCAATTTTTAATTTTAGTCAGTAAGCCCATATCATCTGCAGTACCTATCTAGGCCACAGAATTATTTTTTCATAATAATAATTACTTCCAAATTGTTCTGACTCATTAAATATGCCATATGATAGAGATATTTAAGCCTTAAAAAGCACAATTAAAATCTCATCTGTAAACAGTGAGTTTATGAATTATCTTTGTAATTCTACGCTAATTACAAATTAAATATTTTAAGTCATGCTTTATAATTCACGGATATTTCCCAATTAGAAAACTGACTAAGCATAGCTGCTTGATGTTACATTTATATTTGCAAAATATAAGTACAGTTTTATTTACTAAGGGCTTAAATATCCTATCATAATGGTATACACATTTGCCTAACAAATTTTGAATTAGCTCAGTATCTAAATGACTCTAGGTAATGCCATAAGCCATGGGTTTATGTCAACATTTTCAGGTTATTAAAGAGCCATTATGATCCAGTGTTTATGACATGAAGTACCAGGAAGTTTTGTCAACCTGCCACAGGGCCCAAAATTCTCCTATTTGGTATTAATCTAAGATGGCTTTAAGAGTTCACCAAAAATGAAATATCTTCAGAAGAGAAAGCTGAAGTCAATATCTGGGGCTTGCCAGTGTCCCTTCCCCAAAGTAATAAAAGATTTAGTGGGTAGAGGGGGCAAGACACTCCACCTGATGTTAGTTAAAGACGGGTAACATAATTTGATTCCAATTCATCAGTTTGAATGTAGGCACAAGTCTATATTTGAAATGTGAAAGTGAGGTAGCAATATGTTACAAAGGGATTGGTGGGTTTGTTATGCAAAAGCAAATGAATCCCTTAATGACTAGAGTCAGATCTACTGCTTCAATAGGGAGTGATTCATAAGACTATCATCCAGGGTACCCTGATGGAACACAATCAAGTCTCTGAATCTGTCATTGGAATTGCTGAATCTCTACAATATAATTTCTGCCTTTCCCTAAACCACACAATGAAAGTCTGTGTCCTTGGGGATCCACTGGGGTGCCAGACAATGGCTACTCCTGTTCTGCACTGACAACGTATACTTTGCCTTACCTGGAGAAACTGTGATCCTTTTATCTCATTTTGGCTAGCCCTGCCACCACTGCATTCTTTCCAGTGGGCCTCAGGAAAATGAGATTAACATTAAAATTAGCCTTTTTATTTCTATTATTATTATTATGAAGAAACAGTCTCACTCTGTCGCTCAGACTGGAGTGCAGTGGCATGATCTTGGCTCACCGCAACCTCTGCCTCCGGGGTTCAGGTGATTCTCCTGCCTCAGCCTCCCAAGTAGCTGGGCTTATGGGCAACCACCACCACACCTGGCTAATTTTTGTATTTTTGGTAGAGACAGTGTTTTGCCATGTTGGCCAGGCTGGTTTCAAACTCCTGATCTCAGGTGATCCACCTGCCTCGGCTTCCCAAAGTGCTGGGATTACAGGCATGAGCCACCGCACCTGGCCTTAAAATCAGCCTTTTAATTTATATCTCATGTGTCTATATTATCTGAATTAAAAAATCACTCTTTTATAAGAAAAAAATAAAAACAAAACCCTGAGCATAGTTTTAACTATTGACCCAGAGAATTATAACTTAGATTAGGAATCAAATAATCGGGAAATCACTTAGTTCAAATCAAAATTTTTTTTATTTTTTCTTCAGTGAAGAGTGTACTGTAGTAATTATAACCAAGCAGATAGAATGGGCTGAAAGAGGGATAAAAGAAGGAAAGATTCAAGATGCCATGTCCTTCCATGGAGAAATGTCTGAGTAAAACTCAGTATTTAATTCTGGATACCCAGAAGGGCAGTATGAGTACACTATTAGTAGTAAGCATTCATTCAAATATTTTTGAGCATTTACTCCATATCACTGTTCAGCTTGAGATATCCAGAAACCAAAAATAGAATTTGATGTCAAGAAACTCAGCGGGCAAGGTGAGTGGCAGACCCGTAAATCAACAATTAAAATAAAGTGTAATTTTATACTTGAGGGTTAGAAGAGGAAAGTGGAGGATAGAAAGCCATCAAACAGAAAAAGGGAAGCTAGGCAAGCTTCCTAAAGAAGGTAATGTGAGAGTTTGAAAATTTGAGGCACCATAGATGAGGGAGAAAATAAAAGTGTTTCAGCAGACGAAACAACACATGGAAAGGACAGAGAGAGAGAGAGAATGGCATGTTTGTGAAGTGATTAGGACAAGGATGGTTAAAGGAGTAAGGATGTGTGTGTGTGCATTTGTGTGTGTGTGTGTCAATGTATGTGTCTGATGTGAAGGGTAGACCATCAGAAGAAGCAGGGGAGGTAATAGGATGTTTCAAGAAAGGTGCTGAGATGGCAGCCAAGGAGTTTGCATCTGTTATTGAAGTCAATGCCGAACCACTGAAGGATTTATTAGCAGTAGTAGGATGGTGTGAGATGATACGATCAAATATGCATTTTTCTGCTTTCAGTATGGAGGATAAGCTGGAGGACAGAAAGAATGGAATATCAGGAAATAGTTTTAAAGTTTCTGCAATAGGCCCAGCAAAAATGAAAATAGCTGAAATCAAGAATGGCAGGAGAAGGGGAAGCATGCAATAAATTCCCAAGGTTTTGGAGTGTAGTTTAGATGAGTTGATGAGTTATTTTGTTAGTGGTTGCCCCAGGGACTACAATCAACATCTAAATTTATAACAATCTAATTCAAGTTAAGTGAACTTAATTTAAATGGTATCCAAATTTCACAGCTAACATCATACTTAATGGTAAAAGACTAAAAGCTTTCCCCTAAGATCAGGAACGAGAAAGGATGGCCATTTTAACCACTTCTATTCTGGAGGCTCTAGTCAGAGGAAGTAAGCAAAAATGAAATAAAAGGCATCAAGAGTACAGAGGAAAAAGTAAAAATACTTGCAGATATCCTAAGGATTCCACACACAAAGAAATAACTATTAGAGTTAGTAATGAGTTCAGCAAAGCTGGAGGACACAAGATCAATTCACAAAGTTCAGTTGTATTTCCATACACTACCAATGAACAAACTGTAAATTAAATTTAAAAAAAACTTCATTTAAAATAGCAATCAAGTATAAAAAAGTATTTAGGAACACATTTAACAAAAAAAGCAAGATTTGTACACTGAAAACTATAAAACATTGTTGAAAGAAATTAAGACCTAAGCAAGTACAGACATGTTTATGTTCATGGTTTCGAAGAATTAATGTTGTGAAGATGGTAATCCTCTCAAATTAATCTACAGGTTAAATACAATTCCTCCACAAATTTCAACTGCCTTTTATCTTTTTTACAGAAATAGACAAGTTTATCTATAAGATCGTATGAAAATCCAAGGGACCCAGCAAAGCCAAAACAATCCTGAAAAAGAACAAAAGTTGGTAGGACTTAATCTTACTGATTTCAAAATTTACTACAAAGTTACAATAATAAAAACAGTGTGGTATTGGCATAGGATAAGCATAAAGGTCAGTAATCTATAATGGAGAGTCCAGAAACAAACTCATATATCCATGGTCAATTGAATTTCAACAAGAGTGCCAAAAAGAACAGTTATTTCAACAAATGCTGAAACAATCATTATCTACATGCAAAAAGAAGTGGATTGGACCTCTACTTCACCATATACAAATATTAATTTAATAATAGATCACAAATATAAGTGTAAGAATTAAAACTACGACAATCTTAGAAGAAAACATAGGTATAATTTTCCATGACATTGGATTAGAGAAATATTTTTTGATAAGACAGCTAAAGCACAGCCAACCAAAAACAGAAAAAGGTAAGTTGGAGTTCAAAACTAAAAACTTGTACATGTTACAGGATACTATAAAGAAAGTAAAAATGCAACCCACATAATAGGAGAAAATATTTCCAAAGTATATCTCTGATAAGGATCTAATATCTACAATATATGAAAAATTATTACAACTCAGCAATAAAAAGATAAATAACTCAAAATTAGGCAACTGCAAATTAAAATGTTGACTAGAAGGTTAAGAAACTTGAATCTCCATATATTGCTGAGAATGTAAAATGGTTCATAGCTGCTGTGAAAAAGTTTGGCAGTTCCTCAAAAACTCAAAGGTAGAGTTATCATATGATCCAGTAATCCCATTCCTAGGTATCCATACAAGAGTATTAAAAATATATGTTCACACAAAACTTATACATGAATGTTGATAGAAGTGTTATTCGCAATAGCCAAAAAGTGGAATTATTCTAGTTTATCAATTGATAAATGGATAAACAAAATATAGTATATGCACACAATGGAATATTATTCAATCATAAAGCAGAATGAATAAATGATATATGTTACTACATGAATGAACCTTGAGAACATTATGTAAAGCTAAAGAAGTCAGACAAAAAAGGGCACAGATTGTATGATTTCAATTATATGAAATGTCCATTATAGGACAAATCCATAGAGATAGGATAAGCAAATCCATAGAGACAGAAAGTAGAATATGGTGTCCAGGGGCTAGAAAAGAAGGAAGTAAGAAATGACTATTAATGGGTACAGTTTCTTTTTAAGGTGATGGAAATATTCTGGAATTAGATAGTGGTGATGGTTACAGAGCTTTTTGAATACACTAGAAATCACTAAGTTGTATAAAGTTGTATAAAGAAATCACTTTATAAGGGTGAATTTTATGATATGTATATTATATTTCAAATTTTTTAAAAGAATTAATGTATAGCCAAAGGAAATGCAAACTCTCAGACACACATGGTAGGACTGGGTCTCCGATATAAGGTGCAAGTCTCCAAAACCTAGCTTTATCTTTCTTAGTTTCACCTATAATCAGCCCTTGTTCTATCAAATGTATGCAGTTTCCAACCAATAAGTTACTTGGGCATTGGCAAAAATCAAATTCCTAAGCATTAATAATTTGTAATAAGCATTTTAAGTTTCTTAAATATACATAACAAGATCCTAAGTGTTCATAACATTTAAGATAGTGGATATCCAACTGGAAGATTCAACTGGAAGAAGAAACATGGCAAAGGCAGATTATTAAAACACAGCTTCTTATGTACAGCTCTGATTTTAAAGCTCATGATTTACCATGTGAGCATCCTAAATTTTTCATTGACCCTCTCTCATATTTGCTTCCCAATTCCTTAATACGTGACTTGATTTAATAAATTCTCAAATCCAAAAAAATTTATCACTTATTTTATGAAAATAAGAAACTAGTATGCTGAGGATGGGGAGGAAGAAGGGCATTCACACACACACACACACACACACACACACACACACACACACACACTATGTTCTTTCTAAGAAATAAATATAACAAAGAATGCCAAAAGAATTATCATTTTTTTTTTTGAGACAGAGTCTCGCTGTCACCCAGGCTGGAGTGCAGTGGTGCGTTCTTGTCTCACTACAACCTCTGCCTCCTGGGTTCATCATTCTCACGCCTCAGCCTCCTGCATACTGGGATTACAGGTGCATGCCACCATGCCAATTTAATTTTTTGTATTTTTAGTAGAGATGGGGTTTCATCATGTTGGCCAAGCTGGTACAGAACTCCTGGCCTGATATGATCCGCCCACGTTGGCCTCCCAAAGGGCTGGGATTACAGGTGTGAGCCACCGCACCTGGCCTCAAAAGAATTATCTTAAAGATATTCTATGTAATGCTTCCCTTTACCATTACAAAGAATAAAAAGTTTTTCAGAATGGGATTTACGACATTTCCTTTTGTAGTTCAATACAAATAATTTCAAAGCCATCATTTATTATATTTTATTATAAAGCTAATATAAATCTTTAAAAAATATTTTATAATTTATTTCTAAGACATCTCTAAGTGCAATTGCAATGAGTTTGCAAAGAAATTAACTTGTATTTTTGTAAGTGTTTCAATGACAAATTAATCTATGGCAACAATAATTTTAATTGTGAAAAATATTTGAAGCAACTTTTCAAACATTTCATTTTAATCAACTAATGAAAAATATCCTATCAAATTTGCATAAAGTTAATTTAAAAATGTTTTGTTATATTAGACAATTAGAATACATTGCTTTTTTGTCACTGGATGAGATGTTTGTTTACTTGGGGACTAATGATAAAATGAACCTAAATATTTATAAAGTAGGGCAAATAGTTTTGTGTTCATACACAAACAAGTAAGAAGCATGTCTTGAACAAGACAGTCATTTACTGTATTGAAGCAATTCTGGGCAACTCACCAAAAATAAATCACTGCAATTGCAAATAAAGTAATTCTAATATGAAAGATATTTATAATAAAACTTTATTTCTCTTAGCACTTCATACTTTTCTCCTTTTAACTACCATTTTTGGGGGGTCACTTTTATCAAGACTGGCTATGGAAATCAGGGAAGAATGAATATTTTTGAGTTCTCAGAAGAAGTTGCCAATTAACAACTACACATTTGAGTAGGAGAAATGCTTCTAATGTATTTTACTGCGGACAAATCACCCTGGTTGAATGGTTCAATGCTGATGAAAATGAAAGGGCCAGTAGTTCTTCACACTTTGATGGCAGAGCCCAATACCCTCAATATTAGTGACCTGCACTTGCAGGGGTCATGTTTGTTTTCTCCGGCACAGGGAAGGTGGAGTCTTAAGAAGACAAGTCATAATCTAGAAGAAGTTCTTAACATCCAGCAGTAATAAACCCCATCCAAAACTCCCCAAAACAGCTCCAGAGAAGCTTCTACAATTTCAAGACAATTTTTATATTTTCTCTAATAACCCTAGAAATAAACATGATTTCTTTTTTAAATGATCTAATGTTAGCTTTATTTGAAACAGGCCGATCATACAACTTTTTTTTCATGAAGTCTCTGGGACAGCATAGAAAATTTTAAAAGGCTGTCAGTAAAATCACTACACTTAGCCCACAAAACCCATTCTGCAGTGTTGCAGAATATCCCTGACACTAGGGCAAAATAGTTTCCTTCAATGAGGCTTCTGCACTACCCCACCATGAAGCTGAACTAAGGCAAGTACACAAAGAAGTCAATTCAATTTTGAGAAAGAAATAGTTGTCCTCATCCAGCAGTATTTGTTACAGTCTTCAGCAAAGTGCCTGGCATTGTGTTAAGTATATAAAAGCACGGAAGAGAGAATTACTAACTTTATACTGTTCAGTCTAGTGGAAGAAATAGAAGGGGCAGTATGAATGAAGGCTAAGAAGTGTGAAACAGAGTGGCAAATGAGGAACTCAGAAGGTTGCTGTGGCTAAATCATAGGACAAATTTGGGAGAGTGTCCATGGATAGGGCTACAGACAGAGAGGGGTCAGAGAATAGCCAACATTCATTTAAAGTTTAGTATTTGCCAAATGCTGTGGTGAATATGTCACTTTTTTTTTTTTTGAATTGAGTTCTCACAACACAAGTCTACAAGGCAGACACTATTTTGATTCCCCATTATAGGTGATGAAACTAAGACCCAGAAAAGTACACTGGATACACACTCACACCCATGCAACCCGCTCACTGACACCTATGCAACCTGCTCATAGGTAGGGGGATGTGAGACTGTCATGTGACTGCTGTTCCCACTCGCCAGAGCCTAGGCATGTATCATAAAAGGTCCTGTGCTCCAAAACGTGCATCTGTAGTTAAGAAAGTGTCACTGATGGCTGGGCGCGGTGGCTCACGCCTGTGATCCCAGCACTTTGGGAGGCCGAGGCAGGCGGATCACTAGGTCAGGAGATCGAGACCATCCGGGCTAACACGGTGAAACCCCGTCTTTACTAAAAATACAAAAAATTAGCCAGGCGTGGTGGAGGGCGTCTGTAGTCCCAGCTACTCGGGAGGCTGAGGCAGGAGAATGGCGTGAACCCGGGAAGCGGAGCTTGCAGTGAGCTGAGATCACACCACTGCACTCCAGCCCGGGCGACAGAGACAGACTCCGTCTCAAAAAAAAAAAAAAAGTGTCAATGAGTATTACACAGATGAGCAGCATGATTAACCTTGTATTTCAAAATGGTGTGGCCAGGCACAGTGGCTCATGACTGTAATCTCAGCACTTTGGGAGGGCGAGGTGGGCGGATCACCTGAGGTCAGGAGTTTAAGATCAGCCTGGCTAACATGGTGAAACCCCGTCTTTACTAAAAATACAAAACTTAGCCAGGCGTGGTGGTACACACTTATAATCCCAGCTACTCGGGAGGCTGAGGCAGGACAATCGCTTGAACCCAGGAGGCAGAGGATGCGGTGAGCAGAGATCGCACCACTGCACTCCAGCCTGGGCAACAGAGACTCCAACTCAGAAAAAAATGATGGTGAGCCTGACCCCAAGTTGAGCTCCTGACCCCCTCAAAGCAGGTGTGATAAGCAGAGGGCCAAAGTGGTAATCCAGGCTAGGGATGATGAGGTCGAAAATTCTGACAGCAGAAATGAAAAAGGGAAATGGCCCTGCAGGAGCATTAATGCCACTAGGTTATTTCAGTTGCTAACTATTGACTCTGGAATAAGAAATATGCTCTTGATGTATCTCTGAGACTCATTAAATGTGTTGGTCTGAAAGGATGGTGGTGATCTTGTTATGTTACTATTCCTGCTCAAGGGTTTTCTTTTTTCTTATTACTTTCTTGCCTTTTATTCTTTATTCTTTGCTCTGAAACAAAATTGTCACCATCTCAATATCTGAATCTCAGAAAGCAGGCAGACTGACATTGAAGTTTCACATACCCCAAACAACCAGCTTCCAGCACGGTAGCCTTACAGACACTTCCCAGAATACAGCAGGACCGCCTTTGCTTATTAAATTTATTTTTAACTTTTAATGTAGGATATTTTAAAATCTAAAAGAGGATTTTACTGGACAGGGATAAAAACAAACAAATGATAAAAATGTCATCATAATCTTTCCCTTTATTGTGAAACAAATGAAACTAACCCACACTGGAATTTGGTATTGCTGCTGTTCATCTTGCATCTCTGGTTTTAAAGTCTCCCATTCTCTGTTCCTGCCATTTCACCTTTCCTATCTCAGTTGAGCACTTAATCCATATCAGTTTCCCATTCTTCTGGACAAAGACTTATCCAGGGGTGTTCTCATGGCTAAGAATGGCCAAATATAGCCCTTGTGGCCAAATAATAAACACTGGATTGTTAGCTATGAGCCGCATAAGCCTGAGACTGACAGGGGCCAATTTGCTGCCATGTGGTGCCTGAAAATGATGCTAAACTCAGGAGTTAGTGAAGTGAGAGAAATGCACAGACAGTCAGCATCCTAGTGATATCATTTGAATACCTAAAGCCACTGGGTTGGAATCAAACCCACATCCTTTAGTTTCCCCTCATCCTTTTTAAAATACAATAATTTGAATTGGATTTCTGCTACTTGCAGCTGCAATAGTCCTGATGACTAATGCAAGGACAACAATAAATTATGTTCTTTTCTTTGAAAACACAAAACAATAGAATGCTGGTACATTATATGGTGAAGTAAATTTATACTTTGCTTATCGATAGATTAACTTGAATTATGAGCTGGTACTCACAATTCCTCTGGCATGAGTAACCAAATATTAGAGAACTTTGAAGTACAAAGCCAAATGAGTATTCCTTTAAGAAGAAACTTTTATAAAGAAAGCCAATGACAAAACAGACCAAAAGAGATTTTTTTTCACAAGTATAAAAACATTAGGAATCTGAAAATTTCAGCAACATTTAAAACAATGTGGTGAGCTGCATTTAGCAAGACGCATTACAATTGAGGAAGATCAAAAACAGGAGTGAATATATTTCATGAATTATGCATTGTATCAGTATCTCATTTGTTAAGTATTTTGACCTCTGCTATTTTTGTGCTGGTGTCTGTCGTACTCCCAATTAATCAGAAAGGAAATTAGCATGGTAGATAATAGATAATGCTAGAATTAAGGACAGAAAGTTGAAAACCCTTATAGTAATTTAACATTTAAAAGCATGAAATTAGTTTTAAAATTAAAATGAAATCAAAGAGCAGGAACAAAAAGTAACTTTTTCTTGGTTCAAACTATGCTTTTTGAAAGGACATAAAATTGCTCACTATATTTTTAATCTCCACAAAGTAGTTCATTTGCTTTTGAACTACTTTCTGTCAAATAAAAATATAGAAAACAATGAGCTAACCATTGGAGGTTCGGCATTCAAACTGAATATAGCATATTAAAAAATGGTATGATGGTCAAATATAGAAAACAATTTTTACAAAGGATACTTTATTACTGAAATTATAGGCAAAAATTTTCATCAGAGATGGGAAATTAAAATGATTATATATGTATTTGTGAATTTTCCTAAAAATTAAAATAATGTAATGATTTCTCTCATAAAGGAAGTATTAATTATAAAAGTAATTTCCTTTATAAAAATGCACTATTTTCTAAATACAAAGTTCTAAACAGAGAAATTAATAAAAAGGCACCATTTCCTACAAAGTCCTAGAAAGCTCTCATGATGTCCCTCTACCCTTCCCTACTACCTCTCTGACTCCATTCCCTATTGCTTTCCTCTGCTCACTGTGCACCAATCAAACTGGCCTCCTTCGTGTTCCTCAAATGTTCCAGGCATGTTCCCACCTCATGGTCCTTGCACTGGCTGGTCCCTCTGCCTGGAATGCTCTTTGCCCTATATTCACATGGCTCTCTCCCTTCAAGAATTTGTTCTAGTGTCATTTTCTCAAGAAGTCCTCCCTTGACAACTGTATTTAAAATTGCCCTGCGGCAAAGCTGAAACATCTCTGGCTGAGATTAAAACAAAATTTTCTAATCAGAAGCAGAAATCAACTGGTTACTTTATTCTTTTTCTATCTTCATTGACTAGAAAAATAATTGACTTGTCTTGCCAGAGGCAGAATTTAGCTTGGAAAACAAGAGTCACTTTTTTCAATATAGTTTACTTACCTTTTTCTTGTCTTATTGGAATTATGCTGCAGGCAAGGTTAACATTTAAGATCCATGTAAACACGAGAAAATTTACCTAACCAGAGTATCCCTGCACTCATCATGGTTGTTGTTTTCTACGCAACACACTAGGGACATCCTTCCATTTTAATAAGACTGCTTTACCTTGGGAATGCTTCTTGGACGAGTGAGAGGTGAAGGGAGACTGGTAGACATACTGAAATTTTGACAGACGATGTGGTCAAAGATGGTACATTCCCACCAATACGATAATTATCAGCAATCACAGAACATTCACCCAAACCTATTATAATTCCAAAGACAGCAAAGCAACTGACTTTATATACTTGGTATCTAGGGTAAAAGATCAATCACAATCATGATAACTAATGACTATACATATGTCTGTTATTTACTGTTCTTTTACAAGTAACAAAAATACATTGCACTTAGATAACATCACCTAAATGTATTCTTCTTCAGATCCTCAAATACAAATGCTTTCACCTTGAATGAGGATTTTACCTTATAGTAAACTTAATTTTTAAAAGGCACTCTTCTTTTAATAAAGAGCAATTAAAATCAAAATAATCTATGCATATTTGCATAAAAATGTAAATGTAAAATATATTTTAAGTTTTTCTCTTTATGGGTATATTCCTAAAGCATTCAGATCTGAGTGAAAAATATAAATCAAGTAAATAAATGTGACTGGCAAATTTCAGGGTGACTCAAGGACTGACTTGTACTAAAAACAAGAGTGGTAAAGAATCACATGTACTGAGCAAGCTGGAGAGTAACCAGCATGTACACAATGTGTGTTCTCATGCAGTAATCATAACCTTCACAGCAACCCTAGGTCATAGATGCTATTATTATACACACTCTACAGTTGAGAAATCTAGGCACAGAGAAGTTATTTGATAAAGATTAATAGAGTTGGGGATAAAAAAACTAGGAAATCTCATTTGCGCTCTTGGGCCCTTAACCATTACACCATATTTTCTCCAATGACTAGCAAGTCTTCCGAAGGAAAAGTGTGGAAATAAATGAAGGAGAACACATGCAGATTATTTTTAAAGAAAAATTTTGTAGATTCAGAAAGAATAATAGCAAAGTAAAGACAGCCAAGTCTTTATACTGTTAGCAGAATATGTTATATGGCAATATGTTAAGAGGTAAGGAAACAATATTAGGACAAGCAATTCATTGTTCTATTGGGGGAGAAAGATTTCTGTGAAATAAAAAATTCTTCCCAAGAGTCTCTTCCTCTTTGGTCTTCTATTACTTTTATTCTTTTCCTAAAGGTCCTGCTATCCACTTACAGAAGATAAATACATCTTTTTTTTAACCTACAAAATTTCCTTTACAGTTTAGGAGGTCACACTATTAGCAGGAATTATGAAAAGATTGTAAAATTTCAAGTTGAACGACCAGGATTCTAGTTCTAATTCCTTTACCGTGTAGTGTGTGAATTTTATTTCAACACAATACACATTGTCTTATGGAACCATTTTCCCCTCCTCAGCAGAGATGAGTAATTGTGACAGAGACCTTATGGTTCCAAAAGCCTAAAATATTTATTACCTGACCCTTTGCAGAAAAAAGTTTGCCCAAGCCTAGTCTAAGTGATCAGTGAGAAAATGCACAGGCAATACAGAGTTTCTGGCACAGGGTAAGCACTCAACAGATGGGGGCTCAGCATCCGCAGCAGTGGGTGGTTGATGACGATGGAGGGCACTAGGTGCTCTAAAAAAAAAAGAAGGAAATTTCACGGTACCCAAGGACTAACACAGGATGCATAACATGTATTGCCAGAGAGTTCTAAAGTTTTTTTTTTTCTTTTTTTGTATAGAACCTCCTTTCCTTTAAAAAAAATATTTTAGGTTTGGGGTACATGTGAAGGTTTATTACATAGGTAAACACGTGTAGGGGGGGTTGTTGTACAGATTATTTCATCACCCATGTATTAAACCCAGTACCCAATAGCTATCTTTTCTGCTCTTCCTCCTCCTCCCAACCTCCTCCCTCAAGTAGACCCCAGGGTCTGTTGTTTCCTTCTTTGTGTTCATAAGTTTTATCATTTAGCTCCCACTTTTAAGTGAGAACATGCAGTATTGGGTTTTCTGTTCCTGTGTTAATTTGGTAAGGATAACAGCCTCCATCTCCATCCATGTAGCCACAGAAGACATGATCTCACTATTTTTTATGACTGCATAGTATTCCATGGTGTCTATGTAACACATTTTCTTTATCCAATCTGTCATTGATGGACAGTTAGGTTGATTCCATGTCTTTGCCATTGTGAACACTGCTGCAATGAACATTTACGTGCATGCATCTTTATGGTAAAATGATTTATATTCCTCTGGGTATATACCCAGTAATGGGATTGCTGGGTTGAATGGTAGTTCTGCTTTTAGCTCCTTGAGAAATCACCATATTGCTTTCCACAATGGTTGAACGAATTTACACTACCACCAACAGTGTATAAGTGTTCCCTTTTCTCCACAACCTCGCCAGCATCTATTATTTTTTTACTTTTTAGTAATAGCCACTCTGACTGGCATGAGATGGTATCTCATTGTGGTTTTGATTTGCATTTCTCTAATGGTCAGTGATATTGGGCTTTTTTTCATATGCTTGTTGGCCACATGTATGTCTTCTTTGGAGAAGTATCTGTTCATGTCCTTTGCGCACTTTTTAATGGGGTTTTTGTTTTTATCTTGTAAATTTATTTAAGTTCCTTATAAATGCTGGGTATTAGAACTTTGTCAGATGCATAGTTTGCAAATATTCTCTCCCATTCTGCAGGTTGTTGTTTACTCTGTTGATCATTTCTTTTGCTGTGCAGAAGCTCTTAAGTTTAATTAAATCCCACTTGTCAATTTTTGCTTTTGTTGCAATTGCTTTTGTTGTCTTTGTCATGAAATCTTTGCTTGCTCCTATGTGCACGAGGTATTGCCTAGTTTGTCTTCCAGGGTTTTGGGTTTTATATTTAAGTCTTTAATCCAACTTGAATTGACTTTTGTATATGGTGTAAAGAATCTTCTGCATATGCCTAGCCAGTTATCCCAGCACCATTTATTGAATAGGAAGTCTTTTTGCCATTGCTTGTTTTCATCAGTTTTGTTAAAGATCAAGTGGTCGTAGATGTGCAGACTTCTTTCTGGGCTCTCTACTCTGTTCCACTGGTATGTGCCAATTTTTGTACCACTACCACGCTGTTTTCATTACTGTAGCCTTGTAGTATAGTCTGAAGTCTGGTAAAGATGCCTCCAGCTTTGTTCTTTTGCTTAGGATTGCCTTGGCTATTGAGGCTCTTTTTTGGTTCCATATAAATTTTAAAATAGTCTTTTTTTTTCTAGTTCTCTGAAGAATGTCATTGGTAGTCTGATAGGAATAGCACTGAATCTATAAATTGCTTTGGGCAGTATAGCCATTTTAATGATACTGATTCTTCCTGTCCATGTGCATAGAGTGTTTTTCCATTTGTTTGTGTCTTCTCTGATTTCTTTGAGGAGTGTTTTGTAATTCTCCTTGTAGAGATCTTTCACCTCTCTGGTTAGCTGTATTCCTAGGTATTTTATTCTTTTTGTGGCAACTGTGAATGGGATTGCCTTTCTATCTTTCGCTCTCAGTTTGGCTGTTGCTGGTGTAAGGAATGCTAGTAATTTTTTTACATTGATTTTGTACTCCGCAACTTTGCTGAAGTTGTTTATCAGCTGGAAGAGCTTTTAGGATGAGTTGATAAGGTTTTCTAGATATAGAATCATGTCGTCTGCAAACAGAGATAGTTCACTTCCTCTCTTCCTATTTGGATGCCCTTTATTTCTTTCTCCTGCCTGATTGTTTTGGTTAGGACTTCCAATACTGTGTTGGATAGAAGTGGCAGTTGTCTTGTGCTGATTTTCAAGGAAAATATTACCAGTTTTTGCCTATTCAGTATAATGTTGGCTGTGGGCTTGATATAGATGGCTCTTGTTGTTTTGAAGTATGTTCCCTCAATACCCAGCTTACTGGGAGTATTTAACATGAAGGGGTGTTGAATTTTATCGAAAGCCTTTTTGCATGTATTGAGATAATCATGTGGTTTTTGTTTTTAGTTCGATTTATGTGATGAATCACATTTATTAATTTGTGTATGTTGAACCAACCTTGCATCCCAGGGACGAAGCCAACTTGATCACACTGGATTAACTTTTTGATGTGCTGCTGGATTCTGTTTGCAAGTATTTTGCTGAAGAACCTTCTTTTCAACTAAAGTGTTATATTGAAACTCAATACGCAAAACAAAAGCAATGCCCCTCTTGTTGGGGATGGAGATGGCAGAGCTAAAATTCAGGCATATTGGTTATCAGCCTTTAGTTTTTTCCTCTGCATCATATACTATTTTCTTATTTTCTCATATAATAAAGTTTTGTTATTGCTGAGTTTTTATTTAATTGAGTAATGAAGATATATAAAGTTGTATTAAGAGATGTCATGACAAATTTATCTTTCAACTAGTAAACTAGGGCCTCCTCAGCAAAAGGTTCATATCATGTTTTTCCAACATCAAACATCACAGATACTTATTTGATAGTTCCCAATTAATTGTTTAAGATTGTTTTACAACTCTATCATTAATTATCATTCTAGAAAATACCGCCTTATGAAGGGAAGCAAAAGCAATTTATAACATCAGTCAGAATGCACTTTGGGGTAGAATCTGGAGGCTGTGCCTTTAGTTGGTGGGGAAGCTTGAATGCGAAGGAGGGGCTACACTCTAATTTTCTTCTCGCTCCTCGCTCTTACTTCTCACTGCTCACTCAACATCTTTACTAAATAGTCTTAACACCATTCAGAAACTGGTGTCAAATGTAGGGCTGTTTGGCCCATCTGTGTCCTCCTCCACCACTACCACTACCACCACCACCCCTACCTCAACATCAACCTCTGACTTCTGTCTCCTATCTGTCCCTGCTGCACTTTGGACCACATGTTACTACCAGTCACACGTCCACTGTCCAAGGACCCTCCTCACCATAAAGGTTCCATTTCATTAGTTGTAGTATAAAATCTATACTATATACTATAAAATCCATTACATTTTTTCTTTGAAACATAGTCAACTGAAAACATTTAATGTGGAAAAATTTATTTAACATCAGTTGTCCTATCAACAAACAAAATTTTTCACAAGGCCCTGTTTTGTTAAATTGTGATTTCAAATTACTTTTCATATTACCTAAAAACTATTTTTTAACTTCTTATTTGTAGAGATAAAATGGTTCCTATAATAGATTTGAAAAACATTTGCTCTTGTTACATGAAGTACTACAGATTTGTGTTACTAAGTCTTACGAGCATTAATCAATACTTTCAGCATTCAAAAAGGTATAGGTAATAACTGCTACCAAGAATGAGAGAGAAAGAGGCTAGGCGTGGTGGCTCATGCCTGTAATCCCAGCACTTTGGGAGGCCGAGGCAGGTGGATCACTTGAGGCCAGGAGTTTGAGACCAGTCTGGCCAACATGGCAAAACCATGTCTCAACAAAAAATACAAAAATTAGCTAGGCATGGTGGTACATGCCTGTAATCCCAGGAACTCGGGAGGCTGAGGCACAAGAATCACTTGAACCCAGGAGGCAGAGACTGCAGTGAGCCGAGATTGTGTCACTGCACTCCAGCCTGGGCAACAGAGCAAGACTCTGTCCCCGCCCCCCCCAAAAAAAGAAGAATGAGAGAAAAAGAGAAGAGAAAAGAGATGGGAGAAAATAAGAATTAAAAACACAGGGTAATTTTATACTTAATCACCAATAAATTATTTGTGAAGAGGAATATGCTCAGTAAATTCTTAACTGCTAAAATACTACTTTGCCCTAAAACCTAAACAGAAGGGCATATTTACTTACCACTATTACAGGCAAAGTAATGGAATTATGAGCCTATGAGACAAATGTTAAAGGGTAAGTTATCACAACGATTCCCCCTCCACCCCTTATAAAAATGAGTTTTGCTGCCTTGTCACTGTGGGCTAACCAGAGGTAAAGGGGACAAATACTTGGAGAAACCTAAGTCTACGACAAGGAGATCCTGACGCAGGAGTGGATGTAACCCAGTGAAGGAAAGATCTGTAGGGACAATGGGGGAAGAAAGCAACAGAAGGTGAGGAGAGTCACAGATCATTGTGAAGATGAATGTTGGCACTTCAGAATGAGGGGCTAAACTTCATTCAGAACTTCAGAATGAGGACTTAGCACTTAGATACGACTTCAGAATGAAGATTTGGTCTTGCTATGTGATGTGTGCTTTGAATGCATCATTACATGTCAATCATAGTTACCACTGCTCTAAGGTCTGCAGCCTGAGAGACAATTTCTCGGCAAAGGGGTATACAGTGTGCACTTCACTCAGTTTCTCAGCCTCCTCCAGTCCACAAAAGGTCACCTCTCAAACTTCTGCAAACTTGGAAACAGAGAAAAGAACCATAACCACCCACAGGACTGTGCTGCAAAACTTCAAAACAAAAAGTACTGCTGACCTGCAACTATTCCTAATCAAAAAGTTGTGTTGACTTTTAGCTTGGGCTAACCAGCAAATTCACAGAAGTGCCCACAGTATGAAAAATAAAGAATCGCCTTTATTCCTCCTGCCCAAGGCTACTGAGGAACCCATTTATCTTTGGGGAGTTATTCTCTCAAATATTCCCTCAGAATGCTGCCTACGGGAAAACGGCTGCAGCTGCTTCTTAATGCAATTTTTGTCAGGAAGATAAGTTTCCTCATTGAAAGGGTAAGTGGAAGAAGAACAGGCTTCTGCAAACTGTCATATTTCACAACAAAAAGGGCTTTTAAAATTCCCTTAGAGTTTGATTTTCTCTTCTAGACCAAAAGAGCTTTAATTGCTCTACCTCAATATGCCTTGTTTCTTCAGTCCAAATCTAGACAAAAAATTTAATTCTCTGAAAGACTACTCCTTTTCTGTTAAATTGCTTTCCTTCTGGATATAAAGTTGGCCAATAATCAGTCTGAAATGGGCTGCCTTTAGTGGAATGTGATTCTCTTTAGTCAAAGGAAAGACACTTTTCACCCTGTCCTTCTGGCTCTGCGGCAAAGAGGGAAGACAGTCTGCTTTTCTGTCCTCTTTAAGGAAAGCTCCACTTCAATGCTATCTGCTAGACAGAAGGCTTTCAGATAGACACCAACCCGAAATTACTTCTGCTAGAAGATCTCATGGAAATAAGAACCCATGAAGCAATCAGTTTGAAGAAAATGGTATGCTATATTTAGCTAGTTATTAAATTAATTTTGTAAGGCATCTTTATGATGTCCACAGTTTGGGATTAATGGTAAAACACAGGAGCAACGTAAATTACCTTTGGAATACACAAGCTAATTAGAAATATCAACTATTCAAATAGTCCATCCACTTAAGCAATAAGATTGATAGACTCAGATAAAGGAGAAGAAAAACATTTTGGATATTTTCTCCCTCATTTATTACAATGACTTTTAACATCTGGAGATAGACCTATGATTCAATTCATTTATTTCTCTCCTTTACCATACTGGGCTCTAATGATTAAAAGATAAATAACACTGTATCTGCACTCCAAAAGACTAAGAAACTAGCAGAAAAGCAAGTATCTTATAATAATTGTGTAATCTAAGCCAAACTTGTGATATGAACAAAGGAGCCAGGGAATGCAAGGGAGGAAGAAAGTAATTTGGCCAGAAGTCAGAAGAAAGAAGAATGCAAGATGCCCTCCTCACTAAAGGGTAAATTTGAGCTGACCCTTGAGAATAATAGGAATTTGCTAAGCAGAGAAGTGTTAAGAGGGTATTTCAAAGAAGACTGAAATCTATAACATTTGAGGCAAGGCAGAGAACTTTGTGAACATAGGAAGCAGGGTGGAAGGAGTGGGGAAGAGGCTAGCAAGGGAGATCTTTGTGAAGCCTTGAATACCATACAAAAAAATTCATTTTCCTCGAGGCTCTGAGGAGATGCCAAAGATTTCTGAGCAAGGAAGAGATTACCATGACTTTGCCTTTAGGTTAAAGTTGAAGCAAATGATAGCTGCAATAAATACTATACAACATAGCTTTTAAAAAGCATATTGTTTTGGATTTTAACAACTCAGTTCTAGGGCAGGGAACAAGAGAGAAATCGTAACCACTAACTTTTGGCTCTTCATTTTTGTGTACGTGTTTACACTCAAATAACAAAGCCATTGATTTTTTTTAATAATCAATTTTGTTAACAATTATTCTCAAGGTTAAATTCTGCTTGAGATGCCTACGTGTATAATAAGCATCACATATGCCCAGTATATCTAAAACTTATGGAAAAGACACTACAGTTTAATGCTATCATTATTTCCTGTCATGGTCATTAGGAATATATTAATTTTATCTTCTCACATTCAATACTATTCTTTACAGGTTTATTTTCTTTGTTAGTCTTTCCTCTGTGTCCTTTTTCATGAGCAGAAGGAAGATTGGAATATTAATGCACATTATTGTGGCTGAATACCAAAAAAAGCTATTTTCTAAGTTTTTATTTTCAGAAGAACAATACAAACTCTCCCACTCCTTTTTGTTTTTTTTTTTTGGAATTTAGTTAGAACAGATGAAGTAGAGAGAGAATGAGAGAGAGTTTTCCTACAAAAAGATATTCTGAAGCATCCTGCTATGTCAGTCAGATCCTCAAGCTGCCAGAAACAGGACATACCCAGAAGCACTGTGCTGTGTAATGGGAGAGGGGCCCCCCTGTTTTTGAGCACCTTGATCCAATGGTGTCCTAACTAGAAAGTCACCTCGGAGATGAAGCAAGGAAAAATACACATTAAGGTTACACTTTATGCAAAAAGCATTAATAAGATCGATATTTAAAACCAGACCTTACTGAACAAAGTAATGGGCTCATACCCTTTTTTGGTTTTCCTTTAGTAAATAGTTGCCTAAATTTGGTATAGTTTCCTGTATTCCTATTGCTAAAAATAAATAAATGAAAATGGGGGCTACTGTTTGGATACCTCATGGTCAACCACCCATAGACACTTAAGCAAAATTTAGGTCATCCCAATTTCCTGGAAATCCTAACCCTAAACATAAAAATGCAAGCGTTATGTTTTTGCCCCTCACAGCATGATTCAGTGAAATTAAATCAATCAGCTATAGACAAATCAGCTTAAATAGCTCTATTTGCCTTAAAAAAGAAAACATGACAGCCAATCACGACAAAGGTGAACACACTTCCTCTTTTATTCCCTGTCAACTGTGCTGTAACTGCTGTAGAATTGAGGCTTGATGCCATTTTTCAGTTTTGAGGCTCCCAGTCTGCAAACTATTGCTCTTAAAATTCAAAATTAGCTGGGCATGGTGACACATGCCTGTAATCCCAGCTACTCAGGAGGCTGAGGCAGGAGAATCACTTGAACCCGGGAGGCGAGGGTTTCAGTGAGCCGAGATTGCGTCACTGCACTCCAGCCAGGGCAACAGGAGCAAAACTCTGTCCCTAAATAAATAAATTAAATAAATAAGTAAATAAATAAATAAAATCAGACCTTAAACTTAGAATTTCTACTTGCACAAAAAATTACATCTCTCTCTCCCTCTCTCTTTCGAGCAATAGATAGATAGATAGATAGATAGATAGATAGATAGATAGATAGATAGATAGATAGATGATAGATAGATAGATAGATAGATAGAAAAAAAGAGAGAAAAACAAATACATTAAGCCACTAACCTTTCCTAGCCCAATGTTTTACTTAAGTTTTAAAGAAAAAAGTTCAACATTTAATCTTTACAGGGACCGAAATAAAATGAGGAAACAAGGATGTGATTTAATATTGTAGGCTCATTTATCTTCATTTGTAAAAAGAAAAAATCACTCTAAGTAAATGGTTATAACCCTCAATGACCAACAGAGGTAAGAAGATGGCAGATAAATGCAAAATGTAATGAGGTAGGAATGTCCAAAAAGCCCTGCCTGTCCTCAGTGTAGATTCTTTTCAATAAAGATTGATTGTAGCCTTCAAGGCACAATGTATGTCATCATTCTTCAGACTGCTCTTCCTGGGAGACTGAACTCCCTGGCTATTTTTATTAACCTGGGTTTGTCTATTTTGACAGAGAAAAAGAAAAAAGCTTTGAGTTGTGTATTTTTGAAGTGTACCCTCATATAACCAAAGCAACAGGTTTGCATTGATATAATCATCTGATATGTGTGCCTATATTTCTGAAATTGTCAGATTCTTCTCTACATACTGTTACCAATGTTGAGCCACATCAGTGAATGCACATCATGAATGCACTGTCGACTTACTACAGTTTTTTATTTGACAAAAACTGTTAGAAAGTTACACAAATTATCCCAGACGAATTACCTCTCTAAATGGTCTAACCTATAGATTATCTGTTTTTAAAGGCTTTTGAAGAAATACATTTCATGATTATTCTTTAGTTCATGTCGAAGTTTAAAAATAATACACACACGTGAAAAAAGTGTTTTCTGATCTACTCCACATGCCTCTTGTTTCCAATTTGGCTCATCCGGATTTACTCCTGTGGAATTAAGGACTTGTGTTAAGTGTAAGTAGAGATGATCTTCTCTGAAAAGTGGAATCCGAGTCTTTTCTCTACCCACTGCTACACAGGTGTTTGGAACTTCAGTTTCCTTTCTACGAAATGGAGAAAATAACAATTCATATGTAATAGATTTCAACACATTTCTTTGCTGCATCACCCAGTATGTTTCTGCTATATTTCTTCCATTCTAAGGTGCCACTGATTGCAAGTCCCACTAGTGAATGAATAACCGCTTTTCTGAACATTTCTGAAATATTAAATGAGTAAAAACATTGTCTTAGTATCAGAAAAGAAGGATTTTTAAGGCAATTTTTAGCCAGGCTTTAAACAGATGTTCAACTACAAATTAGTTTGTTAGGAGGATAACATCTGGTTGTAGAAGGTCTAGGATATTTTATCTTGGGATTTAACATATATATTAAATGAGTTAATTTCAATGACAAATAAAAATTTTAAATATTACTGAAATAGAGAAAACGGGAAGAAAAATGTGATAGCTTTGTGCCTTGTCCTATGTGTTTTATATAAGTTATTTCATTTAATATTTACAACAATCCTTTGAAATACATACTACCTTACCATTTTAAATTGAAGGAAATTCAGGCTCCAAAGAGGTAAAACAAAAACAAACAAACAAACAAAAAACTTGAGCAAAATATACTAATAATAGGATATCTAGTAAGTGGAGAAATGGAAACTTAAAAAGCCTAGGACCCTTTCTACTACAATGCCTCTCAAATAAACGCCCACTCGACAAGTTTACAAAAAAAAAACTAAACCTCTGATAAAATATACTTCCACATGCTTAAAACAGTTTGCTTAGAAATACACCTTTTATATTATCTTCATCTAATTATTCGGGGATACTTACTCACTAAGCACTACTGTTAAAGCCAATGTCATCACGGAGATAAAATTCTGAGTGTCTATACCGTTATGCTCTAATATACATCATCATTTTTAAAATGCAGATAAAATCCCATTATTTTTACTTAAATTAGGATACTTGTTCTCTGATAAGGCTAAACAATTATTATTAATTGCATTCTATCTATGCCTATATATGCCAGAGGTAGTTAGGAGCTGTGTGAAGTCAGAATGAACTGGGTTTGAGTACCTGCTTCACTACGTTACCAGCCATGGGACCCTGGACTAGTTTACTGAGCCTGTTTAAACCACAATCTCAACATCATTTATAAGTTCATGTTCCTAAAGCTCTGCCTAGCATAGAGTAAATCTGGATGATTCATTCCATAAATATTTTAAATGTTACTGAGGTAAATAGCCTATAAAAGGGAATTCAAATTCTCAACACATTTAACTTCAGCTTAGGCAAACTGTGCTCAGTGTCTTATATATAGAAGTAATTATGCCTAATTTTAGACTCAAGCATATTATAGTCAGCTTCATCACTAATTAACATATCAAATATTGCCTTCTCCATAGAATTAGAGAAGTACTGGTGAAAATGGTATGGTGGCCCATAATAAGCACCTGTTAGAGATCAATTCTTGATCAAGAATATCAAGAACCAAAGTGAACTTCGGTTTGCAATGAGTGAAAATTACCTACAAAGGTGTTTCCCAGATTTTATTCCATAGACACTAACATCATAACATACTCCTAGAGGAAAAAAGGGTCCCTGCAATCTTGGATTAATATAAAAGCTCCCTTTTGGGCATGCAGGCTGCGTATGTGCTCTCTGGTGACCTGCAGTAAGGAAGTCTGTTTAACTTTGTTTACAGATTCACAATTCTCTGAATGTGTATGATGACAGAATTGTTTTTCTTACATGAAACCTATTAAAACTAGTTCCGTGGAAACATAGTCCAGGATTCAATACACTTCTTTTGATTCTCCAATTAAAAAGATGAGAAAAACATTCTTCTTTAATTTCCAGTAACAATAATGGTATGATTGATCTCCTCTTCAGTTTTCAGAAAGTTTCTGCTACAGAGAAATGAAGGTACATGTTAAAATTTCAACTAATTCAATGTTGAGTGTGATAGGATGAGAACAGCATATGGCAGTGAGTCTTACACTTCCTACCTACATGAACTGTTTTAGTTCCATAATTTTTTTTTTATTTTTGGCAATGGATTCCTGCCACAGAAATAATATATCTCTAGGCTATGATATGGCTGGACAAATTCATTTTGTCCTAGCAAAAGGAGAATAAACGTACATTGGATTGGTAGGTTCTTCCTCATCACAAAACAGCAATGGTGTATCATGCAATGAATTGCTGTGCTTATTAAAAGAAAAAAAATATCCTTCCACAGTAAAACATGGTGTCAGCTTACTGGTCACTAAATCAGGAAAATCTCATTAAATTCAAAACACCCAAATGAAAATCAAACAACCATGGAAAACAGTGTGCTTCATTTGCATGTTTCTAAAATCTACTACAGGACAGAATATGCTGTACCCTAATTATATTGGTTTCTAGTGGACTTAAAATGGAAATTACAACTCTCTCACTCCCTTACCCCCTAAAAGTCCATATTTAGAGAATTTTTAAAATCCCAAAGTTGAATGTGTAGTTTCAATGGCATGATGTAAGGCAATATTAAATCTTCACCAACCTCAAAAGCAGTCATGATAATAGAAATTATTTCTCAAAAAAAGAGAAGCCGGTATTGTCTCATCATGCAATGATTCACATATCATTGTGACTACTTAGAGTATTAGGATTAAAAAAAAATAAGAAATGACTACTGGAGAAAAAAATAAAGATGCTCTCTATCCTCCTAAAATTTCACATTGGTAAGTGATCTCTGATGCTCCTTATAATCACGTTTCTAATAATCACTTTTCTTAATAAGAAAGTCCTTCCAAAATACATACTATGTGGTTCAAAACATTAGCCCTTCCAAACAGAAGTCCCTATTTGGGTGTCATCTGATTCCTGGCCTACCCAGATGAAACACTGGACACATACACAATGTGGATACCCTTTATTAGCATCTTGAAGGATAATTTTATGTTGGGCCAATTTATAGGGTCTTAGTTAGCTGATGACTGTATTAATAATATACAACAAATTACACAAGTTGGGGTTTTAATTTAAGCTTTATAAATGGCTTTCAAAAAACTGACATTTGTTATTTTCATTCTTCACAAGTAACACCATAAGACTTAATTCATATAGGTGCAACAACCTGAGTCATTCAAGCTTGGATCTGAGAGTAACTTAATAAGTGAGGGAGCCTGAGTAAACATCCAGTGTGGTAGCTAACTTCCAATATGGCCCTCGGTGATTTTTGCCTCTGAGTATTCATATCCCTGTACCACCTCTTCCACAGTGAATTGACTAGCCTATCTCTGTAATTAATAGTATGCTGAATTAATGAAGAAATGTGACATCTGAGGCCAGGGCACAGATGACACTGTGGCTTCTGCCTCGTTTTCCCGTCTTGCTCACTCTGGCGGAAGCCAGCCACCATACCCTGAGGACACTCTTCTAAGACTGCTCTCTATTTTTGACTACAAATGATCCCCCATTGAAACTGAAGCTGGCCTTGGGCTGACTTGAGATTGAACTTGGCTGTTTATCTTAATGTACTCAGGGTAGAATTTGGTACTATGATTGTTAACTACTGCACAAGAAGCAAAAGAGGGTAGAGCAGGAGGTGTATGTTCAAGACATATTTAATTCAAATCGCTTTAGTTTATTTCACTGAAATCATATAAAATTCAATCTTTAAAATCTCTTAAAATCGTTAAGACTCCCAGTCAAACAAGTTAGCCTCTGCTCCCTCCTATAACTACACACACAAGTGAAAAAAAGGTCTGTGGGCAGGGGGGTGGGGGTGTAGGTGAAGATGAGGATATAAAAGTCAGAGGCCCAAAAGAACAATGAGAATAAGAAGGGAAACAATAACAGAGAGAAGAGGCAGGGAGGGAGAGACAGGGTGCAAATTATAAATGCCGGAAAGTGAAAAGATAAAAAACAACTAACTTAGCAGAGCAGATGAAGCTGAAAGTTCAATGCTAAGAATGGGTAGGGAAGAGAAATAGCCAATTAACAAGCAAATTCACTTGACAGAAATCAGAAAAGGGTGCAGGAATAGGGCACATATTTGTATTTTTGAAGGCAGTGGTATAGGTAGGGCTGAGAAAAATGGTTGGTTAAACATCTAAAAAGCATATAGGCTCTTAGATCCAATCCCTACCCTAAGCAACCAGATGACTACACCTCCTCCACCCAGTAAGACAATAGCAGCTGGGTCTTCTAAAAAGTTAAACCAATAGTCTAGTAGGAACGAGTTCAGAATATTCCTTTCTGAGTAAATTAACACACACAGGACAAAAATACCTAGAATTAATGATAGTTTAGTATATAAACTAAATATACCAAATAAAGTGAACAAGTGATAAAATAGTAATGCTTACCACTCAACAAGTTCTACACATAAATACCAGTTATCTAATTAGCTTTTAAATCCTTGATTTGCAAATATGAATGGACAATTCAGACAGAGACAAAAGAAACCAAAAAAAGGAACAATGCAAGAACAGAGGAAAACTTTAGAACACTATAACCGATATAAGAAGACATGCAAACATGAAACAAGAACAGGATACTATTAAAAAATTATCGTTGAAATTTAAAAGAAGAGCAGAAATAACTCATCCCATAAAGGAATTAGAAAATAAAGCTGAAGAAATCACACTCACAAAGTAGAAAAATAATGAGAAAAAGATAAAAATTAGAGATAAATAATAAGAAAATTAGAAGACTGATCAAGATGGTCCAATACACATATTGTAGGAGCTCCAGAAATGTCAAACAGAAAACCAAGGTATTCATCAGACAATATTCCAGAAAATACACTAGAACTGAAGTACATGAATCACCAAGATAGAAAGGATTCACTAAGTATTTTACACAATGGATAAAAAAATGATCCAACCTGAGGCACAAAAATGTAAAATTTTGGAACACTGAGGACAAACAGAAATCCCTAAAAGCTTCAATCAAAGAAAATAAAGCAATTGTAAAAAGCAGACCAACAACAAAATGTTAGGTAGCAGAATAGCATCACACCTCTCAATAATTGAGTGCTAGAAGAAAATGAAGAAATGCTTTCAAAATTTAGGAGGAACTTATTTCTAACCTATATTCCTGTACCTATTATACTATCAATCAAATGTGAGATTAGAATAAAGGCATTTTCAGACCATGTGATATCTCACAAATGTATACTCTCAATTATGGAAGCCTTCTCTAGAAGTTATAAGAGGATATGCCTGACTAAAATTAGGAAGAAAACTAAGAAAAAGGAAGACATGAAACCCCAAGGGGAGAAAATCCAAGACAGGAGAAAAGCAAAGAGAATTGTCAGGATGACAGTGAAGGGAAATGGTGCATGACAGTGGCGCAGCAGAATTACAGAGCAGCCACCCCAGATTGGAACAGGAGGGCAGACAACCAGGAAACAACTGTCTGAGGAATGTCTCCAGGAAAGCAAAACTAAAACCAAAGCCATGACAGAATACCTGATTTTAACAAAGTTATTGAGAAGTTGTTTATATTTCTGATAGAGAGCTTAGGAAAGAGTTCACAAAAAAAAAAAAAAGGTCACAGGAACTGTACCAATTATTAACTCCAGGAAAAACAAAATATTGTTAAAGAAATGTAATCATATAATAAAATATAACATTTTTATAGCCATAATATGAGTACTAATATTGATTTAACTGAAAATTTATGACTAACTGAAAAATATAGGAAAATATATATTTAAAATCATTCCCATTTTCCACAGTAGGAAATCAGAAGACAATATGCAAAACAAAAACATAAAAAATGAAGATATTCAGAATCACAGAGGTAAACCGGAAGAAAAAGCAGCTAAAAATGTTGAACATGGTTTCCCTAAGGAATAAGAATAGAGAGGTGGGAAGAAAGGGACAGAGTAATGGTACATTTTCTTAAACATTTGTAAAATTACAAACCCTCAAGCTCAATAAATATGTGGACAAATATATATATGTGTATATACATATACCTTTATATATTTATATATGTGTATATATATTTTTATTTTAAAATTTAGATTTAAAGCAGCAAAGCTATTGGTTTGTCCAAAGATGACTAAAATTTTATATTTAATAAAATATTAGAAAATTTTACCACATGTGAAAACAAATTTTATCTCTCAAAGGAAAAAATAATTTACTGCTCTAAGATTGAAATATTCATTTTGTTCATTTTTCTCAGGCAGAAAAGTCTTCAATAACTAATTTTTATATTAATAGAGATCCATATATAGTTTCAAATACTCATATGAAAGCTAACCAAAGTGACTGATAATAGGTCCACTAAAATGGCTATAAATAGCTCACGTATCCTGGAGTGGGTTCCTGCTAATTTATCGTCTATGTAAATGTCGTATATATGATAGATACACACAAACATATATAATTATTTAAGATGTGTATGTAAGGTTATGAAAGATAATTTTGCTATGATTAGTACAGAATTGATTTTATTTTTCTGAAGATGTTTTGCTCAATATAAGAATTTAGCTGGGAGCAGTGCTCACACCTGTAATCTCAATACTATGGGAGGCTGAAGCAGGAGGATCACGTGAGCCCCAGAGTTTGAGGCCAGCTTAGGCAACATAGTGAGAGCTCATCTCTACCAAAAATAAAAAATGTAATTAGCTGGGCATAATGGTACACACCTTGTTCCTAGCTACTTGTCAGGCTGACGCAGGAGGATCTCTTGAACACAGGAGTGCCAGGCTGCAGTGAGCCATGATTGTGCCACTGCAGCCCAGCCTGTATGACAGAGCAAGACCCTGTCTCAAAAAAAAACAAAAAAAAAATTAAAATTTAACTTATAAATCCTCCAGTAGTACCAGAGCTTTTCATTGAGTACTACAAATTAAGTCACATATTGTGTCAAGCTGAGAACTATTTATGTCTGCTTTGCCAACAATTTATAAAATATAAGGATAAAAAGCAAGTAAATATTGAATATTTTCCTATGTAAATGTACACATTTAGCTGATTTTTAATTTTATTTTGTGTAGATCTCTAGTACTACACAGTAGTTTATGCAAGAGAGAATGTTCTAATGCATTCTAGCATTTTTAAATAAGTAGCTTTTAAGCATTAATCAATAGGCGATCATGTAAAAGCTTCCTGATGTTTAGATATTCACCTGCAGTTTCTTTCTTTGGATTTTGATCTAACTAGAAAGCCATTAATAGCGAGGAACCAGCTAATACACAGGGAAGGCAAGGAATTCTTGGGCCCTTCTCCTAGGTCTGACCAGGTCAGTATTGGGATATTAACCTAAAGAGGTGTGATGTTTAATTTTATGTGTCAATTTGACCAGGCTAAAGAATGCCCAGATAGCTGGCAAAACATTATTTCTAGATGTGTCTGTGTGGGCGTTTCTGGAAAAGATTAACATTTGAATCGGCAGATTGAGTAAAGAAGATCACTTCACCACTTCACCAATGTGCGCAGTCACCCTCCAATCACTGAGGGCCTACATAAACAAAAAGGTGGAGGAAGGGCAAATTTGCTGTCTCCTTGAGATGGAAATTCTGACAACCTGGGACATTAGTGCCTTTAGTTCTCAGGCCTTTAAACTCAGACCAGGACTTAACACCATCAGCCCCATGGTCCTCAGGCCCTCTGTCCTTGATTGAAACTATACCACTGGCTTTCCTGGGCCCCCAGCTTGCAGACAACAGATTGTGAAACTTCTCAGTCTCCATAATCATCTGAGCCAATCTCTCTTTTAATAAATTTCTGTGTGTGTGTATGTGTGTGTGTGTTTGTGTGTGTGTGTGTCCTTTTGGTTCCATTTTTGTGTGTGTGTGTGTGTCCTTTTGGTTTCATTTCTCTGAAAATCATTGATTAATATAAGTGGTCCTCATTTATTTTCAGAAAATGGACATATGATAATCACTGCTTTTACTGTATCCTCAGAAATATCACTCCAAGATTTTGTAGCCATTGACCTAACATCTTGAGATCTGTCTACAAACAGGGAAAGATTTAGAATTCGACACTTACATTGCTTCTTAAAGTCATGCTACTATTTTAAAATGTCAAACTATGTACTCATTTTAAATATATGACTGGGAACCAACTACAGCCCTAGGTACCTGTTATAGCTGGTTTGGATGCAACCTTCCAAAAGATCCACATAGGGTTCCTGCCCTTAGGATGCTTTCATTCTGGAGGTAGATACACACAGATTAAAACAGAACAACAAAAAAAAAAGGACAAAAAAATCCCTTAGGCCAGTGAGTATGGGAACCGAAGAGTTAAGTGTTTGAACCTGAGAAAACATTATAGGAAAAAGCCCAGGATGAAACAGAGTAAGACACATTCTGGAAACCCGAAGACAATGGGTGGATGAGGAGTGTGAGGAGGAAAAAGGACTAGCAAATATAAGGCTAGAGGGGCAAGGGGACGCCAGACCATGAAGGATTGAAGCTTTCGAATGTTATCCTGGGGACAATGGGGAAATCATAACATCTTTAAAATGTTATTTTCATCAAAGCACTGTGTATACACAGTAACATATTTGATCCATGGACAAACTTATACTGAAAAGGAGGCATGCCCACGCCTCCCTTCACATACCATTCCCAGGAAGCAACCTCCTATAACGTTTTCTTATTTTAGGTCACTTGTTGGCTACCAACTCTGAATAAAATGCTGTTTCTTGATGATTCATGCTATTCCTTCCTTCTTTTCCCAATTGTTGATAATCCTGTTATTATTTTTAGAAATTTATGTAGAGTTGGTATCCCCTTCTCCTGCTAGGTAAGGTGAAGCTACAAGTGCTTCTAGTTCTCCCTCCATCTTGGCAATCCTTTTTATTTCTCTCCCTTTGGCTGGCTAACATTTTCCTTTATTATCACAAGCTTGTTAACATCTACAATCTATTTTGAAAATCTACATAAAATCTACACAGAGCAAAATGCACAGTTACCAAGTGTAGAGTTGGGTAAGGGTTAGCAGTTGTACACAACCATGTAACCAACATCCCAATCAAGAAATAGAACATCTCCATTACTCCAGAAAGTTCTCTTGCTTTCCCTTTTAGCCCATAAGTAACTCCTCTTCTGATGTCTGTTCTAGAAATTGATAAAAATCGAATCATACAAAATGTACTATTTTTTCACTCAAAGTAAAGTCATGGAGACATCCATGTTTTTGTGTATAACAGTACACCATTTTCTCTGTATTGCTAAGTAGTATTCCATTTTATGAATATACCACAATTTGTAAAACTTGTTTGGGATTTTTTTTTTTTAGTTTTTAGCTATTACAATTAAAACTGCTGTGAACATCATGAACAGCTATTTTTGTAAACAAAGCTTTCCATTTGCTTTTGGTAAATATCTTGAACTATTTTAATAGGGAGCTGGCTCCTCCCTATTACCTGCTTTCTAGTCACAGGTTAAGTGTATGTTTAATGAGATCAAGATATAATGGATACCGGAAGCTTTAAAACCCAATGTATTATGATATAAGAATGAAATAAAATTATTAACTTTAAGGATTTGTACATCAGTGCTTTGTGAATCCAAAATTGTTGAATCTTACGTGCAGATTAAATCTGAACACTTATGTCTAATATTGCCCCAGCCATCAGGAAAATTATTCCTTAGATGTTCCCAGAGGAGAACCATCTCAGTGCAACTTAAACTAATGTGTATAATAGTATCCCTGGCTCTTCAAAATCTAGATAATCAGATTCATACTGCATTTTAATGAAAAAAAAAAGAGCTCTGAAGGAATGGAGGGAAATGCACAAGAAGGGTAACCTAAAAATAAGAAATAACTCAAACATGTTGCTTTCTAAAAATCTAAGTCAATTGGGTAGTCTCTTATATCCTCTCCTGAGGTATTTAAGAAGAACAAAGAATCCTCAGTTTTTTCTCTAGTATAAAACTGTGGCTTTGAGTTAGAAATAGCAAATAAAATGCTCTCTATCCTCGTTAGATGTTACAAAACAGAAGGAAGTACCAAGGAATATAGTTACATAATGGTAATGAAGCAGATACATAAAACAGAAATTGAATCTTAGATACAGAACACTGCTAGGAAGAGATATTGGGCCTGGAGAAATCAAAGGGAACAGTGGCAGATAAAAAAACATGAGAAGCAGCCACTGCAGAGGATAATGGGTGGGTGTGTATTTTGGGGATGCATGGAATTAAAAATGAATGTAGAAAATTATCATCCATCCACACAGCTAAATAAATCATTAAATATTATTTTAATCAAATGTTTCCCAAGTTAATACAAATAGATCAAAGATCATTTTTATTGTAGTGAGATATTAGCAAAGTCATGAAAAGAATTATTTAAATCTGTCTCCTAAACTAATTTAAATTTGAGTGTTTGCCTTACCTAGAAATGTTAACCCTTAAAAGCAGTTATTAGCTAAATTTGACTCTCCAAAGTAAAGTTTGAAAAAGTGTACTTTCACCCATGATGGACCTTAAGCTGTAAATACACATCAACTTTTTTATTATCTCTTTATAAAATATATTTTGGAGATTAAGAAAACTTGTTAACACAAATTTGGCTACCAAAAAAAGAATGAAACATAAAAGTCAAATGATGAAAATACAATTCATTGATGGAGTGCATGGGCAAAGAAAGTAGTGTAACACTTCAATTTCAGTGAATATGATTCTTCTCTACATAATAGTTTTCCTGGACCTAATTTCTTCTAATTTGGAAAGCAAAATCACAAAATCTCTGAACCCAGTTTTTATTCTTTTCTTTATAAAATATTATACTACTTTAAGTGTCATGTAGAAAGGTAATTTTGATATAAATATTTATACTTTTTCTCAACCAAAAATAAGGAATTATTTAAACTAGGCATGTGGACTTCTGCCCATATATTAGCTAAAGTAATAACTATGGTGAGTTACATTATGATTACTACTGATAATTAACGCCAATTAACCATGAAACTAAAATTCCCTTGAGTAAAAGGTAGAACCTGCCAATATATGTTCCATCAAATAGACCTGAGCTGTCCAATAGGGTACCACTAGCCATATGTGGCTACTGAGCCCTTAAAAAGAGGCTAATTTGAGATAATGCTGTAAATTTAAAATATATACCACATTTTGAAGACTTAATCTAAGAAATGTTAAATTAAATTGCAGTAATGCTTTTTTGTATTCCTTACAAATTGAAAAGAAAATATTTTTGACACGTTGAGCTAGATAAAATGTATTGTTACAAATAATTTCACCTACTTCTTTTTACTTTTTTAATGTTGCTACTAGAAAATTTAAAATTATATATGTGGCTCACATTATATTTCTAGTAGACAGCTCTGGCTTAGAGCCTTTAAAACAAAATGAACTTCTGGTTCTCAAAGATTTTTAAATCTGTGGATTCATCTGACTTCAAATTAAAATGCACAATGATATGTCCAACATTTTTTGAGAATAGCTGGCTAGTCTGACAATTTACTTATTAGATATAATTCTAAGCTTTGACTTCAGACAGAAGAAATGATCAAATTCAAAACACTTTTCCAAGAAAATATGTCTTCAAGCAAAAGAAAGAATCCAGTTTGCCTTTAAAAAAATAAATAAATATTTAGGAATTTGAGGTGATGAGTCAAGATTTTGGTTTAGCATAGAGTCCAGTTACCACTTAGAGATGAGAGACAGATTAAAACGTGGTACAGTAACAAACTAAATTAGAGAGGATTTGATATAAAACACACATTTAGTCAGGATTACAATCACTAGTCAGAAAAGACTTGATTGAATGAATTTTCCTGTGAAAGTAATTAAAACTAAGGCAATGTTATTTAATGAAATACATAAGGCATTTTAGTGTTTTTTACTATTTACAGATTAATTTGTTAATAATTTGCATAGCTAAAAAAGAGAGAAGTGAATAATGATGTCTTTTGTCTTAAGCGAAAAATTACTGAAATACATATGATACTTATTAAATCACTGGTAGATATCACAATTTTGGAAGGAGAAACACATACACAAATATACTTACCTGAAGGGTATTGGAAAGGAAGCCACACCAATTTTAAAATATTTAGTTAAATTTTAATTAAAACAAGTTTATTGTTATACATTTTATTCCAATATATAAACTATTCCATTATGTAGGTTTTTCTGTTTTGAGCATGTGTACCATAAACGCTATGCCAACGGTGACTTTGAATCCTGGTTTTTAATCTATTTAGTAGGTTTCCTTGAATGATTGAATGAAGTAAGGTATACAAATTGCCAAGTTCCGGCCGGGCTCGGTAGCTCACACCTGTAATCCCAGCACTTTGGGAGGCCAAGGCGGGTGGATCATGAGGTCAGGAGACCAAGATCATCCTGGCTAACACAGTGAAACCCCGTCTCTACTAAAAATACAAAAAATTAGCCGGGCGTGGTGGCGGGCTACTCGGGAGGCTGAGGCAGGAGAATGGTGTGACCCTGGGAGGCGGAGCTTGCAGTGAGCCTAGATCACACCAGTGCACTCCAGCCTGGGTGACAGAGTGAGACTCTGACTCAAAAAAAAAAAAAAAAAAAAAAAGAAAGAAAAAAAAATTGCCAAGTTCCTGGCAGAGTAAGCATCCAATAAAGTTGATTCTGTATGTATGTGAAATGCATGCCTTCTAAAAGTTAAAGAAAAATTCAGCCAATCTATATAGAAAAACTGAAATATTAGGCTAACTTATTCAGGGCTTTCGTTTTCATATCTGTAATTTAAAAAAAAAAAACAGGTTTGCGGCCAGGTGCGCTGGCTCACGCCTGTAATCCCAGCACTTTGGGAGGCCAAGGCGGATGGATCACGAGGTCAGGAGATTGAGACCATCCTGGCTAACACGGTGAAACCCCGTCTCTACTAAAAATACAAAAAAAATTAGCCGGGCCTGGTGGCGGGCGCCTGTAGTCCCAGCTACTCGGGAGGCCGAGGCAGGAGAATGGCATGAACCTGGGAGGCGGAGCTTGCAGTGAGCCGAGATGGCGCCACTGTACTCCAGCCTGGGTGACAGAGCGAGACTCTGTCTCAAAAAAACAAACAAACAAACAAAAAAACCCAAACAGGTATGCTTGTTTTTCCCTTTCTTCCCCACAAATACCCAATTTATAACTTTTTTTCTCTGTCATTATATTTTACTGCCATTACATTTTCTCTGTCATTATATTATACCTAGGTCATAATGTCTAAACGATTCTTGTTTTTTTTTTTTTTGAGACAGCATCTTGCTCTGTCGCCCAGGCTGGAGTGCACTGGCGCGATCTAAGCTCACTGCAAGCTCCGCCTCCCGGGTTCACACCATTCCCCTGCCTCAGCCTCCCGAGTAGCTGGGACTACAGGTGCCCGCCACCACGCCGGGCTTAATTTCTTTTTGTATTTTTAGTAGAGACGGGGTTTCACCGTGTTAGCCAGGATGATCTCGATCTCCTGACCTCGTGATCCACCCGCCTCGGCCTCCCAAAGTGCTGGGATTACAGGCGTGAGCCACCGCGCTCGGCTGATTATTGATTTTTTTTTAAGGCATAGATCCACCATTGACTATGAAACTTATTAAACTGAATATTTTGGGAAAACAAATTGTTGAATTCAAATATAGTAGGAAGTTATTTTGACTGAAGAATGATTCTAGAACCTGGGACAAAGAAAACTGACAATAGACTAGAAAATAGCAGCAGATGGCCATGAACTCTTTATAAAGTTAGGAGGCCAACACTCCCAGGTGACTTCAAGCTTGCTATAAGTAGACAGGTCTTTCTTTGGTTACTCCTTTCTTATCCCTATTATCAGTAATTTAACAAAATTGACTTTTGTTTTTATCTGATCTGCTTTTAATTCTCACTCGTGATACTTTTATGTTCTTTTAGAAGGAAAAGATGGTCAAGACTACATTTTATTTCTCATTCCTAAAAGGGTTTTTATTTGAAATATAAACAACCTATCTACAATCACTGAGGCATTTACTGAGTCCCTGAAAAAAAAGGCTCGATATTTCTACCTATTCTGTCATATAACTCCCAGAATATCTCTATAAATCTTGAAAGCTTTCTGAGGAGAATACCATTATTCACTTACCTTTTTAACTGATAAGGAAATTAAAGTTCAAAGAGGTTATTACTTAACTTACCAAAATCAGACAGGTACTATATATTTATCAGATTCTTTGCATCCCTAAAGTCTGGGTACTATTTACAATCAATGGTGTCTTGATTGGATAAAATTTGCTAACAAGGGCATCACAGCAGGGATTCAGAGGCAGGTTTGTTCAATACAAACCTTGCTCTTCTACACAACTGCATTACAAAAGTTAGATGGGCCTAAACCTGAAGTTCAAAACCTGACTGAGCTCCCAGTCCCTGTAAATTTCAAAGCCCAAATACATCTTTTTTATTTTCCTACTGACTGAGTATTGAAATCAATCAAAATAGAAAAAGCAAATTATTAGAATTTTAAATAGTTGTTGTATTCTGCATATATAACATGGAAGCCACCTCAACTCTCAAATAAATGACTCAATTTTCTAAGTAGTGAAATCAGTACGTAAGCATAGCTGAAATATAAAGTGACTGCAAAATTTATAAACAACACCCTATCAGTGACAAGCGCTGCTTCTTCAAATCTTTGGCTCCAGGTAATGCATTCACTGTTCTTATTCTGGGGCAATTTTACAGTTATGCCCCCCAAAACACTATTGAAAGTCAAAAATGCTGGTTTATAGCCGCATCTTTTATATGACGTGCGTTTTATCACTTACATTTTTGTACCTAAAATTGTCACATTTTAAAACATATGGGTTTGAGTCACTCTGAAATATTCCAGTTCTAAACCCAAACTATCCATCATCTAATCCAGACATAAAAATGAAAAAGAGTTGGGAAAAAGAAGAACATTGTCCAACTAATTTCTGCAGAAATATACCCTGGAAGGCAGTGTATGAAGAGATTGTTTCTCCCTAGTGGAAAGTAAAGCATTGATACATAGTGTTCTCAACCTCAATTCAATTGAATCTCTTCAAAAAGATAATGCACAGGAGCTTCTTGTGCAATATCCATACCACTAACTTTTATGAAAAAGTAACTAAAGCAATGATGGTTTTCCTAGCAGGTTACCTTTCGATCTGTTTCTGAAATGTCTGTACAGCACAGTCCTTATGCCACACATGAGTCATTGAATGCCTTGGGTCGAATATTTGTAGAACAGCAGAAAAACAATGATTCACGGTGCATTTCATGTTGCAAATGACTCATTTTGTTGAATTAATTCATTTTTGTAAACACGTTAACTGTAGGATCTAGTATAACAGGAGACATTGTATATGTTGGACAGAAATATAGAAATCAACATGAGAAAGTTAGAGGAGGGTCATCTTTTAGGCCACTCATTGGAGCTAGGTCACTCTATCCAAATGGAATAAGCCATAATAAAGATGCTGAAGTATAAATCTTAGGTAGTCATAGAAAATGGGAAATGCAGGACTCAAATTAATCAAAGTTAATACATACAAAGCAACCATGGGACTCACCCTGGGACACTGCTCAATTGAAAAGGGTGAGTAAAAATGAAGAGGTCAGACTGCACAGTCAGAGGTGCCAGTGAGAATACTCAGAAGTTCAGGAAGATTGACCTTTCTAGATAGAGATGATGAATTGTTTCAAATATCTCCAATTTCTCTTATTGCATTTATTCAGATGTATCTTTATGCTTTCCCCAAATTCTATACCATAACTATAAAGAACTAGTTTTATTTCTCAGACATGCTTTACATTTATATGCTCTTCTTTATACTGATTTCTTTGCCTAGAAGGCTTTCACCCCACTTCTTCCTTGACTTCTGACAAAATCCCATCAATCTTTCTCTGTAACTATGGTCCCAAGCACTCTGTGAAATTTTCTACAACGTGTCCGTCTCTTCCCACAAAACTGTGATGTAGTTTCATTCATGCACTATAGTCCTTCATCAATGTGTTTTTTATCTAAAATTAACTATTTACTTCAGGCCTTAAATCACTAAGAAACAGTGTTTCTGAATGAGATCAACATATAGTCAAGCATGCGGCAAGGTGCCTGACACAAAGTCAGTCCTCAATAAGTATCTGTTGATTTAAAAATATTGGGAGTGAACTTTATAATATAGAAATAGTGTCGCAATGACATTAATATGAAGAATAAAGAGAAAGAGTATATGAGAATAAATGAGGCTAATGCCACAAAGCAAGATTCTGTTACTATCAACATCACCCCAACCACCTGGAAAAAAAAGTACACACCTAGTATCAGATGGAACAGTTGCCCTGGGTACAATTACATTCTGAAAACTACAACACATTCAACACCCACCAATACTCTCTCCAACAGATACAGTATTAGTTTTGTGTATCACTCTAATGTGCTACTATACTGTAGCAGCTTGCATTACTATTCAAAAATATTTTCTACAAGAGGATTATATATACTTGTCCCATGCTGACATTAAGTTGCTTTGACAAAATGACATGTAGAAAGAATTGATTCATGTGAGCAGAAGCTCTTAAATCTAGTATGAGGTCTGCCATGTTCTTATCTTTCTCTCTGTTAAAAGATAGGTAGTATTACAGGTATAGGCTACAATGTCAGCCTCAGTCCAGAATGAAATGAGGTAAAGGAGAGGTGCAGTTAATCTGCGATGAACACAAAGTGATAAAGTAAGTTCACATGAGTGAGCAATGAACTTTTGTGGTCTAAAACACTGAGATTTGGGGTTTGATTGTTAACGTACAATATTGTCTAGCTTATCCCAACTCATTGTATATCTGTATATGTGTGAGATTAAATAAGCAATGTTATTACATATAACACACACATACATACAAAATACACATAGACACACACACACACACACATATATATATAAATGCATCTTTCTCATGTTTTGTTTTTCAGGGTCACTGAAGGGGAAAGAAAAGAACGTGTTTCAATCTGGACAGATTAGTAAAGGTTTTATCCTTCTGCCAATAAACACAATTGCTTTTGTTCTGGGGTGGTTTTTTGTTTGTTTGTTTGTTTATTTGTTTTGTTTTTTTTCCTCCAGAAAGTTTTTCTTGCAATAAAAAAGTATTATTTGACACTATAGCTCAAATCAGCTATGTGCATCTTCCATCTGTCAATATTTATGGCTCTGAGTATCCACCTTTGCATATTTTCTATTCCACTGCATTCTATTCCATCCCACTCGCTTTCATAAAATACTGCAGAAAACATCGGCATTATAGAGACAGAGACTTTATTATCATGATTGATTCTGATATGGTCTGGCTGGGTCCCCAACAAATTCTCATCTTGAACTGTAGCTCCCATAATCCCCACATGTCGTGGGAGGTAACTGAATCATGGGGACGGGTTTTTCCTGTGCTATTATCTTGATAGTGAATAAGTCTCACAAGATCTGATGGTTTTATAAAGGGCAGTTCCCCGGCACACGTTCTCTTGCCTGCCTCCATGTAAGATGTGCCTTTGCTCATCCTTTGCCTTCTGCCATGATTGTGAGGCCTCTCTAGCCATGTGGATCTGTGAGTCCATTAAACCTCTTTTTCTTTATAAATTACCCAGTCTTGGGTATGTCTTTGTTAGCAGCATAAGAACAGACTAATACAGATTCCTATTGTAAGGACTTATTTTTCCCCCATCCCTACTTGTTATGCATAAATAAGCAGAAGCATATCTGATAGAGAAGGCAGAGAAACAAATCATACTTATTATAAGAAAAATTGCTGTTGACTACCAGCCGAATTTTATTGCAATATTCCTTTGCAAGGTTTACATTTGGTTTGTCGCCAGATCATTGCCTCCCACAGGATAAAGTTTATGTATCTGCCAGGGCAATAGCTTGCTGGCAAAGATCTCTTCTCCATGTTAAACATTTGCTCCATATTCATTAAGTCCCCTCACCACTTTTTGTTCATTTCCTTTATCTTATAGATTTCTCCCTACTCCTTTCCCAAGGTGTTCTTAGGCAAAGAGTTGTGCATGTTTGAAAACACATTCTAAATCCATATTTAACCTAAATCATAAGGTTGGTAGAAATAAGAAACTATTTGGAAACAGCTAGGATAGTGTCCCCCAAACAGCAGGTACAGTCATACATGGCATGATGACATTTTAGTCAACTATGTATGGCATATAAGACAGTGGTCCCATAAGATTATAATACTGTGTTTTTACTATACCTTTTCTATGTTTAGCAATATTTAGATACACAAATACTTACCATTGTGTTACAACTGCCTACAGTATTCGGTACAATAACGTACTGTACAGATTTGTAGTCTAGGAACAATAGTCTATACCATATAGCCAAGGTGTATAATGGGCTGTACCATCTAGGTTTGTGTAAGCACACTCTATGATGTTCACATAACAATGAAATCAACTAAAGATGCATTTCTCAGAATGCTGCCCTGTCATTAAGGGACACATTACTGTATTTAGTAAGTGGTAGGATCCTCCTCCTTAGGAAAATTATCTAATCCAAGAAAAAATAATATATCTGATATAAGATAAAATAAAATTATATAATCAAAGACAAAGTAAAATAAAATAAAATAAAATCTGAGTCCATTCATCTAATGTCTTCCCAGTCATGAGGTTCAAGTCATTTTATAAAGGAATGAGTAATCAGCCACACGGATTGCTATATACAGATTACTGTATTCATAATACAGTGGAATCAACCTCCTGAGGTTTTTATGAGGATTAAGTGAAATAATGCACATGAAACACATACAGTTTCAGGCCTAAGTGCCTCTAAACAGCAGTGATAATGTTGAGTAGCGTTACCATCACAGCTCTAGGGTGTGCTTGGACTCCTCCTAGAGATGAAGACTAACTTTTTCAAGGAAAAGCAATATTCATACAGCATCTGTTACCAATTCAGTTCAAAATAAATACATGACCATTATAAGACAAAAATTAGAAACACTCATACTAGCATGGGCAAAGACAGGTGTCATAACCTGAGACTACTCTTGTTCCAGTGTTATCTTTCCTCTCTTAAACCTGCCTCAGCCTTTGATACAAGCTCAAGAACCATACAAACATTCACTGCTTGTCCAAGGAGAGCATGACAGCCAGAGATGATATTTAGTCCCTAATATGTACACTGGCCTTACTACTATTCATCAACACAAACAGGTGATCACTAGAGTTCAGTCAATCATAGGAAGCTTATGAGAAAACCAGAACTCAATATGGGGCTGGTTTTATAGGTGGTGCTAAGAAATGAGGAAGGTGATAGGCAAGAACTTAACTTCTCTTTGACTAGGTTACTTATCTTAAAATGTAATAATAATGCCATCTTCCTTCCACAGTTACAAGGAACAAATGAGAAAAAATCTGCCAATCACTTAGAATGGGAACTCACCTATTTTTAGCCCTCAATACATATTACTAATATCATTATTAGTACTATCATCATCATTATCAATACCTAAAAGAGCCTGAGGCGATCACTAATTCTTTTTATGCCTGCTTTTAGGAACAGGGTAAGAAAGAGATCTTTGGAGAACTCACCTGTAGCTAAGCGAAAGTTGATAGAACAATTGATTGCTTCAGGGCAAAACAAGGAAATGAGAAGGGACTGGGAGTACAGTGCAAGTTGATTATAAGCCCATGAGACTCGAAGAACTGCAGGTTGGGACAACCAGCAGGAGACTTCAAACAACACTGGCTTTGAAAAGTGCTGAGATAGTTGGGATCTTTCCTAATGAGTGGTACACCTACAGGAACAATTTCAAGAATTGAAGAAAGCAGCCACTTCTGGGAACAATCAGTGGGAAGAACAGACATGACACTGTCAGGTTAGAAGACTTTCCAGGCTCTGAGATCTCCACCAAGGAAGCATGACTCACTCTTCAGGACAGAGGTTCAGTTTGCATTATCCTTCAGTATGTGGAGGTATGTGCAACAAAGAAATGGCAGATATTTCATCTCACTCTTCCCTAAGGACAAGATTCATGTGTAATTCATCTTTCTATTCCCCTACAGTGCCTAGCACTTTAATGGCACCTGGTACTTTTTCACATGGTAGATGTTCAAAAAATCTCTTGAATGGAAAACACCGTAGCTTCACAAATTGTGATTTGTTAAGAAACCTAGATGCACTGGATGGTAACTGGTCAGCTTGTAAACTATAATCAACTCTTTAGATTCTCAGAGGTTTTGCCAAATACCACTTCTGAACTCCAGCTGATACTAAAGCAAATAAGAGAAAAAAATTACTAGATCCCAGCACCTCAAATCTTATGGTAACATTATCTAATGAGTTATGCATATAATGAGTCGTGCATAACATGTTGTATAACGTGACAATGAGGTTATTATATGTATACATTATAATATGTATACATCACATATATATGATAGACATATATACAGTGTATATGTAGGTATATATACACAATATATACTATAATGTCCTTTATTTTTGAAGCACTATCACTCATGCCAGTTGCTCTCTTTTAATAGAGATGGTTAAGTCCAATGTGTAATCCTCATTTAAATCCTAAAACCTCTTATCCTTATATTTGAGGTTGCAACTGATATCATTTACCTTGGACTGTCATTAGCCTAATGAAGGCTTTGCCTTGGTAGTTACCCCAAAGTTAAGTGCTAACCATTATGCCCAGCAGTGTACACAATTATCCTTTTGTTCCTTGAAATTAAGATCACATCACTTAGCTTGTAAGGATTTAATTAAATATCTACAATATTCTATACATCCTATTAGGTACTGAAGTTATAAGACACAGTCTTCCTTCTACTTGCTTCCAGTTTAGGAGGAGGCAGGTAAAGGTAAGTCAACTATTCTTGATTTATAATAATGCTATGATAATGGTAAAATACACAGATTGTTATGAAAACACAAAGGAAAAACATGTAGAATGGTTAAAAGATATGAAAGGCCGCATAAAAGTGGCACATGAGTTAAGTTTTCAAGAACAAGTAAGGGTTTGCTTGAGTTACCCTGTGATATGGTTTGGCTGTTTGTCCCTGCCCAAATCTCATGTTGAATTGTAATCCCCAGTGCTGGAGGTGGGGCCTGGTGGGAGGTGATCATGGAGGCAGATCCTTCATGGCTTGGTGTTGTCTTTGTGATAGTGAGTTCCCATGACATTTGGTTATTTAAAAGTGTTTGGCACCTTTCTCTCTCTCTTTCTGTCTCTCTGTCTCTCTCCTGCATCTGCCATGTGATGTGCTTACTCCCCCTTCATCTTCTGCCATGATTGTAAGCTTCCTGAGTCCTCCCCAGAAGCTGAGAAGAGGCCAGCACCATGCTTCCTATAAAGTCTGCAGAACCCTGAGACAGCTAACCTCTTCGTTATAAATTACCCAGTCTCAGGTATTTCTTTCTTTCTTTTTTTTTTTTTTTTTTTTGAGACAGAGTCTTGCCCTGTCGCCCAAGTTGGAGTGCAATGGTGCATCTCGGCTCACCACAACCTCTGCCTCCCAAGTTCACGTTAATTCTCCTGCCTCAGCCTCCCAAGTAGCTGGGATCACAGGCACATGCCACCACACCCGGCTAATTGTTTCTTTAAGAGACGGGGTTTCACCATGTTGGCCAAGCTGGTTTTGAATTCCTGACCTCATTATCTGCCCGCCTCGGCCTCCCAAAGTGCCAGGAATACAGACGGGACTACAGACATTTAAGCCATTGTCCCTGGCCTTTCTTTATTGCAATGCAAGATTGGCCTAATATACCCTGTGACCCTACTTCATAAACACAAAGTAATTGACTTTTTAAAAAAAAATGTTTTCCTCAGCTTATTCTATTTGCCTACTTACCAAAAAAAAAAAAAAAAAAAAATTAAACTGTCATATGAAAATCTAGAAATCATAATGCTATGGTCTGAATGTGTCCCCCAAAATTCATTTGTTGGAAGCTTTATCCCCAATACAAAAGTGTTGGGAGACAGGGTGTTTTGGGAAGTGTTTAGGTCATGAAAGCTCCAACCTCACGAATGGATTAGTGCCTCTATGAAAGGGCTTGGAGGAATGGGTTCTGTCTTTTGCCCTTTTGCCATGTAAGGACAAAGAGTTTGTCCCTCTCTTGCCCTTCTGTCTTCTGCCACGTGAGGATACAGTAAAAAGGCCCTCACCAGATGAAGCCTTGATCTTGGACTTTCCAGCCTCCAAGAATCATGAGAGAGAATAAATTTCTGTTCTTCATAAATTATCCAGTCTCAGATATTCTGTTATAGCAGCACAAAATAACCCAAGACACAAAAGTTTAAGAAGGCATTGCTCCACAAAGTATGTTATAACTTATCTGTGTGCAGTTCCAAGTAATGTTGGCAACCACGACACTCCTGTACAATGACAAAATCAGCAATTCTTCAAGAATGGGACTGGATAAACCACTTGGTAATAATGGCTTTCACTGATGACTTCATCTAATTCAATGCTGCAATGTAAGATCTGCATATGAGGCTGTCTGGAAGTGCCTTCCAGTCTACGACAAGATAAGGGACTGTGCTAGAATGTAAATCAATGTACTTCCTTCCTTGAAAGAATCTTGCCATGGAAAAAAATGTGATTTACATTTTGGCCCAAGCTTCTCATGTTGTTACAGACCAGATAGCAAAATTTCAGATGAATATTTTCTGTAGCATTGATCTAAAGTAGATCGCCCAGTTCTCTTTCCCTCACATCCAATATTGAATCCATCAGTAAATCTTCTGTGTACTACCATTTTTTGCACATTACCTTTGAAATATATCCCAGATCCAGCTACCTTTACCACATCTACTGCTATAATCATAGTCCAAGCAGTCCTTACTTCTCACGTCACAGCAACAGCCCATTAAATGGTTTCTCTGCCTCTGCTCTTACCCTGCTCTAGTCCTGCCCCCTTGGCAACCAGGGCGAAGCTTCCTGAAAGCATCCATTTGATCAGGTAGGTCACTCCTGGGCTTAACATTCTTCAGTGACATAAACATTTGCTAAGAACTACTTACTTGATTTTCGCTACCTCACAGGCTGCTCCTTCTCAGTTCCCTTTCCTGGTGCCTCCCTGTCTTCTTATCCTCTAGATATTGGTCTACTCTCAGGTCAATCTTCATGTTCCTTCTCTTTTCTATTACTGCTCACCAACCCTCATGCTTGTCATGCTTTATCACATTATCAGAATATGTTTTCTTCAAAGCTTTTATTATGTACAGTAGTCCCTCTTTATCTGCAGAGGAATACATTCCAAGACCCACCAATGGATACCTGAAACCGAGGATAGTACCAAACCCAATTGCCATCAATCAGAACATCTTTCTATTCATGGTTTCCATCCATAAATTTAATGCTTTTTCCATCTTAACTAGTCACTCATCACGCACTCTGGCTATCACTTTTGCAGTTTTGAGGTGCAACCACAAAACTAACACAAATTTTGTTTTCCTTCTCCACAATTTCTTGGCTAAATTTAGTCTTACTGCAGATTTTTGCAACTTCAGCATGTGATTAGTTTCCCTTTCCTTATTAAGTTGAGAACTTTCACCTTTTCACTTAAAGGAAGCACTTTCCAGCTTCTCTTTGGCATATCCAAATTCCAGCATCACTACTCTTGTGCTTTGGGGCCATTATGAATAGTAAAATAAGGATGACTTGAATACAAGCACTACAATACTGCAACAATAGATATGATAACTGAGGCTATGGGTGGGTAGGATCTATAGCATGGATACGCTGAACAAAAGGATGATTCACACCCCAGTTGGGCCACAGCAAGATGGCAGATTTCATCACGTGTTGATATGGTTTGGCTGTGTCCCCATCCAAATCTCATCATGAATTGTAGCTCCCATAATCCCCACGTGTTGTGGGAGGGACCCGTTGGGGGGTGGGGGTAAATGAATCATGGAGGTGGGTTTTTCCCTTGCTGTTCTCATGGTAGTGAATAAGTCTCACAAGATCTGATGGTTTTATAAAGGGCATGTCCCCTGCACATGCTCTCTTGCCTGCCACCTAGTAAAACATGCTTTTGCTTCTCCTTTGCCTTCTGCCATGATTGTGAGCCCTCCCCAGCCATGTGGAACTGTGTCTATTAAACCTCCTTTTCTTCAAAAATTACCGAGTCTCTGGTATTTCTTCACAGCAGTGTGAAAATGGACTAATATATGCATACCACTCAGAATGACAAGCAATTTGAAACTAATGAAATTTATGTATAGAATTTTCCATTTAATATTTTCAGACTGTGATTGACCACTGGTAACAGAAACCTTGAAAAGGAAAACTACAGTTAAGTGGGAGACTGCTGTATGTGCTTGTTTTTTTGTTTTGTTTGTTTATATTTACTTCCAAGAATGATGCAATTTAATGCTAATACAAATCTTGCATTTATAATGGTTTCCACTGAGACTTTTTGTTGTACTTTTATTTTAGGTACTGGAGTACAAATGCAAGTTTGCTACATGGGTGTGTTGCACCCATGTAGTGAGCACAATACCCAATAGGTAGTTTTTTGAGTCACATCTTCCTTTCTCTTTCCCCCTCTAGTAGTCTACAGTGTCTCCTGTTTCCAGGTTTAGGTTCATGTGTTCTCAATATTTAGCTCCAATTTATAAGTGAAAACATGCAGTATTTGGTCTTCTACATTCATTCACTTAGGATTATGGCCTCCATCTCCATCCATGTTGCTGTAAAGGACATAATTCCATTTTTTTATGGCTGCATAGTATTCCATGATGTATATGTACCATAATTTCTGTATACAATCCACCACTAATGGGCACCTAGGTTGATTCCATGTCTTTGCTACTGTGAATAGCCCAGCAATGAACATACTAGTGCATGTGTCTTTTTGGTAGAATGATCTATTTTCTTTTGGCCATATACCAAGCAATGGGATTAGTGGGTCAAATGGCAACTCTGTTTTAGGTTATTTGAGAAATCTCCAAACTGCTTCCCACTATGGCTGAACTAATTTACATTCCCACCAACAATGTATAAGCATTCCCTTTTCTCTGCAGCCTCACCAGCATCGTCTCTTGTTTGACTTTAATAATAGCCATTCTGACTGGTTGGGGGTGGTATCTTATTGTGGTTTTGATTATTTATTTCTACGCTGATTAGTGATGATGAGTATTTTTTCATATGTGTGTTGGCCATTTGTAAGTCTTCCTTTCAGAAGTGTCTGTGAATGTCCCTTGCCCATTTTTTAATGGGGTTATTTGTTTTTTGGCTATTGATTTAAGTTCCTTATAGACTTTGGACATTAGACCTTTGTTGGATGCTTAGTTTGTGAATATTTTCTCCCATTCTATAGGTTGTCTGTTTACTTTATTGATAGTTTCTTTGGCTATGCAGAAGCTCTTTAATTCGGTCCCACTTGTCAATTTTTGGTTTTGTTGCAATTGCTTTTTGGGACTTAGCAAAACATTCTTTGCCAAAGCTAATGTCAAGAAGGGTATCTCCTAGGTTTTCTTCTAGGATTTTTGTAGCTTGAGATCTTACATTTAAATTTTTAATCCAACTTGAGTTAATTATCGTATTTGGTGAAAAGTAAGGGTCCAGTTTCATTATTCTGCATATGGCTAGCCAGTTATGTCTGCACCATTTATTGAATAGGGAGTCCTTTCCCTATTGCTTGTTTTTACCAACCTTGTAGAAAATCAGATTAAGTGTGTGGCTTTATTTCTGAGATTTTTACCCTGTTCCATTCGTCTATGTGTGTATTAGTCCATTCTCACACTGCTATGAAGAAATACCTGAGACTGGGTAATTTAAGAAGGAAAGAGGTTTAATTGACTCCCAGTTCTGCAGGGCTGGGAAGGCCTCAGGAAACTTACAATCATGGTGGAAGGGGAAGCAAACATGTCCTTCTTCACATGGCAGTAGCAAGGAGAAGTGCCAGTCAAAGGGGAAAGTCCCTTATAAAACCATCAGATCTGGTGGAACTCACTCACTCACTATCATGAGAACAGCATGGGGGTAACAGCCCCGATGATTCAGTTACTTCCCACTGGGTCACTCCCATGACACATGGGGATTATGAGAACTACAATTCAAGATGGGATTTGGGTGGGGACATAGCCAACCCATATCAGTGTGTCTGTCTTTGTACCAGTACCGTGTTGTTTTGGTTACTATAGCTTTGTAGGATAGTTTGAAATCAGGTAGTGTGATCTAATTCTGGGAAGAATTACATTGATGGTTTGATAGGAATAGCATTGAATCTATAAATTGCTTTAGACGGTATGGCCATTTTAATGAAATTGATTCTTCCAATCCATGAGCATTGAATGTTTTTCTATTTATTTGTATCATCTCTGATTTCTTCCAGCAGTGTTTTGTAATTCTCCTTGCAGAAGTCTTCCACCTCCTTGGTTAGCTGTGTTCCTAAGTATTTCCTTTCTTTGTGGCTATTGTAAATGGGATTGTGATCTTGATTTGACTCTTAGCCTGGACATTATTGGTGTATACAAATGTTACTGATTTTTATACATTGATTTTGTATACTGAAAACTTATTAAAATAGCTTATCAGTTCTAGCAGTATTTTGGAAGAGTCTTTGGAGTTTTCTAGGTATAGAAGCGAAGAGAGATAGCTTGATAACTTATTTTCCTATTTGGATGCCTTGTATTTCTTCCTCTTGCCTGATTGCTTTGGCTAAGACTTCCAGTACTAGGTTGAATAGGAGTGGTTAGAGTGGGCATCCTTGTCTTATTTCAGTTCTTAAGGGGAATGCTTCCAGCTTTTGCCCATTCAGTATGATGCTGGCTGTGAGTTCGTCATAGATGTCTCCTATTATTTTGAGGTATGTCCCTTGGATGATTGTCACTATAAACTGGAAAGCAGAGTCTGTGAAAACAAGGATTTCTCTGGTGTTATTCACCACTTTTTTCCCAATGTTTGGCAAAGAGTGCACAATCGACATACTTGCTGAATGAAAGAACGAATGAATGAATGAGTTGTGAATCCCTGAAATTCAGAATGAAAATGACTCACAGTTTATTATGCAGGTATCTTAAGAATATACTATATATATGTACACATATATATTTATATACACATATATATACACACAAATACATATTCTCTCTATATATTTATATATAAATATATATAATATATAAATATATAAATTTGTATATTTAATACATAAATTTAAATATAGATAGAGTATGTGTGTGTATATATTAATATATAATGTATGTGTATATAAATATATAGAGAGTATATATATGGTGTGTATATACATATACACACCATATATATACACACTATATATATATACACACACACACATACATATATATATACACACACATATTTAGGTTGTCAAGGGAGGTGTTCTTAAATCAATTCCGATCAATTCTGGTCAGAACCACATTCATGACAGGCTATAGGAAATATTTGGACATTCCTTCTACTTTTGTTGCCCTGATGTTGCTCCTCTGTGGTTCATGCTATTCTGCATTGGAACAGTCCCTTCTTTGCATCAGAGTCTGTACTGTAAATAACAGAATGCTCAGGCTGTCGGCAATGTTCCACATGCAGTGTTCATGAATTCAGAGTCAACACTTGGACTTCTGCAAACCCAGCTCTCTCTTAATTTCACAAAATTTAAGGAGGCTCCCACACCTTCCAATACACTTCACCTGCCAGTACTAAATTCTCATAGCCCAGGGACCCCATCTGTTTTCATGGCCAGCTGTCTTCAGGCTGCAGCTACAGGTCCCATCCAGCAACCTCTGCATTCTGCATGGGTGTGTCCATGGCAAGAGGATATGCTTCATACCTCACTCCTTTTGGTAGAAGAACTTGCAGACAGATCCAAACGCACAGGAAACTCCATCGCACAGAAGTTTGGATTCCAGCCACTTCCCATGTGAGACTATGAAATGTTCCATCTGGCTGGAACAGCTCAGAGGAGCTCTGCTCTGTTAACTATATAGGCTTGTAGAAATAGGAACTAATAACAAATCAAGTATTGGAAGCAAACACCAAATTTAAATGTGAATGCTAATTTTGCTTACTAGAAAAATTTCTTATAGATACAAAGGTCAGAACTTTTTATTGTCACCAAGGCAATAGTTTATTAAGCCATCAGTTCATTAAATACAGCACAGAGTTTCATTATGCTCATGCTACTTTCTTTTGCACAGATTTTTTTTTTTTTGAAATGGGATGTTCTTCTCATTAAATTACCTGGGAAGGAGAAATCTATTTTTCCTATTGCAGTATCATAAGGGATAATAAACACCTTAGTACATTCTATGATGCCATGTGGGAAATTGGTGTTTATTGCACTTTTCCCTCTAATTGGAAGTGAGCCAACCAAGGTGTTTCATAATGTACTTGGAGACCATTCAGACCACACCTTGGATGACACTGTTTTCTGGTCACTGAATTAATATGCAGATTATCTCTTCTTATAGCTTAGTAACCTTGTTCTATTTTTAGTTAAAAAGCTTATCTTATAACCCATCTTAGCAGAAATTATTATCCACAGGACAAGTATCAATGTAAGATAAAGTGAATCTTAATAATACCTCCAATACCCCTGACCTCCTTTTAGCCATGAACAATCCTAATTTATACATGTTTCACACGTCTTTTCATAAAGAAATCATGAGAAATAAGCCTCTATTTTAAACTTATATCAGAAATGTCATTTTAGTTCCTCTGTTTTTCTGCTTTCTACTTTAGGTCTACAGGACATTTGAAATGCTCATTTTTATTACCGTATTGGGTATCTTTTCTTTCCTGTGGTTAAAAGGAAATGTCTGTAAGAAACTGATACCTACGATACCAAATGGAATGAAGCTGTGGCAGAATTTTGCATCCGAAATGACTGACTCCTATTTTCTAGCTATTTAATGTCCAAATGAGAACATAAATGGCTTTTATTGCTGAGTTACTAGAAATAGAGAATTGACAAGATAATTTGTCTTTTATTATTTTTACTGATTGTCCCTCTAATCTTGTTATTCATGTTAGAGACCATTACGGGAGTTGTAATATCTTATTCGTTGAACAATAGACCTTAGAATACCTCATGCTAAAAGCAAATTTATGAGAAATAAATGTATCCATGGATTTCAAATGGCAAAGCTGTAACTAGGATTCATCCAGCTCATTTATGTTTGTTTCTGTAGTACATAGCAACACAAAGTCTCTCATTTCTGTATATGAGAAAAACTAGGATTCTACAACCTCGGAATGTAAACAGGTTTTGTTAAAACATCCAGTGCTACTTAAAGAAAATGGAAACAGGAGAGAAAAGTTACCACCTTCTTTGGTCTCACTTACAAACTCTTTTTGGCTCAGGGCAACAGAAATTTTTACATCTATACCAGATGATATCTTCAGACCTCTCCCTTCCTGCTGCCACCTCAGTGTAGGGACAGTTTAGGCAGCATTTATGTTTTAATTCTTTTCATTGAAAAAAAAAAAAAAAAACCCTAACTTAAATTAGCTTAAATAGAAGTGAAAAATAATGGGTTAATGCAGCTGAAATATTCAGAAATCATACTGGCTGCAGGTGTGGTGGGATTAATGGGCTAGATGTACTTTTTTACTTTTTGTTTTGTTTTGACTAATTTCTCTTTCAGGCAGGCTTCCTCCACTGGATAACAATGATGGGCATCAGCTGCACTAGGCAAGAATCCTAATAGCTTTGTAAGCTCCATGAGAAAGACAGCATGTTTTTAGTGTTCTGTCAAAATCCCAGGGAATAAGGTCATCATTTTACCAACTTAGACCATGAATCTATCCTTGAGCAACTCACTGAGACTAGAGGTGAGAGTTATTTGGCTGGATAGGTCACATTAGCCCCACATCTACCACAGGACTGAAAAAGGTGGTTACGGGGCGAGGGCAGTCCACAAAGGAATGTTGCATAGATTAAAGACACACATTCCCAGAAGGAGGGAAGTCCACAAAGGAATGATGCATAAAGACACACATTCACAGAAGTACAGTCTCAAAAACAGAACCTGCTAGAGAACAAGGTCCTCTGATAGTAGTCAGACTCTAAGGCTCTTGTTGACGTCGTGTATAAAGATGCCACACACACAGAAAAATAATTCTCTGCAACTGCTCTAGTCACCTCCTCTGAATATCCTTGTTTAAGGGGTCTTTGAAAGTGCATCACGATGCAGAATCAATATGCAACTTCTTACGTCTTCTGCTTACTAGATAATAAGTACCTGGTGAATAATAATGAGCCTCCCAAGTGCAGGTGGAGGCCAGCTGTTTCAGCACAAGCTGTCTTTGCTTCACATGAAACGTTTCAGAAATTGCACATATGGGGACACACAGACCTAGGGTGGCAGCATTAAACGGAAGGACACTTGTTACTGTCCAATACTCCAAAATATCCACAAACAAACTCTGAGTTTCCATGAGAATAATATAATGAGCTGGCAAGTAATTAATCCCCACTGGTAGTTAACACTAAAAATGAGGCAGAGCTGCCCAATTACTCTGCAGACAAAATTTTCTCATTTAAAAAAATATAAGCATGAAATGAAAACTGCATTTTACATTCTTACTCAAATGATCTAAAGATTGCAAGGACTTTTAATTCAGAGGATTAGCTGAGAGGGCCATGTACACAATTGTTTAGTATGACTTTGGCTCATGTTTGCTAATCAAATGGGGACTCAAAATTTTCTAGAACATCACACACCGGGGCCTGTTGTGGGGTGGGGGCAGTGGGGAGGGATAGCATTAGGAGATATACCTAATGTAAATGACGAGTTAATGGGTGCAGCACACCAACATGGCACATGTATACATATGTAACAAACCTGCACATTGTGCACATGTACCCTAGAACTTATTTTATATATATTTAAATGTACTAGAGATTACCATCCCTATAAGGGACTATTTTTCAAGTCAATTCAATTCAATTACAGTAACAGTATCTCCAGCCCTTTATAATAAAGTTCAAATAAACAAGTAAGCTATGGCAATAGCAAGCAAACAGCTGAATAATTTTAACAGCCTTTTTTTTTAAAAAAAGATTGAGGTTAATGTTAATAGCTTTTTATAATGGAAACTTTACAAACAATTCTTCAAAGGCAAATGACAAAGGCAAGTGGTTTAGAATTCCCTCCCCTCAGAACCTCAGAGAAACTAAGTAATCTAATCCTAGCACTGAAACTGAAAGCTTGCTATCCAGAGGTGAAGGCATATTTGTAATGTTGTATATGTATTATGGTATATGTATCATGTCCATTATGTTTAAATAGAAGACTTTTTAAAAAGTTGCTAGGCATGCTGATTTTGCTGAATACTATCTGTTCTCTTGGAAAATAGATATCATTATGTCTGTGCCAATAAAGGATGGTTGATCATGTCACCCCCTGCTTCAAAGACCAAAATCCTTAGCCTCACCAAGAGGACTCTGGATTATCTGGCACTGGCTTACCTCTCCACCTCCATCTGGTCCCACACTCACCTTGCCCCAGACACTCTGACCATCTTTGGTGTCCTCATATGTGCCAACCTATTTCCTCTGCCTGGAACACCTCTCTACTCCTGCCGCCAGCTCCAAGTGGCCTTCAAACTAGGCAGCCCCTCCATTCTCAGTGTCATGTTCCTCTGCAGCACAACCTGCTGACCGCCTCTGCTTGGCCTTCAGAGCACCTTCCAGGTAGTCTAACTGACATCCTCTCCCCAGCACAAATATTATACTATTAGCTCCATGAAAGCATGGGCCATGTTTGCTTTACCCCTTATTGTATCCCATGTTCGGCTGAGTGCCTGGCACATACTTGGATCCTCAGCATTTGTTAGAAAAATGTTCTGTGCATTTGGGAAGAGGCTGGTCAAAGGGTTAAAAAAAAAAGTTTCATGCAACCTAAAACTGCTGTTTCCCAGTAAATATATTTTGATTTGGCAGATGTCACTATGATTAGCATTCCTTGAATACATCAGGAAGGCCACAGTAAGAGCATTTTAGTAACTTCAGGAAATTCCTAAATAATTGTGAGGTTTCACTGACCTGAGTTAGGTCAATGACAGAAGTTAAACTGAAGCAGATTTTACCCTAAAAGAGCCAAAACTTCCTGTCAGGGAGTCAAAAAAGAAATAAGCTTTATTAAAATGGTTAGGAAGTTTAGCTTTAAAATGGGTATGTATCTAATTGTAAATACGACTCATGAGGAAGCAATTCTCCTACTCCTCAGGGGGAGGCCCTTTGACTACTACCTCCACTGATATTTAAGTCACTCAAATGATATGCTTTGGCATGACAGCCCTTAGAATAAATAAAGTTTAAAAGATAAGAGTATAGATCTAGGCAAGGATGGTATGTTCATTTAAGTCATACCCAGCCTGCCAGGGAACCACATTAAAACTTAGAAAAATATCCCTGATCTATGGGCCTGGAAGTTTGACGTCGGTCCTTCTGGAATCCACAGACACATGAGGTTGAACCCAACAGATTCAGAGCTGCCTCTCTCCATCTAGGGTTCCAGGGATCCAGAGTCATGCATATGGTATGGTCTAAAGCCTAGGCCTCCTGATAGGAAAGGTTACAATGGGTTGTACATGGCACTTAATTCTAAGACTGCGTTGCTCCACATAGGAAAAGCCCTGTAGAAAGCCCACAGAGAATCTACAGATGCTCAGAAACGTGCTAACTCAGCAAATGGCATGAAACCTGCTAGAACCAGTGTTTCCTATGGAATTGCATAGCTGACATCTGGCAGATCAAGCACAAGCGTGGACAGAACACCCTCAATAGTTCTGGCTTTCTGGACCACACCAGTGTTCACACTGAATAGAACTTACTACTGGGAGGAATCAAAGAAAGATTTTAGGTTCTTCATCTACGAATCCCTCTGGGAGTCTGTAAAACCTATAATACATTCTAAAAATGAGATACATAGGATTTCAAATGAAACTAAATGCAATGAGAAACAGTTATCAAATTTTAAAAGAATGAATTTCTGACACAGTCTATGTGTTTCTTTATTAATACAGTTGACCCTTGGACAACACAGGTTTGAACTGTATGGGCCCATTTATAAGTGAATTTTCTTCCATCTCTGCCACCCCAAGAAAGCAAGACAAGTCCCTCTTCTTTCTCCTCCTTCTCAGCCTACTCTGTGTGAAGAGGATAAGGATAAAGACCTTTATGATTATTCACTTCCACTTAATGTATAAACATATGTTATCTTCCTTATAATTTTCTTAATAGCATTTTCTTTTCTCTAGTTTACTTTCTTTTAAGAATACAGTATATAATACATATCACACACACAATAGCCATGTTATTGGTAAGGCTTCTGGTCAATAGTAGGCTATTAGTAGTTAAGTTTTTGAGGGGTCGAATGTTATATGTGTATTTTCAACTGTGGGGCAGGTCAGCACCATTAACTCTCATATTGTTCGAGTCAACTATACTTGAAATAAAAAGTTCTAACAGCAGGTCTAATAATCATATTTTCAAAGTTGTGATGAGCATAAATGGTTTTTCAAAATATCTGCAAACAGCTGTAATGTGATATATTCTCTGTGACTTCTACTGGTGACAAAGTGACAGGTACTGCTAATTACTTATGTGGTTTCTGACCCACACCCATAATTAATGAATATGCCAAATTCCAATTAGAGGTAACAATAAAGATGTCATTTTCTCTGTCCAGGTTTGTGAATTAACTGAATTCTATCCATGTCAGTGAGCTACAGGTTAAAACCACCTATTTTAGAAAGATTTTAGATTAATTTTAAAATCATTTAAACTTGGAGACTATGATTAACTTGACATAAGTTTGGGGTAGGGGGAAAGTTGTATATATATTGATAAATGGGTTTGAGTTTTAAAAATAGAATATAGCATATAAATCAGTAGTATTTTATGTATGATAATGAAAAAATTCAGATTGTATATAGGGTATTTTTCTCACTGAAAAATTATGGTCCCTCATTCCTGGCCTTATATTCTCCCCTTATAATCAGCCCTTCTAAGTACTCCTGCTTTCTATATAAGTGTCTTTTTTTTTTTTTTTTTTTTTTTTGAGATAGAGTCTTGCTCTGTCACCCAGGGTAGAGTGCAGTGGCACGATCTCTGCTTACTGCAACCTCCACCTCCCAAGTTCAAGCGATTCTCCTCTCTCAGCCTCCCATGTAGCTGGGACTACAGGCGTGCGCCAGTGCACCCGGCTAATTTTTATATTTTTAGTAAACACGGGGTTTCACCATCTTGGCCAGGCTGGTCTCAAATTCCTGACTCGTGTTCCACCCACTTTGGCCTCCCAAAGTCCTGGGATTACAGGCGTGAGCCACCGCACCTGGCATATAACTGTCTTAATCTACTTCCAAACATTTACATTGTCCGAACGTTTTCATGAAACTTTCATGGCTCCTGTCCCAGTGGTTATCCTCAGTGATCACCGGTACAGTGGTGAGGTCTATAAAATTCCCTCTATTCCTTTCTATTGCCAAGTAAAATTCTATTCTGTGGAATCCATGACTATTTGTTTATCCATTCCTCAACTGACAGACATCTGGGTTATTTCCAATTTGGAGCAATTATGAACGCAGCTGCTGTAAACTTTTGAGTTCTCTGAGTCCAACCTTAGTCTTAGGCCCCATGGACCTGGGCCTTGGGCTGGCTTTTCCACAACTTTTCTGCCCCTCCCTCTTCATGTGGCACCAAACTATGCTCTATATGGCTTGCAGACCTCTGCTTTGGATAAGCGCAGAACCGTGGGCCCTATAGTTTCTGCCCTTCCCCTAGTTGTGTAAGGCTTTTCACATGAGAGAAAAATCTGGGGTGGTATGTGGGATTTTGTGCCTGTTCCTAAGGGCAGGGTCTCAGTACCTGCACACCTGTGGAACCAAAGGGGGCTTTCTCTGGTCAACTTCTCTGTCCCCAAAATTTCTGATAAGTACTAAGTAAAGGTCCCTGGGAAAGAACTCATGGATGAGCACAGATTTCCCTTGTGTCTGAGGCTCCCAGTTACTCTCAACTATCCTACTGGCCCTCACTTGATTTTTAAGAATTAGAAATTTTCACTAATTTCTTCTTCTTCACTTTTTACATGTTTAATTTTTTTTAATTGTGGTAAAATACACGATATTACATTTACCATGTGAACCGTTTTTAAGTGCACACTTCAGTGACATCCAGTACCTTCAAACCGTTGTGCAACCATCACCACCACCCATCTCCAGTAGTCTTTTCACCTTTCAGACTGAAACTCTGTACCCATTAAACACTGACTCCCTATGCCCCCATCACCCATCCCCTTGCAAACACCATTCTACTTTCTGTCTCTATGAATTTGAGTCAGAGACACAGAAGAGAAAGCCATGAGATGATGAAGATGGAGACTGGTGGTGTGATGAGTCTATAAACCAACAAATGCCAGGGACGGCCAGCAAAACTAGAAGCTAAGAGAAAGGCATGAAGCAGATTTTCCCCATACAGCCTCCAAAGCCCGAATGGCCGTGTCAACACCTTTAGACTTCTAGCCTCTAGAACTGTGAGAGAATACATTTCTGTTGTTTTAAGCTACCCAGTTTGTGGTAGTTTGTTATGTAGCCTTAGGAAATGAAAACAGTATTTCTGTTTACCATATAGACATTGTTGAGATAATACACTCAAGGGTTTTGGTTTTCCTTTTCTCTTTCTAGTAATTCATGATCACTAAAACAAGTTTCTGCATCCTGAATGGACATCAGTCTAATGTGCCTGCCCAGCAGGCACATTATCATTTATTCCCCTCTTCCAGTAGTAACAGATTATAGATTATGCTTTAGGACTATTGGTCAAAATGGCCTATTCTTCCCCCAAACTCTGTCTCTCTCTCTCTCTCTCTGTCCTTTCTAAATGCTGAGTCTTGAGGACAGTGACACAATGATGGAAAATAGCTAGAGCTGATCCATTCCAGCACTGGGATATTATCCTGTCCAAGGTCCTGCTCTTCAGAATTTCCTTCAATTCCATGAACTCCTCCATAACCATCCAATGGATTCCTTTCTGCTTAATCTGAATAGAATACACTTCTATTGAAGTCAGTGAAGGAACTCTGATAAGTTACAACATCATAACTTTGAGTTTTGTTCTGTTTTGTTTTAAGATTTACCTTATTTGGACTTACTACTATTAGTAAGTTCCAGTGAAATTTCAGCCTTACTCCATTCCCTTCCACAAAGTAATCTAAATGATTAGTTCAGAGCTTTTCTATGTAGTTATCTATAATGTATCTATTACTGTTTTTGCAAATCTCTGTGCTTCAGTCAGAAGAGGCAGTTGATGGAAAACTTTTTAAAAGTGCATAGTTTCTAATTAAGCTACTAAAAACCTTTTATTTTCAGTCCCATTAGACAGCAAAAATAATTTAAAAACTGCAATACCAAAGAAAACCTTACCCATAATATTTAGGAACAAACATAATGTGTGCATGATACTCAAACACAAAACTCTTAATACAGTATATAATCAACAGCTATGCCTTAAAGGCTATGTTAAAATGATTTCTCTCTAGGTATTTCTTAAAATTACAGAATATTTTTACCATGCCAGAATGGTAATTTTTTCTTCTTAGTTGTTCATTTCATATTTCAGATAATTAAAAACTGTATCTGAAACATTCACATGACTTTATGCTTTCTCTGTTATACACCCACCAATGTAACTGCTGATTGGAAATTTAAAAACATGCTGGCAAAGAGGTAAAAATCTCACTTCAATGATACTTTAGTCGTGTGAAAGAATACCTTTCAACTTCTTTAGTCTTCTTAAGAATTTAAGAACCTAAATAGATATAACAGAAAATGAAAGTCTGGTTCATTTCTGTGGTTTTTAATTTTTGAACTGCATTGTGCTAAAGTATCTCCCCCACCTCCCATGTTGGAAACTACATATGGAAAAACCAATTGCTACACTGACATACTTACCACAAGCAGACTACATTTTATAGTAGCCTGAAAGCTACTAACTTTAAAAATGCAAAGATATGTGATTTTATTTTCCCATTTTAAGACATTTTAAAATAAGGCACTTACATTTATTTATGTGACTAAACCATTGGATGAATGAAAACAGAAGAAAATATTTTTCACTCAAAGCCATTTATCATGGCTGTTAACATTCTTCTGCTTAATATGTGATGTATGACATCCAGTCACTGTGATCTACGCAAAGGGTGAAAAATAAATGAGAGAAAGCATCCTTAGTCCATTAATATGTTAATTAAAAAAGTAAGATCACATTTTATCTTAGAAAATGACTGCATTTAAGAGACTGCATTCAACAGCCCTAATGGATGATGTAGAATTTTTTTTTTTAATATACATTTAACAAGTTAACCTTTCTGGATTTTTTTTTTAGTTGCCCATGTTTGTAGATACTAAGACTTGTTTGTACATAAATCTTAGTAGCCTTCCTGTAAAGTGTAATTTGGTATGTAGATGAAGGACCAGAGGTTAGTAAGGTAAGCCAGGAACAAAGGAATAAATCACGGGATGTTAGATTAACAATTTACATGATGACAGCTCCTGACTTTTATCAGAAAACAGTGATTCTACTACCTAGTATCTAATGTAAGAAAATATATTAATTTGTTCCTTGAACAGTTGTTTGTAGCAAAACATAAATTCTAGTGTGTACCCAGCCAGTCTAATGATGTAGATTGAAGGAAGAGAGCTAATGGGCACTGCTGTCATTAATCTTGAAAATTCAGATCAATCATTGGAAACACATATTCAGTAATGGTACAGAAAGAATCCTCTAGACTTTAACCATGACCCAGATGAAATAAAACCATGGCTCTAACATTTTTCTTTGGGGCCAAACAGTAACATAAATGCTGTGGTGGCTTCTTATTGTGCTAGCATACAATCAGCATACAAACAGCAATCCCTCAATTTTCTATGGGAAAACACACTTCCTCAACCAGTATATTCCACCTTTCCAGCCACTATGACTGGTGGAGGGCTCTTGACCTGACCAGGGATATTTGCTGGAATTTCTAGGAACAGCAGCTTCCTCTTTCATCTGTAAAAGGTACAGGAAGAGACTGTCCTCTTCACTAGGTTTGAACCTGGGAACATGAAGCTCTGAAAGCTTCTGGCAGCCATCTTAGAACCCTGAAGAGTAAGCCTGTCAAGGACATAGCCAAGATTAAGGAAGAGGAGCTAAGAAATTGCAATGGAAACTGCAGTGCAACTGGTCACATGGGTGTGAGCCCTGAATCAGGTCCTGCTTAGAGTCACATAGAGCTCCCGGCTCCACTTACACAGTCATGAATCATGTCTCTCTTTTTTTTCCTCAAGAAACTTGAGATCAGGCTTTATGATTCTTGAGAGTAAAACAGTTGGAACTAATTCAAGCATAAATGATCACTTGCAAGGGCACAGCTGAAGTGTGGTGGAATTAGCAGAGTACAAGGACAAAGAGGGTGCCAGACATCATGCTAGCATCTTTACTTGCTTATGTCACCGAATCATCACAGGAATCATAACCTATAATCCGGTGGATATGATTCTTAAAAAGTAGTAAGGTAGAAAGTAATTTGCCCAATTTTTTTGTAGCTAATAACTGAGGAACAGAGATTTGAATACAAACTTGGGTGGTGCTAAAGAGAATGTTCTTTCAAAGTTTCCATCTGTTCTGGTTTCCAATTTTAACTCTTTCATTATTCCAATTGATCATATGCATATCAGTCACCATAAATTACAAATAAGAATACATACATTATTTATTTTACAATGAACAACATACAACAGGTTTTCAGATTTTTATTGAATCTGAAATGCTTCAATAAACCATAATGGCAACAACACTAAACTGGTATAAAAACATCTATAAACTTAATAACAGAATTATCAGCAAGGGCCAATCTTCAATTTTCTGATCATCAAAAAATACATCCTAGTTGAAAGACATTATGCATATGGTTTTGTTTGGTTTTAGAAATCTTTACCTAAAGCTCTACTTATTTTCATCCCAATTAGGAAAAAATAAAAAGGCGTTTAATCTTTTTGACAATTTAGGTGAATACCTGAATTGAACATAATTAGAGACCCATCAGTTACCTTTTTTTTTTTTTTTTTTTGCCTCTAACAGAATCTAACAGCTGAAAGGAGAAGCTCTTGAGCTAAATATCGGTTCTTGAGCATTTTTAAATAAACAGAAGAAACATGGATTTAACCAAGAAAATAAGCATGCTCTTGAGAAAGAGGTTTGGATGGAGATTTTGAAAACTGTAAACTAAGCTGAAATGATGCAGAGTGACTACTGACCTCAGGCAAATCACTTCATAATTATCTTCATTTTAAAGATGAAGAAATAAAAGTTCCATAAAGTTAAGCTCATCTAAAGTCACAAACTACTAAGCAGGAGTGCCAGATTTGACTGCAAAGCTCTTGATCTTCCCTAAATGTCTGTGCCTCTTTCCTTGTAAATGGGTGGTTAGTATTCTGGCTCATCAGTCAGTCTTTTCCAAACACATCAGTTGATTGTCAAACCTGGTCAAAACACTGTTGTTCAAATCAAAATTGCAAAAACCAGGCTTCATGATCCAGAAGGCTGAGTTCAGTGTTTTGGTCAGTGGGGTCCCAGACCAAGGTCAAGCAACATGCATGTAATTCTGTAAAACAGACTACAGCCTGCACCTATTACTGTGCCCCCAATGACAAACAGCATGTCTCTTTCACCTTCTTTAGGAGGATAGAGACAATTCTGAATGACAAAATCAGAAGGAACCACATCAGCCATCTGAGCCCAGGATTCAGATTCCAAACGGCATCACATAATGAATAATCCAGAGATAGAAGAGATACACTATTTATAAAGAAGACTGAAAGCCTGGGGAAATGTTCCAGGCTATTTTTTTTCTTAAGATGAATAAGCATTTGTAAACAAAAGTAAAACCTTCCACAAACAAGGTTGCCTTTTTCCTGCATTGCTATTACTTATCTTTAACAATTATAAGATAAAATGAAATTTTAAAAAAAGATATTCTCTTTGCCTTTGCTACAGCATAAATTTCAAAATCTTGCTCTGTGTGTGTGTGTGTGTTTGTTGTTGCTCCTGAATTCAACAAGAACAACATAAGGTGTTTGATAAAATTCTCACATGACCCTCCTTCCAGCTGGCACAATAATTGACATGCCAGAGTAAGCAGCAAGTTTGTTTTTAGGTAAATGGAGCTGCCATCTTATCAATATTTCCTTTTCCCCCAAATAAATATGGTTTCTCCAAACAAGTATACTTTAAAGCATAGGTATTCCCTAGTACCCAAAATAACAAAAATGCTCAGTTCTGTAGTCTTTATATTAATCCCCCCAAAATAGTGACACAGAATGTTCAGTCTTTGAAAGTGTGTGGTTAGAGCCTTTGCTGCAAACACCATTAGAACAAAACTGATTTGAAATTCTGCTTCCTCTAACTACCAGTGCCAGCCAGCCCATTGTCTTCTACCACTGTGGCTATCAGAAGTGCAAAAGGGCACACATCCATTCAACAAGTATCTGCAGGGAAGGAAACCACCTCTCCTTGCTCAGATGTCAAACAAAATCAATAATCATTTGCTAAGGAAAGGAAAAGGGAGACAAGAACTGACCCCTTTCACCTCAAATTTCTCATTTCTTCCTTGTCTAGGCTGTACAGAAATCCATGTAACTGTTTTCCCTTTAATGATTTCTTCTGCCTTCTGCATCTCACCAATTATGTTCTGAAGTCTTTTCAACAATCGGGAAATATCTCTATAATTGCTCCAAATTCAATGAAAATGAATGCCCATCTTATGTTTCTTTGTACAGATACTTTTAGAGATATATCTGGGTATTGCAAGTGCAAGAGTCCCAGTGTCTAGAACAGAACCTGCTACTGCTGAGTTTACAAATGCTTATTGAATTTACAAATATGATTATCACTGGTTCAAACCATATTTATTGGGTTTTCACGTAGTCCAATGACAGGTGCATTCTATCAGTACCAGTGTTGCTTACACTGAAGTCATCTTTTCCTCAGGTCTTTCACTATTCCCTTGGGAAAGAGGAAGCCTCTCTAATAGCAAGAATATGCAATTGAACAAACCAATTCAGTAAATATAGAAGCAGAGAAACTGAGGTTGCCTTTGTGAAAAACAAAGGCTCTCCCCACTGCCTTTTTCCAAGACAGGTACAAATCCCCATTCCACCTAGAAGCAGAAAAGAGCTGTTTGTGTTTGTATGCACAGGAGAAAGGGCGGGGTCGGGGGGGGGGTGGCGTTGCTGGGTGCCCCAGAGTCTTAGCAGGAGTATCAAGTCTGCTGCGACACAAATCCCTGAGGGACAGTAATAGGTAAGGGTGATTGGAATAGTTATTAGAACAAGAAAGGAAGTAAGCAACCCTAATGATGATACCTTCAGAATGAATTCTGAAACAAACCAATAACAAAAATGGGTGGAATGGTGAGACAGAAGAGGGGGTAGATACAACGACCAAATTTTAGTTTCACTAGGCTTCATTGTGCTAATGACAAGGCTTTTACCTAATAAGTGCTCTGAGCTCCTGCATGCAGGGGATATTAGAACAGTATCTTATTACATTTATGAGTGTAAGGTATTGTTCCTCCTTTCTAGGCAACGTATTGTGCTACGGAATCGAAAGGCTTGATGCTTCTCAATACGCTCCATGCTGTCGATTTCAAATGGAAATTAAATACAATACGAGAAAATTATACGACATTCTTACCTTTCTATGTAGATACCTATAAATACTAAGATTTCATTTTGGAATATTTTGGGGTGTTTCAAATAAATATTTGTCTAACATTTTTCTCTGATTGTTCAATCCCTCACTTGATAAAGAACTTACAAGTTGTAATTTTAATTAAATTCATTTGAATTAAAAATTAAGATTATCGCTTTTAAAAAGCAATTACCAAACAAGTTCAGTGAAATTAGTACAGCAGAATAGTTCTGATTTGGTTTTATCAAACAATGTTTACTTAGCTCACATGCACATATGCATATGATTCACCTTTTAGAAATTCTCAATATGTCTTAAGATTTTTTGTTTGTTTGTTTTTTAAAGGCTGAAAAACAGTTCTGCCAAAAGGAAGCCTCTTTAATTTCCTTAAAACAAGTGTTTTTGAATATGGACCATTTTGCAAAGAAAGTCTCTTATTAACTACTCTTGATTTTCAAGATGGACTTCCAATAGGAATATTTGAAAGTATCCTAAAAGGGGTTGCTTTTAATGTTAAGCACATCTTATTGAAAGCCAAGTTTCTCAAATTAAGCATTACTGACATTTGGGCTGGATAATTGCAGAAGGCTGTCCAGTTTATTGTAGAATGTTCACAGCATCCCTGGCCTGGCCCACAAGACACCAGCAGCACCTCTCCCCCAAAGTTGTGACAACCAAAAATGTCTCCAGACATTGTCAGTATCCCCTAGGGGGTAAAACTGCCCCCAGTGGAGAATCACTGCTCTAAGCCTATCAACAAGATCTATCCCTAAAGTGAGAGAAAGTGATTTCTCTTCTTCCACTTTGACTGACATCTCTATTTCTCATTCTGCCTCCTCAAGCCATTTCACCACCTTTACTTTCTTCTTCTTCTTCTTTTTTTTTTTTCTTTGTAATGACTTTATCTTAGGGCAACAAAAATTCCATTGACTATTTTCTAAAGCTTCCCAGGATTTAGGGAACAATCCTCCAGAAAAAAAGTGTCCAGTTAGGCTTCCACTTAAGGACCAGGAACCAGCCCAAGGGTACAATCCTTTGTATTTCAAATGCAGGAGATCGGGAGTAAAAGATTCTCTCATCTCACATTAAATTTAGCATTCTATAATGAAGCCTTTTCCTGCACACACTCAAAAGATCTACCCGGACCTAATCTCTGCTTTTATATGATACCCTAATCAATTTGGCCGACTTTCCCTCTTCCGTGACCCCCAAACAAAACAATACAGGCAAACATATCAGATGATGTTTTATTTGAACAGCATTCTGTGCAGAACAGAATGGCTAAAATGATCATTTATTTTACCTTCACATGATTTATAATAATGACTGAAAAAAATCATAGCCATAAAAGCCAATAATGACAGCAGAAGTCTTTTTATTCAAATCTCCCACCTTACAGATGTCCAGAATAATCAACATATTTCAAAGGGTATATTTCAAAAACGTACTAGCAACTCAGCCAGCCACTGTCACATGGAATAAGAAGACATGCCCTGGCCATTAGAACCATGCTGTCCTCGCTCTTGTGTCCCTCCACGGGACAGACATCACCTTGCAAGACAACTCGTGCCACTGTCCCCAACAGTTTTCCACAGAGTTCTTGTTTCCCTTCATCTGAATCTTCTCTGTGCAATTTGATGTCCTGAACTATTTCTGACGGTTGCACACAAGATCTCAGGGACTGGACCTTTTAGTTATGAGACCAGCCCTCTTAGACAGCAGACAGTAGGTACAGTGCTTGCTCTCCCTTCTTTGCATCCTTCCAGAGTTGCCTTCATCCTCATTTCCTGCATCTGGTAAAGTCTCTCTGAAAATGTGAAACCGACGACAGAACATGGCAAGCTGGATGGAGAAGCCGACAACCCCTCCCCCACTCTCACCCAACGCCGGGCCGGTCCTGTTTCGGATCCTGCACACTGTGGAAGCTTCTTGCTTCCTTGTTTTGGTGGGTGAAATCTTTGCTGTTCAAAAAGGTGTTTTTGCACAGAAATTTTAGGACGTGTTTATTCTAGTAACGTAGTGTTTTCTTTTTTCGCTATATTTACATGTGGAGAACTCCAGGGAGGCCCCCACCAGAGATCCCTTAAATGCTGGTCTCTGTCCCTGCTTCTCGGCCCCGCTGGCCTTTTGGAGCCATCGTGCTTCCCAGTCCGCAGGCAACAATCACAGCATCACCTGCAAGGGGCAGCAAAGTGAACCGCGGACCCCTGGAGTGACGCCTTGGAGATGGACCCTTTGGATTTGGGAACCCCTCTGACGGCCGGGACTCCCAGGATTCCCTTCCATAGAGGGAGTCCACGGTGGTCGCAGCCGGCGGCTGAGTCCTCCTTAGAGTGCCGAATCAGAGAAGACCCGCATCAGGTTTGGGATGTAAGTGGAGAGGGAGAGGTTAGAAAGAGGCATCATTGGATAAGCAAAGAATGCTACCCTGGGAAAAGGAGGCAGAAAAGACGTAGGGAAGTATGTTCCCCTTAATCCCTTCCCCGTGCCGCCCGTAGATCCCTGGATCTTCTTGTCACGGAGACAGGCTGCAGCCACACACGCGACCCCGGGCCGGAAACATGCACACGCGCGCGCACACACGCACACACACGCCCCGCTGCGAGTTGCACGCTGCAGACTTCTGCCTGACTTCCCGGCCAAAAACACCGCACCTCTGGGGCCAGACCACGAATTCCTGTGGCCTAGAACTGACACCACTCCCCCTACCCCCGCAATACACACATTCAGACCCTACACTGCACCCTGAGCGTGCCGGGAACCACTGAACGGAAGCCCGAGCAGCTCCCCCCGTAAACGACTACCTTCCCCACTGCCTAATGTCTATTTAAATCTCCTAAAGCTCGCCTACAGCGAGCCGAGGTGCGTCCAAGCCGGGTAGTAGACGGAGGAGGAGCCAGGGGTGAAAGTGAACCTCAGATAACAGTACTAAATCACTATTCAAGGGGCGGCACGGGGAAGCCTCCAACCCTCTCCTGAACCTTTCAGGCCCTACCAGCAGCCCAGTTCCTCCGCCCGATACTGCACAGCTCCCCCCCTCTTCACCCAAATCCCTCAGCGATTTTCCAGTCGGCCCTCCAGGCCACTTTCTACATCCATCCTTTCCCCAGCCAGTTCCCAACATGTGGCCTCGGGTACTCTAGCGGGAGACAGATTCCAGGCTGACTCCATCATGATGTGCCCCCTAGCCTTTTACTGATTCCCCAAATTATCCGAATCCACTCGCCCCTCCGGAGCCCACTGTCCCTTCCACCGGCGTCCTTTGCTCTCGTCCAAATCCGCTTTCCACGCGCCCCACTTTCCACCCATCCTCCTGCCGTTCTGTTCAAGACACGCTTGCCCTCCACTCTGCGCCCCCAACACTGCTCTCACGCTGCTCCCACTCTATCCCCCGGCGACACCCCCACTTTCCTTCTGCGGCTGTCCCTGGCCGGGCTCCCGCGCCCCAAACCCAGCCTCCCCGCCCGGTCTCCTCCCTCGCCGCCCGGTCTCCTCCCTCGCCGCGCGGTCTTTCCTTCTTCCCAAGTCCGCCCTCTGGGCCCCCGCTGGAGCTAGTTCTGCCCTCCTGCTCTGCCCGTCGTCCCCGCTCGAGCATCCCAATGGCCACCCGCTTTCAAATTGGCTAAGTGGCTCGGAGAGGCGCCAGGCACAGGGGGCAGAGGCCAGCCGGCTCTCCCGGGCGCCAGCCGCGCCTCTCGCTATCCCTCCTGGACTCCCCCGGGCGCCAAGCCCTCGCCCTAACGCCCAGCAGCCTCACAAACTTACTTGCGGGTCGCCAGGAGGGGGCTGCGGTGAGCGGCGGCGGGCCCCGCGGCGGCGAGTGCGCCCCTCTCGGCGGGGCTGGGCGGCGCGGCGCCGGCGCTGAGCTCCTGTGGCCGCGAGGTGAATGGGCTCAGCCTGACGCAGCCCAGCTCTAGCCCCGCTGCTGCCGGCGCCGCTGAGCGCTTGCAGACATGCTCAGTTTCCGGACCTGCCCGCGTGGAAGCTACCAAGAGCCGGCAGCGGCGGGGGAGACTGAGAGGAGCCGTGGGGCGCCGCGAGCCGGAGGCTACCACGCCGGGGGCGGGGGGAGGCACGCACCGCTAAAAATAGCTCCTGCGGAAGCCACGCTGGCTTAGCGCGCACCCCTCCCCGCGCGCGGCCCCTCTGGCTGGGGTTCGGGTTTCTGCTCTGGCTACCGCGGTGGGGACCCCAGCTCGCCGAGTCCTGCCAGGCGTCTGCCTGCACTAGGATCCCCATCCCGGTGGAGACGGCGCCTCCAGTTCAGGCGCCCACTCGAATAGCCTGGACTAAGCCAGAGCTGCCCCGATTTCGGGGTCCCGCCTGTCGGGCAGCTCTAATACTAGGCTCTCCCTAGAGAAGCAGAGGAAAGTTTTGTTAAAGCGATAAAAAAGCTTCTGCAAGGAAAGCTGCAAGGAAATTTGTTCAGATTTACGGAGGAAAAAAATGTTCTTCAGATGCTTTGGTTGCTGGGAAAAACAAGGAGGAAAGGAAGGCGAAGTCTGACAGCCTAGAAAGGGACCCAAGGCAGCTTGGAGCGGGCTGAAGGGGGTTCTGCAAAGAGCTTCTAAAATTCAGAATTCTTTGCAAGGCGTTTGTGACTCCTCATTCCGCAGTGTTTTGCATAATTCGTTGACACCCCACCCTGACCTTGGAGATTTTCTTGTTCCTGTCACCTGAACTGTAATTTACTTTCTCCGCATGCTGCCTTCACTCCTTCCCCCTCCAACCCGGTTTTAAATTGCAAAACGAAAAGGGCGCAAACTCTGGATGGGTAGATTCCCAGACCTGAACTGGAACCTGGCTGTTCTGTAACCCTGAGGAAAGGAGCTGGTCCTGTTGCCGAGTTCGGGATGTATCCCAGATCTCCTGTGCATCCAGCAAACACTTCAAGCGTAGGAGCCTTTCAGCCACCTCACCTGCAAATTAGCTATTTCCCGCTATTAGTGTTCACTCTATTCTACCTTAATTTCTGATCATTTATTATTATTTTTTAATTCTGTTCTTTAAAGTAAGAGGTACAGATATTTCCTGGGTCAAATTTCCGTCTTGTTTCACTCACCTCTCACAGCCACCCAATGAGAGAATCATTATTATTCCCATTTGACAGACAGGGATGTTGAAATTTAGCGACAGGAGCTCATCGCTTGTCTGGAATAATAGAGTGTTGAACCTAGGGTCGGCCAGACTAGAAACTTTCATGGTTTCCGCATAACCTATTTCCCCGAGTCAATAGCTTTACCTGAGATAAGGGATCAAGAAAATTAGATACTATTCTGAGTGGCGTGGCGTGTCAACAGTAAGCCGATTGATAAGCCGATTGCGGGTTTTGTTCTCCATTATTTTTACCTAATTTCTTTACGAGCATTCGCAGCTTAAATTTTCTGTTATGTTGAAACTGATAGCGTTTAATTTTTATTCTATCAGAAAGATTTTACTGAGAATCTTCTACAAGCAATGTATAGACTAGGTATGTATTTTATAATTATCTCAGTTCAGACTCTGTGATAAAGCTACTTTGTTTTCCCAGTATTATAAATTAGTTAGACTTTGCTAACCCTACTAAGTAATGTACATGTGATTTTTTCATAGAACTGTAGTGGAATCTGTCTATTTGGGTCAAGATGTCCTCCCTCCTAAGATATTTGCGCCCTTCCATCCCCACTTGCAATTTAGTGCCATGTGCACCCCAAAATAAGTAATCAATTAAGGTTTGATCTTTTACTTTTTTACTGAAGCTGCAAATATTATCTGCAGGACCAGGGCCACTTTATAATGACAACATCATGTTTCTAATTTTCCATAGGTGATTCATTGGGAGATCAAAATGTGAATTTCCTTAGACTATCAACACAAATCATTCCTTTCTATCAGTGGTGAAGGAAGGTGAAAAATAAACTTTACTTTCATCCTGGTTGCTTTCATTCTTCCTCTTTCAGTAATTATTCTTAAGGTGGTATGGCACTCTGAACATCTTCATGCTACAGCATGCACACTACCCATAATCATGAAACAGGGAAAATCTTGATTTCAAAGTCTCTTTGGTGTCCTATGGAAAAGTGTAGCTCAAAAACGTACTGCATTGAGGACTCGAAGTAACAAGTGACAGGGATGCAATTCTAACTTAGGCAGAGAAAATGCATTGACCCGTGTAACTCAGAAGTACTAGAAATAGCAGGGCTTGTCCTGGGCTTAACAACATTAGGAAGAATATGATTTTCTCTTTCTCTAACTTGCTTTCGGCATTGCTTCCTGTGTTGGTTTCATTCCCCTCACATTATGTCCATAGTGCCAGCCCTACACAGTTGACAAATTTTGTAACCTTACAAAGAAATCAAGTCTCTTGTTCTGTTGAGCAGATCAATCTTTGAAGGTGTACTCTTATTGGCTGTCCTGGCTCACACAATCAACCACCTGCATCCTCTTGGGGATGAAAGATTCTCAAAAGGGAAAAAAGTATTTGGTTAGCAAAAGAAGGAATAGGGGATGTTTGCAAGATGGAAATAATGGATAACCAGTAAACTCATAGACTGGCCTGTTTCCCCATGGACAAAAAAAGGACAGCAAGTGTGTTGGGAGGTCCGTTGGTTTCAGTTATTCAGAAATGAGCAAGATAATAATAATGCTTTGAAGTGAACTTTTCCCATCTCTTTTTAGGCTCAGTTGCTTTGATTTGCCTGCCTAAGGGTAACAGAGAGTCCCCTCTTTGTTGCCTTTTCATCTTTATTTCAGGGCCCTGGTTATTTCCAAGGTGGTGCCACTCATTAAAGACAGCTAATGAGCCACCCAGCCAACTGACGCTTTCAGTCCCCAATCTGTCTCTGCAGGAAAAGGATGTTTTCCATATTATTAAAGCCCATTTTTTTTGTTTTGATCTAATGTACTTGATCATTATGTAAACCATTTGATAATAAAAAGTGGGGGTTTTCCCATTGTGCCTCAAAACATGAACAGATGGGGGAAATGCTGCTGTCCTTATAGTTTTGTATTATTTCTTATGCTAGAATTATTTGAATAATTGGCTGTCTTTTTTCCCTTTACTTATCTTATGCAATTTGTTTGTTACCTCCTTTAATATTTGTTATTCTAGGAATAAATCAATGCAATCCATGAGTCATCTCATTTAAACTGCATTCTATAGTTACGTTAAACTTATCAAATCCAGGATCTTTTCCTTGAACTTCTTCTCATGACTTTGTACATTGTCTTCTAGGAACTCCTCCCTTAGCTCTGTCACACCACAGCAAACATATTTTTTTTTTTTTCTCTGAAACGGAGTCTCACTCTGTTGCCCAGGCTGAAGTGCAGTGGCACTATCTCAGCTCACTGCAACCTCTGCCTCCAGGATTCCAATAATTCTCCTGTCTCAGCCTCCCACATACCACATCTTAACCTACACCTCAGATTATTCTTCTTTTCTTCTCCTAGTTCTCATCTCTGTAGTTCTTTGTCCCTCTCTACACCACACTGCCTTTTTGTTTTAGTTATCTACATACTTGCTTCTCCTCCCCCACTAAACGGCAAGTTTCTGGAGGATTGGGGCAATGGCAAATTTATATTTGTGTGTATTTTATCTTCGTCAGTGCTCAAATAGGTGCTTGCTGATGCATTGAGGGATTATAGGACAGGAAGTGAATATTTAAGTCTGAAACGGGGAATGCATGAGGTGGGCACTAAGTCATCTGCTTTCAGGGAGTCAAGGAAACATGGAGAGAGCTGATGCTGGAGGTAGGCTGACATGCAATATACACTACTTCTTTCACCATTTTGTGTAGGGATACCTCTGTATAGTCCGTTCTTTTCTCCTTTACTTTGTCTTACTTTGAATTCCTTCACTGAGATCTATGCTACACTGCCAAGCATCTGGTATACTTCCAGGTATTGGCACTGACCACTGAGCATATTCTCCTTCCATTGCACAGAGGCAAACCATTTTAGATACTTGGACACTAGCCTGTCTTTCTGTTGCACTTCTTTCATACCAAATTTGCTTTTAGAAAATCAGAACCAAGGTAGAAATGTGAAACAATTTGTAAATGAGTTTTTTAAGGGAAAAGGAAATACCAAGACAGTTTCATTAAAGGGCTATTAAAAGTTTGTCTTCTTGATAGCTATTTTCCCGTTGTGAAAAAAATTAAATTTGGAGAACTAAATAGTAGTAGTTCAAAGTCACTTATGCCCCAATTATTTTTTCATTTCATGACTATAGATAAATGTCACAACAGATTCATTAATGATATATACTAAAGATATAAATGCACATTTCTACCCTCTCTCTGCACTTTCAGGCTGAAACAATTCTAGATAATAGTCATGGGACATTAAGGATCACACAGTATTTGTGAATCAAAGATGCTTCTTGACTAAAAGACTTAGCTCTGATGGCCCTTTCCTCAGGAAAGAAGAATGTGGATAATTATGTACTTCAAATATCAGGATGCTCTTTTCTTGCCTCTGAATCTAACACAAACGTGGCTTAGTTCTTGCAGAAGCAGCAAGATCCTGATAAAGCTACAACTCGTTTCACTTCTCTTTGAGTCCAATGCTACAATAACAAGTATGTTTAATGTGTGATCTCAGATTCTCAAATATAACTAAGAAATCTATGACCATTAGTTTATTTCCACAATGTTTTTATTATAACGGATTCAAAATACTACTGTGCATCAACTAATATTAATAATAATATTCAACATTTATTGGTACTTCTATGTGTCTCTTTCTGTGGTAGGCACTCCTTTGCATACTACTTATTTAATTCTCATAGCAATCCAATGAGGTATATAGTATTTTAGCCTATTTTTGGTTGGACATATAGAAATTCAACCTAGACTGGTGAAGGTGAAAAGGGAAATTTTCTGGCACAATAGTAGAGTGAAATATAAGACAGGGAGCTTCTCTGAGCCTCAGGAGGTGGAAATGCCATCACAATTCTGTCCATATCTCATCAGCAGGTTTATTTTCCCACCTTGCAGACAGGCTTTTTCCACAGCCTGTATAGTCCTTGGATCCCTTCATTAAATAAGGACAGGATCTGTTCAATTGGCTTTGGTTTAGAAGTTTCCAAAGAACTCGGTGGCTTGCTTCCAAAGAATATAGAAAAGGAAGAATAGCAACTTTACAGTGGAAAAGGCTGGCCGAAACTATCTTAACCAAGTGATGAAGGCTTAACATCACCAGTGATGTCATGTGACTATCATTTACTGTCTAATATTATGTAATGACAAAGGCACCTCATCTCTGTGGATTTCTTTCCAAAAACCTACAACTCCAGTTGAATCATGAGAAAATATCAGATAAACCCAAATTGAGAGACATTCTACAAAATACCTGACCAGTACTCCTTAAAACTGTCAAAGTCATAAAAAACAAAAACTAAGCAACTATTATACAACAAAAGAGACCAAAAAGACACAACAGCTAAATCCACTGTGGTATCTTGAATTGTATCCTGGAACAGAAAGAGGGCATTAATGAAAACAATTGGTGAAATATGGAGTTCAATTAATAGTAATGTAACAATGTTAATGTTAATAGTAATTAACCAATGTTAATGTTTTGACAAATGTAAGATGTTAACCATGGGGCAAATTGGGTGAAGGATTACAGGAACTCTCTGTATTATTATTACAACTTTTCTAAAAACATAAAACTATTCTAAAATTTAAAAATGTATATTTTAAAAATACAGAGAAAAAGAAATCCCTGGGGAAAAACATGATCCAAGAAGCTTGGGTTAGGTGCCCATCCAAGACAGATTAACTGAATAGCAGGCAAGTGCATCCAGCAGGAAAATGTCCCCTGGGGTCCAGACTTGGTATTCCAGCCATTCCCAGGGAATGAGAGTGGACAAGAGGGATGGAAGAATATAGCTGTGAAGCAGGCAGGACTGCAGCTGGTAAGTAACATAGATGAAAAAGCTGAAGGTCAAAGAACTAAGTGTACTGTATTTCATCAATCTAAGATAATCCACATGTTAACCTTCATGAAATTGGGATGTATCTTTTCTTTCTTGGTGATTTGTCAGCAATGTTGTAGATTTGACAAAATGTGGTAATTTTCTTAACCGTAGTAAATTATAAGACCCAGGATTCCAACACAGGTTCTTAGTTTAACTGTCGTTCTTTTCAGGCTTTCCTCGATATTGACCACACTGTCATGTAAAACAAATGCTGATTATGTAGACAAAACTGCAAGAACAAAAGTAGAATTGAAACCATGAAAAATTTGACCTAAGAATTTATTAATCTAATAAAGTCATCAAGACACTATACACATCTAGAGACACCAAATTAGATAGAATTCTGTGAAATTAGGATAGTCGAGGACCAAGACGTAGGCTATTTGACATGTAATATACAAGATAAGTTATAACACTCCATTTTAGAAATTTTAAGTTGACATTTCAGTTCAAGTAGCTAGAAAGAAGCTAGATATATTTTTAAAATAACTTTTCTTAGCCCTGCACCTCATTAGTTTAATAAGATACCAATGAAACCAGGTAACATGGCATTTGTGTTTCATTCCTTTAATACACAATAACATACTATTAGGAAAACAACTGAAGACAATGAGGCAGAGCCTCTACCAATTCCACTTTTTAATTCATTATCATTTATTGTACACCTGTTATTAGCCATATACCCTAGTGGTATATATTTTTAAAAAGATAGATACACTTGGTTCCTGCTTTCATGAAACTTGTGTTTCATCATAAAAGAAAGAGGTTTCAGAGTGTAATTACAAGTGAGGTAAGAATTTCAAAACTGTAGAAGTTTTGGGAGCATATAGCCAGGGAATTTAATCTAGTCCAGAAGGACAGAAATGGCCTAAGGAAGTGATACTTAAGCTGATACTTTTAATAAAATAAGTACAGACATTTATTGAGCACTTGCTGTGTGCCAGGCACTAACTTCAGTGCTTTACCCAACCTGACAGATACAGTCCAGATGGCTAGCTCATTATATGTTCAGACCTCTTTCTAGAGGTTTTATTGTAGGCATAAGTTGAATGGCTAAAAGCCCACCTTTCTCAAACATCCTTGTAGCTGGATCCCCAGGTATAATTTAGGTTCTACCAGTTACAAGTTTTTGGCTAGCACACTATCCCAAAACTCCGCTGACCTTTACATGCCTGCAGAAACACTTTTTTCTGATTGCTTTACCTATAGCTACCTCATCTGAGGTAGTTGCCTTGAAAGATTGTGTGTATTTTCCATTCATTCACTTCTACCAATTTTCTTGGCCTCTAAGTCTATAGCATGAGTAAAATTTCAGCAGCCCGAGGAGGTTGGGGAGCAGGGGGAAATTACAAAGTCAACCCAAAGGAAATTCTGCATGCTTACAGAATAGCAATATTTATCTGTTTTTAAATTGTATTTGCATGAAGCATGAGAATATGGAATATGTGTATGTGAATGGATTCGAGTTTGCTAAACCAAGGAAGAAAGAGGAGCATAATTTATTAATGTGGGGTCACTCATCAGAGAGTCTGTCTTTAATATACTAGCAGTTGGAAAAAGTTCTAGCAATTTGTTCACTTGGTTAACTTAATCCTGATCTTAATGTAAATGTAAAATATGCAGTGAACTGTGATAAATGAAGATGTTAAAAATTCCTAGCTGTGATATAACAGGGATCTGAGAAGGTGTGGAGATGGGGATGTTGGAGTGGCATTATCCAGGACGACTGGCTCAACAACTCCCTGTTGGTTTCTGGGAAGGCCCAAAAGACCCTGCTTTCACCAAAACACCAAGTACTGCATTGGCTTCCCTCTTTTGCCAAGAATAAAGGTGGGAGATACTGATGTTTAAGTGGTTTCTAAGATTTGATGTAAATGAAAGACTATTAGGGCGGAGGAGGCCAAGGGAGCAATTTAATCACCAGAATCAAGGTGGATGTGATTGTCATGATATCATTATAAATTATCATTATATCATTATCAATCTATTTTATTTATTTGATAGGCCTCTAATGGTTATCATAAAGGTGTGACTCACCTATAAAATATCATAGGGTCCTTAGGATGGAAAAACCTGAGTGTTACTCTGAGGTCCTGCTTAATCTATATAACTGAGATAGCTTTAGTTTTGGTGAACATACACCTGACTTAAACCATCAAAACAGAGAATCATGACTCTTCATCTAAATTCCAGACCTGGATTAGAATGGCAAAGAGGGGGCAGGACTAGCTTGCAGCTCCTGCTCAAATGAACAGAGCAGCATGTGGATTCTCACATTGTGAACTTTTGCTCCAAGAACTACTGCAGGAACATAACAGGAAAGCTGAGAGAATCCACAGACCCTTTGAAGGAACTGGATCACTGCTGCAGGTTCCCTGAAATGCTGAAAAACTATGACTCTGCTTGCATTCTCAATGGGGAGGCTCATGGTCTGGGGCAAGTTCTAAGCCTTGGTCACTGGCTGCCTGGAAATACACTTGGTGCTGTTGCGGCAGGGGGCACGGCGGTAGTGAGACTGGCCTTTAGGACTACCAGCTCCATGGGAATGGGGTGAGGCCTATGACTGCCAGCCTTCCCCCACTTCCTTGGTGACCTTTATGACTCGACAGAGACAGCCATAATTCCCCTGGGAATATAACTCCATTGGGCTGGGAACCACACTACCATCCCCCACAGCAGCTGCAGCAAGCCCCGCAAAAGGAAAAGCTGAGCTCAGACATGCTTATCCCTGTCTCCACCTGGTGGTATTTCTCTACTCACCCTGGTAGCCAAAGACAAAGGTCATAATCCTTTGGGAGCTCTATGGTCCTGTCCACCACCTGAGAAACCTGAATACTTAGTCAGGTTTTCCTAGGGTAAGTTTACATCCTTCCTATAGGACTGCAGTTGATGGTGTCTGGAAAGTGCCACCTCCTGGCTGGATGCCAACAAACACAAAACCAGTGCTCCAAACAAAAACAAAACCAAGGACTCTTGCAGAGTCCACTGCTCTCCCCTGCTACCTCCACCAGAGCACATGCTGGTATCCACAGCTGCAAGAGTTGAAGATAAGTCACATCACAGAACTCTTTGCAAACACTCCCCAGTACCAGCCTGGAGCCTGGTTGCTCCACTGGGTGACTAGACCCAGAAGAGCAAAAACAGCCACTATAATTTGGGTCTCAGGAAGCCAATTAAAAACCAAACCAAATCTGGTTATAAATCACACCAAGGGAGCATTCCATGGGACAAAAGAATGTAAGCAGCAGCCATTGATTCCCAGATCTCCCCTCTGACGTAGTCTACCCAAATGAGAAGAAACCAGAAAAACAATTCTGGTAATACGAGGAATCAAGGCTCTTTAACACCCCCAAAAGATCATACCAGCTCTCCAACAATGGATCCAAACCAAGATGAAATCTGAACTGCCAGATAAAAAATTCAAGGTCAACTAATAAGCTAATCAAGTAGGCACCAGAGAAGGTGAAGTCCAACTTAAATAAATAAAAAACATGATACAAGATATGAGCGGAAAATTCCTCAGTGAAATAGATAGCATAAATAAAAAACAATCACAACTTCTGGAAGTCAAGGACACACCTAGAGAAATGCAAAATGCACTAGAAAGTCTCAGCAATAGATTCAAACAAGCAGAAGAAAGAACTTCAGAGCTCGAAGCCAAGGCTTTCAAATTAACCTAACCCATTAAAGACAATAAAAAAAAATTTTAAAACAAAGCCTTCAAGAAGTCTGGGACTATGTTAAACATCCAAACCTAAGAATTACTGGTGTTCCTCGGGAAGAAGAGAAATCTAAAAGTTTGGAAAACTTATTTGAGGGAATAATCGAGGAAAACTTCCCTGAGCTGAGTACAAATACAAGAAGCTCAAAGAACACCTGGGAAAATCATCACAAAATGGCATTGCCTAGGCACATAGTCATCAGGTTATCTAAAGTCAAGATGAAAGAAAGAATCTTAAGAGCTGTGAGCAAAAGCATCAGGTAACCTTTAAAGGAAAACCTATCAGATTAACAGCAGATTTCTCAGCAGAAACCTTACAAGGTAAAAGGGATTGGGATCCTATTTTTAGCCTCTTTAAACAATTTTCAGCCAATAATTTTGTATGCAGCAAAACTAAGCTTCATTAATGGAGGAAAGATACAATGTTTTCTAGACAAACAAATGCTGAGAGATTTTGCCACTACCAAGCCAGCACTACAAGAACTGCTAAAAGGGCTCTAAATCTTGAAACAAATCTTCAAAATACACCAAAACAGAACCTCCTTAAAGCATAATTCTCATAGAACCTATATAACAATAACACAATGAAAAAAACCCCAACATATTCAGGCAACAAATAGCACAGTGAATAGAATAGTACCTCATATCTCAATACTAACATTTAATGTAAATGGTCTAAATGCTCTACTTAAAAGCTATGGAAGGTAGAATTCACCAACCAAGTTTCTGCTGTCTTCAGGAGACTCATCTAACTCATAAGGACTCACGTAAACTTAAGGTAAAGGGGTGGAAAAAGATATTCCATGCAAACGGACACCAAAAGTGAGCAGGAGTAGCTATTCTTATATCAGACAAAACAAACTTTAAAGCAACAGCAGTTAAAAAATACAAAGAAGGACATTATATAACGATAAAAGGACTAGTCCAGCAGTAAAATATCAAAATCCTAAATATAGATGCACCTAACACTAGAGATCCCAAATTTATAAAGCAATTACTAATTGTTTTAGAGCTAAGAAATGAAATAGATGGCAACACAATAATAATAAGGGACTTTAATACTCCACTGACAGCACTAGATGGGTCATCAAGACAGAAAGTCAACAAAGAAGTAATGGAGTTAAACTACACCCTACAACAAATGGACTTAACATATGTTTACCAAACATTCTACCCAACAACTTCAGAATATACATTATTTTCATAGCATATAAAACAGTCTCCAAGATAGACCACATGATATGCCACAAAACAAGTCTCAGTAAATTTAAGAAAATCAAAATTATATCAAATACTCTCTCAGATGACGGTGGAATAAAATTGGAAATCAACTCCAAAAGGAACCCTAAAAATCATGCAAAAACATAGAAATTAAATGACCTGCTCTTTAACGATCATTGGGTCAACAATGAAATCAAGATAAAAATTTAAAAGTTCTTTGAACTGAACAATAATAGTGACACAACCTATCAAAACCTCTAGGATACAGCAAAAGCAGTGCTAAGAGGAAAGTTCATAGCATTAAATGCTTACATCAAAAAGTCTGAAAGAGCACAAATAGAAAATCTAAGGTCACACCTCATGGAACTGGAGAAACAAGAACAATTCAAACCCAAACCCAGCAGAAGAAAATAAAAAATGAATATTGAAACAGAATTAAATGAAATTCAAAGAAACATACAAAAAATACAGAAGATAAATGGAACAAAAAGCTGGTTCTTTGAACAGATAAATAAAATTGACAGACCATTAGTGAGATTAACCAAGAAAAGTATCCAAATAAGCTCAACTAGAAATGAAATGGGAGATATTACAACTGATACCACAGAAACACAAAAGATTATTCAAGCTTACTATGTATTGGGGGAACCAGCCCCCAATATTTCAGCGTATGTTCTCTTCTATTTTCCCTAAGTGTCGGCGGCTCTGAGAAATAAAGAGAAAGAGTACAAAAGAGAGAAATTTTACAGCTGTGTCTCTCAGGGTGACATCACCTATTGGCAGGTTCTGTGATGCCCATCTGAGCTGCAAAACCAGCAAGTTTTTATTAGGAATTTCAAAAGGTGAGGGGTGTGCGAATAGGGAGTGGCTCACAGAGATCACATGCTTCAAATGGCAAAAAAGATCACAAGGGCAGAAGGATAGAGCAAGGTCACAAGGCCAGGGTGAAATTAGAATTACTAATGAGGTTTCAGGTCCCACTGTGCGTGCATTGTCATTGATAAACATCTTAACAGGAAACAGGGTTCAAGAGCAGACAGCCGGTCTGACTAGCATTTTACCAGGCTGGAATTTCCTAATCCTAGCAAGCCTGAGGGTGCTGCAGGAGACCAGGGCGTATTTCATCCCTTATCTTCAACTGCATAAGACGGACACTCCCAGAGTGGCCATTTTAGAGACCGCCCCCTGGGAATGCATTCTTTTCCCAGGGCTATTCCTTGATGAGAAAAAGAATTCAGTGATATTTCTCCTATTTGCTTTTGCAAGAAGAGAAATATAACTCTGCTCTGCCCGGCCCCTAAGGCAGTCAGACCTTATGGTTATCTCCCTTGTTCCCTCAACATTGCTGTTACCCTGTTCTTTTAGGATGCCCAGGTTTCATATTGTTCAAACACACATTTTACAAACAATTTGTACAGATAACACAATCTTCACAGGGTCCTGAGGCAACATACATCCTCAGTTTACAAAGATGACGGGATTAAAAGATTAAAGTAAAGACAGGCATAGGAAATTATAAGAGTATTGATTGGGGAAGTGATAAATATCCATGAAATCTTCACAATTTATGTTCAGAGATTGCAGTAAAGACAGGCATAAGAAATTATAAAAGTATTAATTTGGGGAACTAATAAATGTCCATGAAATCTTCACAATTTATATCCTTCTGCCATGGCTTCAGCCGGCCCCTCTGTTTGGGGTCCCTGACTTCCTGCAACAATTATGAACACTTTTATGCACATAAACTAGAAAACCTAGAGGAGATGGATACATTTCTGGAAATAAACAACCCTCCTTCATTAAACCAGGGAGATAGAGAATCTCTGAATAGACCAATAGCAGTAGAGAAATTGAAATGGTAATAAAAAAATTGTCAACAAAAAATAAAATCCAGAACCAGACAGATTCACAGCTGAATTCTGTCAGACATTCAAAGAGGAATTGGTATGAATCCCATTGACAGTATTCTAAAAAATAGAGAAAGAGGGAATCCTCCCTAAATCATTCTTTGAAGCCAGTATCACCCTAATATCAAAACCAGGGAAGGACATAACAGAAAAAGAAAACTAAAGACCAATAACCTTGATGAACAAAGATACTAAAATCCTCAACAAAATACTAACGATCCAAATCCAACAGCATATCAAAAAAATAATCCACCATGATCAAGTGGGTTTCATATCAGGGATGCAGGGATGGTTTAACATACCTAAGTCAATAAATGTGATACATCACATAAACAGAATTAAAAAACAAAAATCACATGCTCATCTCAATAGATACAGAAAAAGCATTTGCAAAAATCCAGCATTCCTTTATGGTTACAACCCTCAACAAAATTGACATAGAAGGGATTGTACCTGAAGGTAATAAAAGCCATCTACAACAAACCCACAGTCAACATTATACTGAATGGGGAAAAGTTGAAGGCATTTCCTCTGAGAAATGGAATAAGATAAGGATGCCCACTTTTAATACTTCTATTCAACATTGTACTGGAAGTCCTAGCAAGAGCAATCAAAAAAGAAAGAAAGAAAGGGCATCCAAATCAGTAAAGAGAAAGTCAAAATGTCGCTATTTGCTGATGATATGATTTTATACCTAGAAAACCCTAAAGACTCATCCAAAAAGCTCCTAGAACTGGTAAATGAATTCAGCAAAGTTTCACGATACAAAACGCAAATAAGTAGCTCTGCTATATACCAACAGCGACCATGCTGAGAATCAAATCAAGAAATCAACTACTTTTGCAATCATTGCAAAAAAATACAATATTTAGGAATATACCTTACCAAGTAGGTGGAAAGACCTCTATAAGGAAAACTACAAAACACTGCTGAGAGAAATCATAGATGACACAAACAAATGGAAACACATCTCATGCTCATGGATGGGAAGAGTCAACATTGTGAAAATGACCATACAACTAAAAGCAATCTACAGATTGAATGCAGTTCTCATCAAAATACCAACATCTTTCTTCATAAAACTAGAAAAAACAATCCTAAAATTCATATGGAACCAAAAAAGAGTCTGCATAGCCAAAGCAAGACTAAACAAAAAGAACAAATCACATTACCCAACTTCAAACTGTATACTGTAAGGCCATAGTCACCAAAACACCATTGTACAAAATAGGCACATTGTATAAAAATAGGCACATAGACGGATGGAAGAGAATAGAGAACCCAGAAATAAAGCCAAATACTTCAAATCAACTGATCTTTACAAAACAAACACAAAAATAAAGTGGGAGAAGGACACTCTATTCAACAAATGATGCTGGGATAATTGGCTAGCTACATGTAGGATAATTAAACTGGATCCTTGTCTCTCACATTATACAAAAGTCCACTCAAGATGGATCAAATACTTAAATCTAAGACCTGAAACCTTAAAGATTCTAGAAGATAACATGAGAAAAACCCTTCTAGACGTTGGCCCAGGCAAAGACTTCATGACTAAAACCCCAAAAGCAAACGCAACAAAAACAAAGATAAATAGATGAGACTTAATTAAACTAAAAAGCTCCTGCACAGCTAAAGCAATGATCAACAGAGTTAATGGACAACCCACAGGGTGGGAGGAAATATTCACGATCTATACATCCAACAAAGGACTAATATACAGAATCTACAAAGAACTCAAACAAATCGACAAGAATAAAACAAACAATCCCATCAAAAAGTGGGTAAGGATGTGAATAGACCGTTCTCAAAAGAAGATACACAAATGTCCAACAAGCATATGGAAAAATGCTCAACATCACTAATTATCAGGGAAATGCAAATCAAAACCACAATGCCATACCACCTCACTCCAGCAAGAATGGCCATAATCAAAAGTAAAAAAAAAAAAAAAAAAGATGTTGGCAGGGATGTCGTGAAAAGGGAACACTTTTATACTGTTGGTGGGAATGTAAACTAGTACAACCACTATGAAAAACAGTGTGGAGATTCCTTAAAGCACTAAAAGTAAATCTACTGCTTGATCCAGCAATTCCACTACTAGCTATCTAACCAGAGGAAAAGAAGTCATTATACAAAAAAGATACTTGCACATGCATGTTTATAGCAACACAATTTGTAATTGCAAAAATCTGGAACCAGCCCAAATGCTCATCAACCAATGAATAGATAAAGAAAATGTGATATATATACATATATATATATATGTATATATATATACACACACACATACACATAAACACACACACACACACACACACACACATACATCATGTAATACTAGTCAGCCATAAAAAGGAATGAAATAATGGCATTTGTAGCAGCCTGGATGGAATTGGAGACTATTATTCTAAGTGAAGTAACTCAGGAATGGAAAACCAAACATTGTACATTCTCATTCACATGTGGGAGCTCAGCTACGAGGCCATAAAGGCAAAGAATGATACATTGGACTTTAGAGACTCAGGGGAAGGTGAGAAGAGTAGTGAGGGCTAAAAGAATACACATTGGGTACAGTGTACTCTTGACATGGTTTGGCTCTGTGTCCCCACCAAAATCTCACCTTTTATTGTAGCTCCCATGATTCTCGTGTTGTGGAAGGGGACTGGTGGGAGATGATTGAATCATGGGGGCAGTTTTCCCCATACTATTCTTAGGGTAGTGAATACAGCTCACTAGAGCTGATGGTTTTATAAGGGGTTTCTGCTTTCACTTATTTCTCATTCTCTCTTGCTGCCACCCTGTAAGAAGTGCTTTTTGCCTTCTCCCATGATTGTGAGGCCTCCCTAGCCACGTTGAATTGTGAGTCAATTAAACATATTTTTCTTCCAATTATCAGGTATATCTTTATCAGCAGCATGAAAACAGACTAATACAACACTGCTTGGGTGATGGGTGCTCCAAAATCGCAGAAATCACCCTAAAGAACTTATTCATGTAACCAAACACAAGTTTAATTTCAATAGGTTTTATTGAAATTAAAATAAAAAATAAAAATAAATTCCAGACCTAAGATAGGTCCCTGGAGTATGGATATATTCATAGAGGTGTCTTGCATTACAAGTAAATTTCTTCTCCAGATCTTACCCCAAAGGACTTGTGGTTATTGACCACGATAACTATATCTCAGAAAAGCGAAGTACCCAGACTTTTCTGAGGGTTATTTTGTTCTGATTCTGACCCAGAATGCCACTGTGATCTATTGGAAGGTCATAAATAGAAAGTCTGTGCTGAGTCAGTGTTATACTGGGCCCAGTGGTTCTGCAAACTCATCCTATGCTAATTTCCCACTCCCTGAGTGAAGAGTTGGAATAGATATACTTAGCAACTGGTATTAGCTTCTGACATTGTCCATGAATGCTGTGTCAAGGGAGAAAAAAAGAAAAACCTTCTAGATTTCAACCTCCCTAATAATATCACAACCCTGGGGAATTACAGAGAAAAGTTTCACCACCAAATACATGAAAGATAGAAGAATACTGACTGCAATCACATATCCCATTTAACTCACCTGTTTAATTTATGCACAAGCTATATGCATCCTGGGAAAAAGAGGATTCTCAAAAGCCTAATTAGGTGATTATTCCAATTGCAGTTGATTTTTAAAGGTGACCTCATTACTGGAACAACTCAAGACAGCCTCTAGCATCCAATATGCAGCTATTTATTTTCCAGGTGTGTTTTTCATTGTATCCATAAATGCAGAACTCCAGAAGGTGTTTGCTTTCACCTTCACTTGACATAGAAGCAGAGCAGTATAATTCACTGTCTTGTCTAAGGGAAAGATCTACTCTTTGGTTCTGTTCCATAATATGTAATCCAGAGGCTCCTTGATTATGTCACCATCCCCAGGTTTTATTCTGGACAACTACACTGATGACATCATGCTAGTGGGATCTGATTACTGGAAAATAGTGGGTATATTAGGTCCCTTAATAAGACAAATGTGTGCCCAGAAGATAGATTCAGACAAAAATCTATTTACCCATTTATTTGATTTCCAATAGTTTTTTAAATATTGCCTCTGTCAACTAGAATGTATGTTCCATGAGAGCAAGGGTTGTGTCAGCCTCATTCACCACTATATTTTCAGAACAGTACTGGTACCTACAATAAATAAGTGTTCAATAGATAGGTGTGTTCTTTACCGCACACTCTCTTCCAAAGAATGGTGAAGATTTTATAACAGCTATCTCCCCAAGGTAGAGATGAAGTTTTGTACTGCTAGGCATTATAATTCAGAAAGATTTTGAATTCTGCTGAAACAAGATTTGATGTGGAATCATTTGGAGGAAGAAGCATGGTTTGGAATAGGTAATAAACATAAATTTCCTCAATTCTCTTTAACTTGTGCATGAAAGAACTCCCATTTATAAGAAAGGACAGAATAATTACTTACTTTGAGAGATGCTAGGAAGTTATTGGTCACATAGGGCAATCATAATATTCTATTGTGTATTTGTTGTTTTCTTTTAGCATTTATTATTGAGCAATGAATCTTGAAACACCAAAATACTGCATATTTATTAAGACAGGAGTTCAAAGCCACAAAAGAAAGGAGTAAACAAAAGTGAAGCATCACTAAGACTATTCACATCATATTTTTTAACAGAAGACATTAATGAGAAGAAATACATTTTTTTGCCTATCTAAATAACAGTTGGTAAAGACTTTTTTGTACTAAAATTTAAATAGCATTTTTAAATGTCTTTAGGAAGAGATACAAGAATGAGACTGTTTCTTAAATAACGAATATATTCTGCCAACGCATACAAATCTACACAGAAAACCAGAATGGGTCATCCGCATGCCATATTTACCAGTGCAGGGCAAATAAATATGCTTCATCTATCCACCATCATCTGTCTAGATTGAGCTTACAACTTACATCCCTGACACCCCACTTTTTCTAAGTACTCTTATATTATCATGTTCTGCTCATGCCTCCATAATATTTGATGATTGCATTTGCCTGTGTTCTTCTCTGCCACCCAAATGTAAGTAAGGGGCTACATCCTGTTTCAGATAATATTCCCAACACTAACATAGTGCTTAAGCACAGAGTAGCCTCCAAAAAGTACGGATTCAAAGGACAAGGATTCAAAACATGACATTTGACTCCCTCTCTACTGACAAAGCATCTTCCTGGATTTTAGGGAGAATGGCTTGATTATTCCTGATGACACTCTTTAATTCAGAGAAGCAAGGGCAGAGGCGAGGATTGACTAAGGGGCTAAAAGGGCCACAGACGACTTGCACTTTCTTCTGAGGATTAGCAGCATTTTGATCCATTCAGAATTAGGAGAAAGCTCTGTGTTTTGCCCATAGTGCAAACTCTTATACAACAAAGGAGCCACTGCAGTGAGGTAAGAGGATATTTTAAGCATTCTCTGCTGAGCCATAGAGATCAAGTTATTTCCCTACTGCCTATAGGCTGTGATAATTTTTTTTTTCTTTTGTGGTTTGTACTTATATCCTGTCTACATCAAGGCCATAAGACCCTATTTTTTAATACTATTGTGAATAGTATTTTTTAAAATTTCATTTTCTTTTCTTTTCTGTTTTGAGACAGGGTCTCGCTCTGTCACCCAGGCTGGAGTAAAGTGGTGTGATCTTGGCTTACTGCAACCCCTGCCTCCCAGGTTCAAGTAATTCTCCCACCTCACCCTCCTAAGTAGCTGGGACTATATACACGCACTACCATGCCCAGTTAATTTTTGTATTATTGGGTAGAGATGCGGTTTCACCATGTTGGCCAGGCTGGTCTCGAACTCCTGACCTTAAGTGACCCGACCTCCTTTGCCTCCCAAAGTTCTGGGATTACAGGTGTGAGCCACCACACTGAGCCACTGCTCCCAGCCTAATTTCATTTTTAATTATTTGCTGCTTATATATGGAAATGCAATTTCTCTTGTATATTGACTTTGTGTTTGGAAATTAACTTGTTAGTTCTAGTACCTTTTTTATACATTGGATTTTCTATCTACAGTATCATGTTATCTGCAAATAGAGACAGTTTTACTTCTTTCCAATGTTTAGGTCTTTTATTTCTTTTTCTTTCCTTATTACAGTGGCCAGAAATTGCATTATAGTAATGAGAAGATGAGACAAAGTGACATCCTTGCTTTTTCCTGAGCTCAGATAAAGTGTATCTTTAGGTATATCAGTAAGCATGTCCTTAAGTATGATATGAGTTGTAGTTTCTTCATGCTGTCCTTTATCACATTAAGAGAGTGCCTTCTCTTCCTGATTTATTCATAGATTTTATGACAAATAGGTGCTGATTTTTTGTCAATTTGTTTCATTTTATTTTGAATCACATTGAAATACGTACATTTTTTGAAAGTTTACTCAAGTTGCATTCCTGGGATAAACTTCATTTGATAATAATGTATTATTATTCATTATTTATGTTATTAGATTCAGTTTGCTAATATTTTGTTGAAGACTTTTGTGTATTCTCATGAGGAATATTTTTCTGTAATTTAACTATATTGCAATGCCTTTTTCAGCATTTCAGGATTAAGATAAATAAGTTGGAAATTATTCCCACCTTCTGGGATGGTTAATATTATGTGTCAGCTTGACTGAGCTAAGGAATGCCCAGATAGCTGGTAGACATTATTTCTATGTGTAGACACACCTAGAAACAATATGGGAGTGTTTCTGGAAGAGACTAGCATTTAAATTGGTGGACTGAGTAAAGCAGATAGCCGTTCTCAAAGTGGGCGCATATCATCCAATCCACCAAGGGCCTGAATAGAACAAAAAGTGGAGGAAGGGCGAATTCTCTGTTTGTCAGAATAGAGACAGCCATCTTCTCCTGCCCGTAGTCATTGGAGTTATTGTAAGTTAACTTACAATAAGCTAAGGTTAATTTATTACTGAAGAAAAGAATTTTGAATCAATTTAGCTTAATGTACAATGTTTATAAAGTCTACAGTAGTGGACAGTAATGTCCTAGGCTTTCACATTCACTCACCACTCCCCGTATGACTCAACCAAAGCAACTTCCATCACTGCAAGCTTCATTCATGGTAAATGCCCTACACAGGTGTACCATTTTAAAAATCTTTTAGACCACATTTTTACTGTATCTTTTCCATGTATACATACACACTTACCATTGTATTACAATTACCTACAGTATTCAGTACAGTAACTTGCTGTACAGGTTTGTAGCCTAGGAGCAATAGGCCACACCATCTAGCCTAGGTGTGTAGTAGGCTATACCAGCTAGGTTAGTGTAAGTCAACTCTATGATGTTCACACAAGGACAAAATCACCTAATGACACATTTCTTAGAACATATTCCTACCACTAAGTGACACATGACTACATGTAGCTATTTATCTATCTATATATTCTATTGATTCCATTTCTCTGGGATACACCTTCTGTATTTTCTGGAATGATTTGTGGAAGGTTGGCATTATTTCCTTCTTAAGTGTTTCATAGAATTCACCCTCTGAAACCATCCAAATATAGAGTTTTCTTTGTGGAAAGCTTTTTGATTATTAATTTAATTTAATGACTACATGTAAAGCTATTCCCATGTTCTATTTCTTGTTTTGATATTATATTTTTCAAAGAATTTTTCTACTTCTCTAAATTATTAAATGTATTCTTTTAAATATGTTAACAATTCCCTGTTATAACTTAAATGCCTTTAAGACCTGTAGTGATATACCCTCTTTTTTTCCCAATATTAATGCTTTGTGTCTTCTTTTACCTGATTAACATTACTAAGGTTTTTTTTAACTTTTATTTTAGGTTTAGGGGTACGTGAGAAACTTTGTTACATAAATGAACACGTGTCACAGGGGGCTGTTGTACATATTATTTCATCACCCAGGTATTAAGCCCCGTACCCAATAATTACCTTTTCTGCTCCTCTCCCTCCTCCCACCCTCTCCCCTCAGGTAGACCCTCGTGTCTGTTGCTTCCTTCTTTGTGTTCATAAGTTCAGTAACGGATTTTTAAGCCAATTTTATTAATCTTTTAAAAAACGTTAGTCTTTTTTCTGTTGTTTTCTATTATATTGATTTCTGTTATTCTCTTTTTTATTTCTTTCCTTCTAAATGCTTTGAGTTTAATTACTTTCTTAGCTTAAGGTAGTCGTTTAGACAACTGATTGAACCTTTTTTCTTTTTTAGTATGCACCTTTAAAGGTATATGTTTACCTTTAAGCACTACTTCAGCTGTATCCCACATATTTTGATGTTATGTTATTATCATTCAGTTCAAAATATTTTTAAACTTCCTTTTCTTTGAACCATAGGCTATTTTCCAAATATTTGCACCTTTTTCTAGATATCTCCTTGTTATTAATTTCTAATTTAATTCATTTTATAATTTTGAGACTTATTACATATTCTAGTGTATTTTCTATGTTGGAGAATGTTCTGTGTGCGCCTGAAAAGTATATATATTACACAGTTGCTTGGTGTAGTGTTAATAACAATAATGTCAAGCTAGTTAATAACATTGATGAAACATTGATGAGATGTTCTATTTTCTTACAATTTTTTTGTCTACTTCTTCTGTCAATTATTAAGAAAGGAGTGTTACATTTTCCTACTACACTGTGAATATCTTTCTTTAGTTGTGTCAGTTTTTGTTCCATTCATTTGAAGATTACAGTGTATATGTCTTACTCATGAATTGCCCCTTTCATAATTAGATAATGTTCATGTTTACCTCTACATCTCATATTGTTATTAATGTAAGTATTAATATAGTAATACCAGCTTTCTTCTCTTTACTGTTAATACAAGATAGCTTTTTTCATTCTTTTACTTTCACTGTAATTGTGTATTTGCATTTAATATGCATCTTTTTTAGACAACTTATAGTTGGATCTTGCTTCTTTATGATTTTGAGTGTTAATTTCATTTACACTACATATAATTATTGGTATGATATGTTTTAAGCTGACTATCTTGCTATTTATTTTCCATTAGTGATTTTTTTAAGTTAGTCAAATTTTAAATATTACATTTTCTTTCTCTATTGTTTTCTTAGCTATATTTCTTTTTTATTTTGTGTTTTTTGTTGATACAGAAGGGATGTACATATTTTCAGGATACGTTGTGATATTTTGATACATTTATGTAATATATAACAATCAATGCAGGATAATTGGAATATCCACCACCCTAAACATTTATCTCTTCTTTATGCTGGGAACATTTGAATTATTCTCTAATAGCTATTTTGAGATATACAATAGATTATTGTTTGCTGTAGTCATTCTACTGATTTATGAAACACTAAGTCTTATTTCTTATATCTAACTTTATTTTTATACCCATTAATCCACCACTCTTTCTCCCTCTCTTTCACCCATTTTTCTAGGCCTCTGGTAACCACCAGTCTACTCTCTATCTTCTAGAAACCCATTTCTTTCTTAGTTTGCACATATGAGTAAGAACATGAGATATTCATCTTTGTGTGCCTGGCTTATTTCACTTAACCTGATGGTCTCTAATTAATAGACCTCTAGTTAACATAATGGCCTACAGCTCCATCCATGTTTCTGCAAATGATGGGATTTTACTCTTTTTATGGCTCAATAATATTCCATTGTGTATATCAGTAATCCCCACCCTTTATGGCACTAGGTACTGGTTTCATGGAAAACAATTCTTCCACGGACTGCTGGGAATGGCTTCGGAATGATTCAAGTGCACTACATTTATTGTGCACTTTATTTCTATTATTATATTGTAATATAGAATGAAATAATTATATAACTCACCATAATGTAGAAGCATTGGGAGCCCTGAGCTTGTTTTCTTGCAACAATTAATAAATGGTCCCATCTAAGGGTGATAGGAGAGAGTGACACGCAAAGTGTGCTGCTTATGCCCAGTCTAATTTTTTTATTATTCATTTATTTATTTATTTTTATTATTTTTTTTTGAGATGGAGTCTTGCTCTGTCACCCAGGTTGGAGAGCAGTGGCACAATCTCAGCTCACTGCAGACTCTGCCTCCCGGGTTCAAGCGATTCTCCTGCCTCAGCCTCCTGAGTAGCTGGGACTACAGGCATGTGCCACCACACCCAGCTAATTTTTGTATTTTTAGTAGAGACGGGGTTTCACCATGTTGGCCAGGATGGTCTCTATCTCTTAACCTCGTGATTTGCCCACCTCGGCCTCCTAAAGTGCTGAGATTACAGGCGTGAGCCACCATGCCTGTCCTGTCCAGTCTACTTCTTAATCTCATTTTGGTTGCTGTAACTGCAGAAAACTCTTCTCCACAAGATAGGATATTGGAAATGGAAACAGCCTTTTCAGCGCTTTTGTGGCAATCTCAGGATATTCCGCCTTAACTTTAATCCAGAACATATGGAGATTTTAAGTTGTTTCAAACATACTTTTAAGACCACCATCATTTGCCATTTCAAGCAGTTGATCATTTTCTAACACAGATAAAGTCGATTCACCTGGCTTATTCACACGTGGGTCACCGATCCATTCCTCCAAAGTTCAGGGGTCTTCCGTGGTTGGGAAGTAATGCTCAAATTCTTTCGAAAGTTGAGATAGGTGAACAAGCACCAGCTGGGAGAAAGAAGTTTCTGGTTCCGTTTTTTTCAAAATTTCTGCTAATGTTTGAAACATGTCAGAAATCCCGATGTTGACTTGTCACCCCCGTAATTCCAGTTTGGTTTTGAATGTAGCCACTTTATTTGCTGACTTGAACACAGTTGTCCTTCTCCCCTGAAGTGACAGATTGAGTTCATTGAGCAGGTTGAATGTGTCACATAAGTAAGCAAGTTCTGCAACCCATTCTGTGTCACTGAAGTGGACTGCCAGTGGTGATTGTTTTTCTAAAGGAAATCTGTGGAATAGCTCTTGTGACTCAAAAACTCTGGCCAGTGATCTAACTTTAGAAAGCCATTTCACTTCTATGTATAAGAGAAGATGTGAGTGCTCTGCATCCGTCTCCTCGCAGAGCTGTGCGAACAGACATGAGTTAAGGGTGTGTACTTTAACATGGTTGATAATTTTAATCACATCCTGCAAAACGTTTGTTAAGTTCAGGTGGACATTTTCCGGCTAGCCAGCATTTATCTATGGATGATACAGTGTGTAGACTCACATTTAGAAGTGACCTCTTTAACCCAAGTAGCAAAACCAGAAAGCTGTCCAGTCATGGCAGCCACTATGTCCACGAATATACCAACACGAAATGACCAATTCAGTTTTCCTGACATGTAATCATTCAAAGACCTGAATAGTTTTGTAGTTGTGGTGTTGGTTGGCAATAAAAGTGCACATAACATATCCTCATGCGGCACATCCTCCTGAAAAATATATTGCACAAAAACAAGCATTGTTGTTCTGTTGTCAACATCAGTAGACTTGTCAACCTGGATTGCATACCACAGTGACTCATTAATCCTCTCTAACAATTGTGCCTCAATATTCTCTGCTATCTCATCAATTCATCTAGTTACAGCGCTAGCTGAAACAGGAAAACATGTCACCTTTTGAACTTTGGCCTCTCCTAAAAGTTCATGACAAATGCCTTTAGCAGCCGGCAAGATCAACTCTTCACCAATTGTAAAGGACTTCTTAGTTAAGAATGATGCTGTTAGTGCAGACACATTTGATGAAGTGGTAGCCTTCAATAACTGCTTCCGTTCTTCGTGTTCACTTCTTTTTTCTTTTGAAAAACTCCAAAGCCTTGCCTTCTAACGCAGGGTGCTTGGTCCCCATGTGGCAAAGCAGTTTTGGAGGTTTCATGCCTTCATTGGGTAGCCTATTACCACATATTATACCAAGTGGGCTTGGAGAATGTGAAGCACTTGTTTCAATGAACCCATAATTTAAGTAGGACTCTTGGGATTTTCTTTTAAATGCAGCTTTCTTTTTGTTGGCAGTCTCAGAGTCTTCTGCAGTCTCATCATTGGGTCTTCCCTCCTTTTCAAAGAAGCTCTCCAGTGACGTTTGTTTTTTTACTACTTTTGGCTAGGGTTAACTTGTGGGCTTACCAAAACTTTGACTGAGACAAGTGTGCAGTGTGGGAAAGAGGCACAGATGGAAGTGGTAAATAAAATAATGGGCAGAGCATGCATGGACTAAAATAAGTGTCGGATTCTGTCTTAAAGCCTGCCACCAGATGCAGCTTAATTGTCACTTGCCACTCACTGATAGGGTTTTAATATAAATTTGCAAGCAATTGCACAGAGACTTGTAGGTCTCTGTGCAGCGAAACCTCTCTGCTAATGTTAATCTGTATTTGCAGCCACTCCCTAGGGCTAGCATCCCTACTTAGGCTCCACCTCAGATCATCAGGCATTAGAGTCTCATAAGGGGCATGCAACCTAGATCCCTCACATGCACAGTCCACAATAGGGTTCATGCTCCTATGAGAATCTAATGCCCTGGTTGATCCGACAGGAGACAAAGCTGAGGAGATAATGTGAGGATACGGAGTGGCTGTAAATACAGATGAAACTTTGCTCACTTGCTTGCCACTCACCTCCTGTTGTGAGGCCTGGTCCTTAACAGGCCACAGACCAGTACCAGAGGTTGGGGACCCGTGGTGTATATTTATTTACTACATCTTCTTTATCCATTCAATCATTGATGGGTGCTTAGGTGGATTCCATATTTTGGCTATTGTGAACGTTCCAATAAACATGGGAGTGCAGATATCTCTTTGATATATTTATTTCCTTTCTTTTGGATATAAACTCAATAATGAGATTGCTGGATCATATGATTTATTGAGAAACCTCCATACTGTTTTCCTAACTGGCTGTATTAATTTACATTCCTGCCAATAGTGTACAGGAATTCTCCTTGCTTCATATCTTCACCGGCACTCTTTATTGCCCGTCCTTTTGATAAAAGCCATTTTTATGGGGTGAGATGATATCTTATTGTGATTTTGGTTTGCATTTCTCTGATAATTAGTGATGTTGAGCATTTTTTTATATACCTGTTGGCCATTTGTATGTTTTCTTTTCAGAAATGTCTTCTCAGATCTTTTGCCCATTTTTTAATTGGGTTAGGGTTTTTTTGCTGTTGAGTTGAGTTTCTCATATATTCTGGTTCCTAATCCTATGTCAGATGGATAGGTTGAAAATATTTCCTCCGATTCTGTGGGTTATGTCTCCATTTTCTCAATTGTTTCCTTTGCTGTGCATAAGCTATTTAGCTTGATATAATCCCATTTCTCTATTTTTGCTTTTGTTGCCTCTGCTTTTCAGGTATTACACAAAGATTCTTTGCCCAGACTCATGTTCTAGAGTATTTCTGCACTGTTTACTTCCAGTAGTTTATATTTTAGGTCTTAAAGCCTTTAATCCATTTTGATTTGCTTTTGGACATGGCAGGCAAAAATTGCATATGGAAAGAGATAGGGATATGGTTTAGTTCTGCATATAGTTTTCTAGTTTTCAGAGCACCATTTATTGAAGACACTCATTTTTCCCCAATGCTTGTTCTTGGCACTGTTGTCATAAATTAGTTGGCTGTAAATGTGTAGATTTATCTGTTTTGTTTCATTGGTCTATGTGTCTCTTTTTAGGCTGGTACCATGCTGTTTGGGTTTCTATAGCTCTGTATATATTTTAAAGTCAAGTTAGCACTACAACTCCAGCTTTGTTCTTTTTGCTCAGGATTGCTTTGGCTCTTATGGGTCTTCTGTGATTCCATATAAATTTTAGAAATTTTTTTCTAATTCTATGAAGAATGTCATGGTATTTTGATAGAGATTACATTGAATCTGTAGAACACTTTGGGTTGTACTGGCATTTTAACAATATCAATTCTCCCAATCCATGAATACAGATATCTTTTTATTTTTTCTGCCCTCTTCTATTTCTTTTATCAGACTTTTATAGTTTTCTTTGTAGACATCTTTAACTTCTTTGGTTAAATTTATTCATAAGTATTTTATATTTTTTGAAGTTAATGTAAATGAGATTGCTTTCTTAATTTCTTTTTCAGAGGATGTGCTATTGGTGTACCCAAATGTTACTGATTTTTATATGTTTATTTTGTATCCTGCATCTTTACTGAATTTGTTTATCAGTTTTCATTCTAACCTTTTATGGCAGAGTCTCTAGGGTTTTTTAAGAATACAATCAAGTTTTCTGTGAACAAGGCTAATCTCACTTATTCCTTTGTAATTTGGGTGCCCTTTATTTCCGTCTCATCTCTGATGGCTCTGACCAGGACTTCTAGTAATATGTTTAATAAAAGTGGCTAAAGTGGGCAGCCTTGTGTTGTTCCAGATTTTAGAGGAAAGGCTTCCAGCTTTTCCCCATTTAGTATCATGTTAGCTGTGGGTTTGTCATATATGACCTTTATTGTTTTGAGCTACATTTCTTCTATATCCAATTTGTTCAACATTTTTAGATCTTTCATATAAATGATGGAGCAGTGAAAAATATAATTAACCAGAATGCCAAAAGTGGCAATTTCTGATTGGTAACAATAGGTCATATTCATTATATACTTTTTTAACTTTTCCAAACAATAACAAAGGTAAACTTTATTATAAAATGTATTTCTCCTTGATGTCATAAATGGCCCCAGACACTGGAAGTATAAAGCAGCTATACTTTTAACTTCACAATATTTCTGTGCAAGAGATGTTTCCTTTGAGTCAATTTAATTCAACCAAAGCCCCCTCCCATCCAGGCTGATGGAAAAATTAAGTCTTAGAAAACCATGTAACTGTCTCTTATGATAAAGTCCTGCAAAGGCTCTGATTGTTGTATAAGCAACATAGCACATGAAGCCCCATCTTTCATTGATACACAGTGGTTACTGCTCAACTGACTGGTGTTCAGAAAGATCTTCACCCTTGAAGGCCAAGAGATCTCACTATCTTGCCCCCTAGCATGTAGAAAACCTTTCCATTTTCTCTAAGGTCCTGCTATTCACATAATTTATGGATTTTCTCCATTTCCTAACGTAGAGTCAGTTATCATCTCTATACTACTTTCCTCACCTCCCCCAAAGCAATGACTTTTCTTCTCTTTTTTTTTTTTGTGTTCTTGTGAGATGATTCCCTTTTTAGTTAAGACAGGAAGAGAGCTTGCCTTTGGGCTTCTTATTTCTCCTCCTCCTCCTCCTCTTCCTCCTCCTCCTCCTCCTCTTCTTCTTCTCAAATATCCATTTTGTTTTTAATGAGAGTCAAAGATTTTTGACAGTCAATGCAGTTAAAGGCCTTTTAGCTAGGTGCTGAAGTTGAAAGAAAGTCACAGCCCAGCTGGGAAGACAGGCTACTCATATGGATAATCAGCCAGACAGAGCCAATGTGTAAATGTTAAGTATAAATTGGTGGTGCCGGTTTTATTGTCATCTCTTCCCAAAGTCTTTAAATGTTTTCTACATCTTTTTACTTCTTTTTTTTCTCTTGCATGTCCTTAATAGGTATCTTTGGTCCTTTTCCCCCAAATGGAAGCTGACAGATTTCTTCCTTCCTACACAGTTTACTCAGTCAGTATGTCAGAAGAGTTTTTGTTTTTCTCACAAAGCAAATTAGGAATCTGAAATGTCAGGTAGACCGATGTGTTAAAATTCTTTTCAGGTAGAGGAAGAGAGATGAGTCAACATGTATATAAAGAGGAAGCAAAACAGAATTCAGTTCTATTGTGTTTTGGAGAGTATAAATGTCATAAATTAGAGTTCCGAATTACTTCAACAAAATCTTTGTCTGTTCATAAGATTTCTCAGAAAACACCCCTTGATGATGATGATGATGATGATGATGATGATGATGATGATTATTTTAGAGATAGGGTCTCACTATGTTGCCCAGGCTGGAGGGCAGTGGCTATTCACAAGTGTGATCATAGCGCACTACAGTCTCAAGTTCCTGGCCTCAGTCTTCCTACCTCAGCCTCCCATTAGCTGGAACTATCTTGTTTTTTTTTTTTAAAGAAGCAAATTGCTGTTAAAACACAACTGACTGGTTCTCTAATTTCGTCCATTGAGTTTTCAATTTATAAGCATTTCTTTCTTCTTTAAATATGCCTGCTTTAATGAAAGAAACTTAAGCTTTTCCTACAGGAGCTAGTTTGTCCAATACAGTATAATCTTGTCTAGCTTTTTAAATTAGTGCCAGTTTATTCAAACCATCAGAAAGAAAAAATATAGAGAAAAAAGTGAAGGAATAGATAACATTCACAATGCTCTAGTATTGAAAGATTGGAATGTAACACAGAGAAAGCCTCTTAACCCTTACTGTTCCAGCCGGCCTTCCTCACACTCACCTTTCTCATGCCTCTTTGTGATCAGTTTGAAGCATTGATTCTCAACATTTCCTATGTTTGAGGTGTCAAGAAACACATAAATATTGTATTATGCATTATTCTTCTGAGTTGAAATTTAGGCAATAGAAGCTATTGTCTTGGACAACATAATTTTAATGCCAAAAGACTTCAGTTTTAGTTCTATTTCTCGCTTCTTTCTTGGACAAGTAATGTTGTAGAAGGAACAACTATCCTGTGTTTTAGTTTTCCTCATTGGTAAAATAAAGAAAATAATGAAATCTAGTTCCTAGAATGGCAAGGGATACGAGAGGTACTCTGTCTCAGAGCCTGTAAATATAGAAAGTATATATTTGCAATTTTTAAATACGTTCATGAATATAAAGTTAAAAAAAAAGTTTATAGGTTATATTTAGAAGTTTTGAATTTGTCTGTAGATTTTGCCTCTCTCTGGATCTCTCTCTCTCTGTCTCTGTCTCTCTCTCTCTCTATATATATATATCTCCATATATATATATATGTGTGTGTGTATATATATATATATATATATATATACATATGTATCAGTTCTGTATCTGAGGCTATGGGGAGAGCCTTTTAAAAATAGCATAGTTCTATGGAGTGTTCTCTGCCAGGCATATGATTCGCTTTTAACATTTATTATTTTTTTAAATTTTATTTTGTTGTGTTAAGAACATCTGACATGAAATCTATCTTCTTAGCCAGTTTTTAAGTGTATAATATAGCATTGCTAACTATAGGCTTCTACTATTTTTTTTTTTTTGAGACAGACTCTGGCTCTGTCACCCAGGCTGGAGTGCAGTGGCATGATCTGGGCTCACTGCAACTTCTGCCTCTTGGGTTCAAGCAGTTCTTCTGCCTCAGCCTCCTGAGTAGCTGGGATTACAGGCATGCACCACCACACCCTGCTAATTTTTGTGTTTTTAGTATAGACACGGTTTCACCATGTTGGCCAGGCTGGTCTCGAACTCTTGACCTCAGGTGATCTGCCTGCCTCTGCCTCCCAGAGTGCTAGGATTACAGGCGTGAGCCACTGCGCCTGGCCGCTTCTACTATTTTTTGAATTTGACTTCTGCTCATAACCTATTTGTGATATCTTTTGGTGTTTTCCATCTCAATTACAAATTATCAGCTGCCCTTTGCCACCTGTTACGCTTTCCCCTTGACTTTGCCATGGGCTGCCCAAGAAGACCAATTGTCTCTGGTCTTCTCACCTTTAGAGATTACCCTTGCAGTGATATCTAGCAGAATTCAAGACTGTGCTCTCCAAAGGAACATGAGAAGTAATTTAAAAGATATTTCAGAGTGAATGTCAAAGGGAGAAGTATTAGTAAGATAATAATAAAGGTTAGTACTTTATAACTCAATGTTTCTTTACTTATTGAATTTATTTCTCTCCTGTTTTTTCCAAAACAAAGCAAGTCTCTGAAATTTCTTTAGTCATAAAATGAAAGATAAACATTATTTGAATTTTAAAAGACAAAGAAGACTTTGAGTGATATCTAAGATAGGATTTTCAGCTCAGTACATTTGCTTATTTGTTTATTTTATGAACTTTAGGTAAACAGTTAATAAAAGAAATGCTTCTGGGATTTTAAAAGTACCATGCAATAAAGAGCAATAACATCAGAAAGCAAATGAAAGGTAAATGTTAGTGGAATAAAGTTTCATGGGAATATAAAGGAAAGAGATTATTTCTAGTTGGGAAAATCCAGAAAGCATGCAGGAGGGGGTTGTCTATTTCCTCTTTCATTGTTCAGTAATATTTTGTTGTGAAAAGATAAGTGAAGGGTAAGAAAAATGAAAGAAAGTCAAATGATAAATACAGGGAAATATAGTTAATGAAATAAAACTTTTACTTCCAAAGTTTTGCAGTGTTGGGTCAGTTAATCTATGGCAAGAGTCAAAATCTGAACTCTAGACTAACAAAGGCAATGTGTTAGGCCATATAACTGAAAAGTCCAGAAGGATGCTGATTTCAAGTATAACTAGATTCAGGTGTTCAAATGATGTCGATAGGCACTCTCTGTCTTAGCTTGACGGCTGTGCTTTCTTCTGTGTAGTTTTATATTCAGAGAAGTTCCTTGCACAGTGGCTGCTGGTTTTTCTAAGCCACACAGAGCCAGGGAATACAGTGAAAAGAGGTCCTGGAGCTGACTTCTTGGGTCTGTTTGGTAAAGCTTGGATTTTTGCTTGTCCCTAAGCTAATTATTCTGGCCAAAGAAACATGTTTCTTTAACCATGCCTGCATTATGTGCAAACCTTTAGTGCCTGCGAGTGGGTTAGCCCTTAGGTAACCAGGTAGACTGAGAATAGAGAGAGGCGAGTAACCATGAAAAGCAAGGGCGATGTCACTAGCAGAAGAATGACTGTATGCTGAGGAAGCAAGTAAAACAAATACTCTATTACCAAGAGGAAACGCCAGGTCATGAGGAAAGAGTGGCTGACCAAGCAGCCCTGACCATCTCCCTGATCTCTGCCATCATCTTGCTGGCACTGCATTGTTCTTTCTCTAGCACTCTGGTTCAAGTATTCTTTCAAAAAAGCAAACAAACCTTTGCTGGGTCTCTTTAGTCCAGATGAGGTAGATGGGATCTTTAAGACACTGAAGAACAGAAGGAAATAGATGCAAAGGAGAGTAAGTATTGGTATTACAAAATAAAGATTTATTTTTAAAAATATAGCTTAGGGGGAAAGATTAATTGCCAGCATCATTTCCTGCTTCCTTCTTTCCAGATAATGCCTGTATGTTTAGCCCAATTCCTTCAGCTCTCCAATAGTGTCCATGCACTTCAAAGGAAACTGAATGCTTCCTCAGCTCCAAGAGAACTGATATAAATGTCCTCACCACAGGGCATGAGACCTCATTCAGAAAAATAAGATCTGAGGAAAAGGTTTCCTGAGGTTTTCTGGAGACAAGTTTCCCCCCTCTTTAGAATGAGCCTTCTGAAGAAATACTGTTTCTGTTTAGGTGGCATTGTATAGCCATTCAATTTGTTACTGTTACTTAGCTACCAGAAAGAAAACCTTCTCCTTCTCCTCCTCCCCTACTCCTTTTTCTTCTCTTATTCTTTTTCTCTTTACTGAGCAACAAAAAGGACAACTAACCAATGGGAAAGGGATTTCTAAAAAATACTAGCTTTTGGAGCAAAGAGATAGGATTGTCTAGCTTTAATGCTATCTCAAAAAGTAGCAATGTTAAACAATGTGTACAAAGAAACTCATCGACTGTGCTGATTTCCTACATTATCAGGTTACTTGGTTCATACCCGGAGCTCAGTTAATGTGATCTGATCTGATCGTTTTATGACCAATTAGATGTGGGCCATTCGTTCACAAAGATCTTCAAATGCCACTGGTTAAAACATTTATCGTGGACACATTGACTTCTGCATGTTTTTGTCCCTTCAATTAGATTAATTGCCCAATTATACAAGCTTAAATAAAAAACAATTGTCGACCTTTTTATAATACTTTAAACACCGACATTCTTTAGAGCTATAGCTTTAAAGGTAGAATATTTATCTTCTCTTGGCTTTTCTTTTGTTAGAGTCACTGTTGGCAGCAAAATGTCATTTCTGCGTCCGTTTGCATGTTCAGAGCTTGAGTGATGTCACGGAAAGCAGAGTGGAACAGAATGTGAAAGGTCAGGTCAAAATTGATCTTGCTTTATAATGATGAAGGGCCAGTACATCTTGGAATGCTTGTTTGCTCATCCCACTCAGATGACACTGGCTGTGATATGTGTTTTCACACTAGTTAAAAATTTGTCAAAAACTTGATGAGAATAAATAAGAACTAGCAACACTGACACTTGGAAAGAAAATTCTCCACTATACTATGGATCATTCTTTGCATTCATGAAAATAACACAGTATGAAAGCCATTTATGTCTATGTCAAAACATACATGGGGCACTCATTAAACTCATTGGATGCTTACTACAGAGAGTGTAGTTTTTAATAATGAGTCAAAATAAGACCAATTAGACTAATTTTTGTATTCCTTCATATTTGGGACTTGCTTTCTTTCCCAAAACATAAACCATTTTTGTACATGAAGTCATTCAAATATTGGAACTATAAATAGGCTTTAAATAAAATATGTTTTAATGTTGTTATAACTCTTTTTTTTTTTTTACCCTTTTTAGGTTTTTTGTTTGTTAGTTTATTTGGTTGTTCATGTTGTAGTTCTCAGGTTAAAGCCTTGGAAAAGCTTATATAGAAAGCCCTTTATAAATATAAAATTTTTTGTTACCTGGATTTGGAGGCCTGAAGGAAACCACTAGATTCTCCCCAGGGGAGAAAAGGTTTCTATTATCCAATAAATATAGAAAAAATTAAGCATGGCAAAACAGATCTGCCTAACTTCAGCACTTTTTGGAGACTCTACTAAGCTAATGTGCATGAGGAATCTGAGAGGGTGGATCTAACATGCAGCATTTTCCTAGCTGTTTTGACCACCAAATCTTTTGGTAATGACCATCTTATGGAGCACTGTTCCTTAGAGCACATTGTGAGAAAAGCCCATTATAAGTCCTTTCAGAAGTGGGGAGAGCAGGAATTATGGATGACTTGTTTCCTCTCGTTGAGACATTTGGAGTCTATGGTAAATTGATAAATTCTGTGGCTCCATTTATCTATTCCATTTTTTTGTTTACTGCCAGCTCGAAGTTCCCTCTAAAATATTTCATTATCAAAATGTCACATTCTAATAGCTTAGGCAATTTAGAAAAACTCTTGTAAAACCATACTCATTTTTAAAAGTTCAAAGTAACCAAAAATCTTTTAAAGAGAAAGATGTAAGCTTTTTAAAAAGACCTACATATGTTAGTAACAGCATACTTTAATTGTTTGCAATGTATTTTAAATCTTGAAGGTGGTATCTGTCATAATATCATGGTCTCTAAAATGTGTTTGGAAGAATTTTATAATGAATTATGCAAAAAGCAGAAGTGACAACACTTAAATTTCTATTTTCAATAACAACATGTGCAGAGACAGTGAAGTGACATTTTAAAACCTCTAATAATTTTTGAAATAGTCAGAAAAAGATTCTGCATTTTCACACTGAAACTCAGAAAGAATATTTACCAAATAATTTTTAGAGCTAGATTTTTTATTAAAGAGAATCTCCCCATGAATAATTCTAGCATCTTTGCAAATACAGACATTGCTACCAGATAGTTGTACTTTCTGGGAATTTTACTGTACATTTCATTTATTCCTATATTCATGTGTACACACATGTGTATATGAATAAAAACTTATTAGAGTGATTTTTTATCTTTCATATATAGTCATTTTGTTCAATTCATTTACCATAATTTCTTCTTCCTCCTGTTATCTGAAAATATCTGAACTACAGAATAGATACTTCCAATCTTCTTGTGGCTTTGCCACTATGTTGGAAAAAAATTTTTTTGAAGGTGTTGGGCAGTGTTTTAATTTCCACTTAAAACACCTAAGATTTAAAAAGCAATCGATGTCATAAATGTTGTTTACACAGGAATAAATTAAGTATCCCTCTTCCGGTAGGTTTTTAAAGTACTGCCTTAATAAAGCAATGCCTACATTTTCACCCTACTCTACTCTTACCCTTCCTTTCAGCTTTATTGTGGTATAATTGACAAATTAAAAGTCTATACATTTAACATATACAATGTAATGTTTTGATATACATATGTATTGATAAATAATTACTACAATTAAGCTAATTAACAAATTCATTACCTCACAGAGTTACAGGGTTTTTTTTAAAGTGTAGTGAGAACATTTAAGCTTTATTTTGTTAGCAAATTTCAAGTATAAAATACATTATTATTAGCTATAATCACCATGCTCTATATTAGGTGTCCAGAAATTATTCATCTTAAAACTGAAAGCTTATACCACTTGACCAATATCTTCCCATTTCCCCCACCCCCAGTCCCTGGCAACTATCATTCTACTGTTTTCTATGAGTTTGACTTTTTACAATTGTACATATAAGTGAGATCATGCAATATTTATCTTTGTGTGCCTAATTTCGCTTAGTATAATGTACTCCATGTTGTCACAAACAGCAGGTATTCCTAGTTCTTTAAGACTGCAAAATATTCCATTGTATGTATACACAACACATTTTCTTTATCCATTCATCAGTTGGTGGGCAGTAAGGTTGTTTCTATATCTTGGCTATAGTGAATCATGCTGCAAGGAATGTGGGAGTGTAGATATCTCTTCAACATACCAATTTTACTTCCTTTGCTATATAATCAGAAGTGGGATTTCTGGATCATATGGTTGTTCTATTTTAACTTTTTGAGGAACCTCCATACTGTTATCCATAATGACTGTACTAATTTACATTCCCAGAAATAGTGCACAAGGGTTCCCTTTTCTCCATATCCTTGCTACCATTTGCTGTCTTTTGACTCTTTGATAATAGCCATCCTAATATGTGTGAGGTGATAACTCACTGTGGCTTTGATTTGCATTTCCTTGATTTAGTGATGGTGAGAACCTTTTCATTTACCTGTCGGTCATTTGTTTGTCTTCTTTGAAAAAAATTGTCTATTTAGGTTCTTTACCCATGTTTAAATTGAGTTATTGGCTTGTTTGGTATAGATTTATGAGAGTTCCTTATCGATCTTGGATATTAAAGTAAATATCCCTTTATCAGATACATAGTTTGCAAATGTTTTCTACTATTCCATAGATTGCTTTTCCATTTTGATTGTCTCCTTTGATGAGCAGAATGATTTTCTGCATCTACTGAGAAGATCATTTAAGAAATTCATTCTGTTAAAGTGGTGTATTATTGTTTGACTTACATATATTGAAAATCTTTGCATCTCAGGGGTAAATCCCACTTGGTCATAGTTACAATTCTTTCTTTCTTTCTTTCTTTCTTTCTTTCTTTCTTTCTTTCTTTCTTTCTTTCTTTCTTCCTTCCTTCCTTCCTTCCTTCCTTCTTTCTTTCTTTCTTTCTTTCTTTCTTTCTTTCTTTCTTTCTTTCTTTCTTTCTCTCTTTCTTTTTTTAGATGGAATCTCACTCTGTCACCTAGGCTGGAGTACAGTGGTGTGATCTTGGCTCACTGCAGCTTTTGCCTCTCGGGTTCAAGAGATTCTCCTACCTCAGCCTCCCTAGTAGCTGGGATTACAGGCACACACCACCATACTTAGCTAATTTTCATATTTTTAGTAGAGATGGGGTTTCACCATGTTGGCCAGGCTGGTCTTGAACTGCTGGCCTCAGGTGATCCACCCCCTTTGGCCTCCCAAAATGCTAGGAGTACAGGCATGAGCCACTGTGCCTAGCTGTAGTATACAATACTTTTAATGCACTGTTAAATTCAGTTTGCTAGTGTTTTGTTGAGAATTTTAATCAGGGATATTGGCCTGTAGTTTTCTTTTCTGTTAGTGTTCTTCTCAGTCTTTAATATCAAGATATTGCTGGCCTTATAAAATTAGTTTGAAAGCATTCTTTCTTCTTCAATTTTTTTTTGTAACAGTTGGAGAGGATAGTTATTAGTGCTTCTTTAAATGTTTGGTAAAATATACCAGTAAAGACATCTGGTCCTGGGCTTTTCTTTGCTGGGAGATTTTTAATTACTAATTCAATACCCTTACTTGTCATTGATCCATTCAAGATTTTTCCATTTCTTCATGACACAGCCTTTTTAGGTTCTATGTGTACAGAGATGTATCCATTTTGGAAGCTGATGCTAATCCTGAAAGTCAAAATCCCTAACATCTTAATCCTGAATGTTGAAATCCCAAAAGATCAAAATCCCAAAAACATAATCTGGAAAACATAAATTAACATTTTTTAAAGACATATTTGTTTATATTTTTAAAAGGGGATTGAGAAACACATAAAAACATGATGGAACCCTTCATAGGACAATTTATATAATAAGATAGGCAACAACATACATATTTTTGCAAGCATAAACACTTAGGTATGCTAATGACAGTCACACAGGTACAATAGCTATGAGAAGATGAACTATATTCACAAGTTAAAAGGTCAACAAGTGATGTATATAAACATATATCACTATGGTTGGTAATTGTGTGCACCCAGCATTATAATTGGTCACCTGAAACACCATGATGGACCACTTAAGTCTTTGACAAGATTGATTAGAAACCACAGTGGGTCACCACTACATATGTAGTCACCCAAGGGGCAAAGCTCTCAAGAAATTTTATTTTTCACAAATGCAGATGGACAAAAAGGACATCTCTTCACTTATGAGGAAGTTTTAGTGTTTTTACATTGAGAACCAAGAAAGCTGATGGTGTGACTCTTAGTCCAAGGCTTCTTTTTTCTTCTGTGACTAGATAATTTTAAATGAGCTGTCTTTGAGTTCACAGGTCTTTTCTTCTGCTTGATCAAGTCTGCTGTTGATTCTCCTTATTGCAATTTTCATTTCATTCATTGTATTCTCCAACTCAAGAACTTTTTATTTGTTCTTTTATATGTCTATCTCTTTGTTGAACTTCTCATTTTGTTTTCCTGATTTAGTTGAGTTTGTCTTTATTCTCTTGCAGCTTGCTGAGTTTCCTTAAAATAATTATTTTAAAATCTTTGTCAGGCAATTCATAGATCTCTAATTCTTGGGGCTCAGTTATTGAAGGTTTATTAATTTCCTTTGTAGTTGTCATGTTTGCCTGATTCTTCATGATCTGTGTAGCCTGGCACTGATGTCTATGCATTTGAAGAAACAAGCATCTCCTTCTGTCTTTACAGACTGTTTTCAGCAGGTAAAAACCTTCTCCTGCTGGGTCTCCAGACTGATGGGACTATGTCCAATATTGCATTTAAGTGGGGCCGGAACTGGGCCATGTGGCTGTTACCAGTTCCGCAGTTGAATACACAGTTGGCAGGCATATTACAGGGGGTGTGAGCAGATGTGGATCCTGCCAAATCCCCAGGTGGAGAGGACTGCCTCTGGGACCACAGTTGAGCAGGACTGGAACCAGGTTGTGGTACTCTTCTGGGTCTGTAATTGAGTCTACAGATAGCAGGATAACAAGAGTGTGGGTGCATGTGGCTCCATAGAGACCCTCAGTAGGCTTTTACAGGATCCCTGAGCAGATCCTTGTGTAAGTCCCTGGGAACAATGGAGTGCCTTAAGGACTTTGTTAGAGTGGGGTTTGAGCTTGGTTACAGAGCCACTTTAGAATCTGCAGTAGGGTCCATAGTGAGTGGGCTTGTTACCACGGGAACAGAGAGCATAGTTCCTCCTAGATCCATGTGCAGATTGGATGGCTTCAGAAATGCAGCAAAATAGGGTTGAAACTGAGTCCACAGGGGGCTGGGGCTGCCCTTGGTCTGCAGCTGGGGCCACATTTAGTGAAACTACCACTGGGTCATGAGCCTGCCTTCTCATAGCATCTCTGCTCAGTCTTGGGCTTCATCAGGGTTTTACCACCTCCTAAATGGATCCTAAAGCTCCCACAAAGGCATTTTTGTCTTTTGATGACTTCTAGATTGTTCCTTGTGGTGGAGGGAAGGTAAGTTGGGGATTCTGTCATCTTGCTCCCTACTCTCTAAAATGTTTAAATAAATATAAATTATATTTTTTAAATGCTCAAGTCCGTTGATGGCATATGAAAGACAAAACAAAAGAAAAAACAAAAATGCTTGCCCTTATCCTCAACATCTCAGTCTTTGGTGAGTCCTTCCCAGAGTTCACAACAGCTTACCTGTCCAGTCTGCCAACCAGCTGCGTTGTGTGCATCTGATATGTCACTCTTTTCTGCCCTGCGTTTCCTGGGATTTCACTGTTAACATCTCTTCCTGACCACAGACAGCTTTATCAGTTGGAATGCAGTATCAACCATTGTTTAGTTTCTGGGATTACTGTAATGTCTGCTGTTCATGTAATCATAATTTTAGCAGGAGTGAAAGGAAAAGTCACAGCATCTCTTTCTCTAGATGACCATTTCAACTTCTAGATTCAGGCCTTATTTCCTTCTCTTTTTATTTCTTTCCTTTCCTACCGTTCATACCCACCATTGCATAGCTGTTTCTGTTCTCTGGTTCTTCAAAGGTATCATGGGATACTGGAAAGAGTAGTCTTGGGATCAAGTAAATCTCAGTTTGAATCTGAGTTACAACTCTTACTAGTTATTTGGTCTTAGTGATTAACTTATTCTCAAGCTCACATGACCAAGACAGACCATATTCTGAGCTATAAAATGCATCTTAACAAATTTAAAACATTAGAAACCATTCAATATCTGTCTGCAGAAAACAATGGAAATAAAATAAAAATCAATAACAGAAAGGAAGCTGGAAAATCCCCAAACACCTGGAGATTAAACAATGCAGTTCTAAATAATATATGGGTCAAAGAAAAAATCTCAAGAAAAATTTAAAAATAATTTGAATTAAATGAAAATATAACATCAAAATTTGTGGGATGGAGTGAAAGTAAAAGAAAATTTATAGCATTGAATACATATATTAGAAAAAAAGAAAGATCTAAAATCAATAAAGTGTCTACCTTAGAAAACTAGAAAAAGAAGAGCAAATTAAATCCAGTGTAAGTTGAAGAAAAGAAATAATAAAAATTAAGACAGAAATCAATAAAATACTTAGGTATAAATCTAATAAGATGTGCTATATCTATTTGAGGAAAATTACAAAACTCTGATGAACAAAATCAAAGAAGTAAATGAATAGAGAGATATTCCATGTTTGTAGACAAGAAAACTCAACATTGTCAAGATGTCAGTTCTTCCCAGTTTGATCCATAGAGTCAATGCAGTCCCAATCAAAATCTCAGCAAATCATTTTGTATATATCAACAAACTGATTCTCAAACTTATATGGAGGGGCATAGGACCCAAACTAGCCAACTTAATATTGAAGGAGAGGAACAAAGTTAGAACACTGCTACTGCCTGACTTCAAGACTTATTGTTAATCTACATAACCAAGACAGTGTGGTATTGGTGAAAAAACAGAAAAATAGATCAATGGAACTGAACAGAAAGTTAAGAGACAGACCCACATAAATATAGTCAACTGATCTTTGCCAAAGCCATAAAGGCAATACAATGGCAAAGAGGGTCTTTTAAATAAATGGTAATGAAACAACTGGGCATCCATATGCAAAAATAATGAATCTAGATGTAGATTCAGATTTAATTTGAACCAGATCTTATATCCTTCACAAAAATTAGATTATAATGGATCATAGTTCTATAGGTAAAATGCAAAATTATATAATTACTGGAAGATAACATGGGCAAAAATCTAGGTGACCTTGAGTATGATATTTTAGATACAACTCCAAAGGTACCCATACATGAAAGAAATAATTGATAAGCTGGAATTCACTAAAACTAAAAACATCTGTTCTGAGAAAGACATTTTCCAAAAATAACCTAATAACAGACTATTATCCAAAATATATTTAAAAATTCTTAAAACTCAACAATAGGAAAATGAATAACTTAATTAACAAGTGAAAAAAAGGAACTGAACAGACACCTAACCAAAGAAGATATGCAAATGGAAAACAAGCACTTGAAAAGATGATCCACATCATATGTTATTTTTGATTTGGAAACTAAAACAGCAATGAGATACTAATTCACAGCTATTCAAATGGCTAAAATTGAAAGCACTGACAATACCAAACATTGGTGAGGATGTGAAGCAACAGAAACTATCATTAATTTCAGATGGGAATGTACAATGGTACAGGTACTTTGGAAGACAATTTGGCAGTTTCTTACAAAACTAAACATAGTCTTACCATACCATTTAGCAACTGTTCTCCTTTGTATTTACCTGAATTTGTTAAAAACATATGCCCACTCAAAAACAGCACATGAATGTTTATAGCAGCTTTATTCATAATTGCCAAAACTTGGAAGCAATCAAGATGTCCTTCAGTAGGTGAATGGATAAACTGTGGCATATCTATACAATGGAATATTATTCAGTGATAAAAAAAGATATGAACTATCAAGTCATGAAAAGTCATGGAGGAAACTCAAATGGATATTGTGAAGTGAAAGAAGACAATTGGAAAAGGCTACATACCATATGATTTCAACTATATGACACCTGAAAAAGGTGAAAGTATGGAAACAGTAAAAGGACCAGTAGTTACCAGGAGTTAGTAGGGAAGGAAGGATGAAGAGGCATATTACTATGGAATTTTTAGGGTCATGAAATGGTATGTATTGGTGGATACATATCATTATACATTTGTCAAAACTAATAGAATGTACACCACTAAAATTGAATGCAAATTATGGACTTTGAATGATAATGTTGTGTCAATATAAGTTCATGGATTGTAATAAATGTACCACTTGGGTGTAAGAGTTTGATAATGGGGGGGAGAGGATTGTGCATAGGTGGGTGCAGGAAGGATATGAGAAATCTCAATACCTCCCACTCAATTTTGCTGTGAATCTAAAACTGCTCTAAAAATAAAGTCTCTTTAAAAAAATTAACTTAGATTCAATTTATTTAACTGAAGAAAAATAAAAAGAATACCAGTGTAATAAAATTGTTGGGAGTATTAAATGAGATAAATGTCTGTGAAAACTCTGGCATATAATTGGCATTCAATAAATATCAAGGTTCCTCGGGAAATTCTCTATCTTCTGAGCCATTGTACAAACTCCAAGTCACTTTCTGGAATCATTTCCTAATCCAAGTAAAAGCAACAGGGGCAAAACTACCTGTTGGTTATTGCATTTTGACCCTTCAATGAAATAAAATAATTAGGAATTAGTTTACTTAGCAACTGATTGTTGTGCAACCTATGTGCATTTTACTGCACTAAGGATACTGTAAAGAAATTTAAGAAACAGCATCTACTCTAGAAGAAACATTAAATCTATTTGGGAAGATCAGAAATGAAATGGCAAAGTATCAATTCATAGTTACATATAATTAATTATAAAAATGAGTGCTATAATAAGTCCTGTGGGATTTGTTGTTAAACTGCATGTCTTAGCATACGAATGTTTGGAGAAGGCCTTTTGGAATTAGTTGATCACCTACAAAAGATACTTGTGGTAAATGGTCCCATAAGACTATCTGCCTTTCCTGTTTCAAGCTTGATGTTTTGAAGTATTTCATGTTTGATAGTCTAAATATTGTCTTCAATTTCTCTTTTAACAAAATCAAATGCTTGCTTCTTAAAAGTAAGATAGGTTTAAATTCTATGAGAAAAATGGTCACCACTTATTGATAAAAGAAACATTTAAATATTATTTAAGTTATAAAAAAGACAAGAACCTATTTTAAGTAGACACAAAACATTTTTCTGACATAATTTTTCAGAATAACTATTTTGAAATAAGTCATTTACAATCAATAATGATTTAGAAATTATCATGTTTTGATGCTATAATTAAAATTCCTTTTTGATGTATTAATTAATTCATCCACTCAATAAATACTACTAAGTGCCTTTCATATTAGAGATGACTCCTGTCCTCCTGGAACTATGGTTAATGAAGGAGGCAGGCATTTTAATACAAATATATATTAAATAAGTAATTACCTATTTTAATAACAGATAATGGAGGACAAAAATGGGTATTGTCAGGGGAGAGGTGTTGTGGAAATCACAAAAAAGGGGACCACATTTAGATTTGGGAGGGAGTTAGGAAAAGACTCTCAGGAGAAGTATCTGATAAACTGGAGCTTAAAGAATGAGCAGGAGTTAGCTGGTGAAGAGTAGGGAGAAAGAATTCCAAGCATTGGGATTAGCATGTGCCAAAACTCTAATGTTAGGTAGAGCTCAGTACAATGGTTGAAGACAGTTAAAAAGGCCATATGACTAAAAAGAAAGAGCAAGTGGGGAGCGGCACAAAATGAGAGTGAGGAGGGTTTAGGAGGACAAGACAAAAGGTTTGGATTTTATTCTAAGTAAAAGAGGGAGCCATTAAAAGTGTAAAGTTGCCTTTATAGACTGGTTTTTATGTAATAGCATATTTACTTAATAAATATAACAGTACTTAATATAATAAATATAACAGTAGTTCTTAGCAAGTACTAATAATAAATATAATAAATTATGTAATATAATATGTAATATATTATATAATATGTAATATAATATGTAATATATTATATAATATGTAATATAATATGTAATATATTATATAATATGTAATATAATGTAATATATGTAATATATAATGTAATATAATGTATATATGTAATATATAATATGTAATATAATATGTAATACATAATATATTATATTACATCATAAATACACTTACATAATAAATATAACAGTAGTTCTTAGCAAGTACTAAAAAGTGGTGACTCGTTTTGATATCATTGGCAACATGAAAATGAATTAAATATGAAATTTCAACCCTAAGATAATTGCTATTCTTGAGTCTCCTATTCTATACATTAACATGACAGATTATGACCTAGTTAAATTTTTACTTAAAATATCAGCTTTTAGAGATTCTGATATCCTGAAACCTCAATGCCATAATGATGCCAGGTTTATTCAGTGAATCAGGAGATTGATTTCTTTAAATAGTAATACCACTTAAAATACTTTGGGGATAGTTTCTTAGAATTCAAAAACTTGAACACTGTCATTATCAACAACGTGTATTCATTAAACACACACTGTGTTCAGTACCTGAGCTACAAATGGATATAAGAAAGAGCCCCAGAAGAGCTTAGAATCTGAAGATTCTAATTAAAATTGCACACAAAAAGAGCAGGGCAGATTCACACACTGTAGAAATTCAGACAGGGAGTTACCAACAAGAATAGAAGTAGTCCGAAATTCTCTTCTAGGGACAGTTAAGCTTGAACTTAGAATTGAAAAGAGAGCGGCCCTTTGAGATAACACACTCTGAATGTTTGTAAATGTATACAATGTTATTTCACCATAAGATATTAAAATGTTGTTGACAAAAGCATTTTTGGAGGAAAAAAAAGGATCATTCCTATACTTCTCTTCAGTGAGAAAATCCACAATTCGGGAAATTCACCCAGAGCTGGTTAATTAACTGAAAAGAAATTCCACACTTTAATTAGAAGGAGCAATTATGAGAAGGTCTGTTTTGGATGTAAGGTTATCATTAATGAAGGTAAAATCTTCCAAAATATGACTTTATTAATAAAGCGAACATTGATGACAATACCTCATCAAATCTTGGTGCTGTATTACAGCTGCAGAATCAATCAGTAGCTTTAATTTGGCATCAGTTCTAAACAATGATTGTTAAATTCAATAGAGGTTTTCTGTTAATCTCCTATCTAGTAAACAAATACATTTATGTTGCACCAAAATTTTAATTTTAATTTTAATGTACATTTTCAGTTACTGCCATATAAAGAAGTACAACTTTACTTTCATTTTTTCAAGATCACTTAAGTTTCAAAGGAAGACTCCTTATCTAGGATCTGGTGACCAAAGTGACATTCCCTTTATTCTTTCTATATAGGATTTTCTCAGACAAATTTGGGGAGAAAGTATTGTCTAATGAAGAAAGTAGAAGATGGATTATGTGGAATATTTGATTAGCTATAAGAAACAGACTTAAAGTGTGTACAAGAGCCAACTTATTTTCCTTTATTTATTTATAATTAAAAAATTATTGTGGGTACATAGTTTTTAATCACATCATGGAAAAATGGAGTATCTATCCTCTCAAGCACTTATTCTTTCTGTTACAATCTAATTATATTCTTTTAGTTAGTTTTTAATACACAATTAAATTATTACTGACTATAGTCACCCTGTTGTGCTTTCAAATACCAGGTTTTATTCATTGTTTCTAACTATTTTTTGTACCCATTAACCATCCCTACCTTCCCCTCAATTCCCCTCCACCCTTCCCAGCCTCTGATAACCATCTTTCTGTTCTGTATTTCATGAGTTCAATTGTTTTGATATTTAGATCCCATAGATAAGTGAAAAAATCTGATGTTTGTCTGTGTTTTTTTTCACTTAACGTAATGACCCCAATTGTATCCATTTTTAAGATCGTTACACTTTATTTTTTTTAGAGTTGATTTAGGTTTACAGAAAAATTGAACAAAAAGTAGTGTTTCCATACAGTCTGTCACCACCCACCTAGTTTCACCTGTTGTTAACACTTTGCATTAGTTTGGCACATTCGTTACATTTGATGAGCCAATATTTTTACATTATTATCAACTAAAGGGTGTAGTAGTTTAGAGTTCATTCTATAATAACATGTATCCACCATTACAGTATCATATAGAATAGTTTCACTGCCCTAAACATTCTCTGTGCTCCACTTATTCATCATTTCTTCCTTTCCTTCAAGCCCCTAGCAACCACTGATCTTTTTACTGTCTCCATGGCTTTGCCTTTTGCAGAATGCCTTATAGTTGAAATCATACAGTACTTCCACTTTTAGCCTAACTCCATTTCTCTTTCACTTAAGAAAGCATATAGGTTCACAGTAAGTCAGGGAGTTTTTATTATCAGAATATCTTGGACCTGCCCCAATTTAAAGATAAAAAGGTAAATCAGAATCACTTGAACACGAGAGGTGGGGGTTGCAGTGAGCCGAGATTGCGCCACTGCACTCCAGTCTGGATGTAAGAGTGAGAGTCCATCTAAAAAAAAAAAAAAAAAAAAGGCAAATCCTTTATAAATTTGAAAAGTCTATTATTAAAGTCACATTACTAAGGGCAGTGTGGCATAATGATGAAATTCAAGGTCCCTGGAGGCAGACTGCCCATGTTTGAATCCCAGTTTCTCTACATAATCTGGATAACAGGTAAGCTACTGAACACCAGCATGTTGGATAGATTCTGTTTACTGCTCCAGATCATCTTGCCATGGTTCTTCACAATACTCTGTGCTTCTGAGACAGACCTGATGACCTATATCAATGGGCTCATTTGTCCTCCAGCTTGTGGCTAAGATACTAGGATGAAATTACAGGGTGGAAGGAGAGTGAGATGTAGGCTTTTACCCCTTTGATTTCTTCTCACCATTCTATTGGTTGGCAATACCCAAGTTCCTCAGCCAAAGGCTGTCTCACCAGTCAGCCTTCTCCTTCACCTGTGGTTCCCAAAGTTCCTGCTCCTGTCTCTTGCCTCTTCAGACCCAGAGTTGTAAAGACTCCCAGCGCTGATAGTCCTTGGGTGCTTTACCATCCATTTAGTGTCAACTTTAACCTTTCTTATGTTTTAATAAGCAGTTCATTTATTAAACTTCTTAAGTTGCCACTTTTGGGTGTTTCCTGTTGGGTCTCTGACACATGGAATTTCTGTCTTTATAAAAAGAATAAGGCCGAGCAAGTGGCTTACACCTGTAATCGCAGCACTTTGGGAGGTCGAGGAGGGTGGATCACTTGAGGTGAGAATTATGAGTCCAGCCTGGCCAATGTGGCAAAACCCCGTCTCTAATAAAAATATACAAATTAGCTGGGTGTGGTGGTGCATGCCTGTAATCCCAGCTACTAGGGAGGCTGAGGCAGGGCAATCACTTGAATCCAGGAAGTGGAAGCTGCAGTAGGCTGAGATCATGCCATTGTACTCCAGCCTGGGTGACAGAGGGAGACTCTGTCTCTAAAATAAAATAAAATAAAATAATATAAAATAAAATAATAAAAAGAACAATGATATTACCTCATAAAGTTGTGAGAATTGGATATTTATATGTATTTTTAAAACAGTGCCTGGAACATATTGAGTTCTCTGTGTTACCTCTCATCACAATTCAGTTCACAATTGATTGTTTCACACCCAGCTATCAAGAAAATGCATAAAGGAACCACTATCTGGAACTGAAAAACTTTGGGTTTGGGCAGAGATTGCTAGATCTTTAATAAAATTAGTTTTCTCCTCTTCCTGGGCAAACAGTGAATCTTTATTTCCTGGCATCTTTTCAATTAAATATGGCCAAATACCTGAAAGTTAGGTAAAATATGAGCAAAACTGATGAGTGAGCTTTGCCACTTAAAACACTCAACCACATGTTCCACCGTGGTCTTTTCTCTTCATGGCTAACTGAGATGGCAGCTACAAACACAGTCTTGCTCCTGAAGATAGCAGAGTGGTCAACAGCCTGACCCTGTGACAACCGTGTGGAGAGATCATCCCACCAACCGGAACACTTGAGTTGGGCCGTTATATGAGCAACAAATAAACTTCTACTGTATTTGAGCTAATATACACTTTCATGAAAATTTATTATAGCAGCTCATATGGCTTTATCTTATATGGTGGTTAATTACATTATCACCACCACCAAAAATATATTGAGATGTTGTAAAAAGGTACAAAGCCAAAATAAATCAATGTACTTGAAAACTATATATTATTTGACCTGATGCTTTCCAAAATGTCACTTAAGGGTACAATATGATTACGCATATTATGATTGAACATGACAATGGTAAACACGACTATATTTTTGTTTGTCTTTCTATTTGGGTCTTATATCAAATTTTAAATAATATATATCATGGTGATTTGATTAGTTGTATTTTTGTTTTACCACTTGACATAAAAATTTCTCATATTCATACATATCATTTTAAAACATGCATACTATTTTATTTGATTGATACACTACAAATTTCTTAACATTCATTTGTATACAGTCAGGTGTTCTAGTTTTTCTTTTTTTTACAAACTAAATATAGGGGCATAATTAATACCTTCTGTGTGTGTTTTCCTTAATAAATCTTAAATACAAATCACTAGGTCCATTTTGCAAACATTTTTATGACTTGATATAAGTTTTCAAAATTAATTTATTATAAAGGTTATTCCAAATGACTACACAAGAATAAGTGAGTTGTTAGGCCAGGTTCACAGTCACTTCTCCAACATTAGGACTTGGCATTTCCAAACGAGTAAGATATATTGATCTTGTGGTAATGACCATGAGAATGAGGTCACATCTTCTATATATTCACAGGAATCATAATTCGTCTAGCTAAGTGTCTGCGGTATTAAAGTGCTCAAGAAACACTTGCTGAATGAATGCATGCATTAATGCACTAATGAATATATTGGACCACGTGTCCTAGTGTTGATATCTTAATACATTAAATGGTTTGGAGTATTTTTTAAATTGTTCACCACAAGGAATAGGTGAGTCATCATATGAGGACCCTGGCCAAGCCCACGGGGCTGGATCTCCAGGAATCACTTCTAGGGCTATTTATTTCATTTGAGGCAACCCAGCACAGGAAGAAACACAAAAGGGCCTCTGAGAAAACTCCTTTAAAAAGAACCAAGAGTCAAGCTGGAAGGCCAGCAACAAGCATCAAGTTCAAAGGTGGGAGTGGTTGCCTTGGTCATCTGTGGGATTGGCCTCTTGGCACTATTTAGGGGTACAGCCTCTTGCCATTTACATGGTTCCATGGAAGCTGGTATGTGTTTCTATGACTCTGACCTCACCCCAATACCAAGGCATAGTTGATTTGTTTATGGTGAACACATGAGTCACAAGACAAGTGAGTCCTTTTCAAGGGAATTGGGACAAAATGGAACGTGAGATACATTTCTTTGTTGGAATTTGTAGTTTTAAGAGTAAGGCCTAGAGCCTGAGGATGTGAAAATATTCTGCCAAGGATAATATTACATAAGGGGATGTTTTTTTTAGAAGTATGTTTAGTGTTTGCTTCTTGTAAGGGTCCAAATTAATTCCCAAGTTATTTATTTAGGGAAGGATGTAAAAGTTTCATAATACTAAAAGATGTCAATCAGAAGTGTTTTCTAACACCATCCCTTTATGTTCTTCTCAACTAAAACTATGTAATAATTTGAGTCTTCCCTCACAGGTTTCTTTTTGTTGTTGTTATTGTTGTTTTTTTTTTTTTTTTGAGACGGAGTCTCGCTCTGTCACCCAGGCTGGAGTGCAGTGGTGCAATCTCGGCTCACTGCAAGCTCCACCTCCTGGGTTCACACCATTCTCCTGCCTCAGCCTCCCAAGTAGCTGGGACTACAGGCACCCGCCACCACGCTGGGCTAATTTTTGATTTTTTTCTTTTTTAGTAGAGATGGGGTTTCACCCTGTTAGCCAGGATTGTCTCAATCTCCTGATCTCGTGATCCACCTGCCTTGGCCTTCCAACGTGCTGGGATTACAGGCGTGAGCCACTGCACCCAGCCCTCCTCACAGGTTTCTTGGGATTCTGCTTAGTGAGCTTATTCTCCTTAAACTGATTTAGAAATTTAATCAGAATTCAATTAAAATGTCCTTACATCAACCCCTGTTTCAGAAGGTGAGTGGTAGGCAAAAAAGATCTTTTACCATTCAATTTTATGGATATGTTCCCAACACAGTATCTCCCACTTGAGATCAACTATCTCTTTCTTTCATACTCAAGGTGATTAATAGGGATATTAGCTCTGGTGAATTGTGTTTTTTTTTTAACTGTAAACATTTGATTTCTTTTTGTGTGTGTGTTTTTTGTTTACCTTATATTAAGTTCAGGGATACAAGTGCAGCTTTGTTACATAGGTAAACTTGTGTCATGGGGGTTTGTTGTACAGATTATTTCGTCACCCAGGTATTAAGCCTAGTACCCAGTAGTTCTTTTTCCTGATCCGCTCCCTCCTCCCACCCTCCACCCTCTGATATGCCCCAGTGTATATTTGTTCCCCATGAGTTCTCATCATTTAGCTCCCACTTATAAGTGAGAACATGCAGTATCTGGTTTTCTGTTCCTGCATTAGTTTGCAAAGGATAATGGCCCCATCTCCATCCATGTCCTCACTGGTGACTCCATAAGGCCCTTGTCCACTAGGCTTCTTCTTGGTAGTCCTCCGTGTAAGGGCACTATTCTTTCTGCTCTTTGGCTGTCAAACTTGTCATAACTTGCTTTAGCCAATGGAATGTGAGCTTATGTGATGTATGCCATGTCTGAACAGAAAAGTTATAAACAATTGTAAGATTCAGTCATTGTTCCCTTCCCTCTGCTATGAGAATGGCATACTCCCACTATGGGCTTCTCCTTTAGCCTGGAACTTACTACAGAGAAGACACAGAGAGCAGAGACAGTGGACCTTCAGGCAACATTTAATATGAACAAGAAATAAACCTTGTTATGGTAAGTTACTGATATTTTGGAGCTGTTTGTTACTCTAGCATAACCTAGAGAAAATTGACCCTACAACAGCCAATGACTATTTTTCCCTTCTTACTTGAGGCAGTGATACAGGATCTTCTATTCTTTAGTAGAGAGAAGACAAAATAGCTACATGTGAAATTTCTCAAGATACCATGCAAGATAGAAAGACTACAGAATATCCTGTGCTTTTGTCTCATTTCCTTGCTATAAGTTATATAAATTCTTTCCTAGGGAAAACGTGGATTCAGCCTTGCTGCATCATACACTTTTAATGACAGCTTACCAATTCCATATGTTCAAAAAATAAGACAAAGTCATGTGACAAATAGTTCAAATCTCTCTCAGTCTTATTAGGCAGGAATGACCAAGAGACCAAGCATATTCTACATCTTAATTTCTTCTTGTTGACTGTGAACAGACGGGAGCTATGCTATTTAAGGAATAGTAGATTTTGGCATTTGGCCATTATCCAAAGCAAACTGAAAGAAGGGGCAGTATTCATCCGGCTCAGTAACAGAAGACAACTAAAAATAGGCACCCAGCCCAAACCCAGCCAGGCTGTGAGTTGCTAGGCAAGAATGCTTTTTCCACAGCAGTCTAGGGTCCTCCATTCACAAGTTTTCCATTGGCTATAAATTTGTCTAAGATATTCATTTCACTGCTGTGTTTGATTAACATCCACCTCTATGGCCTCTCCATTTTATATTAATTTGAGATACAAATTAAGATGACTTACAAACTGAAGCCAGTCTGGTTTTTCTCAACCTATTGAGACTAAGTGTTATACTCTCAACTTTCAGAAGTTTCTGCCAAACGCTACTATTAATATTTCATTCTGAAAAGCAACTTTTTCCTCTAGCTACAAAAGTTACACTATGACCTTAAAGGTGTGGTCCTCTGATATTAACATTAGATGCATTAATTGAGTTGCCATTTATTATTGAGCAATTGCTAGAATTGCTGTCTTTTTGTACAGACAGAGGAGTAGTTGAATATACAATATTATTCTCTTAGAGCAAGGCCATATTTCTCTGTCTGTGCTGCAGTGACCATGATTTGAGACTCCCAGCCAGAGGCATAAAACCACTCACTGAGAACTAGTGTATATATAAGCATAGTGTTGGTAAATGGGACAGGCTATGGGAAGAAAAAAAATGAACTAGAACTCCTGAAGCTCACAAGTGGCTGTTATACCATTCTCAGCAGACCTCACTTCTTTATACGTATTTGAAATGCTGTTGATAAAATTATACCTTAAAATGAAATAAACAGGCTGAATACAGTGGCTTATGCCTGTAATCCTGGCACTTTGGGAAACCAAGGCAGGAGGATTGCTTGAGTCCAGGAGTCTGAGACTAGTCTGGGCAACATATTGAGACCCCATCTCTATTTTAATAAATTAAACATAATTTAAATGGTATGAACAAACTACAAAAACATGATACAACATGGAAGAAACACACAAAATTAATATTGAACAAAAGAGACCAGATACAAAAGAATACCGGGTGTATAACAGCATTTCTAAAGTTCAAAACCACATAAAAGTAATCTGTACTGTTAGAAGTCTGATTGTCTTTGCAGAGGAAGGAGACACTAGAAATTGGGATGAACATGAGGAGGCCTTCAGGGTTAGTAGTCATTTTATTTCTTGACCCAAGTGGTAGTTACACAGATGTGTTCCATCCATGATGCTTCCTCAAAGTGTATACTTAGAATTTTTGCACTTTTCTGCAGACATGTTATGCTTTAATAAAAAAGGGGAAAAATCATACTCCATAACTAAAGGCACAATCTTGGGTGGCAATGTATTATTAGCTATGTAGCTATTATTGGTTCTTCTTTATATATGAATTGTGAACTATATATCATGATTTATTTTGAAACACTGCTTTGTAATTCTGTAAGTCCATTAAACCATGTTTTATTCTTTCATTAGCTCTTTCTAAGCAATTAACAGCCTCTGTCTCTTGAACATGGGCAAAGTCTGACCTGCAATTAAATGTGGACTGACTCAGACGTTTCAAATCACACTAAGGCAATGCTCATTGACTTCCATAACCTTACTGTCCCTGAAGCTAAGCCGACTCATTCTTATGTGTTCCAGTCATTGAGAACATTTATGTCAATTTCACCTAGTTCTTTATTTCATGGAATTTTTAAAGATTAGACGGCTTCAGTGAAAACCAGGTAAATTTCATATCCCAAGATGATTTAGCTCCATGTAGATTTCTTTTCTTTTCCTTTTATTATTATGATTATTATTATTATTATTTTGAAACAGAGTCTTGCTCTGTCGCCCAGGCTGGAGTGCAATGGCGCTGTCTGGGCTCACTGCAACCTCTGCCTACTGAGTTCAAGCAATTCTCCTGCTCAGCCTCCCGAGTAGCTGGGACCACAGGTGCGTGCCACCACGCCTGGCTAATTTTTTGTATTTTTAGTAGAGAAAGGGTTTCACTATGTTAGCCAGAATGGTCTTGATCTCCTGATCTCGTGATCCGGCTGCCTCGGCCTCCCATAGTGCTGGGATTACTAGCGTGAGCCACAGCGCCCCGGCCCATGTAGATTTCTTAACACAGTTCGGTTTTTTTGCTGGATACACTTCAGGATCTTATTTTTTATTTGGAAACCTCCTTCTTTATCTTGGACTTTTTAACATAACACACCGTATCTATATGCACTATGAACTCTTAAAACCTCAGACAGTTTACCTGCAAAAGGTGGTCCCAACAACGCAGAGATGCCATTAGCACAGATGATGATGCCGTAGGCATTGGCCAAATGTTCAATGCCAACCAAGTCTTCAGTCACTATGGGCATTAGGGAGAAATAACCGCTGGAAAACCCTGTCAGTGTGCAGATGACCACCAGGCCAGCGTACATATGCATCAAAGGCAGAATTAAAAATACTGAGGAGGCCAGGTGCGGTGGCTCACACCTGTAATCCCAGCACTCTGGGAGGCTGAGGCAGGCGGATCACGAGGTCAGGAGATCAAGACCATCCTGGCTAACACGGTGAAACCCCATCTCTGCTAAAAATACAAAAACAAAATTAGCCTGGAGTGGTGGGGGCCGCCTGCAGTCCCAGCTACTCAGGAGGCTGAGGCAGGAGCATAGCGTGAACCCAGGAGGTGGAGCTTGCAGTGAGCCGAGATCGTGCCACTGCACCCCAGCCTGGGCAACAGAGCGAGACTCCGTCTCAAAAAAACCAAAACCAAAACCAAAACCAAAAACAAAAACAACAAAACAAAAATACTGAGGACAAGAACGAAGCTGGCCAACAGGAAGACATTCCAAACACTGATGCAAGGTAAGTCAGCTATGACGCCCAGGATCACTTTTCCAACAATGTGAACTATTGCTATAATTGAAGTCAGAGGGAAAACCTTCGTTTGCTCCAATAAGTTATACAAATTGACGATTTCTGGGAGATGAATAAAGGAGATGACAAAGCTGCTGTATGCAAATGAAGCCCAGAAAACAAAGGCTACAAACATTCGATTTGTAAATAGGCTGTCCCAAAATAGCCTGAGTACCAATCCTCGAAGCCCTTCTTGACTCTCATAATGAGCCAGCTGACCGTCTTCAGAACCGGAAAGCGCACATGATCTGGCCTGATCGGGGCACTCCTGGGCTTGCAGGTCACAGAGGGTCTCCTCGTTCCCAGACCCGCCATCCTTCTCTTCTATTCTTCCCTGCTGTCCATTTGACATTACAGACTCTGTGGAGTGCGCGGGCAGGACGCGCAGATCTTTCTCTTCTGGGTCATTTGGGTTTTTCCCAGGAGGGAGGGGCCTCATGAGGGTCCCAAAAACAAACAGGTTTAAGGAAACGGCGCCTTGGATCAACATGGCATTCCTCCAGCCATACTCTGCACACAAGTACTTCAGTAGCACAGTTATTAGGAAAGTACCGAATCCGGTCCCCTTAGTGCTGAGGCCCTGGGCGAGGGCGCGTCTCTTCGGAAATACCTGCTCACCCACGATGACAACCGCTGACAGATAGGCCATCCCGCTGCCCAGGCCAGCTGCCGCTCCAAAAGTAATGAAGAGAAAATGCACGTTTGCAGCGTAGGCACTCAACACCCAGCCCAGGGAGTTGACGAGCCCTGCAATGATCACAGTCTGGAGGCACCCACAGGTGTTAATGAACGAGCCATTGAAAGGGCGGCCCGAGGCCCGCTGGGTTGCGCCTTACTCGGCTCCGCATCCAGATCCTCGAACTTGCTGCTCTGCTTGGAGCCCCCTGAGCTGCTAGGTGTAGAGATTTCTTGCAATGTCGCCTATCATCCTGGAGACGCGGGTGCCTGCGGCTCAGCTCTCCACTGGGCTCGGTGCGCTGGGTACCGGGCTCCCGCGCTCTTCTGCCGCTCGCTGCCAGGCCAGGTGAGAGTTTGGTGGAGCTGAAAGCTCGACGCCTCAGTCCAGGTGGCTTTAAAAAGGGAGCTTTTGGAGGCGCCCAAACCTAAGCTGGGCTTCCTTCCAATCGGAGCAATTTCCAATCTTCATGCTGGTTGATTCCTATACTGGCTATTTCTGGTTTGGCAGGGGGAAAAAATGCAGTCACCTCACATGCACACTCTTGTGGTGGCCAGTTGAAGTTTATAGCTTTGGCTGAGGTTCCCCTAAGGCACTGCACATTTATCACTGGAGGAAAGGTCCTGAAACTGAATCCAGAATGCAGGTGAGACTAGCAGTAACCTCCATTTCTCTGAGATGGGAGAGAAGGGATGAAACAGACCCTCACTGCAATATTTTTGGCCAAAGAGGACTTAATGTGACTCATTGTCCCTTATTTTTTCTCTCTCGCTCGTTTAGAGTGAGGGGTTTCACTGTGTTGCCAGGCTGGTCTTGAATACTTGGGCTCAAGCGATCCTCTGGCCTTGGCCTTCCAAAGTGCTGGGATCACAAGCTGAGCCACCTTGCCAGCTCAGTCCCTCATTCTTGGTCCCACTCTGGGTTCCACCTCTCCCTGCTCTTTCTGCATGTCTATTACCTACCTTCATGGGCACCAGGCACAACTTTCATCTCAGTGCCTCCCTACCTCATTCCCAGCAGGGAACACAACACAATGCTTTACCTTGGACAATTTTCTGTATTATTGAAGTTAATGCATGAGTCGATGAAGCCTGTGCTGTTTTACCCCTCCTGAAGGTTTTGTAGTAGTTCTCTACTGCTGTTGTAATAAATTACCACAGTAATAGCAGAGGAAAACCACACAAATTCACTATTTACAGTTCTGGAGGTTGGAAGTTTGAAATGGGTCATACTGCGCTAAGATCATGGTGTTGGCACATTGAAGGCTGTGTTCCTTCTCATGGCTCTAGAGGAGAGCCACCAGCTTCTGCAGGCTGTGCACATTCCTTGGCTGGTGGCTCTTACTCCATCTTCAAAGCCAGCACTGCTGTATCATTCTGTCTTCTTTCCGTACTCACATTGCCTTGTCTCCTCTCCCAGGATCTTATTCTTAAAACGTCTATGTACTTTCCCATTTGTTATTTATTTATTTATTTTTGAGGCATGGTCTTACTCTGTCGCCCAGGCTGGAGTGCAGTAGTATGATCATGGCTCACTGCAACTCCTGCCTCCTGGGTTCAAGGGATCCTTCTACCTCAGCCTCCCAAGTAGCTGGGACCACAAGTGTACACTTCCACACCTGGCTAATTTTTGTATTTTTGGTAGAGGCAGGGTTTGCCACGTTGGTCAGGCTGGTCTTGAACTCCTGACCTTGAATGATTCACCCGCCTTGGCCTCCCAAAGTGCTGGGATTACAGGCATGAGCCACTGCACCTGGCCCCATTTGTTATTTCAATTATATTAGACTGATTATTTACTTGACTTGAGATTATTTTAAAATGGAATTCATTTTGAATTCACTATCACTCAGGGTACTAGCAAATTCTTACTAAATATTATGTCTGTTAATAGAAATAATTTATAGTTAGGCACAGTTGGACGAGATCTAGTGTACTTTATAATTCTGTCTTCATATTAGGCACCTTGAGGTTGACTTAGGTGCTATACACACCAATTAACATTAACATTTGTTTATCCTCATAGATGCGCTTACCCAGTAACTATGCCACTTCTATAAAGCTCAGTTTCCACCTATATATGCTGTGCAGGTATGTGATTAGATGTAATTCAGATTAAAACCCATAGTTGGTTTCTGGCATGGGAGCTGAGTTTTCTTCATTTCTCCAGAAATCCTCATGAGTAGTTTCCAGATATGCTTTAAAGAGGAATGGGTTTTCTTTCCATGTCCTATAATTATTTGTAGCCAGGGAAATTTGGGTCAATTAAGTCATAATGACAGCCATGATCATAGTAGCTTATCACTATAAGGAACAGGATTAGGGATCCAAACCAGAAAAGTAAACTTTTTGTCAAGTAAAATTTCTTAATATCCAGTAATTTGGGGGTATAAAATTATATTTTTCTTGGGCTCTAAAGCATTACTTCTTTTTGTATAATTAAGCTATTTCATGTCTTCTGTATGGTCAAAGGAAATTTTCATTTTTACTTAATATTTTTGATGAATGAAAAGTCATAAGTCCTTGATTTGGTTTAATCAATAAGAAATTTTATATGTTTAATTATTATTTTTTCTGAGGTTTTTGTTTCAATTTCTATGAGTTTTTTTTTTGTATGAATGTACTAAATAAGTAAGCTTCACTTTTACTTCCTCCACTTGGGCTTCAACAAAGAAACGTTCGAGTCTTATATAGTAGTACCTCCATGGTTATGACAAAATACACCTGCAGTGGGAGGGTGGTGGGAATTACAGATTAAATTTATTTCCTCCACTTAATTTTTTTCTATTCCTTGGTCTTATCTGGTAGGAGGCAAGTGACTACAGAGATAGCAGCATATAGGAAGGATCTATAAGACAGGACCCCAAAGAAAGGTTCTAGTAATAGACTCAAACCTGCTAACATTTTAGAGTGGGGAGAATTTTAATCCATTCCATAGTCCCATTACATCCATTGCTTGAAGATGAGGACAAATAAAAGTTTCATTTTATACATATTCATATTATGAACCCATTAATAGACAATAGTAATTGTGAAGTTTATTTCCTAAGCAGATATATTGGGATCAGAGATTCTGTGTATTTGAACAACATTCTGCACCAGACTACACATTGTTGATACTGCCTTGCTGCTTTAACTGGAAAAGTGTTCCTATAACCTGAATGAGAATAATATATATATACACATTTATTTTTACGTGGAAGGCCTAATGTGTCCTGGCAACAGACATACAAGTATTGTCATACATATGAAAAGATAATCTCACTCATAATGAGAGAAATGCAAATTACAGCCAATCTGAGATCCTATTTTTTAATATATAAGACTAGTGATATCAAAACATTTAATAAAATTATGTTAAAGATGGAGGGAATATAAATTCTTACAACTTCTATGGGATGTAATTTGGCAATAGTTATCAAAATTACAGTGCATTTGTACTATGGCCCACATTTCCCTTTCTAGGAATTTATTTTACAGATTTATTTGCACTATGTAAAATGATATATATAGAAGAATATTCATTGAAGCATTATAATTGTAATAATAAAAGACCAGGCCGGGTGCAGTGTCTCACGCCTGTAATCCCAACACTTTGGGAGGCTGAGGCGGGTGGATCACCTGAGGTCAAGAGTTCAAGACCAGCCTGGCCAACATGGTGAAACCCCATCTCTATTGAAAATACCAAAACTAGCCGGGCATGGTGGCAGGCGCACCTGTAATCCCAGCTACTCAGTGGGCGGCTGAGGCAGGAGAATCGCTTGAACTTGGGAGGCAGAGATTTCAGTGAGCCGAGATCACACCATTGCACTCCAGCCTGGGGGACAAGAGTGAGACCTCGTCTCAAAAAAAAAAAAAAAAAAAAGCAACTTAAATGTCAATCAATATGAAACAAATTAAATATAGAAAGGTACATTCATACAATAGCACAATGCACAGTCATTTAAAAATAACAGAGACACTTTTTATGTATTGAATTGGAATGTTTTTTAAGATACATATGTTATTAAAGCAAGGTGCTGAACAGTATGTGTAATATATTACCATTTATGCAAAAAAGGTAAGAATAATGAGTGTTTGCTCATATAACACAAGTATAGTGTTAAGTATAATAAATCTCTGATGGAATACTGAGAAATTGATAAGGGTGGTGTCCCTGAGGAAAAGTAAATGAGTGGCTGGGGAACAAACAGGGATAGAATGAATAATTTTCATTATCTGTTCTTTTATTTGTTTTGAATTTTAAAATTTATGAATAAATTACCTACTTAAAAATTAAACACTGGAAAATAAAGAAAAGAATATATTTTCCTGGTCAGTGATCTCATTCAGTTAAGATTTAAAATATCATCCTCATATTAGACACGATTTCAGATCCAGAACAATTGTAGTTGGCACAAACTCATTTAGCTTCCAACCTTCCACAATAAATATGCAGGAACTGTCTTCATATTCAACAAGTTGGTGATTTAAGGGCTAGTAAGTTGGATGGATTACCCAGTTCCTCTCACTCTCAAACCCCATTCATGATTTCAATCCCTTCTTCTGGGTCATTGTACAGTTTCCCATTTATAATTGTGGTGGTATGGGGACTATTCCATAAGTTTCTGTTTCATGTCCTATTATCAACCCTACTTGGTATCCGCATTTCAAATTCAAGCCACAACTCCTCCTTTCTGCCATGTTACTCTAAACACACACTAAGGGGGAGGTAAATTCACCCCAGAGGATATCTTTAGTCCTCTGTGTCTAACAACAAAAAATATATCACAATTCATAAACTGGATCCTTGCTTGTCCAACTCTGTTGTTGGTCCAAGAAGCCCCTCTTATGATCGGAATTAGTGCTTCCTCTGAACCTACATCTGAAAGCCCCTAAGATGATTATACTTATATATTTTCCCTGAAATACCTGGGCTTAAGCGTAGGACCATCTTTCTGGAAAGACTTGATATCGTATATGGAGAGAATATACATATTTATTCTTCTCCTTAGACTGGGCTATTTATCCTTCCCCTTAGACCGATGAGTCCAGAGAGGATAAATTGAAGTTAGTTTTCCTTAGCATTACTCCTTAAAGTTGTAAAGGAGTACTAATACAGTCAATTATTAAACCATTTTTCTCTTTGCTGGTTATACACACATGTAGTATAGAAGAATATACAATGCAAAACTTTAATTCAGGCTCAGGAAGCACATTTTAACCCATACCAGGTACACAAGAATTCTGTAGATTTTCCCTTTATTTGAATATAGATATGATACTTTCAAATTCTGCCCACTTAAAACCTTCCATAGAGTTATTCCAATGGAACAAGAAAGAAGTATCCTATTCTTGCCTGACTGATTCATTTAGCCAACATTATTTGTAAATCTCTGTCAGGAGTTAGTTCACAAAAGTGCAGTGCATTTGCTTCATGTGCTGCTGCTCCATGTCTCAGCTTTGCCTGTGTGTCGGCTGCTCAGTGGGTGGGTGGGCAGGTCAGCTTGGATATTCTTTTTTTTTCAAACTTTAAGTTCTGGGATACATGTGCAGAACGTGCAAGTTTGTTACATAGGTATACATGTGCCATGGTGGTTTGCTGTACCTATCAACCTATCATCTAGGTTTTAAGCCCTGCATGCATTAGGTATTTGTCCTATTGCTCTCCCTCCCCTTGCCCCCGACCCCCAGACAGGCCCCAGTGTGTGATGTTCCCCTCCCTCTATCCATGTGTTCTTGTTGTTCAACTCCCACTTATGAATGAGAACAGGCAGTGTTTGGTTTTCTGTTCCCGTGTTAGTTTGCTGCGAATGATGGCTTCCAGCTTCATCGGATATTGCTGTTCTTAATGCATGCAGTTGACCCCTTGTTCTCAGAGACAAATGCATTTTCAAGTTTTCAATAGTTTTTTTTTCCCTTATTAAACTCAGCTACTGGAGTTACAATTTCCCGCACACTTGGCTTGTTTTACCTATATCAGAGTACTCTTTAGAAACCTTCCCTATTATCTTGTGGTTGGCACTATCATTGAAGCTAATAATCCTGCAGCCTCAAAAACATCTTTCGCCTATGTGGACAGAGGGAGGAGAGGAACCTAGAGGAGATCTGCTTACCTGCTCATGCACTCCTTTGGCCTTCCTATCACAGCGCTCCTTTAAGGTAACTGCTTCCATTTAGTAATATTCCTTCACTGTTCCATGAGTCTTTTTTCTCATTAAGTCTTCTGCTTACAACTTAATGTTTATACTCTTAGTCCTTGACTATGGCTTGCCTTCCTGTTCAATTTCAGCAAGTTTGACCTTGGCCATAATTAAATGAAAGACAAGTACACAGAAGGATGTATCCTGATCCCACCAGTCTCTGAAGCATTGCTGTGGTAGGAAATACAAACATAAATTCTGAAAATCCACAAAGTTTTCAGTACAATCATGTCAATTTTCTTTTTCTTTTTTTTTTTTTTTTTTTGAGACAGGGGTCTCACTTTGTCACAGGCTGAAGTGCAGTGGAATGGTCATGGCTCACTGCAGCCTCAACCTCCCAGACTCAAGTAATCCTCCCACCTCAGCCTCCTGAGTAGTGAGTAGCTGAGATCATAGGTGCATGCCATCATGCCCTGCTAATTTTGTTGTTGTTGTTGAGACAGGGGTCTTACTATTTTGCCTAGGCTAGTCTCAAACTCCTGGGCTCAAGTGATCCTCCTGGCTTGGCCTCCCAAAGTGCTGGGATTACAGGCATGAGTCACTGCACCCAGCCAATCATGTACAGTTTGTTTCTTTCCCCAGATATTAGATTGAGGTCCCTGAGTTTGGGAATATTTTGAAATGTATCTTTATTCCTGGCATCTAGCCCAGTACTTGACACATAGCAAGGACACAGTAAATGTTTACAGAGGAATGAGTTTATTTCCTTTGTTCTCTCTATTCATGTACTTGTTAGGCCAGCATGATTTCCTCTTCAGAAATCAGATTGTCTTAGGTTAGAAAGTGTAATGTGTACTGTGGCCCAACCTCTGAAATGACTCATTGGCCATAATTTCCATAGTTTCCTGTGGGACTCTTCTCATGTTCAAGGTCTCACTGGTAAACTCTCATCCTCCAGCATCATTGTGCTTATAAAAAAAGGATTTTCCATTTTGGCTAACAGTTCAACAATTTCATCCTTGGGTTAATTTAAAATTTTCCATAGCTACCATATGGTCTCACAGATCTAATACATTTAGTTAGTTTATAATTTTCAGAATGCCTGAACATTTGCCAGCGTTTGCTCAAGTACATTCAACCTGTACACTTCGAAAGCCAATTTGGGAGTGCGAAAACTTTTAATAAGTTTCTCTTTAAAAATGTTGACAGATAATTTATTTGTTCTCTCTACTGTCTGTTCTTTTTCTTTTATATGCCCTGTGTATCATGATCATCAAAGTGATTGCTCTCTGTATTTAAAGAAATACTTTTCACATTAGGAACAAAGCCTTGTAATCTTCATCTTCATATGCCATGCCTGCTATCTTCTTTTCCTTCCTTTTTTTTTTTTTTTTTTCTGAAACAGAGTCTTGCTGTGTTGCCCGGGCTGGAGAGTAGTGGCATAATCTGACTCACTGTAACCCTCCACCTCCTGGGCTCAAGCAATCCTCCTACCTTAGCCTCCTGAGTACCTGGGACTACAGAGGAGTGCCACTACAGCTGGCTAATTTTTGTATTTTTGTAGAGATAGGGTTTTGCCATGTGGCCTAGGCTGGTCTTGAACTTCTTGGCTCAAGCGATCCACCTGCCTCAGCCTCCTAAAGTTCTGGGATTATAGGCATAAGCCACTGTGCCCAGGCTACCTGCTACATCCTAATGTGCTAAAACTCTTTTTACTTTGCCTATATTGATACTTTCTGAAAAAAATAAAAGGGAATATATTCAGGATAGTTCCTTTTAATTTTCCAGCTAAGGATGTCAGGTTTTTCTTGTTTAAATATCTAATAATCTTGATAGTATATTTAATCACAAGGTTCTAATCAGCTATCTTGATGAAGTTTCTAGAATCTGTGTAGATTAATGGATTTTATATAGTTTCCACAAAAATATCCAAACTTTGTTTCCTCATTCATTAAAAAATTGCCTACTTATAGGAAAATATATTAATATAGTATAATGGATTTCAGCAAGACTTGTGACAAGATGTTTGATGGTATAAATACACTCAGATAGAGCAGCATTGGGATAGATGATTATATAAGTAGATAAGTTTGAGGAGTTGGAAAAAAAATCCCTAAGTGCTTTGAACATAGCACACATGAAATAATTGAAGGATTGAGTCATCTTTAAGGAAGGCATCTGGAGTCAGGACACAGGGCTCTGCAACTGACATTGTACAAATCGAACAAGAGTTTGGGTAACTAATGTAATCTTGGGTCTCAAAAACAGAAATATAAAAATAAAAAGAATCAGACTATGTTCTTATCATATCTGTAGAGTACCCTTCCTTCTGGATGCCAGTACATTTTTTTTTTAATTTAAGAAGTATGCTGTCAAAACATAGTATATCAGGGTACACATTGCTAAATGACAACTACTTTGAAAACAAGATGAAGTGGCCAAAGTGGGAACATGGACAATAACTTCAAATATTTGTGTGACATCACATGACATAGGGATTTATCTAACTTAACTCTGGAAAAAATACCTAGGGTCAATAGTTAGAATTTAAGAGGCTGCCAGGTTCAGTTCCGTATAAAAAGTGTTTTAAGGAGTATTCCAACAAAATAGTGATTTAGCTTTGTGAGATAGTAAGTTCCCTGCCATTAGACCTATTAAGGCAGACACTGAATAAAGCTTGTCAGGTATTCCATCCAGTTGGGAGTTTAAATACATTCATAATTTTCCCCTCCAAATTAAAGATAGCATGATTTTGATGCTTCCTGTTTGATTAATTCCATTTTCCACTGCTAAGGAGATAAGGTTGATTTGAAGTGTTGCACTTACTTTCAAAATTCATTCACAGGAACTCACCACGCTCACCTGACACAGCAATACCAATCACAGAGATGGCTGGGAGCTAATACTCCCTGGACTCTTGTCTTTAGAGGAAATGTTAACAAACATAGCACACCCACAAGGACCTGAACCTGAACGTGAGAAGGCTGCTGGTTGCCTTCTTTCTTAATCGGCAGATGCAAACATCTACTGCTGGAGGACCATATTTTACAACTGATATTTCTAGGGAAGCTGAGGCAGACACTTCTGGTTCACTGACCCACCTCCATTTCAACACTCTGCTCCCCCACTGCCCTCTGGGTTGTCATGAAATAGAAGCAGAGTCCTGTGCTAAGGTTCCAGGGAAAGCCTTTGCTTTCCTGATGCAGGCATTGCTACTTCCTCCTTCTAAAGGACTTAGTCATGAAAGCTGATGATGGAGCTGCAGCGGCTAATGTACAGCCAGGCATGAGCAAAAGCCCCTGGGGAACTGCAAAGGCATCAGCACTGACAACAACTGCCTTGCAAACACTCAGCGGCCATTTGTTTAATCATCTCTGCTCAGACATTTCTGTTGCCAGCAGCTGAATACTTTTCTGACAGAGAGTGATCCTTTATGATTTTCCCCCTTGGGAATGTAATATTTCTAGTCATATGACTGCTTAAGCATCCTGTACAACTAGTTCCTTAAAGCTATCCTTGTTTGTAACTGAGAGGTCTGAGGAACATATTGAATGTTTATGGGAATCATAGAATCTTAGTAGTCAGAAAGAATCTTCAGGGTTCATCAATTTTTTTAAAAAAATCTCAGAAGTATAGAAATTGTCTTCTATTAAGAACCCAAATAAATGTTGTCTTAGTCCATTTGGGCTATAATGGCAGAATACCACAATCTGGGTAGCTTATCAACTACAGAAACTTATTTCTCACCCTTCTAGAGGCTGGGAAGTCCATGATGATCAAGGCAACAGAAAATTCAGTGTCTATAAAGGACCCACTTTTTGGTTTATAGACATAGACTCTGTCCTCACATGGTATAAGAAGCAAGGGAGCTCTCCTAGGTTCCTTTTGTAAGGGCACTAACCACACTCATGAGGCCCCTGCCTTCATGACCTAATCCCCTCTAAAGGCTCATCTCCTAACACCAGCACCTTGAGGCTTTGAATTTCAACATGTGAATTTTTGGGGGGACACAAACTTTCAGATTATAGCAAATGGTCATTTATTTATTCATACAGTAATTCACAAAATATTGATTGAGTGGCTACTAGATTGAATGCCTTCATTGAAGGATCTCAATAACATATCAAGGTAGCCTTTGAATAGCTCTGATTGAGAAAAATTCTTTTATGAGCCAAAATGTTTTGATTTTATATGGAATATCATTTTTAAAAAAGTTATATTTTGGTTTTGTAGAGTGTGTAATTTCTGAAATATTTATTACTATATATAAAAATATATATATATATATATTTGAGATGGAGTTTTGCTCTTGTTGCCCAGGCTGGACTGCAATGGCACTGTCTCGGCTCACTGCAACCTCCATCTCCCAGGTTCAAGGGATTCTCCTGCCTCAGCCTCCCAAGTAGCTAAGATTACAGGTGTGTGCCACTATGCCTGGCTAATTTTGTTTTTTTTTTAGTAGAGATGGAGTTTCTCCATGTTGGTCAGGCTGTTCTCGAACTCCCAACCTCAGGTGATCTGCCCGCCTCAGCCTCCCAAAGTGCTGGGAGTTATTTCTATAAGTTATAGAAAAAACAACTTGTCACATTGGAAACAGTTCACAGAGTTTGTTGGCACTGTCTCTTACTAGCTGTGAGAATTTGGGCAAGTTATTTGGACTCGCTTTTCTCTGTTTGCTCCTCTGAACTCCCTCACCCTCTGTCCTCTCTTTGTACTACATTTCCATTGTGCATCAACAACTGGACTCCCTTGCCTGCTGTCACTGGGGAGCATTGGTTAGTGGAGGCATCTGCAGGAGATTGGAGGATGGGAGGAGAGGGAGAAGAGAGGTGAGGTTATTTGCTCCTTCAGTAGACTTTCTTATTCTCTGTTGGTTCTATCAGTGGCTGCATCCTTCTGCAGCCTTCTTTAAGATGCTGTTTCTTCTCTCAAACCTTCCTGTGGCTCTAGTAACATCCATCTCTCCCCTTTCTCCTTTGGGCCTACATGTGGAAGTGGCTCCCTGTGGTTGCACATTCTGGTTGACATTATTGTATTTTCTTTTCATGTTACACTGCCTCTTATAAGTTTCCTTTTTCCTAATTTCTATCCTTATATATTGTTCCTTTTGAATATATCATCTGTTTCTTGTTGGGTCCCCAGTTGCTGCATTATTAAGTCTCTGTGCCTCAGTTTACTCATGTACATGAGAATATTAATAGCTACATCAAAGAGATCCTGCGAAACTTTAATGAGATTAGCTCTGAAATACTGCACAATGTCTGGCACATAGTAAGTGTTCCATAAATATAGGATTATATAAATATTAATCAGCATAGTAAAGAGGGCTTCAAGAGCATTCTTGCCATTTGTACATGCTGGTGGAAACTATTTAAATATAAATATAGCATAACACATAGGATTAGAGAGAACATACAGTAATATTAATGGCTGCAAGTGTAAGAAGAAGCATTGCTTCTCTTAAGATTCTCACCCTCCCCTACCAAGCCCATCTATCTTTTTCTCCCTGGGTGTCTGCTCATTCAAAGATGAGTAATAGGTAATGCTTCACTAGCTGAAAGCAGTGCCAGCTTCATTCATTTTATCACCAATTTAATTACCTGACTAAATGCAATTTAAAACACATAGCACTACCATTAATTGTGTGCGCGTGAGTGTATATATATGTATATATATATATATGCCTTTTCTTGATTTTTGAAAAGCTGGATGAAATGTTTGTTTGTACACACTTTAACATGAAGAAAAGCCTTATGCACATTCTTGCCAATGTGTAAATTCTTCCTTTAGAATTTGCACATACATCTCTGTATCACTTATGAAGTTGTTTCATAGTTACTTGCTTTCCTATTGCTCTTCTCTGTGTAACTTTTTAACCCACATCACCTTGTAGATTGCCTTTCACATAGTAGGCACTCAATAAATGCTTGCTGAAAGAATGACACATGTAATAAGTTAGTAGGAACTATTGGTTTTATTTAGGATCCAGAGTAAGACACAGATGGCCTGGCAGATGGCATGTGAGGTCATGCAATGCCCTCCCAGGGAGCCTGAAATTATTCACCAAAAGCCATTGCGTCACCACTGTGACCAGCTTGAGCACTCCTGTGAATCTGAGCAGACACATTAGCTAGCAATAGAATGATTAATAAGGGAGAATTCTACATCGGACTCCCTGTTGAGAAAAGACAATATACAGAACTGAGAGAAATAATGGCCTGAGGATAGAAGCCTAGGTCAATGAGAGACATATCTTAAATTGAACCATGATCAGGGTAAAGCACACAGAAATGATGTAGCATTTTTTCCCTCTTAACTGAGATCTTTTGGATTTAGATGTTGAACATGTTAAAGGAATGGACAAACAAGGTAGTTATGATGGTTGAAAACATACCAGCAAATAAATCCAAGGTCTAATGGGAATTTCTTCACTGAGATCATATTGATTTATATTTACTGCAGTCATTATTCAAAAGATCTGCAGCAACTCAAGTGATGTAGCTACTTCATACTTCCTGATTGATTTGTCATGGTGCAAAGGAAATACATTTGTAGTTTTAACCTTCCAAACCTTTATTTCTGATGCAAAGAAAACTTCAATATCGAATGCTTTGCAGTGCATGGAACGTGACATATTTCTTTGTGTTGGGGTGCTGTATTGCTGCTTAAAATGCTTTGCTCTTCCTTTGTCTATCTAAATCCTGAATGAGAAGTCTTCCATGGCTACACTAAGACCAGCATAATTGCTCCTTCTATGTACTTCTATGAAAATACCTTTGCACAATAGATTTTGTCAGCAGCCTGAGTAAATAACATCATCTGGAAACTCACATTAGCTAGCTAAAATTGTTTTGATATAGTCTAGTCAATATGCGGTTTCTCTAGTCTTTCATTATTTTTTTCCAGTATTCATGGCAGTACTGGAGGTGCCCAGAGGTTATCTGGCTCTGTTTTACTCTCCCCGTTCCCAGTATGAGGCATATACCTTTTCGTGGATGCTTTGGTGGACTGTGCAGAACATGACATGAAGAACTTACTCACCTAGTTTCTTGGAGTAATGGCAGGCAACATCAGCTGTCAACCCCCTTTGGATGTGGCCTCAGCTGAAGACAGCACCCTTAGCAAGTTTGGTGGGGAGACAGTTTTTCTACCCCACTGAGACTACTGTGAAGGGTTATTCTTTCTTTGGGATTTCCCTTGGAGTTGGCTGAGGCTTTAGCTGAGGCTTCATTGTTGCTCCACTTTTTCCTCTGCCCAATCTGCTTTCTTTCTGCAGGAACTGACTCCAAGAGCACTCCCTAAACCTCCTGAAGGCAAATTTCTATCTGAGAATCTGCTTCTCAGGGAGCCCAATTCATGAGAGGTGGTGGCAGTAGTGGACCAAGAGAGTACACACACGGATAGCATTTGGAGCCAGATTACACAGCTGCCTTGCAGGCAGTAAGGACCCCATCACTGGTGGTAGGTACAGCACAAAGAGCCTCGGCACAAGATAACAAACAGTATAAACTGCAGAGAACAGGGATGGCAGATAGGTAGAAGGGAATGCACTGGATGGTATGATGTTTCCAGTGTTTGAGCAATATAGGAAAAATAGTAACTGTAAGGAGGATAGAGTTGGGTGGCTCTTGTTAAGCTTGATTGATGCTCTGGAAAAATACCACAAAAAGATGAATTGTAGCCTTTGTTCAAAAGCTAAGCTTGAAAGCCAGAGGGCCTCCTTTGTAGCATAAAAGAGACTAATCTTCTGCAGCAGGAGGGGAGAGAAACTGAGGACCAGGGCCAGGACCAAAGAATAGTTGAACCCCCTAAAATATCTAAATCCTACCATTGAAGGTCTACTAAGCCAACATCAGGGCTCTGATTGAAATAAACTGGGAACTTGACTCATGGGATGGGGTTGGTGCCCTAAAAATCTTGAATTCCTAGATCCTCTTGAGTCCTCTGAACTTTCAAAAAGGGTTACTTTTCCTAACTACTAACTACTTTCCTAACTTTTCCTAAGTAGGTACCTGCCTCCATTTGAAAATGATGCAGAGGCCTCGCCCTCCCAAGACAATATATATTCACTCATTTTCCTAGGATCTACCCTTAACTCCCTTCTGTCTACTAGGAGAACAACTAGGGCTGAGTTATAACCTCATCTAGTAATATGCTGGGTCTGACAAGTGAGGAAAGATCTTGCTATCATGTGCCTGGAGGAGTTGGAAGGTTCATATGGTGTTGGATCTGGGGGGTGCTTGATCAGGTTGGGCATGACATAATGGTTGGATAGAGAAGAGTATATTTAAATCTCGCTTAGGATATGTGACTTAACACCCTGAGAAAGACTTGGGGAGATGGTGAGGATAAGCAGAAAGTGATAGATGACACATAGGGAAGAAATGCCAGAATTTCCATGACATATAGTGTAAGAAGAGATTAAAAGGCTCAGAGATGTGGACATGATAGGATGAATGCACTATGAATATATTATGCAAGGCTAGAAGTTCCATCATATGACTATGTTCCATAGAAAAGCCAGGGGGATATGTCACTCACCAAAACAATGGAAAATGTACTGGGCAAGGGGCATCAACATCAGTACAACGTTCAAGGTGGCCATCCTCAGTAGGCAAGGGCTAATGGCGAGACTTGCCAGTACAAAACTGGCTCACTATTGCAGTGGAGATGCAGAGATCCCTGAGACAACAGAGTCCATTGACAGCACTTAATAAAAAGTCAGGTAGACACATTTTAATGAATGGCAAATTTGGAAACGGGGCAAGGTGTGGCCTGACTCTGTGGTTGACAGAACATGCTGTCCTTAGTCAACTGGTAACTAGTAAAAGTACTACCAAAACCGTGCAATTAAAAGAAATCACGAATGAATGGGCAGTTGAGGGCAGTTGCCCTCCATAAAACTTACAATCTCATGCATAGATCTGAGGTGGTGTTAGACCTGGGATCTACTGACTGAATGAAAGACCTGACCCCAGGAGGAAGGACCCTGAAATACCACAGCAAGTGCACATGTTGTGATTCCCTCAGTTTTTCCCTTGTCCATAGCTTTAAACCACCAAGTTTTGGAATGGATGGTTACACTGCAATAGTTATCAGCTACTCTGATCATTTTGTGCCTGAGCCCACCAAGCAAACACTGGGGCAACTGGGGAAGGATCCAGAGGGATTCAACTTTCTCCTAATTATGAAACACTTTTTCCAGAGTGGAGGCCTTTGGTGAGAATTCACATGATAAACACCCATCTTCATAGGCTGGATGTGCTCATAACTTTTTCCCAAACTTTGTCACAAATCCTCTCTCTTTCCCTACTCCCATCCCCCAAATTCCTGACCATCAAGTAACACCATTAGATCTTCACAAATTGGTATACATCTTGATTTTAGGCTACCTCTTTAGAGGCAAAGAGGACAGTGACATCTACTTCCCAAGGTTTTGTCTACTGATTAGACTTTCTTTATCCACTGCTTTTTAAGTCAGAGGATGTGACTCTGCAGCTGTCCACTTCCAGCTTATAGTAGCACACTGAGCAGAGTCATTCATAAACCACATAGCTATGGGTGGAGGAGGAGGTGATGTGCCAGGACTATGGATTTGAGTCCATGCCTTGAGACAAGGATTTGAGGTTTGAGTGTTTCATTTGCCCTTTCAGCTGACAAGTGCTATTAAAAGCCCTCACTTTATCTTGCCCTGAAGCCATTCAATACCTTATGCCCTTCATTTGGCCTTGCTGACATGAACCCCCAAGATATTGCCTTTGTTGTGTAGTTCATTCATTCCAAGGGAACTTGGATGATAATTTCATTAGCTGTTTTGTTATGGTAGGCCATGGACTACCAGTTTCCTATTCCTTAGATGCTCCCTATCCCTCAGATTTCCTGGAGGTTTTGTGCTACAGTCACTCCTGGTACCATTTTCTATAAAGTCAGAGTTTTTCCCTACCAGCAACAGAAGCTGACTTTGGCTGAATTAAGCTGAAAAATAATATATTGAACAAATATTGGGTAACTTGAAGAATTTTGGCAAAGATAAGGAAGCACCTGGAGAATGGCAAGTTTAAAAGGTAACTGCACAACCAAAAATAGAAAAGCAAAACAAATAAACAAAATTAGTTCTGAGAAGCAGTCCAGTGAGATGACTAGTAATGCAGCCACCAGACATGAATGCTGCAGCTTGCACCCACGCTATCATGGGCTCTGCCTGTCACCATGGCAACACTGCCAATCCTGCCTCTGGACTCTTGATGTTGCTGCTGCTGCTTTTGCAACAGAAATAATTCCCTGGAGTCACTGCTTTTTTATGTTATTAGCTCCAGACTCCAGATCCATGGCATGTGCATTTGGTTAACTGAGCCTAGATCCACATCTGCACAGCAGCTGTCTCAGGGGCTTGGAAAACAATGAACTGGCCTTTGTGGGCTTTTTTAGTGAAAGATATGCTCTGATTCCTACCAAAACTCAGGTTCAGAAAATTTCCCAAACATGGAAAAGAGGTTCAGATGTTCGACAAGGAAGAAAAAAAGGCAGATGTCCTCTACATAAGATCCCTCTGATCTTTCTATCCCTGGCCTAGGTTCCCTACCGTGTTGTATTATACATTCGTCTTCTTCAAGAATCCATTTGTTTTGTAAGATTTGAAATAATCCACTTCCTAAACTTGAACATGTTAGCCTCCAGCCTGAACTTCTAACACGTTCTGAAGAATAATAAAGCTGAATAAATAAGAAATTACATTTGTTTTCAGGTGAAGACGTTTGTACAAGGGGAACTTCAAGTTAAAGGAAAACACATTTGCTTTTAGTATGAGAGTTATGTAAGGTCAGTAACTAAAGTCCACAGTCAGTTCTACAGAGTTGGAAATTGGCAATTTTTGTCTAAATGAAAACGATTTATGAAGAAGACTTGTGGTAGAGCCATTAAAAATGAAGTTAACAAGTTTAGATTAATAAAACTGGGAATATTTTTAAGATATTAGAATCTGAACTTAAGGTTTTTCATAAAAGAGTCAGTCATAATGAATAAAAAATTTTTACTTTTCCTGAGACAACTTCAATTGAGATGGTTAAATGTAATTTAGCCTATGGCCTCCTTTTCATGCACAGATCTTACTAAATATGGAGAAGAGGTGAAAACTCAATTACATACTTCATGAAAGACAGGAAAGGCAGGTCATTTTACATATGGCTCATGGTATGGGTGGCTAATAGAAAGGTGCCACAGATATATCTAAAAAAATCTTCTTTACCTTTCCATTCTAAATTAAGCTGCTGGGTCAACAGAGGCTGTAATCAGGAAATTTTCTTGAGTGGATATACAAAGTGGGCAGCGGGGTGTCGGCCAAATCTGAAAAGTCATGGTGCACTTTAGAATCTTTTTAAGAATTGTGTAATAGGTCTGAAATGTAGGTTCTAATACCAAAAAGAAATTATGCAGGTGGATCAATGAAGTGCATGACACTATTTAGACTTTCAGAAACCATAGAGTTTCTATGATTGTTTTCCCAAGGCCTACTCATGCAGCCCTCACTATGCCATCTCCCAATTGTACGTTTTTAGGTTTATGTATTGTCTATTCTGAGATTCTCCCTCTTATCTACTTATCTATCTATCCATCTCTCTATCTATCAGATCTATCTTTTATTAAAGAGAAATTAGACCACAAACACAAAAAGACAGAGGAATATAAGAAACTTTTAGGTACCATTTTCCAACTTCAATAACAATCAATTTGTGGTCACTTCCACCAATCCCATACTATTTTGAAGCAAATGCCTGACAATATAATTGGATCTGAAAATATTTTAGTCGATATCTCTAAAAGTTAATGTTTTTAAAAACAACCACAATACCATGATCACAAATAGAATTCACATTTTTTAGTATCATCAATTATCCAGTCAGTATTCTAATGTCCAATGATCTCATATATCTTATAAATATGAATGTGTTTTTTTTTTCCAAAAGTAGAATCAAAATTCAGACATGACCTGTGCATTATGAGTGGTTGCTGTTTTTTTAATCTTTCTCAATTGGTAAGTTCTTCTTTATCTCTGTCCCTCTTCTCTCCCTCCTTGAAACTTGTTTGTAGAAGAAACCAGGTCATTTGTCTCATAAATGTTTCCCACAGTCTGGAGTTGTGAATATTTGAGAACAAAAAATAGTAATGTGTGAGATGTGAGTGTTCACAGTCTTGTGGTCCTGGACCCTAAGAGAAATCTGGCTTTGCCATAATAGCAAAGTGAGGATGGGTAAAAAGGTCCTTCTCATTACAAGTCATGCTTACCCCAGCAGGGTTTGAGGATAGAGAGTGTGATAAGAAATAGAGCAAGTGTGTTTGGATGGAATATTAATTTTGTTGTATTTCTTAGAAGCTTGACATAATGGTTAGCAGCTGGATAGGATAGAAAACTAGTACAGAAGAGGAGGGACCAACTCTTACAATTCAGTTGTTGAAAGACATTTTAAGGAGAGTGGGCAAGGGAAAAAAGAAAAGAAGAAAGCTTTGACAAACAGACTTGATCATGTAGGCCTCTAGATTCCAGGCACAAAATTTAACATTCTCCCATTCATTCCTTCACAAATATCACAAACACACTGCCTTACTACTTTCCCTCTAGCTATGCTCCGTTTTGTTTGCGTAGATAATCTATGGACTATTTCTGTTGTAAGCTGGGAAAATATTTGCATGCATCTAATTATTCTATATGTATAGCATTCATTACTTCTTTGGTCTTGAGTGAATCATATTCTGTATTGAGACAGAATTCTATTTTCCATCCCTACTAAAGCATACAGGCAGGTATCAAATAAAATCATTCCTCCAACATTTCTTTTCTTCTGCTACAGGTTTTCCCTGGATATAATCACCCATTCTGAGACCTTAAAATATAATTTTTTTAAATATAATTTTTACATTGATGACTTTTGTATTAGCACGTATAGCCCAAGCTTCCTATCTTCAAGCCTTAAAATCCTGAAAGCTAATTATTAATATGGGATTCAAGTCTTCTTTCCGAATTCATTTTTTGTCCACTGGAATTCTCATGGTGTTGAGACATTTTTTTCTATTGAATACAGAGAAGCCTTTGTTTTCTCTATCTTGTGTCGCTAATTTACAGCATTTTAAGCCCTTCATGAAAGTTTTCAAGGTCACTACCAGTTGGGCCTACCATGCTACGTTAATATGTCTACCTAAATATCGTGCAGTTCTCACATTTTCCATCTCCAAAATGGACGTTCTCATCTTTGCCCTCTATCCATCTCTTCTTACATACAGTGTGATACATTTATTGACTTGTCTATTCTACCAATCTTGGTGTTTGGTACTTTGAGTAATCAAATGATGCATGCCATAGTTCCCTTTCTTACTATCTTACTCCATGATTTTACCTTCTAATGAAAAAGAGAAAGGGGGAAATCAGTGATAATTGTCTTTGTTTTCTAAAATCCTACATTGTTGGCTATATATTAATTTTAAAAGGGTATGCATCCTAATTAGTGTAGATTTAAGAAAACACTTCCTTTATTTTCCCAGAGGTAACTTTTTTAATTTTGAAAATTTGTTATTTTTAATTATTATGGATACATAATGGTTGTATATATTTGTGGGGTACCTGTGATATTTTGATGCAGTTATACAATTTGGAATGATCAAATCAGGGTAATTGTAGTATATATTACCTCAAGTATTTGTTATTTCTTTGTGTTAGAAACATTCCAATTCCACTCTTTCAATTATTTTAAAAGATACATGTTAAATTACTGTTAACTATGGAACTATGGTAAACTTTTGTGCTACCAAATACTAGATCATAGTCATGTAATCAAATTGTATTTTTGTACCCTTTAACCATCCCCTCCTTCTTGGCCCCCTTCCCTGCTACCCTTCTCAGCCTTTGGCCTCCATCATTCTACTCCCAGAGATAACTTTAGTAAGGAATTGGGGTCGTGCCAAATAAATAAAAGACAAAATGGCACAATGAAGCAATTTTTTTTTTATCAAGATGATAAGCCTGATTGGTGGTGACCTTGAAAGCTTTCATGAAGATTTTAAAGTGACACAATGTTAAATTAGGGACACTAGACAGAGAAAGCAATGGCTCATCTGTATTAAGTTAAAAAGTGTCTTAACAGGAGGAAAATTCAAGTGGACAAAAAATGAATTCAGAAAGAAGACTTGAATCACATAATTAACTTTCAGGGACTCAGTCTACTTTCTCATCTGATAAAATCTTTCAGGATGACATGCTGTAAAGGTCAGCATTCTGTTACTTCTAAGTAGAAAAAGTTCTTATTCTCTAGTTTCTTAGTAAAGATGACTTGCAGTTAATGCCTAAATTATGATTTCTGTGAAACATTCTTCTAACCAGGGGTTAGTGGAAATCATAATGTAAATAAAAATAAAATTAATATGACTAAATAATAAGACTAAGAAGAAGTGAGTGTTCATGATGAAGTCTCCAAGGACACAGAGCCTGTCTTTAAGATTAGAAATTTGTAGGGAAAGGTGTATTCTCAAGCTCCTCCTATACAAGGCAAATTTTGATAATTTTTAGAAAATACAAACACAGAGCTATGCGAGTTCAAATAAAGGGAGGCCAGATTTAATAGCAGGAACAAGGCAGTATTCATGCAAAAGTGACCACTTGAGCTGGGTCTTGAAGATGAGCTGAGCAGGCAGTATTAGTTATTCAGCAACTATTATTGAACCCATTTGCTAGGTACATACAAAAGTGATCATTGAAATTGTGGGAATGAAATCAAGTAATGCTGACTTGATTTAGAGAGGACCTTGAGGGAGTGATTAGGAGGAGAAAGAAGAGCCAGAAAAGAAGCAAGCAGTGGTTAAATGTTGCACGAGGACCAAGGATATACCAATCAGGAAAATAATCATTAAAAAATAAATTTCACTAGAGGATAAAGCTAAATTTTAAAGTGGGATCTTTATAGTTGGGGATGCATATTAGCATGGTAATTAATAATGCAACTCTGACAATTACAACTGGAATCCTTAAGTTATTAACTATTATTTTATTCTTGATATCTTCAAAATACAGAAAGAATAGTTTTTGCTATTTATTAAGTTTATTTGATTTGAAAATGTTTACTTAGAAATCTAGGATCTTGAACAAAAATGTCAAAAATTACAGATATGCCTTTTCTTGGAGTTCTCAGATTGGTTGTAGTTATCAGAACCAGGATATTAGGCTAGAGGAACCGTGGAGGGGAAATTAGCAATGCTAGAACGAGAAACAGAAACAAGATAAGATCCAGGCTTTTACTGGAGATAGTATCCTAATTATCTACCACTGCATAAAAATAGGCTCAAAACTTAATTACTTAAAACATAACCATTTTAGGCCAGGCGCGGTGGCTCACACCTGTAATCCCAGCACTTTGGGAGGCTGAGGCGGGTGGATCACCTGAGGTCAGTAGTTTGAGACCAGCCTGGACAACATGGTGAAACCCCGTCTCTATTAGAAATACAAAAACTAGCCAGGCGTGGTGGTGTGCGCCTGTAATCCCAGCTACTTGTGAGGCTGAGGCAGGAGAATTGCTTGAAACCAGGAGACAGAGGTTGCAATGAGCCTACATGGTACCACTGCACTCCACCCTCAGTGACAGAGTGAGACTCTGTCTCAAAAACCAAACCAAACCAAACAAAACAAAAAACAAACAAGCAAACAAACAAAAAACACAAAAACATCACCATTTTATTATTTTTCATTTTTTGTGGGTTGCCTAGGCTCAGCTAGGTGGTTCTTTTGTTCCACATGAGATTGGCTGGGAATGCCATCATCTGAGGAGTCCATTGGAATGCAATGACCAAGATTTCATATTCATGTCACTGAAAGTTAATGCTGGCTTAGATGCATGCTTACCTGGGCTCTGGTGTACTTACATAGTGAGGTCACTGAATACTGAGATGGAGTGTTCCAAGAGCAAGCATTCCAAGCAAGAAGAAGCAGACTCTTCCATCCTCTTAAAGAATAAGGTTAGAACCAGCATGGTGTCATTTTCATTTACACCACCATCTATTGTTAGGCACTTCCAGGGCCAGCCAGAGTCATAGAGGAAATAAAAGTTCACCTCTCAATGGGGAAAATGATCAAAATTTTGCAGCCAACTTTAATCCACCATAGATAGTGGCAGAAGTAATCAAGAAATATAGCAATGGCAAGTGAATCAATTAATTAAAGAAAGCCAAGGCAGAAAGCTATTTTGCTAAATTTTTAAAACTGTTTATATATACTGAGCATTAGGAATGTCCTGAAATAGCCAAAAATACATTTTAAAAACTACCTTAGGTAAGTATCATGTTATACCTAAACCAAATTTGGTCGGAAAAGCAAAGGAAGTCTTTACCTAAAAGGACCATTGTATCAAAAGCAAAACATTCAGCAGAAAACAATTAATAAATTAAAAAAAATTAGTTTTTCCCCACCACTAGAGGGAGTAAATCCCCAAAACAGATTCTCAAGAGAGACTGCATAATAGTTTGCCCCAGTAGACTGGAGCTTGAAACTATTTCAAAATTTGCTGCCAAAGTGACTTTCATTGAGAAGTGAAAAAATGTATTTGATGTGATTCTTATGTATGTATTTCATTTCTAAGTGTGGCTTAATATTTTCTGCATGAAAGCAAGGCATTGCTATGGCAAGAACAATGATAAACTCTGTTCAAATGAACTCAAGCCACAAATGAATAGAATGTTCCACGTGGGAGTGGTAATAATGAATCATTAATTATGTCATTTTTTACCTTTTGTGTTTCATCAGTAAAAATACTTCTAAGATCAGAAGTCAGATAGTACATGAGATTTTTTTTAAAGGTGGAAAGCTCTAACATACTGACTTATTAATGTTTTTAATCTTTGAAAATACCTTCAGAAGGATAGATCTGAATTCAAACTTAGAACAAGAAAATCCTGAGACTTTCAAATACCCAGGCTTAGTATGAGTTCATGTAGTGCATCAATTCAGCAAGTTACCATAAATTTATCTCCAAACTGGATAAGAAACCAAGCCACTCATTCATTCATTGAAACAAGTCTTTATGTGTGTCTTCTCTACACCATGTGCTGGATCAGCTCTAGGTGTAAAATGGTGGGTGGGTAATAGAGACATGTTTCCTGGCTCCATAGAGCTGCAGACTCTGGTATTCAGGCCATTATATGGATAATAACACTAACAATTATAAGTATTTAATTAAATGGGTCAATCCTAATTTTAGAAGAAACTAAAGAACCCTTAAAAATTAATTTATGCTTCTGCTTCCTTTTTAATCCAGTCTCATATTTTGAGGGACTTGGAACATTATGTTTGTGGAGACAGTGTTTTCTTTAGGATGCCTAGGCAAAATTTTTGAAAAGTTGATCTTTGTTGCCTTCGGAATTCTATCGCCACTTCTGCTTATCCTCTGCAGTATTCACAGTGCTTAACACCTACTTCCAGTTGTCCCAGTGCATCTGTGTGGCTCTCTGACTTAATGACTCCACTCAGCCCCTCTCAAACCTACAGAGATTTTTCTGTTTCTTTTTAATCATCCACATATCTTATGATGAGACCCCTAGTCTTTCAGTGCAGTTAATAAGAGATAGGTGTTGGGCATATCTTCAACTGCTCTGAGTAGACAATTCTGGGATGTATATCTCTGGCTCAGGCCTCCCCGTTCTCCACTGTAAATCCAAATGGCTATTTCATATCCCCATTTGGGTACTTCAAATCCACCATTTTAAAGGCTAAGCAATTTTTTTTTTTTTTTTTCAGACAGAGTCTTGCTGTGTCACCCAGGCTGGAGTAGAAAGGCGCAACCTCGGCTCAATGCAACATACGCCTTGAGATTCTCCTGCCTCAGGCCTCCTAGTAGCTGGAATTACAGGCACTTGGCACCACGCCCGGCTAATTTTTTGTATTTTTAGTAGGGACAGGATTTCGCCATGTTGGCCAGGCTGGTCTGGAACTCCTGACCTCAGGTGATCCGCCCCCCTCGGCCTCCCAAGGTGTTGAGATTATAGGCGTGAGCCAACGAGCCTGACCTAAAAGCTAAGCACCTTCTCTACCACGCTTGCAGCTACTGCTCAGCTTCTTGTGACCACTCAACAGCTATTCATTGAATATTTACTGCAGTCTGTGAGGTGTGGGAAGGTCTGATCAGATTACACTATAACAGGCTCTTTACTTGTCAAACTGTCTCATCTGCCCACTAATGTAAACCCCACGGATTTTCCAGGTTTTGGTGCAGATTAGAGGAGCATTAATATTTGTCTTTTTTGGAAGAGAACAAGAATGGTTTTCTTGGAGAACTATTCCCATCAAGGCTCCTGATATTTATTGTCTTTTTAATTTTCCCCTTCACCTTCTCTAAGCTTTGCCATTTGCAGTTATCCTCAATTATCTTTTTAGCATCCAGAGACCTTCCTCAGGTTATCTATTTCTGTGAGATTAGTAATTATCCTGATTGTCAAGGTTTTTCTATTTCTACCACGTTGTGGGTATTTAGCAGTAACTCCTTGTAGGCCAGAGCATGGAAAAAATGTTTAGCTAGTATGTAGGAAGTGGGGCCTATATCTCCATCAGACATTCACAAAAATGGCTTTGTGAGAATAGCTTTTAAGACATGTATCTTTGAAGGATCCAGTCGTGTGCAGGTCTATACAAATAGATGAAAATGTAGTCATACAACGTGAGAAAGGACTGGAAGAATGGATGGGCTTTTAGAAGGTGATTCTCAGCTGGTAAAATATAGAAAAATCCCACGAAGTTGGAGTCAATCACTATTTGGCTTCCAACTTCATGGTTTAAGATAAAAGTAATATGTCAACATTTTTATTTAAGGAAAAATAAAACATTCAGATACATTTGTAAGTGAAATTAAAAACTTTTTTTTTTTTGGTTTGCCAGTTCCATGACTTACCTGTTATGATTGAAGAAACTTTTCTTTTTTGGGGGGGTCTGGGGGGGAAAGAGTCTTGCTGTGTCACCAGGCTGGAGTGCAGTGGCGTGATCTTGGCTCACTGCAACCTCCGTCTCCTGGGTTCAAGAGATTGTCCTGCCTCAGCCTCCAGGGTAGCTGGGATTACAGGTGTGCACCACCACACCCAGCTAATTTTTGTACTTTTAGTAGAGACGGGGTTTCACCATGTTGGCCAGGATGGTCTCGGTCTCTTGACCTCATGATTTGCCCACCTCATCCTCCCAAAGTGCTGGGATTACAGGGCGTGAGCCATGAAGAAACTTTTACATTCATGTTTGTGGAAGTACTGATTGTTTAATGAGAACTAAAACTACTTTTGGCTAATTAGCAAGATATATGTGGAAGAATCTACTGTTTAGATCATTCACTCTGCTTGTGACAGTGTTAATTTTCTTAGAACATTATGCTAAAAAAAATCACAGCTGGGTGTGGTGGTGTGCATCTGTAATCCTAGCTACTCAGGAGGTGGAGGCAGGAGAATTGCTTGAGCCCAGGAGTTAGCAATCAACCTGGGCAACATAGTGAGACCCCATCTCAAAACAAACAAACAACTTTAGTATCATCAAGTATAATTATTAGATGAAGAAAAAAAAAGGAAACGAGGGCTTAAGCAATTAGGTGAGTTGTTCAAGTTGACCCAGCTTATAGAAGAGGCCCACGGTATATTTAAACTAGGCTGGAAACATGAGGTCAGAGAGCATGTCTGTTTAATTCACCATTATAGCTTTAGCGCCTGCCATTTTCACTGACATAGGGTGAGTATTTAATACATACATGTTGGGTAAATCAAATAATAAAGAATAGATTATTTCATTCTTCCTACTTTTCCAAAGTTATTAAGTCCATGAAGTCTCCTTAACCTCAAGTATATGGTTAAATATATGGTCAAGTCTAAGTCTTTGCTACTTATTTCTTACATATACCTAAGGTTATTGGTTTTATTTTATTTTTATTTTTTGCTTAACTGTGGGCTACAAGAAGCATGGCCAGACAAATTCTATTCAGACCCTAAGACTCAAATCCAGTGATAAGTAATCCCTATCTACAGGAGAAGAAACTATTCCGTCTGCATCTGAGAACCTAGCAGCATGCAGAGCATGGGTCACAGGTAGGAAAGGAGTCCTACAGAAAGTGAGTTTGAAGGCATTTTGCTGCGTAGTGTATAGAAAATGATACTAAGGATATTTGGAAACAGCAGGATAAAGGCCATAAACACAGACATCAATTGGTTATTCAGCTCCTGGGCTATTGGCTTGGCCCTTGGGGTCAAGATCCTTGTCTCTAAAGACCAGGGAAGTCCTTGTGACTGTCAAAGAGGAAAGGAAATTGAAATTTTAGCTTACAAAATCAATACTGTAAGATTTAAACAGGAGTCAAACTACTGAAAAAATAATGAAATTATTGTTCTTGAACAAACTGAATTTGAACAACTAGAATTATAAATAGGTTAAAGTTTTCACATAGACTTTGGGCTCCTTTAGAACAGTATCCTTTTTCGGTAGCACTTTCAACAGAACATGTTCACAGGAAGAAGCCGAGGTGTCAACCTTAGTGTAATATAATACTCAGTAAGTAGGAGCAAATAGAAAATGTGGCAGATTGATGACCAGCATTGCTGTTTCCAGTTTTGTTTTATTCCTCTAATTTATAGTCAAGGTTCCTACTTGGAGACTTTAAAAATTAAAAAATTTCTTATTTCTTTTAAACCTAAATTTCCAAGACAAATTTTAAAAGAATGTTGCCACAAAAACGTTTTGAAAGACAAAATTAGCATGTCCCAAAGGAAGTTTTATAGACATATTATAAAATTTAATGATGATGAAATGATGAATTAATTTAAAACCATTATTGTGCAGTATAGACAGTGATGGAAATTGGATTGTAGAGTCTTACTAATCCTGACATGAAAATAAGCTCAGGCACACAAACCAAGATCTCAACTGAAGAGCAGCAAGCCATATAGCCCAATAGCATTTCCATTTTATTTTGTTGGAAATACGGGGTCTTACAGTAAACCTTTTGAACAGGGATGTCTTTCAAATGGGTTCTTTAGAGGTAACACAACAAGCTACTAATAACTGCTAATTATTGATGAAGCAGATGGCAGTAGTAGGGTGGGATTACTGAGCTAATATAATGCCCAGGAAAAAGGCAAAAGTGTAACAGAAATCCAAGATAATTTAGGACCAAATATCAACAGTCTTTTTCCAAGATTATCTGACTATTATTACCTGGTAGTTTAAGTGACTTCAATAATCTTGTTTATCTTCTTATTTTTCCACTCTCATTGCTGCCATAGGACCAGGTTCACAGTTGTAGTCAGGCGTAAAATTTCAGGTTAGCAACACACACAGAAGTAGAAAGGCAAAGATCTTCCTGCCTTTTATTCTTGAACCATCTACCTTCACAGAGACCCCATTTTTCCCACCTGTGGGGTTAGCCCCAAATATGATTCTGAGACTATTTATGTGTTGTGATTTAAGGTTCCCTTTTTCAGTGTTTCAGTGGATAAGAATCACATCAGCTTCTAGCCGGGTCTGCTCTGACATTATTCCCATTCTAAAACCTAAGCTTTCACTGCCCTCGTGAATAAGCTCCAACTTGAACTGCAGTTCTAGAGATACTGGCGTATATCTGCTTGCAGGAAAAAGATTTCAGCTCAAGGGACAGAGTAAAGATCTAATAACAAGAATTGTGATTTAAGGTGGGAATTTGTTTTAAGGTTCTAAGGAATACGATGGTAATCCAACTGGTAGAGCCAGGCATAAGGTCTGTCTGAGTACAATTGCCAGCATATTTCACTTGCTGCTAAGTACCCTGAGTATTGACAAGTATCTTCTTTAATCTCATCTGTGTGAGGAATACAGAATTGGGCTAGAAGAGAGGATCAAGCTATCTTAGTAGTGAGGAGAGGAAAGTAGCTGGTAGGTAGCCAAACATGGACTGGTATACTTAATGCAATGAGTATTTTCAATCCCTTGTTGAGCTGAAAAGTGGTAAAAAAAAAAAAAAAATTGTTATTCTGCACTTAGACTACATAAATCAATGAAGCATCAGTAAATGATTGAACATGAAGTGCTTCCAACATGTCATCTTTTTAAAAGGTTGTTTAGATAATTGTCGTAGCCTTCTCTGCCAGTGACCAGGGTACAGTTATTAGCAATCATTTTGATTGTGATTTCTAGTCTAGATTGTTTATGTGCATGCATGCGTAAGTGTGTGTATTCCTCCCTGGTGGAGTATTTTATATATGAGGAGTGAGATTTTGTTTAGAAAAACTCAGAATTGGAACATCTTCTGAAATCTGAGTCTTTTTAGTCCTAGATCCCTGCAGCTCTGCCTATCAAATTCTGCATGCTACATTTTTTACTTGCTAACTTTGGAGGTCATTCTTTTTCTTTTTTATATTCCATGCATGATTTTTAGTAATGTAGAGATCTCTCAAAATATTCATAGTCAGTGTTGAACAATAAAAACATTCTGTGGTCAAACGCCTTTAGGAAATGCTGTGCAAATAAAGGTGAACACTTTTCTTTATAGGAGGATTTTGCAACAACTAAAAATACTTATAGTTGTTGTAAATCCCTGAGAAGAATTAAAGTGCTGGCTCTTTGAAAACAGAACCCTCCACTGTTCTGATCACCCATGAGGAACTCTTGGAACTATTTTTTGTTGGAGCACATTTTGGGAAAAGCTGCTCTGGAGCCCAAGGGAAAAGGCTTAAATAGAATTTTTCTATCCTTTTACATTTATTCCTCCTTTGTCACTCTAAATCAGGAGAATCTATTTCTTATAAAACAAATTTCATGGGATGATAAAAAAGCAGACCTTCTTTAGAGTGTTAACTTCACATTCCCTGTTCCTCAATCTGGCCCTGATTCCTTTGCTTTGAGGCATGAGTTTCCTTTGCCAAAAATAGAAAAGGTTGCTGTAATCAGTGAAGCACAATCATGGTTCTGAAAGGCTCGTTTTTAGATACTATTTGTATCATAGACATGACAGCTATATGCTAAAACCTACTGGGGATATTTTTATGAAAAACATCTCCAGGCAAGGTAATATTACTAGAATGTTAGAGATGTTTATTTTAGGTAGTAAAAGTACATAATGTAATATATGCATTAAATAATAGCAAGAAGGTTAAAGAATTATGTGAGCTATAAATTAATGTTAACCAATCTCCATGATAAAGAAAGGAATACCTGTTTATAAACTAGTATAATTCTGAAATGAGTAAATTTTATGAGGAATTCACATATGAATTCACATGTGAATTCACAATTAAACTTTTATGTTAAATACTATTTCACTACTTTTTATTCTTATATTTGGTGGTTTTGAAAATATCTTCATTTTATTTTTTGTCCATGACAATAGTAAGATTTAATAGGGCTTTACATATTACCAGATGTACTGATCTCATTTACTTCCAAAACTCTGTGAGTTCTGTTTAATCATTGATTTCCTTGCAGAGATGAAAAGGATAGGTAAATAACTCATTTGTAAACAGCTATTAATGTCTCAGAGCCAAGATGCAGATTCACTTCTTACAGTGCCAAATTCAAAAGTCCTTGTGACATTTAAATAGCCTGGTCATTTGATGTATATAATGACTATCTACTTAGTACTTTGAGTCTTCATCTAAAAAACACCTAGCAACGCATTCAATTATATCATTGGCTGCCACATTTCAATTAATTCAATAGTAAATCTTTTTAGATTATGATTCTTCTAAATTTTTTCCTCTTTCTTTGCCTAATTTTTTTCCATTTCACTGCAATAGAGGGAAAGAATATGGGATGATAGAGAAGTTATTCATCTAAGCGGTTCATGTAATCTGCTGAATACTTTTGTAACATATGAATATTATACACTGGGCTATCCAACATTCCAGAAAACTCCAGGATAACCTGCCACATACCTCTAGAACAAATACCAGAGAATGTCCAGGTACATAAAAGTGACCCATTCACCTAGATAAGTAAACCATTTTGTTGTATATCTGAGTTCTAATTGTTTCTATCCTCAATTAAAAGGATTACACCTATAAAATCCTGCCAGTTCATGTTAGCACACCTAAAAACCCTATGGTGACCATTCAGACCCTCTCCCCAATTTCCCCTATTCTGATGAACAACTCCTTGTTTTAGTTTTCCTTTTTTTTTTTTTTTCCTTTTTTGACTTCTGCCTAGCCCTGGTTGCAGCCCTGGCTTGATGGCCCATTAGGACATGATACTCTTGAGTCAGCCTGGCATTCCTCTTTGACAGAATGTTTTTTTTCTCTTTTTTGAAACAGGGTCTCACTCTGTTGCCAGGCTGGAGAGCAGTGGCCCTATCTCAGCTTCACGGAAGCATCAACCTCCTTGCGCTCAAGCAATCCTCCCACTTCAGCTTCCCGAGTAGCTTGGACCACAGGCACACTCCACTATTCCTGGCTAATTTTTGTATTCTTTGTGGAGACAGGATTTCACCAGGTTGCTCAGGCTTGTCTTGAACTCCTAAACTCAAACGACCCACCCCTCTGGGCCTCCCAAAGTGCTGGGATTACAGGCGTGAGCCACTGCCCCTGGCCGACAGGATCTTTATTTTCACATTCCCATTCTCATTATATTTAGATGAGAGAGAAAGAAAAAGAACTGATATGTTTATGCAAGCATATTGAGATTACTACAGTTGACCTGTGTTGAATGGCCAAATATCGAGGATGTATTTGGTAGATTTCCAAGCCAATTATTACTGCTGATTTTCCTTCTTTACCACACATTCCTTTTCAAAGGAATCCCCATGGGAGGAGTGAGGCAGATGGTGGTATTATTTCTTTCCATTTTGACCAAAGATTTCTCATCCTCTTTTTCTCATCAAGACAGAATAAACGAGAAAACACTCTTCTTCCTTAAAAAAGCTTTATTTCTGTCCATGACAAAGTACTCTATGGTAGTCATTTGAACTTAAATATACAATTTGTTTTGGAATATTTCAAATGGACCAGATCCACCTGCATCTACTAATCCCGCTAACTCGTTTTTGAGGCTATCTATAATGTTCTGCCTACTGTAAATGTATTCCCAGTATCCAACACAGCCTCTGAAGGAAAAATGACACACATTAGATTCTTCCAAATGGATTGGTTAATTCTCATTAGATTTATTCTGTCTCTTTAGGACAAAGACACATGCATGACAGATTATTTCCATGGTTATTTCTATGCATAGTTTCATGAATTTTAAAAATATCTCTATCAAATATTGGCAAACAATTTATTGATGAGAAAAAGCTAGGCCATGGAAGAAGGAAGGTCAGCATAAAGCCACAGAGTTGAACAGAGACACGTAGGAAGTGAACTTCCGTAGGTACTTACCGTTTTTGACGTTTGACAGAATTTGGGAAATGGTAAGAAAACTGAATATTAGACTTAGATTTAGGAGCCTTGGTCCTGAATCCTATTTCTGTTAGTTACTAGCTGTGTGAACTTGGAAAGTTATATAACCTCATGGGCCTTCAGTTTTCTTACCTGTTGTGCTGGAGATAACATATCTAATTTAGAGAGGTGGTAGGAGATTAAGAGAGAAAGCATATGTGAGCCTACATGGCATTGGTAGAAGCCCACTAACTGTTAAATGGTATCTGTAGTTTCCCAATAAGTTTCACTGAGCAAAAATGACACAGTCTGCCTCATTTATATATCTGGCATTGGGATAAGTGATTATTGATAGAGAGAACTGTTTCAACTTTAACTCAAGACTGACACATGTATCCAAGCAAATTAGTACCCCAGGCCAGAGTCCCACAGTATGAACATGGGGACAATATATGCACTGAGAACCTGTCTTACTATAGACCAAATTGTCTGGCAGTGCATCCCAGAAAATGAGGGTAATGGGCTGAGCAATTTAATCATATCCTAAAATAAGAAAGAGAGAAAATATAAATTAGGAAAATTTATAAAGACTCTACAAGAAGGGGTACTTTTTGTATAAGGGAAATAAAAAAATAGTAACAAAAAAGAACAGACCCTGAAGTGCTCCACTGTCTGTGCTGGAGATCTGTGGTGAGCTGCAGGCCCAAGCTGTAGAATCCTTATTACAGGAGAAAGCCTTGAGTCAGGTTTTTTATGTGACAGTTTCACTGATTGTATTGTGGTAAGAAAGTGTAAAGAGGCTGCAGAAAACTGGGTGGACTTCCAAAGCTGGAGCAGAGAATAATCAGAAATAATGAATTCTGATAATTCAACTAATCATTTGGCAAAACTTTGTTTTTCTGATATTTAGTAATGCAAAGTACCTAATTTTATTTATATGATTGAACTTAAAGTATTCAAATCAGTTTGCAACTGTTGACATTTATAATACGAAAGTACCATGGCTCTACTAGGCCATGTAAGTGGTTAGCAGGGGAATGTCAATTATGAAAGAGTTCTTCTTCAGATAGAATAGAAAACAATGAGGGATTGACATAATTGCAACATGCCATTTCACTATTGAGGAGAATAAATGCTCATTTGTACTATGTGGCACTACATATTTTAACATGTAACTACAGATCATTAGAGAAGTCTGATCTCAAATTAAATATTTAATTGGTTGGGTGCAGTGGTGGCTCACACCTGTAATCATAGCTTTTTGGGAGTCTGAGGCTGGAGGATCACTTGAGCTCAGGAGTTCGAGACCAGCCTGGGTCACTTGGGAAGACCTTGTCTTACAAAAAAAAAAAAAAAAAAAAAAAAAAGGTGGGCATGTTGTGTTGGTGTACACCTGTAGTTCCAGATACTCAGGAAGTTGAGATAGGAAGAGTACTGGAGTCCAGGAGCTAGAAGCTGAAGTGAGCTTGCACTCTGGCCAGGGCGACAGAGCAAGGCCCTCTCTCTGAAAAATAAAGAAATAAAAATACGAATAAACAAATATTTAATAAAATTATGTTAAGGCTTCATTTTTATGGTACATTTTAAAGCCAAACTCAAATATGCAGAAGTTGGAAAAACAATAACAAAATCCCTACTCCTTGAAATAAGTTTTATTTTAAGCAAGCATTTCCACAGTTTTACAGCATGATTAACAATTTATATAATCTCTGTGAGTCACCAAGGGAAGCTGGCATAGTTGACCTAAATGCTTTTGATGTGCAACAAAGGAGACCAGGCACGCAGTGGAATTGCATCTGGAACCCCATGTTAACGTTTACTACTTTGAGAGGATTCTCTCTCGGGTCTCCTTTGCAAGGCTCACTGGACACCATGTTGATCACTTAAATTACTATTAACTAAGATTAAGCTTGAATCCCATTTTTCTGTTTTCTTCATTTCAACTTTTGGGAGTGCATTGATTAAGCATATAAAGCAATGACATGATGAATGTATAAACAAAGAAATAGAAGGCAATGAATCAACCTATTTAAGGTATAATAAGGTTTCTTGTTTTTGTTTTTGTCTCCACATTAATGTTTTTTGGCTCAAGGGAATGTCAGTGTTTTCAGGAATGCGTAAAGTTTCTTAATCTGACAATTTGCAGGATGCTTGGGGATTGTTAGTCAGGGAAATGTGGCTACAAAGGAGATGAAGTTTTAAAATTGGGATGGATCCCAAAAAAGTTATGAAAGTTGTAAATGTGTTTTCAAAAATATTTTGTAAAATTCTGAAATATCCACATTAAGAAGTGAAAATCTTGCCCTTAATCTCATTTCCTATTTCCTGTTAACAGTGTGGTGTGCATTCTTAAGGACACTTTCCCAGTGTTAATCCAATCCTATACAGTAGTTCTCATGTTGTTGTTGTTGTTTCAAAAAATAATAGAGAATCATACTATGTATATATTTTATACATTTCTTCCTCAAACAATATAAGCTGTGAAACTGTTATTTGTTAGAATAGAAACAGCTACCTCATTCTTTTTTAATAACTTTAAAATATTCTGTAAAAAAATATACTATAATTAATCTAATCCTTCCTCTCTTAATGAGCATTTATATTAACTCTAATTTTTGAATTTCTACTTTTTTGACTGAAATAAACATATTATATATACAAATAATACTATAAATATTTCTATGTGATAACTTCCTAAATGTGAAGTTATTGGATACAAGGATTGAGTATTTTATATTTGATAATGGCTTCCTAAAAGGTTGTGTTGATTTGCATTTCTGTCCCCGTGTATGAGAATGCCTGTTTCCTCACATGTTTGCCTACCCTGGATAATGCTGTCATTTAAAATCAGTGATAGTGTAATGGGTAATAAATGATATGTAATTACTGTTTTTAATTTCCACAAATGAAAACATCAGTGTTATTCACCTTGTTTTATTCACTTTCCTTTCCCTTGGTCAATTCTCTAGATATAATTATTTTATACCGACATGTTTTTAATCCTCCTTTTAGTCCTACTCGATTCATCATTATGGAATCACAGGAATTCAGAATGGGAAGGGGACTTGGTAGAAATGTAGTTCTTCTACTAATTTGGTACTTGGTTCATGCCAAGTGGTCAGCTTATGCTTGAATACTTCCAGTGATGGAGAACTCATGATCTTCTGAGACAGCTTGTTCCATCTTTCAGTGGTTTTTCACCATATGAAAGATTTTTCTAAGAAGTCAAAACTCTTTCCCTGTAGCTTCTAGCTATCACAGCTCATGAGTTTTCAATATGAAATCTAAAGCTGAGGCCATTGCGCCCTCTGCTCCAGGAATTTCTTCTGCGGTGCATTTCCTAACACTGGTTTACATGTCTACAAATTGGTTCAAATTAATTGCTAAATGGAAGTCTTGCTTCCATTCCCCAGGACACTTCAAATATGTCAGATTGGAGGTTAATTTTCTTCTTGGGCAACTAATGCTTGTACACTGTGTCTACTTTTATGCCTTCTATCATTCCTATTAAGACATTATAGTTTCAATGTATGCTATTTTCTCAGATAAAGAGAATAAACAGAGGCGTTCTTAGAAAGCTACCTACTTTCTTCTAAAAGATATCAGTTACAAGTAATTAGATTTGTTTATTGGGGAGTGGATGGATAAATTTAAATGGGCTGGATATGTTATGGGGTCTCTAAGGTGATAAGTTACAAAAATGAATTCTGAGGATGGGATTAGACTAGGGAATAGAAAGACTTTTCTTTCCCTTTCTGTTTTTATTTTTGCATTTTAACCTTTGCATATATATTATCTTATTCTGTATATCTAAGAAGAAAGAGGCATTTATATCTGGGTTGTTACTAATTCTTATTTTTTCTCTTTCCAAATTAAAATAGGATTGTGTAAGATACACATATTTCAGCTCTACTCCTTTGTCCCTGGGTTCATTAAAGCAGAAATTCTGGAGTCAATGAAGGAGACCTTCTTCTCACTTAGGAATGCAGTAGGAGGTGGAAGTGGATGGTCATTTTTTCGCTTTTTTCTGAGTCAGTACATCAATTGTTATTATGGTCAGTACTGGCTAATGTTCATCAACCAGATGAACCAGGGAACCTGACTTAGAAATTGTAGATGTGATAATATTTCCCATTTCTTTTGTTTACTTGTGCTGTATTACTGGTAACTGGAATATTAATATAATTTTAGTGCTGGATGAAACCGTTACAGAATTTTATCTGTATTTTCCTTCAAATTTAATAGCTAAATAAAGGGAATAGGAAGTTAGAAAAGCAATATCCTGAAAAAATTTTTAAAGGAATTCAGTACTTCTAAGTTGCTATCTATGTTTGGAACAATCTGTAGAAAGTCTACTTAACTGAGAGAACCGGTGGTCGTTTATTGAGATACAATAAGTTAAAAAGCTATTTTAGGTTTTCTTCTAAAGAAAGTAGGACTGGCTTAGATACTTCAGATAAATAGAAATCACTTAAACTGAAGCACAGAGAGAAAATATAATAAGAAAACTGAAAGAATAGTGTATAAGAGATATGTGGGATCCACATGAAATACCTAGCATATGAACAATTGAAAACAGAGGAGATCTTGCAGAAGCAACATTCGAAGAGATAATGGTTGAAAATTTTCAAAATCTGATGAAAGCATCAACCTGCAAACTCAAAATCTTGGTGAACCAGGATTAAGAGACCCAAAGAAGACATCACATTCAAAGAGCTAAAACCAAAAAAAAGAAGAAAACGCAAAAAGTAGTGAGAAAAAAGTGCATAGTGATTTAAAAGGAGCAACAGTAAGGCTGATAGTTGTCTTTTCAACATAAAGAAAACAGTGGAAAGCCAGAAAACATTAAAAAGGCATATTTAAAGAACTGAATAAAAGTAGCTTCCAACCTAGTATTCTATATCCGTTGAAAATAATTCTCAAAAATGAAGGGGAAATAAGTATGTTTCAAACAAACTGAATGTAATATGTCACAAGAAGACTTTCACTTGAAACAAAGCACAATTTTAAAATAATAATTTAAAAAAAGCAAATACCCTAAAGAGAAATTTCCAATTAGAAGGAATATAATCTCAGACAGAAAAAATGAAATTGAGAAAGGGTACTTTTGTATGTTATTATAAATTCATATTGACTGTAAAAAATAATTGAAAAAAGTACAACAACAAAAACATGTGTAGAGCAAAAACACATAAGAAATGATGAAAGACAGCAGGGTAAATGATATTTAAAGGTTTTAAGCTTCTTTAAAATACATGATATAATGAAAGAGAGAAAATAACAATTGCCTAATCAGATTCAGCGATTTTAAAGCCACACTCAGCAACTGATAGAGCAACTAGAGAGAAAATCAGTTATGACAATGTTGATCCAAACAACCCTATCAACTACCTTCACCTAATATATATTTATACAACACCAAACCCAACAAGTCCAAAATACACATTTTAAAAAGTGCAAATGGAACATTAACCAAGCTATATATGGTAGCCTATAAAACAAATCATTGGAGAGATTGTATATTTTTTTTCCAAGGGAAAAATACATCAATAGCAATAAGGTAATCAGGAAATCACAACATATTTGGAAATTAAATCACTTACCTCTACATAATTCATTGTGAAAGAGAAAATCAGAAGAGTAACAAAAATATACTTTGAGCTGAATGACAATAAAAACGCATCATGTCAACATTTGTGGGATACACCCAAAGCACTGCAGAGAGGGAAATTTATAGATTTAAATGCTTACATCAGTGTAAAAGAAAGGTCTAAAATCAATAACTATTTCTCATAGAAGACATACAAATGGCAAACAGGCATATTAAAAGTTACTCAACATCATGGATTATCAGATAAATGCAAATCAAAACTAAAATGAGGTATCATCTTACCCCAGTTAAAATGGCTTACATGCAAAAGACAGGCAATAACAAATGCAGACAAGGATGTGGAGAAAAGGGAACCCTTGTACACTGTTAATGGGAGTATAAATTAATACAACTATCATGGAGAATTGTTTGGATGTTCCTCAAAAAAACTAAAAATTGAGCTACCATGTGATCCAGCAATCCCACTGCTGGGTATATATCCAAAAGAAAGGAATTCACTATATTGCAGAATATCTGCATTCCTATGTTTGTTGCGGCACTGTTTACAAAAGCTAAGATTTGGAAGCAACCTAAATGCCTACCAACAGATGAATGGATAAAGAAAATGTGGTACATATACACAATGGAGTACTATTCAGCCATAAAAAAGAATAAGATCCAGTCATTTGCAACAACATGGATGGAACTGGAAATCATTATGTTAAGTGAAATAAGCCAGGCCCAGAAAGACAAACATCACATGTTCTCATTTATGTGTGGGATCTAAAAATCAAAACAATTGAACTAATGGAGATAGAGACTGGAAGGATGGTTACCAGAGGCTGGGAAGTGTAGTTGGGAGCTAGAATGGCGGTAGGGATGGTTAATGAGCACAAACAAAATAAAAAGAATGAATAAGATCTACTATTTGATAGCATTATAGGGTGACCATAGTCAGTGATAACTTAATTGTATATTTTTTAATAACTTACAGAATGTAATTGGATTGTTTGTACCTCAAAGGAGAGTGTTTGTGAAGTATTTGGTTAATTTTGCTTACATCTCTGCTGGGCTGTGTAAAAGTGTTTATTTCAGACAAGAAGAAAAATGTTACAACTCTCCAGGTACAAGAGGTATAACGTTTTTACATTGCTGTGGCATCTACCAGCAAAAGTGTATTTATCTATCTGCCCACATCAAGTCTGGTGTATGCTTGAGGGGATGGATACCCCATTCTCTATGATGTGCTTATTTCACATTGCATGACTATATTAAAACATCTCATGTCCTGCATAAATATATACACTTAATATGTAGCCACAAAAATTCTAAAAAATAATAAAAATGAAATGAATAAACTTAACGGCATAAGATTGTATACTAGGAGGCTAGAAAAGAAGAACAGAATAAATGCAAATAACAACCAGGAAATAATAAAGATAAGAGTAAATAATCAGTGAAATAGGAAGCCAACAATGGATTTTGAAAACATTAACAAAATTGATCAATTCTTAGCTAGACTGATCAAGAATAAATGAATGAACAGAGGAATATAAACTTTTAATATTAGAAAATCTATCAACTTAATTTACCTTAACTGAATAAAGAAAAAATCTATAAGATTATCTCAATATATGCAGAAAAGTGTTTGAAAAAATTCAACCTCCACTGATGATAAATACTCTCAGAAACTGAGAATAAAGAGTAACTTCTTCAACCTGACAAAGAACATTTATTTAAAAACCTGCAACTAATATAATATTTAATAGTGGAGTATGCAACTCTTTCTCTCTAATATTTGGAACAAAGCTAGGATGCTTACTCTCATCACTTCTATTCAAAGATGGACTGTTGTTGAATAAGTGATTATTTTATATACAGTGCTGGCCATACAGTAAGCACACAGTGCATGTCAACTATCCTTATTCTTTGTGTATTACTCATTGGATCTTGCTGTGTGCATTTGTGGAAGGGCACCATTTCACTTATTTTATTGGTCATGTCTGCTTGATTTAATGGGATCTTCAGAAAAGAGGAACTGTGCTACAGAAAATATATCTCTCAATCCTAGCCAACAACCATCTTAACAGATGAAAATGTAGGCAAAAATATATGCTTAGATTCTCATGGAAGCTCATCACTGCTACAGGAAAAGCAATTGCATATAAGTTATGAGTGGTAAATTTGATTGTTTTCATTTATAAAGGGGAGAGTGTTTGTGAAGTATTTGGTTAATTTTGCTTACACTTCTGCTGGGCTGTGTAAAAGTGTTTATTTCAGACAAGAAGAAAAGTGTTACAACTCTCCAGGTACAAGAGGTATAACATTGTTATGGCATCTTCCAGCAAAACTTTATTTACCTGCCCACATCAAGTCTGGTGTAAGCTGACAGTTATAAGGCAATGCCTGTCTGCAATCCTAGTTTGAAAGTGATATTATTTCACAAGACAATAGTGAGGGGCTGCCACATGTTAAAAGAAGATGAGACTGATGTCAGATCCAACTGCTTAGTTGTTTGGGGGCATCCTGTATTTACCAGGTCTAGGATTGGAGTTATAAAAATATCAGAATTTTTAAACAATGTTTTTTTTTGGTAAGTTTATGGAGGGGGCACCTGTGAGCAGTCAAAGAATATTTCCAAATGAAAATTTTTTTAAGAAATACATAGTGATAGCAATGTGTTTGGCCCCTCTTCTTCATTTCTTTCCTCACATCTGAGATAACAGAAAAAAAACATATTTCTGATATTAGAGTGGCTTAATAAAAGTATTCTTACCCTGGAAAACATTTTCTTTCTAGGAACCCCCAGAAACGTTTTATTTTTCTTATAACTTAAATTGGAAACCAGGATTTGGGGAACCATATTTAAATAGATTAAGTGCTAGTTGGCATTTGGTTGCAAACCCGGGTTTCTCCTTTGTTTCATTAAAAATGTTCCAAATGATTGATGGGTAATGCAGTAGTTTTATTTTTCAGTTTTTGAGGAACCCTCAAACTGCTTTCCTTAATGGCTGTGCTAATTTACATTCTTACCCACTGAATGCCCTCACATTTTCTAATAAGATCTCTGCTAAGTTCAGTTTTCTTCAGAAATAAGTACACAAAACTAAGAAGAGGGTAAGTCCTGGGACGCATCCTCCTCTCCCTTGCTTTGTTTTCCGTCCCCTCCTCCAGCTCCCACCTGCAGCTTCCACCTCTGCTTCTTATACTTGGGACTCAGGGGAAAAGCTTTTGATAATAAACGTGACTTGCATTACCTTGTATTTTATTCCTTCCCATTTCAATGGCATCAAGAATGACAAAGAGAGAAAGAATTAAGGTGGAGAAAGGGAATAGACTTTCCAGAAATTGAGTTAACTATTTACCAATTCTAACGCAAATCCAGAAACTATATCAATATATCAGTTCTAGGATAGAACTTATGGCACTATTTCTCTCTTAAGTCTGGCATTGATTGAAAAAGTTTTTTGGAAACTCTTATAAATGTTACCAAAGGTTTGATTTGGAGATGAACGACTGGTTCAAAAAAGAAAAGAAAAAAAAAAGATTAGCTGGGGTTGGAGTGGCAAGGGGGAAGGTAATTTCTCAAGGGTTTAAAAGAACACAGTGAATGAGTTAGAATTGGATAATGATGATGAAGAGGAAGAGGAAGTTTGGTCAGCAACAAATTATTTTAGGCTTCCTCAATTTTTTACATAATAAATTTTAGGCTATGAGACATCCAAGTGAAAATACCCTAAAGACAGCTGGGATTGTAGGAATAGATCATGAATGATACACAGTAATGAAGATTTCTATTTGAGATTCAGAGAATCACAGTATTTTATTGCTTGAAGGAACTTTAGACGACATCTGGTACATTCTCCTCAACTTAAAGATTATGAAATTGAGTCTCAAGAGCTTAAATAATATGCCCAAGGTCACAAAGCAATTTAGTGTCAGAGTTAGAATTACCTCCCAGATTTTTTGGCCATCAACTAGCCCAATGTTCTTAACATACCACTGAGCTATTATCAGGATAGAGATGATTAGTAATGATATGAAAGAAGTGAATAAAAGGGAAATAAAAATATTTTTTAAAAAGAAAAATGAATGGAAAAGAATATGAAGCCCAGGGTTTGGTGATGATATTTATAATTACATTACGTATGCAGAAGGATGAGGAGCACATAAGATAGATGGGTGATTAGGGAGCTGGAAGGAAAGCAGCAAAATTGTTTTCTTAGAAATCAATCATGAAATGCTTCAAAGTCCTTTTCAGCAACTATTTTGTTGTTGTTGAGTTGTCCAGGAAGTATTAGTGACCTGTCAGTTGAGAACATTCAGAATATAAGTTTTAGGGACAGATAATGATTTTGTTAGTTTTGTGCACTTATGTGTCCCACACACATAGTAGGTCCTTAATATGAGAAAATAATTCACTAGTAAACAATACTACACATTGTTTTAAAGATGCTATAAATATATAACGTGATCTATTTTGTGCCTGTTAACCTATAGATCATCTATTACTATAGATTACAAAAAAACTTCCTCTAAAAATTATAAGGGCATTTGAAATTGAAGCAGAATAACCATAGACTAAGATTCAATTTTCATGTCATAGATGCTCTGCACGTTTTGGAGCAATATGTTATGCCAAAACAATGTATTGTTATGACTACCATATTTAATATCAATAACAGTGGCATTCTGAAAAATTGGAATTGTCATTATATTTGAATGTAAAAACTACTCATTTAGATTTGTTGAGTTTTAGGATTTGGAACCATAGGTATAGACAGTTAATAAACACAGAAACTTACGAAGTGCAACTTAGATTCATATACATGAAATTCAAAATTCTTGCATATCATCTTCATAACACCCTGTTTCTCTCTGTACCCTTTCTCTTTTCTCTTAATCAAAGTTTCTACTTTTATTTAAAATTAGATTATTGAGTACTTACTGTGTGCAAGGCTATGCTCTAAATGCTTTTCATGTATTGACTCATGTAACCTTCACAACAATCTATAAAATAGTTACTATTAATGCTCTCACATATGTTCTTACATTTGAGTAAATTGAGGTACAGAGGAGTTAAGTAACTTGCTCACATTCGTACAACTAGTAAATTAAATAGCTGATATTTAAACCCAATAAATCCATCTATGAAGACACATTCTGAGCCATTACCTTATGCCACTCATTTAAGGAATAAGTATTTACTCCCATTAAAGATACTCATCATTTACCTCTCCTATCTTGGGTTTACCCTATTTGGGGTTTGCTAAACTCTTGAATATGTGGGTTCATATGTTTTGTCAAATATGGGAGACTTGGGACCATTTTTTTTGCTGCTACATATTTTTATCTTTCTCCTTTCCATCTGGGCTCCCAATTATACATATAATATAGAGCTTATTATTATTACATAGGTCACTAGGGCTCACTTGATTCCTCCTTTTTCCAGTCTTCTTTCCTCTTTGTACTTCAGTTTGAATCATTTTTATTAACCTGTCTTCAAGTTCACTAATCCATTCTTCTCCAGTGTCTAATTTGCTCCAGTGTCTAATTTTCTTTTAAGTCCATTTAGTGAATTTTTCTTCACAGATACTATATTTCATAGTTCTAAAATTTCTATCTGTTTTTAATAGTTTCATTTATCTGTTCTCAGTCCTCATATGTTTATTCATTACATCTATATTTTACTTTACATTTTTAAAAATATTTAGAATACTTTTTAATGTTTTTTTGCTAACTCCAAAATTTTTTCATCTCACGGTCTGGGAGAAAATGCAGAAATAATAGCTTCAGTCAAGGCAAAGAAGTTGGGACTTCAAATTATACTACAGAGCTATAGTAACCAAAATAGCATGTACAGACATAAAAACAGTCACATAGACCAGTGGAACAGAACAGAAAATCCAGGAACAAGTCCACACACCTACAGTGAACTCATTTTTGATAAAGGTGCCAGGAACATATATTGGAGAAAGAACACTCTTTTCTATAAATAGTGCTGGGGAAACTGGATATGCATATGCAAAACAATGAAAACTGACCCCATACACAAAAATGAAAATCAAAATGAATTAAAGACTTAAATCAAGACCTCAAGCCATGAAACTACTATAAGAAACATTGGGGAAACCCTGCAGGACATTGGTCTGGGCAAAAATTTCCTGAGTAATAAACCACAAGCACAGGCAACCAAAGCAAAAATGGACAAATAGGATCATATCAAGTTACAAAACTTCTGCACAGCAAAGGAAACAATCAACAAAGTGAAGAGACAACCCACAGAATGGGAGAAAATGTGTGCAAACTACCCATCTGACAAGAGATTAATAACCAGAATATATAAGGAGCTCAAACAACTCTACAGACAAAAGTCTAATAATCTGATCAAAAATGGGTAGAAGATTTAAATAGACATTTCTCAAAAGACATACAAATGGCAAATGAGCACATGAAAAGGTGCTCAACATCACTGATCATCAGAGAAATGCAAATCAAAACTACAACGACGTATCATCTCACCCCAGTTAAAATTGCTTGTATCCAAAAGACAAACAGTAGCAAATGCTGGTGAGGATGTGGAGAAAAGGAAACATGTAGACCCCAAAATTAAAACAGAAAAAAAAAAAAACAAAGAAGCTGGTGTCTGTGTGTTCTGTGTGACTGGAGAGTTGAATAATGCATTTACACAGTGGGCTTGTATAGAGCCATGAAAATAAATGACCTATGGCTAAACATATCAACATGATTGTATTTCAGTAGCATAATACTGAATGAAAAAGCAAGTCACTGAGGACTTTTCACAATAATGTACCCTCTTTTATTTTAATTTTAATTTTATTTTTGTTATTCATTTATTGATTTATTTTTGAGATAGGGTCTCACTCTGTTGCCCAGGCTGGAATGCAGTGGCGCGATCTTGGCTCACTGCAACCTCCGCTTCCCTGGCTCAAGTGATTCTCTAGCCTCAGCCTTGTGAGTAGTTGGGATTACAGGCATGCACCGCCATGGCTGGCTAATTTTCGTATTTTCAGTAGAGACGGGGTTTCACCATGTTGGCCAGGCTGATCTCGAACTCCTGACCTCAGGTGATCCACCCACCTCAGCCTCCCAAAGTGTTGGGATTACAGAGTGAGCCACCAAGCCCGGCGTCCCCATTTTTTAGAGTTGAAAAACAGGCAACATCAAACAATATGGTTTAAACATACCAACATGCAATAAAAACAATGTAACAAGAAACATTCTGGATAGTATTTGTCCTATTCTGAATAGGATAGCTGGGGGCACTTTGGGAGGGGAAAATAGGGAGATGTTAATTTTACATGTTCTTGGAAAAATTACCAGAAATTCAATTTATATCCTACAACAATACTCCACAAAAAAATTTTCCTCTCTTGTCCACTAAAATTCCCCCTTTTTCTGCAAGTGCTTTGGAGCTTATTATTTGCTAAATCCTTAGAAGTTCCTCTCCCGTCTACCCAAGTTGATAGATATTGGTTTGGCTAGTAGTTTTATGGATATTGATATATTATAAAATAAAAACTTAAATGCACAAAATACTAACCAAATAAAGTAAGATAAATGAGGTTCACCATACCAATGAGAACAGAGTATTGTGAAAAAGGATTATGATTATGTATTGGGCAATTCCGAGCCCCTGGGTGACATGCCAAAAATTTAAAAGCAAATTAAGAAACAGGCAATGGGGTATATAATGCAGGAAAGGTGGGAGATAGCGACCCAATATTTTCTCTGCCCCATCATGTCCCTGAAACTCACAGCTTGCTTCATTTACAAGCAGTAAGCAAATATTTAAACTTCATTTGAATTTCTAGGTCCATCCTTTCTAAAGTAGGAAGTACCCCAATGAAGTTGGCATCCCCAACTCTCATTTAAAAGGGGTTCCACTTATGAGCTAATAATGCATCTGGGATCCAGAGGATTAGTCAGAATCACAGGCCTTTCAAGTTACCTGACACATCTGAAATCTTCAGCTTTGTGGGATGACTCTGCACATTTGCCTTATGCAGCCTCCACTTCCTTATCTCCATTTTGGTTTTCTCTGCTACCAACTATCACCACTTCCTATATCACTCCTGCTGTCTGAAAACACACACACACACACACACACACACACACACACACACACACCCCACACACACACTGTGGCAGCAGTTGATAGCGCTGGGCTGCTTCATTGGTCTCTACTACTGAATTCTTTCTGTGCCTGCTCCTGAATTGTTCAGTCCTCTTTCAATACCGAATCCATGTGCAGGCCAGGAGTTCTGCTGCTTTCTCTTTTTTAAGCCGCTCTGTGGCTCCAGACCTGCAACTATGTTCCATATTCCCAGCCTTGTGGCTCAAGTCCTGCCATTGTTTGACTTCTGGGTTTATCCTGTTACCTGCCTGAAATGTGAGGCTTTTCTGACTTTGCTTTCCATGGGTTAACTCATTTGTTCAGGTTCAACTCAGGCATCTCCTCCTCTGGGGAACCATCTCTGCCTGGTGTGCCCCGCTTCCTCCCCGTCTCAGCACTGATAACTCCAGCAAAAAAAAAAATTCCTTTGTAATTTTTTATTTGAGGACATGATAATTTTAATATGTCAGCATTCCCAAGTTGCCTTTCTAGTGTTTTTTTGTTTTTTGTTTTTTGTTTTTTTTTGTAACTCAAGTAGTGTTCTTTCTTTCCCAGCTCCTTTTCCTGGGCTTTTTGTGGGGTAATTGTGACAAAAGGCAGAGACAGACAGGACTAGGGAGGCTGCAGAAAAGGGTTTGTTCTTAAGTTTGCTTTTGTGATAAAGAATCCATGCAACTGATTAAAAAATAACATCTAAATCTGAATCCAGAAAGAAAAGTTGAAAAGTCACTTGGGTAAACTGAGGAGGAATTTTTGACAATAGTCTCTAAAGCATTTGCAGAGAAAGAGAGAATTTTAATGCACAAGAGAGGAAAATATTTTTTGTGTGGGATATTGCTGTAGAACATAAATTGAATTTCTGGTAATGTTTTCCAGGAAGAACATAGAAAGACTGGAATTACTTTTGAATTATTGTCAACTGACTTAAAAAATTGTTACTACATAACAGTCCTAAGTCTCTTTATTTTTTTTTTGTATTTTGTATTTAAAATTATTTTGGGGCCTATGATTCTCAACTTGGACCTCATAAGGGCAGAAATTGTGTGCCCCAAGCGGCTATATTGTGTTTAGGCATGAGCATCATGCTCAATAGTTTTTGTTGACCATACAAATACATTGTATTGAGATATATGTTCTAGGCAGGAGTATGAATTCTGTTTTGAGTGCAGTGGAGAGGTACAGCCGGCTTTTTTACTTTTTAACTAGACAAATAACTGGATTAAATTTCTTTTAGAATTGGTAACTACGGAAACAACCTGGAGGATCACTTGGACATGAGAAGAGAATGGAGAGAGTGAAATCTCTTGTGAGGCTGTAACAGTGGACAATGGGAGAGGCTTAGCAGGGCTTGAATTAGAGTCTATCAGAATGAAAACAAGTGGATAAATATAAGAAGCAGTGTGTGGGCATTGTTGTTAGGGCTGTCATCAACTTGTAGGCATCTTCGAGAAGCTTTTACTTGATCCTTGCATCTGCCACAGCACCTGAGGTAATACTTTGTACTTATTTAGATTTAAGTCAGTGGTCACAAGGGCCACGAATGGGTCATGAGTTAGAGGGATAGACAATAACACTTGTATTGTGAATCTTAGAAATAAAAATGATGAAGTGGTTATTGAACCAGACATGTAGAAAAAGGACAAGAGATAGAATTAAGGTGTAAGATGATGTGTTCTGTTTGAAACACTCTGATTTTTATGCTTTAACACAATCATATAAAATGTACAAAGGTTATCTTACTTGGGGCTTGAAAGAGATTTCAGGGCTTGAGACATTTTATTTGAGAATGAATTGCATGGAGCTTATTATGACTATGGAAATAGTATTTCTGATGCAATAGCACATACACCATAGTAAGAAACATGATGTGCTGAAGTGTAAACTTTAGGGAACACTTATATTTAAGTGTTGGACAAATGAAAACATGCTAGAAAAGCAGCGTCAGAACTCAGAGGAGGAGAAGTAGGTCATGGTATCTTGTAAAGATGCCAAAGGAGGAAAGCATTTTCGGGAAGGCATGGCCAGTAATGAGGGACCCTGCAGAGGTTGGTGTAAGCTGGAGAGGAGCTTGGCTTGAGAAAAGGGCCAAGAATCAATGGTGGTTAGAGGCGCTAGTAGTCAAGGAAAATGAAGCTTAAGAAAGTTCTATTTAATTTAGCACAGTATTAGTGTACTTTAGTGGAGCAGTTTCATTAGGTGTGAGGACACTGCCCAGATTACAGGAGCCAATATAGAGAATGTGAGAGAAAGGAGAGGCAGTAAAGAGTGATGCTCCTTTGAGAAGTTTTGCAGTCAGAGGAAGAAACTAGCTAGCTTAGGTTGGGAGAGGAGTTGAAGAGATAGATTTGAAACTCTTTAAAGTTTGGCAGAGGGGAGGAAATGAAAAGGAAGAGTTTGAATATATGAAGGAAATGGAACAGGCTGATACAGCAGGGTCCTGGAGACCCCAGGGAGGACTGAAAGGTTCCAAGAAACAGGGCTGCTTCAGAGTATGAGTCCTTCTCAAGAATAACATTTGGAGGAAAGAGGGAGGAGAGGTAAGGGAGCTCGTATCAGAGGGTCTCTGTTAATCCTGGACAGTAGGTACCCTGACAACCTACCAGGAGGATTCCGGTGGTACATTTAGAGTTTCATGGGAAATAGAAACAAATTCACATTATCTCCTTTTGTATGTTTCTAGAACAGTTTAGAGGCTGCTGACTTATCTTTGAGATCCTTCAAAGCTCTTTGGAGAGTATATATTTTATAAAGTCAAAATAGTCCACCTTATTTTACCCATCCCCCAAATGGATTTATAGCCCTTTGCTCATCTTAGAAACTTGGAAGATGCTCATTTTGAATCTGTGTATTATGAAACAGCCATTGCAATCAAATTGATCTCTCCAAGTGGTAATTAGCTCTCCCTCAGATTGTTTTCTGCCTGTGACATTTTGCCGTGAGTTTTCTGTGGCAGCCCTGGGTGAGTGAGTATAAAGCCAGGAGCCAAAGCAACTCCAGGCCAGGCTGCCAGCAAACTGTTTCCTCCCCAAATGTCAATGCGTCTGGTTATAAAGGCTCATCATACATCACTTTAAAAGGACACTTCTCTTTGGATCATTTCAAAGTCAGATAACATTATTCCAGACAAATAGCCAAGATTAAAATTGCCATTATACCCTTAGGAGTGGTGTGTATCCAAATGAACCTTATTTATTTATTTATGTTTAAAAACTCCAGCTAAGGAAAGTTAAGGAAAGTTGTTGTTTTTTTGTTTGTTTTGTTTGTTTGTTTGTTTGTTTTTGAGACAGAGTTTCACTCTTGTCGCCCAGGCTGGAGTGCAATGGCGTGATCTCGCTCACTGCAACCTCTGCCTCCCGGGTTCAAGCAATTCTCCTGCCTCAGTCTCCCAAGTAGCTGGGATTACAGGCATGCGCCATCATGCCCGGCTCATTTTTGTATTTTTAGTAGAGATGGGGTTTCTCCATGGTGGTCAGGCTGGTCTTGAAGGAAAGCTTTTAAAGTAAGGATGTGCCATCACCCTTAAAAAATGTCCATACTTTTATTCCATGTAGGAAAACAGATTCCACGGTGGTCTTGCCATTTGGATTACATCTGTGAGCACCATCAGTTGAAATATGTATAAGTTCTCGTCTAATATATATGCTGTATCTTGTGTTGTTAGACTAGAAAGGTTTTGCTTTAGGTGTGAGAGATTAAACAACAAACAACCAAAGCAGTCGTTTGAAGAGGATGGAAGTATATTCCTCTCTCATTTAAGAGTCTACAGGTATGTAAACCGTGGTTGTTATGGCAGCTCTTCTCTGTGAAGTCCTTAGGGACTCCAGGTTCTGTCCAGCTCAATGGGGCCTTATGCTCATAATCCAATATGGCAGATTTCACATTCCAAACAGTATTACAGAAGAAGAGATAAAGAAGACCATGGGAAAGAGATACATTGGCGAGAAGCACCAAAATTTACCACAAGAATTTTTTGCCAAAATTTAGTCATGCCGCCAGAATTTAGTCACATGGCCATACCTGGCTGTAAAAAAGGGTGAGAAATATATTTTTTTCTAAATGCTCAGGAACTAACCTAAAATGTAGAAGTTACATTACGGATCTCAACTAGGAGGTGGCCACATAGGCATCTCCTCCTCTGCAAATGCCCTGAAAGGGAATATTCATCGGCATGATTATTAACAAGAAGGTAACCTACTAGATTAGAGAAAAATGTGAGGAAGTTTATTTGACCAGAAAACAAATAGAAACTAGCTCTAGGCCTCAAAAAAGAGCTAAGGGTTCTTCATCATCCCTCTCAAAATACAAATTGGTTAACACCCTCTGTCTTCACTTTTACTCTTGCATGTGTGGTCTCAACATCCACCTAAGATCATCAATGCTTTGAAGGTCAGCTGCAGAGGGAAGCGGAATAGTAGCTATGGAGTGACAACTTTGTGCATGTAATTGTTAAGTTGAAAATATATGTTCTACTTATACTTATTTAGCATAACAACAGCCTGGAAAGCCAAAACCATTTACTTAATATTAACTTAGCAGCTAACTTGGAATTAGGAACAAAAAGTATTGCATTCCAGAGATTAATATTTTTGTGTGTTCTAGCATTTTCTATCCTTAAAAATCTGTTTTTAAATTTTGACTCAGGGTTAAAGAAGAAGTAAACCAATATTTAATAACTGGATAGTATCTATGACACATGGAAAACTCTTGGTAGGGAAAGAAGTTGTGGTGTTTACTTATGTCATTAACATGACATTTAAGCACCCATTAGTAATTAGTTCTCTACCATACCAAAGGTAATGAGTGAGTCAATATTCATCTATTTTTATAAAATACATTACACTTTAAAAAGCCTTTAATCCTATCATTTAGCATGGTTTTCTTTCATCATTATAGTTCTCAGTGCTTGTAAGTGGCTTTGCCATTGACAACTGAGTTGCTGGGTTTCATCTGTTTGCAAGGGGGAGGAGAGGAGTAGTGGAAATCGATAGTACTTGTCTTGCCATTGATTACTTTTCTAATTCTGCTTGGAAGCTTGTTTCACCATGATAACCACACTTCTCATCTTCTCTAATGCTGAAGAGCAATAGGAAGATGATTGGTAGCATAACATATAGCATCTCTTTTAAATTTCTTCCTCTCCTTTTCCCTCCTCCCCTCCTCTCCTGTTTCCTCTTCTCGGTCTCTCCATAAATCTTTCTCTTTCCTTCCTTGCTTCCTTCCTCTTTCTGTTTCTTTCTTTTCCCATTCCCTTCCCTTCTTTTCCTCCCTTTCCTGAGCTTTCTTTAACTTTTCTTTATTTCCCTGTTACTCTCAAACTTAAAGAAAACAAACACATCCAAATGGTGAATCAGACTTTGCAGCATAGAGATAATAAGTCTGAAGCAAATTCTAGATCTAAGCCTTTCAGTTCTGGATCCAAGATTAGATTGCTTAGACAATCAATGAGAACAGAGTCATACATTAAAAGATAAATGGAAAGAAAAGAGAAACACTGACACATACAAAGAAGAAGGTGAAAATAGCTTCTTTTACTTCAAAGAGAAAGCTCTATACAGTAATAGGGCAGGTAGTTTACAAATTTGAAAGTATATTTTATCAGTAAAAAATTTTGATCTCTCATCTCCAGTGTATGCATATTTATAAGCTTTTCAATAATATCTTCTGGCATTAAAATATTAAACATTAGATAATTAAAAGGATTTGCTGTAAAATATATATGAATATTTCTTTCTCTATCATCTTACTATTCTTCAATAGACTGCTCTCTCTTTTTTCCCACTCCACCTTAGACACCTTTAATATGTATGTATTTGGTGTGAGCACAAGTTCTGAAAAGTGTTGAACTTTCCAAATGCCAACCCTTAAGCAGTGATTCTCAGACAGTCAGCTGACTGATTGGGGTTTTGAACCCCCTGGGAATATATAAGCATGAGTGCCCAATAATTTGCTCATAGATTCCAAGAGCTCAACTGAGAAACTTAGGATAGTTGTGTCTAACTGGAATGTAGTTCCTTGATTATTACAAAGCAACAGGAAGGGTGGTAGTGGTGTTTTATATCCTGGGATAGAGGATGGTGGGTTAAGACTCCTTAAAGCTGGAGGAGTTGAACTTTTGTGGGTTATCAGAAGCACCCAAGTGAAATTTTACTACAATATATGTGCATTTCATAAAATGGGACTAGTCAGTATACACAGTATTTAGAAAAGTGTTGATGGGTCTTACTCTCTCTAATTATATTCAGCACACATCACTTGTCACCTTCCATGCTTTAGGAACTGCATCAGATGTTATAGAAGTAATAAATAGTTGAGTAAGTCACTGGGACATCCATGACTTCACAAGTAACAGAGAGACTCAATATGAAAATTAAAAAGCAATCTAAGAGAATATGATATAGTTGTGAATCAGGTTCAGAAGAAGCAGGTGAGAAATGATTAACTCCAGAAAGAGGCATTTAAAGAAAGGTAGATTCGATCTTGGCTTTGAAAAATTCAGGTAATAAACATAAATGGGATGAGGCAAAGAGATACGGTATGACAAAGTTTTGGTTCTAATTTCACCATTAATTAGTTCTGTTGACTTGGTCAGAATATTTACTTGATTGAAACTTCGACTTTTTATCTTTAAAATTAGACCTTTTGACTTTATGGTCTTCAACAAGTCAGCAAATTTATTTGTGCACCCATTACATTTTAGGGGAAATAACAATGAATAAGACAGTACTTTCCCTTAGGGAGCTTTCAATCTATTAGCGGAAAAAGACAAGCAGACAAATTACTAGACTTAAGGCTGTTTTTGTGAAAAATCTGGCAGCCTAGGAAGTCAATAAGGAAACACTGATAATGGTTATCATGATTACAACAACTGGTATTTCCTCATAATTATATGTACCAGCTTTACCTGCATGACTCAAATTACCTCATGTAACTAACATGGAAAGTCTAGGAGTTTCTTCTGCATCCTCTTCTTCATCATCTTCTTCCTCTTCTCCCCATTTTATGGAAGAAGGAACTAAAGCTTGGACAGGTTAGGCAATGCTCCCAGGTAACAAGGTAGTTAGTGCTAAAGTTGATGTTTGAGTGCAAAACAGCCAGTGATAGATTCTGAGATATTTATCACTACACTCTGTGACCTACTTCATTGTTCTCTATAGCTATGATTATGGAAAGCACTCAGGGCTTGACTTGATGAAAGCAAGAAGATAGCATGGTAGACAAGTGATCCATGTCAGAGATTTTTGCAGTTATTAGAGATTCAACCATAAAACTAAGATTAAGGAGCAGCATATTGGATCCACCATTTAAGAATTGAGGGAAGTTGGAGCAGTAGATAAGATTACAAGGTAGGGATATACAGGCTTTGTAAAAAGAACCAGAAGCACACCTACTGAAACTGGAGTTCAGTGCAAGAATTAACTATTAGGAACAAGGCGTGAACCCAAGTACTGGAAGAGGATACAAAATTAGAGAAGTGCTAATGGCAAATTGTGGTATAAGAGGTTGTTATAATGCCTCCAGGTAGTGGATCTCTGACTTTGGGTTAGATTGAGCCTAAAGCCTGGAGTAGATTATATTCTGTGAGTGATGATATGGCATGTGGTTTGAGAACACTTGCTTCAACATGTACATGCCTATTTTGTAATGCCATTTACACCACTTACTCAATGTAAGCTATAATTTGACTTCTCTGAGCCTCAGTTTTGTTGCCTGTGAAGTGGGTAAAATGATATCTTTTGAGTTGTTGTATTCATCAAATTATTACATAATGTATATAAAGCACCTAGTATGGAATGTGGCACAAAGTTAGTGTATTGCCAAGAATTACTTCGGGAGCAAGTAACAGAAACCTCAAGATAACAATGGCTTAATTAGATAGAAATTAGATTTTCTCTCACATGAATGCAGGCAAGCTCAAGTGTGGCAGCTCGAAAGTCATCAAGGTCTCAAGTTCCTTGGTTACCTCTTGTTCTGCCATGTGTAGCATGTATTCCAGGTTGTGGTCAAGACGTTTACTCCAGCTCCAGCCATTATCTCTGCATTCCAGCCAACAGCAAGGAGGCTAAAGGCACTTCCTGGAAGTTGCAAATACATCCTTTGTTATGTTTTATTTGCCAAAACCTAGTCACATAGATAAACTAGTCACATGTGAATCTGGAAAATGTCTTTAGTCCATGTAACCATGCCCAAGGCTGAATTTTGGGTGTTACATTACTGTAAAAGAAGGAGAGAATGGATATTGAGAGAGAAGTAGAGTCTCTGGCACAGTTTGTAATGATACCACAAGGAGAAGTACTTTAGTAGTTATAGTACTTAATATGGGAGTAGTAAGACACTCCATTTGTGGGAATTAGATGAATTAAATGAAAACTCTAGAGGAAATTGGAATTTTGAATAGCCAGTCCTGAAGAAGCTCAGGTTTATACATAGGACTCGATTAGTAGAAGTCAGGAATTGAAGTTTGACTTTTACAGTTAAATACAGCTAACTAATTACCAAGCCTGTTTCCTCTTTTTACTGAACTCAGAGTTAGGCAATATTTTTCAGTTTCCCTTGCAGTTAGGGATGGGCATAGCATGGAACACTAGCTGATGAAATATGAGTAGAAAGATTATAACCCTCACAGGCCTGGCTCATATAAAACTTTCCTTGAGTGATCTTCCGGGTTCTTTTTCCTTCTAAAGTAAGCTAGGAATCCACTAGTTTAACATAGCAAAGCATAAAATAGAAGGAGCCTGGATCCCTGCATCACTGCCTGGGGAACAGTAAAATTCAGAAGAGTTTCTTTTGTAGAGATAAAACTTCCTTGATAAAACCTTCTAATGGCTTTCGAGTGTGCTTGGAATAAAATTACAATTCCTAATCAGGGCTTTCAGGACCCTACGTGAAGCAGTCCACGCTTCTGTCTATACTCACTTCTCATTTGTTGCTCCTCTATCATCACTTTACTGGTTCACTGTTCCCTCATGATATTGACCCTCTATCTGCTTTTGAGACATGATAAGCTCATGCTTATTTCAGAGTCCTCTCTCTTATTCTTTCATGGCGGAATCCATTCACTTTATTCAGGTCTAAGCTTAGAACTCTTTTCTAAAATGAGTTTCTTCTTGTACCCAGTCCCTATCTTTCTTGCTGCCTTTAAAAAATTTATCTTTAATGTTTATTGTGATTATCTATCTATCTCTCTATCTATCTATCATCTTTCCATCCATCTGGCCTCCTTAAAGTAGCATGTAATATTCATGATAGCAAGGACCTTGTCTATTTTGTTATTTGTTATTCTGCATCCCAGCACTAGGATAGAGCTTTGTGCATTGTAAACATTCAGTAAATATTCATGGAAAGATTCAAGAAGGTTTTTATTTCTTATTTTTCAAACTGAAAATTTCCCCTTATCAAATATAGAAACTTTTTCTTCTGCATAATGGGATTTAGGGATCTATGTTATTGCAATGGACTGGAGAGCATAGATTCATGTATGTGCTGGGTGCTATAAGTGCTTGATAAATAACACAGATATTATTTAAATACAATATATACTGTATATGTGTATACATCAAATAGACATAGTATTATTCAGTATATACATAGAGTGTACAATAATTGTGAATTGATGTAAAATCTAGACATTTTATGGTTTCTAAATCTCCTCATCTAGACTGTAAGTTATTTGATGTCAGGGGCCAATTCTCCTATGTTGTTCTATCCTCTCAATACATTATAGTTAGTGATTATTGGAAACATCTGCTTATTAACTGAAGAAGAAAGCATTAGTAATAATTTATATTCTCACATGACTACTCTAGAATTATTTCCAACAAAGAAATAATTTACTGACTATCAGGTGCATGATAGTCGTACTTTTCTCTTTGCCCTGCTGGGATGAAGTACCAGTCATAATGGTACCCCCTAATAATTTCCAGTGCAAAGAAGAGGGTAAGATGTAGTATGGGGGCTTCTGAAGATCGAGGGGGGATCTATGTTAGGTGTATTTAGCTAGCTGGTAGGGTTGATTGGCTTATGTGGTAGATAATTTATAAATAAAAGAGAAAATGAGGTTGTGCAAGGTAGACAGAGATACATCTAAAACAAGTAAATTAATTAAAAATTAATTGATAAAAATGCGAAAAAAAAGCCAACAAAAAGCTGGCTACAAAAATCAGCCAGAAGGCCAACATACCAGATATGATACAGAACTTCCAGCTTATGTGCAAAAATATCTCTAAAAACCTCAGTTTTCATGTGGGGACTGCTGCTTTCCTAGCCAACTCTACCTTTGCTACTCAAAATATTAAAGACAGTTTAAACTTTACACATTTATTATTTATTATTTCTTTTGGTGATAACATTCAAAATCCTCTCTTTTATCTTTATATCTTGTATATCTTTAAATATACAATACATTGTTATTAGCTATAGTTACCCTACTGTATAAGATTTTTTCTTTAACATATGTGGAAAGTTACTGGTAAAAATAATCCAGAACATATTGTGATTTTTACCTTTGGGTCTATCTCTTATGGGCAAGAATAATTATCCTCTGTCAAGGCAACTGCGTCACCTGATCATTGGATCCGCACCTGTTCTTCACTGGCAAAGCAGTTAATAGTCTCAAGTTCCCTAGTGAAAACAACATAAAAACATTCTCTGGTACACCTTTTCATTATTTTGCAAAATATAAAAAACCCAACCAACGAAACAAACAAACAAAACATGGTCATACATTGCTCATCTGGCTCTAACTATACGGCTTCCTGAGGGCTATTTAGTTTTATGGGAAGACTGAATTCGTATTGCTCCTGAGATAAATGCAGACATGTCCTTTTCTGAGGGGAAAATATGCTGGCTGAACAAGGAAGCGCTAGCTCATCTTTGATGGGCCCAAGGGAAGTCAATGAGTCATTAAGATGAGCAAAGCTCTCGACTGATCTTAAGAGAAATGTGGGAAAGTTCTGATGAATCTATGTGTAAAGGTTCAGCAAGTGTCTGATTTGGAAGCATCTTTTTAAGCATAAATGCAGTGTAAAGAATAATGAAGGAAAATGGATATAGCTCTGACTACCTAATTGAAAAATATTATTTGGAGATTAATATCACAAACATTCATTCATTCTATACACATTTAATGAGGGCTTTATTTTATTTGTTTCAGGTCTTGTGTGAGGGCCTGGATATACAGTGCTGAGTAAAACACAGAGAGGGTCCATGCCTGCTTGGACCACAGAACATCTAGAGAAAAAGACAGACTTTGAAAAATATTCAGGTGGGGTATTCTGGGAATATGGTTACCCAAACACAACTTTCTTCCCATCCCCCTATTTCTATAATCTAAATCCAGGTTACTTGTCTCTACTGATACAAATGGCTCCAGGGTCCTATAAGTAGATGTGTAAAGTTGGTGCTATGAGCGTTGTCGGCATCCTAGTGGAGAAAACTGGTATCGGGATGTTTTCCCTAAGGCCTGGAATGCAGCTGGAGATAACCATGACAGCCTCAGTGTAAGATCAGAGAGCAGTGGATCCTGTAAGAACTTGGCCTTCAGAGATGTGTAACCACTCATGTAGAAGGTTCTCACTAGCTGCAGAATAACTTGCCAAGTCTCCTTGAATGCATGAGGCAACTAGCAGCTGAATGGACGACTGAGTACCCTCAAGTTTGGAGAGGACAGGAACACCCAAGAACAAGGAGTCTTCCTGGAAGTCAGCAGTGAACTGGCTTATGTACCATTAGCACATAGGACACTTTTCCTCCCACTGCTTATGAGAATGCTGCCACTTAGGGAGCTTTTATGTTGGCAGAGCCCTAATGAACAGATACAGAGAAACAGCCACCCATCTATAGGGACAAAAGCCAGGAAAAGGGAGATCAATTAGAGCAAATAGAACCCGTCCCTAGTGAAATGAGAGCATCTGGAAGGGAAAAAAAATGAAGAGAAAAATAAGGACACTTTTTGGATCAAAGCATTGTTTTCACAACTCTACAATTCAGTATATAAATGAAGGAGAGAAGGATTTCTGCTAAAACCTGAATTATTAGCCTGAACATCAAGTTTAAAAAAATATTCCAAAGCACAGAGGCAAGTATAGATTAAAGATATAAAATGGAAACCATAAGAGAGTTAGTGGATAGATGTGAGAGAATTAAAAAGTGAAAAATAGAGATTGCAGGAGGAGAATGGAACAGATACAAGAAAGGAAATAACTATCTTGAAGTTGTTTTTTTTTGTCTGAGCTGAAGAAAGTCCAAGTTACCAATTGAAAAGGCTTAATAAATTCCAGACAGGATGGATGGGAAAATGCACTCACCTAGGCAAATTCTGGTAAAACTCCCAAGCTTGCAAGCATCCATTCAGAGAAACAAGCAGTTTATAGAGGCACAGAAAATCAAATTCATGTTGGACATCCCATTCACAACTGAAATGAAAGCCAGTGAAATAGCAACTATAGATTACTAGGAGAAAAGAACTACCACACAAAAATCCAAACCCAGCTGTCTGTCATTTATTCATCAGGGCAGAAGATTTGGGGGACCTGCAATGTTCTTGAATGATGAGACTCAGTATCACAAAATTTAAGTTTTTCAGAAATTAATTTGTAAGTGTCATACATTTATAACTTGGTAGAGTGCCAACAACTTTATTTGTAAGTAGAGGAAATTGGATTAAATAGCTTTAAATATAAATAGTATTAAATATTAAAATATAGCCAAATATATAAATTATGGTATGACTCTTTTTAAAATCAGATATCATAATACTAAAAAACAAAGCCTTTATAACCACATCAACATAATATTGACACAGGACTAAACAAGTTATGGAAGAAAATAGAAAATGCAGAAATAGACCATATAATTGTGTACGTGAATTTATCACATGCCAAAAGTAATACTTTGATTTAGTGGGAAAAAGATGAATTATTCAATAAGCAATGCTGGGCCAACTGGCTATTCATTTTGGAATAAATAATAGGGAACACAAATTTTATGCCACATACAAAGTACAAGTAGATTAACATTAAATTCAAGAGAAAAATATTAAAACATTATCATTCTCAGTAAACTATCACAAGAACAAAAAACCAAACACTGCATATTCTCACTCATAGGTGGGAATTGAACAATGAGAACATATGGACACAGGAAGGGGAACATCACACTCTGGGGATTGTTGTGGGGTGGGGGAGGGGGGAGGGATAACATTGGGAGATATACCTAATGCTAGATGACGAGTTAGTGCGTGCAGCACACCAGCATGGCACATGTATACATATGTAACTAACCTGCACATTGTGCACATGTACCCTAAAACTTATAATAATAAAAAAAACATTAAACATCTTGTGAAAAACATTAAAAATGCATGTGAAATCAAAAAGATGCTTGCTTAACCAACACAGAGAAAGCAGAGACATATAAGAAGGAATAAACATCTTTGACTATTTGAAATGTGAAATTTTTATACAAAATATTACAATGTTGATACATAAATGTTTGATCTGGAATAAAAAACAATGTAATATATATAGCACACAGTTAATATCTATAATATACCAAAAATATTTTACAAAGTGACAAAGAAAAACAAGGCAAAGGAAAATAGGCAATCTAGTAGATAGGCAATACACAGGAAAGGATAAATCCAAATAGGCAACAAATTCATAGGAAGATTTCCAGCTTCATTAACAGTAAGGGGAATGCAAATTTAAATAACCATGATATATAGTTTCATGCTCATTACGCTGTAAATATATTTATAATTTCTGGCCAGTACATGAAGAAAATAGAATTTTATATATCACTTGTAGAAATATAAGACTTTACAGCCTTTTAAAAGAACTTGATCTGACCACATCTATAACAATATAAAATACATGTGTTCTTAAAAGTGGTATATAATCCTTGGATACTAGCTACTAGAGATAAAGCATCAGCACATAAAGTGTATATCTGTAAGGATTTTTATTTCATCATTGTGCAGAGTAGCTAAAAACTGGGAACAAAGTTAATATTCAATAATAGATAAATAATTTAATTTTTTTTGAGATGGATTCATTCTGTTGCCCAGGCTGGAGTGCAGTGGTGCAAGCATGGCTCACTGCAACCTCTGTTTCCTAGGTTCAAAATTTCTCCCACCTTAGCTTCCCAATCAACTGGGATTACGGCAGGCACCACCATGCCTGGCTAATTTTTGTATTTTTACTAGAGATGGGATTTCACCACATTGGCCAGGCTGGTCTTGAACTCCTGGCCTCATGTGATCTGCCCAGCTTGGCCTCCCAGAGTGCTGAGATTACAGGAGAAATGATTGAGTATATTAGCATTCATCTGTAGCATGGAATATCATGTGGCCATAAAAAAATGAATACTTGTCTTAGAGACTATCCTGTAGTATTATTGAATGACAACAGTGAAATACAGGAAGGTGTGTAGAAAAAGGACAAATGATGGAATATTATTCAGCCATAAAAAATAATAAAATCTTGTTATTTGCAGCAACATGTACAAACCTGAAGGAGGTTAAGTGAAATAAGCCAGGCACGGAAAGACAAATGTTCCATGTTCTCACTCATATGTGGGAGCTGAAACAACTGATTTCACAAAGGTGGTAAATAGAACGGTGATTACCAAAAGCAGGGAAAGGAGAGGGTGGGTAGAGTTGAAGAAAGGTTGGTTAATGGATATAAAAATACAGTTAGAAGGACTAAATTCTAGTGTTTGATAGCACAGTAGGGTGACAACAGTTAACTAATTTATTGTATATTTCAAAAGAACTCGAAGACAAGATTTGGACTGTCCCCAACACAAAAAAATGATAAATATTTGAAGCGATCAATACCCAATTATATTGATTTGATCATTACACACTGTATGCATGTATCAAAATATATGTACATAAATGTGTAGAACTATAATATTTTAATAAAAAATAAAATTAAAAATACATTCTAAAAGAAAAATAATTTCATACATTGTGATAAGTGTTATGAAGAACTTCAGGGAGCTAGAATGGCATATAAAATATGCTTTCCTAGAGGAAGTGACATTTAAAATAAGACACAAAGAATATATAACTATTGGCTAGGTAAAGAGGGAGGAGAATAGTGTTCCAGATAGAATGGCACATGAACAGGTTGCATGTTGGGAGAGAATTCATATTGGCACCAAGGAGGAATTATGAGAATTCTAGAATGATAGGAACTTTGTAAAGGAAGAGCAGCCCAGCTTCAGATGAGATTGGAGGGGTGGGCAAATGGGCATGTTTTTAACACGTAAAAAAGCTTGGTTTTATCCCAAGAATGATGAGCAGTCTGTAAAGGGCTTAATTACGGCAGGAAACACCATATTATTAGTGTTTTAAGAAGGTGACACTGGCTATTTGTTTAGGTGGCATTTGTATTGTAGTGGGTAACAGTGAATGTGGATTGCTTGGTTTACAGAACTGAAAGGCTTGGCCACTCAAAGGTAAGTTGGATAAGGATAGAGGTAGTGACGTTGGAAAGAAGAAAAATAATTTTATTTTATTTTTATTATTTTTAAAATTATTTTATTTCATTTCATGTTAGACAGGGTCTCTCTGTTGTCCAGGCTACAGTGCAGTGGTGCAATCATAGCTCACTGCAGCCTCGATCTCCTGGGCTCAAATGATCCTCCCATCTCAGCCTCCGAAGTAGCTGGAACTACAGGTATGCACCACTGCACTTGACTATGTTTACTTTTATTTTTTGTAGAGACAGGGTCGTCTTTTGCTGCCCAGGCTGGTCTCTCCTGGTGTCAAGCAATCCTCTCACCTTGGCCTTCCAAAAGAAAAAAGATTTCAAATATAATCCATGTTCCAGTTAAAAAGTTTTACAAGTATGTTAGGCAACAGTGTTATTAAAATTAGTAAAATTGGAAACAATCTAACTTTAGAAAATGATAAAAACAAATTTTAGAATACCCTTTTGATATACTATTTGTATTCTACAAAGATTAAAATTATGTCAGCAAAGAAAATATAATGGCAAGAAAAATAATAGTGATAAAATGTTTAAGGCAATGTTTGTACAGTGTATATTGTGATCCTAGCTATATAAAAAAAAGTATTTGTATGTATGTATGTATGTATGTATGTATACGTCAATTCAGAAAGTGATTATGATTTCCCATTATAATTTTTTGTGGTTTCCAAATTTTCTCCAGTGACTACAAATTACTCTCTTAATCAGATTTTTAAATAATAGGAGGATTAAAAGCTGCTTAATCATGGATCTTTCAGATGTTTATTCAGATGGCTGAATTAGTCAACTTTGTTTTATCTTCTTTAAAAAAATTCTTCATCTGTACTCAGATTTCAAGTTATTTTCATCGTTATTTTCTTTAAGCCTTTTAATATGTAGAATAAGTTCATTTACTAAAAACATAGGCAGATTTTAATTAACTTCAGAATTTAAGAGCCATTTCTTATTTCTAGTTTACTTCGCTGAAATTCTGGAACCCAAGTTACTGAATCCAACATACTATAAATGCCTATTTTTAGAGCGTCATAAAAAATTTCAGTTGTAAAAAGTTCAAAAGCAGTGAGAGAAACAACAATGGTGAGAGTTAGTTAAATCATAATTCTGAAATCTGCCTATGTGAAGAACAAACTTTTATTCTTAACATAGATGTGGAAACTTTAAAGTGTTGATTAGATAGAATATTCTGTCACAAATAGCAAGAAAAGTCAGTTCTATTTGGATTTTCATAGTTTAGACATGGCTGGGTTTTGACCACAGGGATGATAAACTGAGAAATGTATATTCTCATATGTGAAGTAAGAGAAATTTTACATTTGTGATATATGTTTATAATGCCATATAACACACGCATAATAATACATATTAAAGTATTATATATATTTCAAAATTTCCCAACCGTTTTCAAATTTTTAACATGCTTCTAAGATATATAAAAATAAATTCATGAAAGTTAATGAGATTTTCTTCTTACTTATAAAGGTATTAAAATATATATATGAAAGTATGAATCAGCATTTTACTTTCATTTTGATCTCATAAATATTTCATATTGTGGTTTTCCTATATTTCATTTAGAATTATATTCCCATGGATATCTCTTTCTAGTTAAAAACTATGTATTTATGATATAATACAGTAAAATAATATTCACATATTTTTATATATTTTACCTGCCTTTGGATTATCACATGGAATTAATTCTCATAGTGAATATCTAAGCTGTAAGAAACAAAAAAAAAGTTGTATTAAGTAGAGTACCTAGGAGAGTACTGTATAAGTTGTACATGTACATACACTGTCATCCTTCCATATCCATGGGGGATTGGTTTCAAGCCTACCCCACCCTAACGCCCCTTTCCACTGGGCAGATACCAAAATCCACAGATGCTCAAGTCCCTTATATGAAATGGTGTATTATTTGCATACAACCTGTGAACATCCCCTTGTATAGTTTAAATCATCTCTAGAGTACTTATAATACCTAATACAATGTCAGTGCTATGTTAAGCAGTTGTTTTACTGTACCGTTTAGGGACTAATAACAAGAAAAAAAGTTTTTACATGTTTTGCACAGATGCAAGCACCCATTTTTTATCAAATATTTTTTACTGTGATTGTTTGAAGCTATGAATACATAACCTATGCTACAGAGGGCTGACTATATGTACGCACACACACACACACACACACACACACACACTTATATGCATATATATACGTATAAATATTTCCAAGTATATTTATGTTCATAAATATTCTAAATTATAGGTATGTAAGTATTTATAATTCTTATACATTTAAACTTCTATGCATAGAACCAAATCATAAGGTATTAGCTGGGCATAGATGCCGAAAAATATTTTAAATAGCTAACCCTTTGCTTATATGCAAATACTGCAATTAAAGCAGTATTTTTCTTTCATAAATTCTCTAAGTAGTTGGCAGAATTTAACTTTTAAGCAGGTTAAATAGTTCCCTTGTTTACACTATTGGAACTTTGCAACTAAAAGATATTATCTAGGAAGGTAAATTAAAGCTCAACCTGTTTGAACTACTACATATCCCAAAATAATAGAATCAGAAAATGAGATTTTGCTGAATTACGTATTAGTTGATTATAATACAATGGTTTGATAAAGGCATATTTGATTCGGTTAATTCATTGTGTGAATATTCAGTAAATGCCAGTGGGATAAAATTACACCGAAGGGAGGAATTATGAAAGCAAACTTTCCACTTGTTTTACATAAAATTTGCAATTTCACATCTTAAACTAATCATTACAATATTTGAAATTATATTTACATTGTGTTAACTTGATGGAATATGTTGAAAAATATGATTTATAAATTTTAGTTTACTCAGATTTAAGAGGATTCTCATTCATTTTGCAATATCATATCCTACCCTTTACAACCTAAAATCCCATAGTGAATTGTATATGTTGTTGCTTCTCCTGTTGTAGCCATACATCTAGGACCACAAAACACAGCAAAACAACACAGCAACAGTAAAAACCCTGGAAATTTGTTTGGAAACTAGAACTTACACAGAAAATAGTAGAAGACTTCGATTTTTATCTAGAGAAAATATTCTCTTTAGGACCAGCTAGCAGTTTAATGACTAAAAAATTTCTAAAATTTCTGTTTTTTCTCATTTTTGCTGGTAATGGAAAACAATTTCCATTAGAGGAATATAAAGCAAAGTTGGAAGCTGGCATAGTCATAGAATATTAGCAGTTATAAAAGCAACGTGTTAGATTCACTGACTGCTACTATTATTTCTCACATGAGTGTGTTAGACTCAGTTGACTCACTTCTGTTTGTACAGCAACCATTGGTGGGGTAGGATTGAAGCCAAAATTTTCATACTTTTTCTCTTATTTACCTTCTTTTGTAAAACCAATTTGTTCCATTTTAAAAGAGGCATATTCATACAGATTAGCTGTTCATATGTCACTTACCACTAGAGGGGACATGGTGAAATGATTTTAGATGGAAAATAAATACCATGTATTTTAATAGCTAAATATATATTTTGATATGTGCAAATACAACCACACTTATGTTTTCATTGGTGTTGCCTAGGATGTCTGCTTTAACTTTGCTTTAAATAAAATGAACCATAAAAAAATTTGAACAATATAACAAAAATATTATATATGCAATAGTACAGATGATACATCTATGGTTAGCATTCGAATGACATATGTGTATATATATATATATATATATATATATAAAATATCTAGGTTTTCTCATTTTTGCTGGTAATGGAACAAAATTTCCATTGGAGGAACAAAATTTCCATTGGAGGAACAAAATTTCCATTGGAGGAACAAAATTTATAATCTTGGTTTTTGAGTGATTAAAGTTTGTGAAATGTTGTTTTATGTTAAAAATATCCTTAGAACTGTGATGACCATAAAAGTTCCCTAGCAATCTAAATGATTGCGCCAAATAACATCAAAAAATAACATTAGAACTCTGATGACCGTAAGTTCTCTGGAAATCCAAATTATTGAGCCAAAAAATAATTGAAAGACTAATACAATTATTTACTTAAATTAACGTGTGTTTTTTAATTTTTGCCAACAGCATGCCGTTTAAAAGAAAAAAAAGTTACTCTTTTTCTCTTGTGTAAATTAATTGCCTTCTTTTCATCACCTTTGGTTTATACTCTCAGAATTTCCAAGCTGGACTAATATAAAAATCTTAGAATGATTTTTATGCCTCTAGTCTTGCTCCCTTCCAACTATATTCCATGATATTGAAAGATTTTTTTAAAATAAAACAAATTTAATAACTTTAATCTCCCATTTAAAAGAACCTCTTGGAATGGCATCATTTTGCTTGCAGAACAAAGTCAGGAATATTTAGTGGGACTCCTCTCCGACAGTTTCAGCCTTTGCCTTTGCATCCCCCTTTTTTTCATCTCTCTCCCCATTGGACAACTTTCTGTTTCCTGGTGTTTTTCTGTTCTAGAACTTCATCTAAAAGTTGCTGTATTTCAAGACTCAACTTGTTCATATAATCTTTCCCTCATTTAATGAATATTTATTGAGTGCTCCTTATATCATTTACTGTGCTCGGCAAAGTGCAAACAGACATGTTTCCTTACTGAAGTTTGCAGTTCAATGCAAGAGAAACATTAGGGTAGTTTATACAATTAAAATGGCACTACGGTTTTTGAAGAGAAAAAAACAACAAATCTCTGGTGATACAACAGAGTAAGAGGAGAAACTTTTATACAAGGGACGAGGGAAAATCTGCAGAGTTGATACTTAAAATGAGAGCTGGAGACCAGCCTGGGCAACATGAAAAAAACCCATCTCTACAAAAAATTAAAAAATTATCCAAGTGCAGTGGTGCATGCCTGTAGTCCCAGCTACTCAGGAGGCTGAGGTGGGAGGATCACTTAAGCCCAAGTCTGTGAGATTGAGGCCACAGTGAACCGAGATCACATCATTGCACTCCAGCCTGGGCAACAGAGCAATACCCTGTCTCAATAAATAAAATAAATAAATAAAATAAAAAATAAAATGAGACCTGAAGCCAAAAGACTGTCTCTATTAGTTTCCTGTTACTGCTGTAACAAATTACCATAAACTTAATGGCATCACACAACACAAATTTATTATGTTACAGTTCTGGAGGTCAGAAGTCATTGTCATGGGTCTTATGGGTCTAGAATCAAGCTGTGGCAGGGCTGCATTCCTTCTGGAGAACCTAGGGAACAACCTATTCCTTATTTTTTTCAAGATTCCAGAGGCTGCCCCTATTTCTTGGCCTGTGGCTGTCTTTCATTTTCAAAGCCAGCAGTCACATCCCTCTGACCTCTGCTTCCCTATCTTCATACCTCCTCTATTATTAAAAATTCATCAGAACTTTTTTCCCTTAGGTTTAAAATAGTGGTTAAGTATGTGGACACTGGCTCCAGGCCACATAGGTTGGAATCCCAGCTTTAATACTTACTGGCTGTGATATTGAGCACATCTAAAACACAAACACAAAAATAGACAAAACAACTTTTGATGCCTAGTTTCCTCAAATGTAAAGTGGGGCTGATGATGGCACTGACCTCAAAGGAATGTGCTGAAGATTAAAAGGATTAATGATGTAAAACTCTTAGACTGCTGCAAGGAGTACTAACTGCTATTATTATTATCATTAATAAATATTTATTGAGTGATGATTATAGTTGAGGCAGGGTTCAGCTGAAATTTCAACTATATCTAATTACTGTCTAATCAATCATGATTTCATGGAGCAGAAAAAAGATTTGAGGAACCACTGATACATTCATGTATATTTCATTAGTAGACTTTAAACACTTTGAGAACTATGTCATGCAACTAGAAGTACATGGGGATGGAGTTCAGCTTTAGTATTGACACTTTTTACTTGTAAAATGAGATTCTAAATATATACCTTAAAGTAACAACTGGGCCAGGTGCAGTGGCTCACACCTGTAATCCCAGCACTTTGGGAGGCCAGGCAGGTGGATCACCTGAGGTCAGGAGTTCGAGACCAGCCTGGCCAACATGGTAAAACCCCCATCTCTACTAAAAATACAAAAATTAGCTGGGTGTGGTGGGGGGCGCCTGTAATCCCAGCTACTCATGAGGCTGAGGCAGGAGAATTGCCTGAACCCATGAGGCGGAGGTTGCAGTGAGCCGAGATCATGCCATTGTACTCCAGCCCAGGTGACAAGAGCAAAACTCCATCTCAAAAAAAAAAACAAAAAGTAACAACTGATTTTGTGGCAAAACTTTGGCATTTCCAGAGATGACTAGCTTGGCTCTATGAAGATGGTCCAATGTCATCTAGCCTTTGATAATTTGATTGAAATTAATCTCAGTAATAAAAATAGAGGTTTTGCAGGAACAAGGTTGGATTTTGGGGTTAGGAGGTGGGAGGATCATTGCCTCAGCCACAGAGAAGAAGGCTTTCATTGTGCATTATCCTTCAAAGGTTAAAACGCTCTTTCAGTTCTTGTTCTATCCCCATATAAATGCCTCCCAGCACTCTTTTAACTGGTGGTGTTATACTTTTCTTAGTTGTAGGTAAATTACATTTTACTGTGGATGTTTTCCAAGATTTGTGACTAGGCTGTGTGGTTTATTATGTGCTTTCAGTTTTCTGTCAGGTTTTATATGTTTTAATCTTCAGAATTTCAGCAGATGGTGACTCTTTCTGGAGGTTAGATGAGCAATTAAAATGCTGTCTGGTTGCTTTGTGTCAGTGCATATGCTATTCACATTTCATGCTAAATGTGAACAAACCACACAGTCTTCTTTTCCTTACTTTCCTCTTTGGGAATTTAGGAATAGAAATATTCATTCTTCCTGACTGCTGTGAGGAATGAGTCATAGGAAAGATGTGACATCTAGCTCAGCTAATACCCACCAAAGCTAGGCAAAATCATAGGTCCTCAAGCCTGCTTCTAAAAGTAGTTTTACCAGTAACTGTTCTCCATAGGGGTTCACAGCATACAGTCAAATAACATTATGAACGCAGGTTGCAAATTAACCTTCAGAACAAGAAATTAATTATGCAGAAGTACTCCTTTGGGTGCATTAAAGATGAAAGTATCTGGTATAGATATTGTCTTCTGCTTTGTTAATAGTTGATACCCATTTTCAACTTTGCTGAACGTTAGATGCTACTCATATATGGAATTCATTCTAGCCTCACTACCTAGGACTCTGTTAAAAGTCAAAAGAGGTATTAAATTGCATTGGAACAATAGAGGATTTTGATTAAATTCAGCAAACATTTATTGCACATCACATATACAATGGAAAAGTTCTATACTTAGTATGAAGGGTCAATCTGGAGAATAAACAAAATGCAATCTTTGCCCCAAAGGAATTTGCAATGAATTTATAACAGACAGAAATATATTGCCAGTGCCTAGAGGGCACTCAATAAATGTTTATTAAACAATTGTTAAATGTCATGAGAGGAGTAAAGGACTGGGATTGGAGCACAGAGTAGGGATTGATTTTGAATGTGAGTCTTAGAGAAGACTTGACAAAAAGGGCAACATTTAAGATTGACTTTGAACAAAGTAGATTTGGCTGTTGATGAAAAAGTTGCTTTGCATCATAACTGGCACATTGTGGAAAACCATTTTGTGTATTCAGTGACTATGAGTAGCTTGGTGTTGTTGGAGTTTAAGTTTTCTAGGCCACAGAGAATAGTGAGATATGGAGCTAGAAAGCAAGTTTAAGCCCAGACGATAGAGGTCTAACATGCTAAAGAGTTTGGACTTTAGATAGTGACCAACACTAACCTTTGAAAATACAGGCAGTGGTGTGCTGGTTAACGTCTTGCCTAAAAACTTGATTTGTCACATTTGACAACTTTTATACTGTAAATACTCCCACTGTGACTGACTTCAAGCTGCCAACTGGACATCACTGAACTGTGAGCTGGGAAGATATGCAACTCTTGCCAACCAGCCTGAGCTAGCTGAAGGGCACATTGACAAGATTTGGCATGCTCAAATATCTATTTTAGAATGTTTATCTTGGCTCCTGGTTAATGAATAGATTGGAGACAGGAGTTGGAGAATCGGTTGGGAGACTAAACTATAACTCAAGTGCAAGTTGAAGAAAACTAAAGCTTGGAGTGGGGATGGAAAACTGAGATGGATGAAGGAGAAAATACTTAGCAGGGAAGGGTTTTCAGGTCCGGGGCCTAAAGATGGGTTCCGGGATGTCTGTGAACTCCCTGAAACTGTATATACTTTTTTGTGTGTATTTTTTGGGGAATGAGTTTTTATTAGACTTTCAATAGATCTATTACCTTCACTCTTAAAATTTAAGAATTGTAATTTTCAGGTAGAATACACAGAATTTGCCAAGCAGCTGTATATGGTGCAAAAGGAGATTGGGTGACATGAGAGAGTACAGTTGCTGATGATTTGGAGATTTGTAACTTGAGCAATTGGAAAGATTTTATACCATTTTCTGAGACAGGGAATGAAAAATAGAGGCAAAATCAGAGGATTCAATATCTTACTAAGTAAATGTAATACTTATAAGAGTTTTAGAACAAAATAACAAGATACAGCAGAGCACAATAGGTAAAACACAAGAAAATTGGACGCTAACATGAATTTTATTACTATGTTGAATGCAGATATGGGATCTCAGTATATATTTTGTTATGAAAACATGATTTTTATTATATCTCCAGGCCATCTCAAAGACCCTATCTATGAGGAAGAAGAAAAGAAGTAGAAAGAGGAAGAGAAGAAGGAAAAAAAATAAAGAATAGGGAAGAGGAAGAAAAAGACAAAGAGACTCAAGCCCTATCCTAAGTTTGTTTTGTTTTATTTTCAAAGCAATATGTGATAGCAGGTCTCAGAGTTAGGAGGAAGTGCCGTATAATGGAAAGAACACAGGCTAAGAAGCAAAGTTTAATTTATATCTTATTTGCTTTATGACCTTCAGGAAGTAATTTAACCTCTCTAATTCTCATTTTCCTCATTTCCAAAATGAAACAACTAAAATTTACTTTTCAAAACTATTGTAAATATTGAAGATGAGGTCTATAAAGAAGCTGGTGATAATTGTTTAAACAGGCTCTTATAATCAAAACAAGGTAATTCCTTGGTACTTATTATAACAGAACCTGATTCACATAATCTCTCTCTCTCTCTCTCTCTCACACACGCACACACACACACACACACTTTAACTTTTAGCATGCATAAAAAATTAGAAGATATAGGTAAATAAAATTTGACTTCAGTAGGCTTTTGCTATTTCATGATTTCTCTCCAATCCAGTATCACTTTAACTTGTGGATATATAAAAAAACAAAAGAAAAAAAAAATCAGTGGGACTCCTGTCTGCTCTTCCACTAATTGATTTAAATGAAAACTGACTTTATTGGTTGATAATCAATATGGAGTTGAGAAGGCAGTACCCCAGGGTTTAGGATTTGAGCAATATCATTTTTGTGATTTGCCTTTGGCCTTCTTTTATGTTACTGAAACACGACTGTTTAAAATAAATCTTTGTGAATTGAAGAAGCATTTTATTTCTTATCCTGAATAAAAAAAAATATTACTGTAATAGACCCCATGGCTTTCTCCTAGACATATAAAAAAGTTTGAATTTAAGACATAAAGTGGTTCAAGTGGTTTTCTAGGGCTGCCATAACAAATTACTACAAATTTGGTTTAAAACAACAGAAATGTATTGTCCTACAGTTACGGAGACCAGAATCTAACATGAAGGTGTCTATACTCTAAAGAAGAATCTGTACCTTGACTTTTACAGCTCTGGTCACTGCAGGTATTTCTTGGTGTTCCTTGGCTTGTGACCACATTACTTCAGTCTCTACCTCTGTCTTCACTTCACTTGTATGTGTGTGTCTTGTTTGTGTGTGTGTCACCCTTTGCCTCTCTCTCCTAAGGACACTACTATGGCATTTAGGGTCCAGAATGATCCAAAATATTATCTTCATCTCAAGATTCTTAACTTAATCATATTTGTAACGAGCCTTTTTCCAAATAAGATAACATTACTATTTTGACACATAAGATTATATTCAGGGGTTTCAGGGATTAGAAGGTGACTATATATTTGGGAGGCCATTTTTTTCAGACTACCACAATGGTTGCCATGAGTTTAAACAGAAGTATTTCCTAAAATAAATTCTTTAAAAAAATTGCTGGGAGTACAACATAAATTATTTGAAAAGAGACAGAAACAAGAGACAAGATTATCTTAGAGATAAGAGATGCCTACTTTACTTTGGTCCTGCTTTAAGTCTCCATGCATTTGTGGATTTGTTATGCCATTAATAACTAGGGATTACTTTTGTCTATGTTCCACAATTTCAAATTTAGTAGGATAAAAGAATCTAGCCACACCACGAGAAGCTACAAAAAAGGTATTGGGAGTTCACACAGCTGGCCTGCAGTGAAGAGCTGAAACATGTCTAGTTCAATGAATTAATTAATATGTTATTTATGAAGGCCTACATGTGCCTTTCATTTATCACCTTCCTCACTGAGATATTTCAGCTTTGCTAGGGAAGCTGGAAATGATTAGTGCCACTGGGTATCATGTACATAGAAGATATTCAATAAACAGCTGATTCCTCCTTGAGGCTTTGACCTTTCCTTTCATAGTGAAACATCAATATTTTAAGTCTAAAAACTAGTTTTTGATTAAGAACCTTGTTACCAACCCAGAAATAAAAATTTTACTTTATTTTAAAGCCCAGGTTAAAAAAAATTCAAAAACAAGTGAAAAGTATTAGAAAAAATAAATAAAGCCAAATGCCAACACTTTGAAAGGTATAATCAAAAAGATAAACTATGGCAATCCAGATTAAGGAAATAAAGAAAGAAAGCAGGCTGGGCACGGTGGTTCACGCCTGTAATCCCAGCACTGTGGAAGGCCGAGGCAGGCAGATAACTTGAGGTCAGGAGTTCGAGACCAGCCTGGCCAACATGATGAAACCCGCTCTCCAGTAAAAATACAAAAATTTGCATGGCACGGTGGTGGGCGCCTGTAATCCCAGCTACTCAGGAGGCTGAGGCAGGAGAATGTCTTGAACCCAGGAGGTAGAGGTTGCAGTGAGCTGAGATCACACCACTGCACTCCAGCCTGGACAACAGAGCAAGACTCTGTCTCAAAAAAAGAAAAAAGAAAATTATTCTATATTAAGACTGAGGAAACATAATCACAGATATAGAAGTAATTTTAGAATTATGAGATATTATCTTATGCAACTCTGTATAACTTTAAAATAATATATGGCAAGAAATGTGAGGATCTAGAGAAAATGATTTTTTTCTACTAAAATAAATACTACAAAAGGTTGACCCAAGGAGAGGCAGATCATCTAAATAGATCAATCACTGTTAAAGAGTTTGTAAAGATCATTGAAAAGTCTCCATTTTAAGGGCTAGTTTTGTGATTAGATTTGACCTTTTTTTTTTTTTTTTTTTTTTTTTTTTTTTTTTTTTTAGAGGGAGTCTTGTTCTGTCACCCAGGCTGGAGTGCAGTGGCACGATCTCAGCTCACTGCAACTTCCATTTCCCGGGTTCAAGCGATTCCTTTGCCTCAGCCTCCCAAGTAGCTGGGATTACATGGGATTACCTGATCTGGCTAATTTTTGTATTTTTAGTACAGATGGGGTTTCGCCATGTTGGCCAGGCTGGTCTGGAACTCCTGACCTCAAGTGATCCGCCTGCCTCGGACTCCCAAAGGGCTGAGATTACAGGCATGAGCCACTGCCCTCCACCTAACTTTTAAAGAGAATACACTTCCTATGACGTTTAAATGATTTTAAAACATAGAATAAAATTGTATGACGCATAAGCTTAATACAAATATGTAGTATGTACTAACTCACTTTTTATGAGTTTGTAGTATATAGTAACTCATGTATTATGAGTTAGTATTATGTACTAACTCATGTATTATGAGTTAGTATTATGTACTAACTCATGTATTATGAGTTAGTATTATGTACTAACTCATGTATTATGAGTTAGTATTATGTACTAACTCATGTATTATGAGTTAGTATAGAAAACATCAATCAAATTCATTTATATATACGTAAAAACTCATATCCACATATTAAATTCATCAGTATGTTGAGAGTAATCCAACATGGTCAAATAGGGCTTATTCTAAGACCATAAATTTGAGATCACATTAAGAAATATATCATCATTATTAATATGATTAAATATATCCACAAATTATAGGAAGGTGGAATTGCTTATATTAGTTGATAATAAAAAGGCTTCAATAAAATTTAGTAGGTATTCCAAATAAAAACATTGACTAAAAAGTAGAATATTATCCATGATTAAATTCAGTTGGTTAGTATAGTTACATTAGTTATCCTTTCCTCGATACGTTATCTTGAATTAAAAAAAATTTAAATTATAAAAAAACACAAATAGGAAAATATTGAAATACAATAAAGACTATTTGTCAAAAGTAAGAGAAAATATTATAACCAATACTAAATAATAAAGAAATTTCCATTAAAATCAGGAATAAGAAAGGAATACCCAAATTTATGTTTTAATATTGAAGGTGATTATGTCAAGCACAGTGATAAAACAAGAAAAAGGTTTTAAATAGAAAAGGAGAGACAAAAATGTGCATTTGCAGATGATATAATTATACAGTCAGGAAATCTAAAATTACCAATAAAACTAACTAAAAAACTAGTGGCAATTCATTAATTTCACTATAAACTTAACAATGCATCTTTCTTACTAGCATCAGTGCTAGGAAGAAACAAACATGTTGAGGGGAAAATAAAGAATGTTAATATATATTTTCAAATGTAAGTGAAAACTCAATATATAGTAATGTTAGCATTTTAATTCTGCAGGAATTAAAATGATTGTTTTATTTAATAAAGGTGCTGGTAAAACTGGCACTTAATTTAGAAGAAAATAAAGGTAGACTCTATCTCATATGATATGAACAATAAATTCCAGATGGATTAAGAGTTTAGGCCTATAGTATGAAATAAATGTTAGAGAAAAATAGCAGATTTCATTTATCACATTTTGGATAGCTTTTTCATTGTGAAGTGGGAAACTCAGATGCTATAAAGAAAATAAAATGAAACATACCTCACTTAACTACCTAAAACATAAATAAAAAGACATAACAGTAAAAGACACTATAAGCAACCGCAAAAGATGAATGTTAGCTTGAGAAAAATATTTGCAATCTACCCATAACACTCAAAGGATTAAAATCCCAATTATATAATGCACTTTTATGAATTTTTGAAGCAAAAGTAATTAAAAATGGGTAAAAAATATAGTAATGCAATTCTTTGAAGAGGAAAGAGAGGCAGCTAACATGTATTAAAAGATATTCAATCTTAACAATAGTCAGGAAAAAGCAAATGAGAAGTAATAGGCAAGGAAGAGATTTAGCCTCTCCCTTCTGTTATTTCTAATGAGTCTTTTCTTCCAGAGAGGCTACCAGGCTGTTCTCCTGAGAATACACTCAGAGTAGATTTGCTGACTCTCCTAATGTTCATTCTTATTTCTATCTGTGTTACACTTCTTACAACCTATAATATTTTATACTTTTATATTTTCAAGTCACTTGTTCAGCACCTGTCTGCATACGCTCTTTGTCTAGAGTAGGAGTAAGATATTGTCTTAGTCCATTTTATGTTGCTATAACAAAATACCACAGACTGGACAATTCATAATAAACAAAAATTTGTTTGGATCATGATTCTGGAGGCTGGCAAGTCCAAGTGCATGACACCAGCATCTAGTGCGGCCTTCATTCTTCATTATCCCAGGGCAAAAGGAAGAAGAGCAAGAATAAACAAGAGCAAGAGGGCAAGTGTGTAAGAGAACACCAAATTTGCTTTTATAACAGCTCATTCTCTTCATAACTAACCCACTTCCATGATAAGGACATTAATCTATTCATGAAGGCAGAGACTTCTTATTAGGTCTCACCTCCCAACATTGTTGTATTGGGGATTAAGTTTCCTACATGTGAACTTTGAAGGACACATTCAAACTATAGCAAATACATATGGAGATAATTAGAATACAATGGGGTCAATAGAAAAATGCAATAGAGGCCCCAAGAGAGAGCTTCAAACTTTTCCTGTAAAGGCCAGGATGGGGAAGACCAGTTATCACACAAAGGTATTATTTTTTTCATTCACAGATTAGAAAACTCAGGTTCCCAACTTTAGTTTAACAACAGCTCTGTAGACTCTATAGTGATATTGTCACTCTCACGCTTGTCTTGATTATTTGTGTCTCCCTCTTTTCTGATCATCTGATCCATCTAGTTAGAGATTTATCAATTTTATGGGTAGCCAACTTCAGATTTCATTTATTTATTCTATTGCTCTTCTGTTTTCTATTTTCTAGATTTTGGTCTGAAATTTATACTTTAGAATTTATACTTTAGTTTTTTCTGCTTATTTTGAGTTTAATTTGCTCTTCTTTAATCTAGTTTCTTAAGGTGAAAGCTGAAGTCATTGATTTGAGATGTTATTCTTTTTTATAAAGATATTTATTCCATAAATTTCTCCCTGTTTTCTGCTTTATCAGCATCCCACAATTTTTTGATTTTTTTTTTTTTTTTTACTTTTACTTTAGGTTCAGGGGCACATGTGCAGGTTTGTTATATAGGTAATCTCAGGTCACAGGGTTTGTTGAATAAATTATTTCATCACCCAGGTATTAAGACTAGTACCCAATAATTATTTTTATTCTCCTTTTCCTCCTCTCACCCTCTGCACATGGACACAGAGAGGGAAACAACAAATTTGATATGTGGTATTCTCATTTTCATTCAGCTCAAACTACCTTGTAATTTTCCTTTTGATTTCTTCCTTAACACATGAGTTATTCTGAAGAGTGTTATTTAGTTTCCAAATAGTTTTAGAACTTTTTTCAGGAATCTTTCTGTTATGAATTTAATTTCAGTGTGGTCAGTGGATAAACTTTGCATGTCTTGAATTCTTGTGAATTTTTTTGAGAGTTGTGTAATGGGCCAGAATGTGGTCTCTCTTGATAAATGTTTTTATGTGCACTTGTAAAGAATGTTCATTCTGGGCCGGGTACAGTGGGCCACACCTATAATCCCAGCACTTTGGGAGGCCGAGGTGGTCAGATCGCTTGAGGTCAAGAATTACAGACCAGCCTGGCCAACATGGTGAAACCCCGTCTCTACTAATAATACAAAAATTAGCCGGGCGTGGTGGCACACCCCTGTAATCCCAGCTACTTGGGAGGCTGAGGCAGGAGAATTGCTTGAACCTGGGAGGCAGAGGTTGCAGTGAGCTGAGATAGGGCCACTGCACTCCAGCCTGGGAAACAGAGCAAGGCTCTGTCTCAAAGAAAAAAAAAGAAAGAAAAGGAAAAAAGAAAAGAGAAAAAAAAGAACATTCATTCAGCTTCTGCTATTTTGGGTAGAATGTTCCGTGAGTGTCAAATAGGTAAATTTATTCAAGTCTGGATTATTCTTAGTACCACACTATTTCTGGTTTTCTCAATTTTATAAATTTCATTTGTATAGATGTTTTTAATTTCTACAACATTGGTATCTTCTCTTTAAGTTATTATGTACAGTGACATATAGCTCCCTCTGGTGACTAAATTAAAACTTTCATATTTCTAAAATCACTTGTTCTAATGTTTAGAGGAATATGCTTAGTAAAAAATAAATACTTCAGAGGTTACAAATTCTTTTTAAATATTTCCAGCCAAATAAATGTAAAGTATTACAAATAATAAAACTTTATGAGGTATATTATATATATATATCATATTATATATAATGCCTTTCTAACTATATATATATAATTAGAAAGTCATTTTTATAAATATAGGGGTATAAGTAATTATATCATTTTTCTGTTCTTCTTGTGAGTTCACATATTGCCTAAAACTTTTATGCATAAATTGAAAGATGGGTCCCTTTGGCACAAATACAACTAACTAATCAACCATAACCCCTACTCTATGTCTACCGAGGTGATATACACTCTTAATTACCAAAACCAATTATTCCACTTGTAGTAACTGAATATTCATTATGTGCTGCTTTGAGTTGAATTGTGTCCCTCAAAAATTCATATGTTGAATTTCTAACCCCTAGGACCTCAGAATGTGACCTTATTTGGAGCTGGGTTCTGATATCATTTGGCTGTGTCCCCACCCAAATCTCATCTTGAATTGCAGTTCCCATAATTCCTATGTGTTGTGGGAGGGACCTGGTGGGAGGTAATTGAATCATGGGAGCAGTTTCTCTTATGCTATTCTCATGATAGTAAGTTCTCATGAGATCTGATGATTTTATAAGGGGTTTCCCCATTCATTCAGCTCTCATTCTTCTCCTTCCTGCCACCCTGTGAAGAAGGACTTGTTTGCTTCCCCTTCCACCATGATTGTAAGTTTCCTGAGGCCTCCCCAGCCATGCTTAACTGTGAATCAATTAAACCTTTTCCTTTATAAATTACCCAGTCTCGGTTGTGTCCTTATAGCAGAATGAGAACAGACTAATATAAGTTCTTTATCAAATTATAATAAGGTCATTAGAACTGGCTGTAAGCCAATATGACTGGTTCCTTACAAACAGGAAAAAATTGAAGACAGACTCTAATATACAAGAAGAAAACCCTGTGAACATGAAGACGGCCATCTATAAGCCAAGAAAAGAGGCCTGAAACAAAACCTTCTCTCACAGCTCTTATATTTTAAAATAATGTAAGCAAAATTTCTCTTGCGGGTGTATTTGAATAAGATTTCTCAGATTAATTTTTTCTAGGTCAGAGTTGCTTTCTTTTCTTAGATTTCACTATATGTGTGATCATGAACTTGTACTTTAAATTTATTTTCTATAACTTAATATACCCAGAATTGATAAATAAATCTTAATTACTAATGATGAGACATCCAAAAATGCTTATGGCCTTTAGGAAAGCTCAGTTTCAAGAAGCACAGCAGTTTCACATTATTAAAGTTTATGCCCTCAGAGTAAGGTTTTTTTGTTTGGCAGAAACAGCCTAATATTGCTTCATGGAGAACATCAGAGATTCAGGTATAAATGATAGAGTTACAGCAAAGATCCTTTTTTCTTTTTTTACTTTTGCATCTGGAGTCCCCATTAAGTACTGAAGAAGATAGGGCCCAAACTGGTCCAACAGTTCTCAAAATAAAAGCTACTATTTAAGGGAGCTGAGCCATGTTGAAGACCATAAGTTGAGTATCAGAGTTTAGTTTTGCTCCTTAAGCAGATCTGGCCATAACTTTTTGGATTTCCATTCTTTACTATTCCTGTGTTTCCTGTATATTATTTCTTAATTCTGCATGCAAATATTTCTTAAGTAACACGGTTCCTAATGTTCCATGTTTTTAGTTTTGTGTACTGCATTTTAAACAGATGGAATTTCTTCTAGTTATTTTTAGAGAGAACAGAAGAGACTAGGGGAATTAAAATTCCTATATTGGATATGCATTTCAAGTTGCTTTGATTCTCGCAGGTGCTTTAGAGAGAGTTATAAATTCCTCTTCATAGCTAGCTCTTCTGCATCCTACTTACAGATCAATATTCATAGCTGGTTCCCTCATGTTCTTACAGACCAATAAGCGAAGCTCTCAGGCATACTAACCTCTTGGCATAATCAGCTTCTCATTCAAACATGCCATCTGTGCTCCACCAGGGACATCCTTCTCTCATGAAACTGGCAATAGTGACAAAGTTCATTTGAATTCCCAGTACTCATAATCATCATGCAGTTTGAGGTACCCTTTTGGTAAATATGGCCTCTACTTGGAAAACTCCTATTGTCTGCTATAGTGCTTCAAGGTTTACATTCATTTTCTATGCCAGGAAAAGAATACCTTGTGATAGTTCTCTTAAACCTCTGATTATGTTACAGTGTTTTTCTGTGGTCCCCCAAACAGGCTTCTTCCATACCATCAGGCTCTTTCACATAAATCCATCAACATGGAACTGAAGGCAATTGGATGGAAATCTCAACAGGAGCTGTCAGGGCCATTCCTTAATCAGATTTACAGGTTGCTACCGAACAGCATGAGACAGTCGTTCTCTGCCCAGAGATTAAGTACGATCTGCTTAGAGGTGATGTGCAGGGGAGCATCACAGTCGCCTGTGAAAACATGCTAAATCATCAGAGGTTTATTTTCTCCTCTAACCTCTGAAAACAACAAAACAAACAGGTGAGCTTAAATAACAGGCCAGCACCCTTATTAGTTCTAAGTGTATTTCAGGATAGGTTAGGATGCTGCTGTTAAAAAATGTCTCAATCTATTTTGAAGTTAAAGATACAATAGATTCCAATTGAGTTTCTTGTTTGTTATTGTTATTTGTTTGTTTCTGTTGTTGTTTCTGTATTTAATAAGGAATAAACTACTAAAATGCTGCTGAGAAAAAGGTTTCTCTTGGCTGGGGTTTTAAATCTCTCAATATTTCAAGGGAAAATTTTAAAAATGCTACCAGTTATAGGAATGGGAGATTAACCTCCTTGGATAGTCCACAGAAAAGTAGAAAAGATTAGTCAATTAGGAGGAGACATTCTATTTTGTTTTTTCTCAGTGGCATAAGCAATTATCTTTTGGTTTCGTAAATTTTTCTCCATTTGTAAAGCAATGAAGTCTCCATATCTCCACTGTAAACAAGCTTAACATTTCCTTGTTAATCAAATGCTTATCACCTCTATGATGTCACATTTATGCTTGGTTTCAAAGATTTCATATTAGGAGTCTACAAAAGCTTTCATCCATATTTTCTCTTAAAAGTTTTCAACTTTAATAAAAACTGAGTATGTGGTTTGGTTTATTGCTGTCACTGCCAGCTGATATTTGGTCAGAAAATATTCATTGATCCATTCCAAAATATTGAATAAGTACCTATTAAATGTCAAGTGATATATGAGACATTGATGCTGTAGAGGAAAAGCAGATATAGAAATATGCAAAATTAGGTTAGACACGGTGGCTCACACCTGTAATCCCAGTGCTTTGTGAGGCCAAGGCTGGAGGTTCCCTTGAGGCCAGGAGTTAGAGACCAGCTTGGGCAACATAGTGAGACCCCATCTCTACAGAAAGCAAAAATAAAAAGAAATTAGCTGAGCATGGAGGTGTACTCCTGTGGTCCTAACTACTTGGGAAGCTGAGGCAGGAGGATCACTTGAGTCCAGGTGTTTGAGGCTGCAGTGAGCTATGACAGTGCCACTGCATTCCAGCCTGGGTGAAAGAGTGAGACTTGAGTCCAGGTGTTTGAGGCTGCAGTGAGCTATGACAGCGCCACTGCATTCCAGCCTGGGTGAAAGAGTGAGACTTGAGTCCAGGTGTTTGAGGCTGCAATGAGCTATGATAGCGCCACTGCATTCCAGCCTGGGTGAAAGAGTGAGACCCTGCCTCAAAGGAAAAAAAAAGAAATATGCAAAATTATTCTTAGTATATGTGTTTGTTATTTTATAAATCAGATATTTTTAGAAAAAAAGGGTGTGTAAATCAAACTTTATAAATAGAATTATTTAAAATATAAAAATAAATATATCATATCTCACATACATACATAGCATATATACGTTATATATATCTATGTTATACACATGCGCACACACACACATACACACCTAGTATTAGGTAATAGGCAACTTATACCTTTGTATCTAATTCTCTTTCTGTATATAATATATATAACCTCCCAAATTAGATTATTGAAACCATCTCTATAAACGTTATAAAATCAATCAGGGAGAAAGGAGCAAGAGAAACAAAAATAAATAAAGTGTACAGTACATTCAGCATTAATCATTAGGTCAGCTTACTCTCTGGCCTACTTCCTCATAGTTGTTTGGTGCTTATTGTCCTAGAATCTTACAGACCCAGATTATAGTCCCCTTAACTGCTGTAAAGATAACAACTTGAGCATTATAAAACGTCAAGTTTTGTCTTTGAAATATTCTTTCAGGTACCGCATTCTGATGAAACTACTGAAGGACTTTACTGATACCAGCTGGTCTGAAGGACCCCATGAGGTGCTGACTTAACAAAGAAGACAGAATGCAGTTTCCATATCCTGATGATTTCATCCCCCTTGCCTCAACCAAGCAATGACTCCAATTTTCAACCTGTCACCCTCCATGATTCTCTTAAAACCCCCCACCCAGAACCCCACTGGGGAGATGGATTTGAGGGTCTCCTCCCACCTCCTCACTCAACACCCTGTGATTATTAAACTCTTTCTCTGTTGCAAACCCTGCTATTTGAGTGTATTGGTATATTAATGTGCAGCAGGCATATGAACATCTTTGTCCTATAATATTATAACCTGAACTTCTGAGGATACTTAGAAGAATACCTTAAACATTGTAAGTACTCGTGAAATATTAATAGGTTGATGTAAACACACTGATTCAACTGGAATGTTTCAGTGAAGAAAGGCCAAGTAAGTTGTTTTGTCAGAAAGTCCTCTGCAGATTTTTTAATACATATATTTTCTTTTTCTAGGAGTGCGCAGAGAATTTCAACACTGAAGCACTTTTTATATTCCATTGAGATGGAAGCTATATTCACATTCCAAGCCTGAAATAAGAATTCCTATTAGAGACAAAGTACCTACAAGTTAGTTTCCATCCTTAGAATCTTAAATTCTAAGTGTATTTGTTTCCTTAGTTACAGCCACAGAATTGTGGTCAAGTAAGTGAGGGATGGTAACGAACTTTTCTGTGTCTTTAGTTTGGATAACAGAAGAAGAAATAAAGGTGTGCCCTTTTTGAAGAATTCATGTTTGGCAATAGAGGAATTTCTTCCAAGTGAGCTATCAAACATTGAAGAATGGTATGTGCCTTAATCGTTATATTCTTTACATTGTACATCAGTCTTTTGCATACATATTCGTATTCCCCGCAAGAATATGTGTTGCTAGGGAGTTGGTGTCTATGCCTGGTTTAGCTTTTTGTCCGCATCTTTTAATACACTATTCAATAAGTCTTTGGGGAATAAATAAATAAATAAATCCATGTGTGATTTGGCCTTAAGCTATGGAAGAGGGTCACGGTTGTAACAAAGGCTGGGTTTGGTTTTCTTCCTCAGTGCTCTCATAACAACTCATTATTATAATTACTTAATCTGGTATCTGTCTCATTCAATAGAAAGGGAGATCTTAGGGATCTGGGACTATTTCTTATTTATCTTTGTTTCCCTTTAAAATCCATCACAATGCTTAAAAATAGTTAAAATTGTTTGTGAATGAATGAATGAATATGATTGTTGGCCAACTCTAAGCTCCTGTGAGGTTCTCATGTTAGGTGTCTTTACAGATAATATGTGTTTATTTTCAGAATCTTCATGTTTATCTAGGAAAACTGCCAGTAATTCCTAGAAACCAATTTGTCCAGAGCAAATAGTGACGGACACTACACTTTTGGTTGTCCCGTGCACCAAGTCCAAGGTAAAATTATGAAAGAAAATAAATTCCCAAGCCTGAAAGTAAGTTGACACAATTTTGAAGGTACACAGAATATGAGGTACTAATGGAAATTTAGTTTTAGTTCTCTCATCTAATATAAGCAAAAAACAAAATTCCACAGAAGGATAATTTTGTTTCATATGATGAAAAATAGCTTTGTCTATATTGCGTCTTGTATAAATATCCTTCAGTATTTAGAGAGACAGAAGATGAACTGCAGTCTTCCTCAGCAGCAAGACAGCATTTCATATCATTTTTTATTTTATATTAATGAATATTTGTGGGTATTTTAGTTCATTTAGTGTTGCTATAACAGAATACCGGAGGCTGGGTAATTTATAAAGAAAAATTGTTTATTTAGCTCATGGTTCTGCAGGCTGGGAAGTACAGGAAGCATGGTGCCTCCTTCTGCTCGGCTTCTGGTGAAGGCTTTTCGTGCCGCATCACAACATGGTGGAAAAGGTCAAAAGGAAAGCAGGCTCATGCAAAGATGCAAAACCCACAGGGGCATCCTGGCTTTATAACAACCCACTCTCACAGGATTAATTCATTCCCATGAGAACTTATTCAGTCTTGCCAGAGCAAGAACTCATTACTGGGAGAAGAGTACCAATCTATTCATGAAGGATCCACCCTCATTATCCAAACACCTCCCACTAGGCTCCATCTCCCCAAAACTGCCACATTAGTGATCAAATTTCAGCGTGAGTATTGATGGAGACAAACTCAATCCATAGCACTGGGTTACCTTAAAATGACAGCTCCTACTCCTACTGAATAGCTAGTTATTCCATAGACATGTACTATTCATTCATTCTTGGGCAAGAAACTTATAGTCTCAGATTCTCAGTTGCTTCATCTGAAAACAGTTTGTGAAGAATTTATGAGGATTAGAGTTTATCGATGTCAAATATTTAGTGCAATGTCTGGTACATATTTGATGCTTGAAAACTAATAGGTATTTCATCATCATCATCATCAATATCATGAGTCATTATTATAAAAATTTACTTAAAATTTGAAGCAGATTTTAAACTCACAAAATGCAATAAGTAATTCATATTGATAATAGTAAACAAAAATGCCATGGCCTTCCCATGTCTTCTTGCTCTTGATTAGTCCAGGCAATTAATTGATCTATCAATCAGTACCTTAAGTTTAATGGACTCAGAGGGAGACACACATAGTTATACAAGTGCTTACTTTCACTGGGCACCTTGGAAGATTGTATATCATGTAATTCTATTTTAGATACCAAGAAAAATACCGTTTTGAATGAGTCTGCCAATCTTACATTTCTTGAATTGTAGATTTACTTCTGTATTATCAAAAGTGGGATGCATTGATTTTACAATTGCTCAGAATATTATGAAAGACTTCACACAATATTAAATAAACAGCACATTTTACTTAGAAAAAAACATAATGAATTATTTAGCAAACATACTGTAAAAAACCCTTATACTTGTGAATAATCAGAGAAATAAAAATAAAATATTTTATTTAATATTAATCAACAACAAAATAAAAATGGTTAACAATTTTGTCAAACTTCAAAACTAGTGTTTTAATATATATTACAAATTAGCATAATCTTTTTGGAAAGCAATTTGGCTATAGGCCAAAAGTTACAAAATTTGTCTTCTCTTGACTGAGCAAATGCAGTATGTGGAATATATTCTTAAGAAAATAATTTATTCTAAATCAAAATATACATGGAGAGAATATTCATTGAACTTTTTCTATGCAGTGAAAGTGAAATAATAGCCCTAACAGCCAACACTTATATAATACCCTGCACCGGAGATGTTTGCATTTTCGGTGCTGACATACTCATTTAATCCTCACAAATGTCCTTTTCTCATCTTATTGATAAGGAAAATGAGGCGCAAATTGTTTAAATAACTTGCCACTGAGCAACAGGTATCAGACTGTGGATTTTGTACTCTAAATCAATACACTATTTAGCCTTACCAGTAGAGGCAAAGACTTATGACAGCAATAGAAAAATGGTTATGTAAATGATGATTTTAACTGAACAGAATATTACATAATGATTCAAATGAACTATTATGGAGAATATAAAGCAATTTGGACTTCAGAAAAATTCTACTAAACTACAAAATAATATAGTATAGTCAACTCATTATGGTTGCAACTGTAAAAGATGGCTCTTATGAAAGGCTTAATATATACTAATGTGCAAGGCCAGCCACTTGCACATGAATATTGAGAGATAATTGAAGTAAGATAAACAAGGAATAAGATCTAGACAACTAGTAAATCCTATGGTCAGGAAGACAGCAATCTACATAGTCAGTCCCATCTGATGCTGCATAGGCTTCCCACTCAAAGGGCATTTGAACTGAATGATGGAGAACACCTAGCTTCAGAAGTGTGACATGCAGATGGAGGGCGAGTCAGAGACACAGGAAGAATTTTCCTGAAATATCAACCAAAGAAAAGTCCCAGGAGATTGAAACTGGAGCCTTACCCCTATGTAGATAGAGATTGGAGAGCAAGCTCTAGCCTGATGGCTCAAAAGCCGAGCAGGGCTCTTTTTGGTGTCAAAGACTAGGAAACACTTTGAAACCCTAAATGCTCAAGAGATTCCAGCAGAGGTGAGCAGTTGTTGATGGGAGTGGAAGTCAGATCAAATAGGAAGTTAGGCCTCCCTTTGACTGGAGTAATTTCCAAAATTTTTGAGCAATTAAAATTGTAGAACCCCAACAGCTACAGAATCCTTGAGTATGGAGAAGTAGAAGCTGCTCTAAATCCTACTGACCAGAGCCTTAGAAGCTCCTGCTAGCTTTCCAGATTTTGTTCCTATTGGATTCAGGAGAGGGCCAATGTAAGACATGAGTCAGGAGCATCAGATAGCTGAGATGATGCTAGGCCTGCTCAGGGCTTGACAACAATTAAGTAAAATATGAAAAGTAATGCATTCAATTAAAAGGGTAATAAATTTACAGATATTTTTATTTTATATATCTTTAATGTCATAATATTTCTTTTAAAATTTTAAAAAATCTGGCAATTTATGGAGGGTACACTTTAGCAAGACTTTTAGCTGTGCCCTCTAGCTATCTGCTTAGGTTCTTGTAATTGGATGATTTAGACAAACATTTCCTTTCTCTTTTTCTCTTTCACTGTCTATTCTCTCACACATGGGCACAATGCTATGGCCCCAGCACTGAATGTATTTATTCACAGCAGATACTCCTTAGTGCTGGCTATGATGCAGTCTCTCTCAGTGCATTTTTTGCAAAGGTTTATGGTAATATAGTATATTGATCTCCTTCTTAGAGCAATGTCGACAAGTTTGTTCCAAGACAGAGGTCACATGCATGATCCTTCATTAAAATATTAAAAAGCCATGTGTTTCAAAGTTAACAAATATTGACAGGTAGTTAATAATTTTCCTCTTTCTTGTATTTCATGGGACTAGTCATTAACCTCTGACATTCTGTGTAGGAGATTGCAATGGCAGAGAAATCATGTGACATCAGGCCAGGCTGATGTGACTCTGATGGCAAATGATAGCAGGACTTTCCACCCAACAACAATGTAAATCAGTTGATATAGAAAATGTTGTGTAAATATGTTTGTTCATTTTATCTCTTTCCTCCCTTCCAGTCTTCCTTACCTTCTTCCTTCTCTCCCTTTCTTCATCACTCTCTCTCCCTCCTTTCCTTTCTTGTTTTCTAAAAAATTTTGAAGGAGTTACCTGAAAATAAGTGTTTATGTGTGCTTGTTTAATATTTTAATTATACAAACTTGATGAGTCATTTATTGTTTTAAGTTAACTTAGAAGAACTTTAATGTATGCCAATTTCTTATTCCAATCATAAATTTAAAAATAAGATATGGGATAAAGTGAGAAAAATATTATATTGATTTCTGTTTTGTTTCAGTGTCAAAAAGCAAACTAATGACTGTGTGGTTTCTGACTTTTGGATTTTCTATGGAATTAATTTTAGTCCTATATAACTGTACAGTATGTACATTTAAAAAAAATCTTGGCCACAATTTATAGATTCAAGTTCTAGCATTGAACCAGTTTTAGTATAAAGTTTTCACTCAAATGTCACTGGATCATCTTGGAGGTTAAAAGATTCAAGTGAAACTGAAAAAGTACCCCATGTCCCTGACTTCTAGACTAATATTTATTAACCTATAGCAGTTGGCCAAATTTCATTTCTATTAAACCACCCATATTATCTAAATTTTTAAAATTTATCTTCTAAGAAGCAAAATTTAAGTATTGGTTGGATTGTATCCAAAATAAAAGTTGTTCTAGGGGATAGGTAATAGGAAATGAAGAAATCCTACCGTTGAGCTTTGCAAGCATTGTCAAACTACAGTCATAAGGCATAAATAATCTGTCCTTTACTGATGCTGGGCCAGCTTGATGCTAATGAACTTCTTTTCTAAGGCCTTAATCTGTTGCATTTCCTGTGACTCAGCCAATCCTCCCACTCTCTGTTGAAAAGAGTCATGGACCATTTTGGAATCGCTTGCAGTATGCACCCTTTATGCTTTGATGACATCAAAGATAGTTATATTTAGTGACTAAAATGCAAACATTTGCGCGTGGAAGCAGCCACACCACCCCCTTTTAACAAACCAAGACATCGCTTTCCATCAAGCAGCTTTTACTGAACATTCACTGTGGTCAGACACTTTTCTGAGTACTTATTAACTCTATTAACTTTTTCTGAGTACTTATTAACCCTATTCATTTAATCCTTAGTAACTTTAGGAAGTAGATGATGGTGATGATGATAATGATGATGATGATGATTATTATTATTATTATTTTGAGACAGGGTCTTTCTCTGTCACCCATGCTAGAGTGCAGTGGCATGATCAAAGCTCACTACAACTTTCACTGCCTGCTGCCCCCTCAGGCTCAAGCGATCCTCCCACCTCAGCCTCCCTGGTAGCTGGGACCATAGGCACATGCCACCATGCTGGCTAATTTTTGTATTTTTTTTGTAGAGACTGTAGAGATGGGGTTTCTCCATGTTGCCCAGGCTGTCTCAAAATCCTGAGTTCAAGCAATGCACCTGCCTCAGCCTCCCAAAGTGCTGGGATTATAGGTGTGAGCCACTGCACCTGGACAGAATTAGACATTACTATTACTCCCATTTTTCTTATGAGTAAACAGAGACACAGAGGTTGAATAATTTGCTCAGGCTCACAGAGGGAAACTGGAGTTCTAAAGCAGGTAATCTGGTGCCAGATTTCCCACATAATAGCCTTGACTCCTATTTGCCCTCTCCTACCCCAGCCATCACCTCCTGGTGCTTTACGTATTATCTGTGCTCTAGCCAAACTGGACTACTTTGCAGTTCTGCAAACACATTCCCATTTTTTCCGTTCGAAGTTAGATTCCCTTCCTGTGCACTGCCATTGCCTCCTGTGCTTGCAGTACCTCTGTCTGATTTCTCCGTGAGGAATGTATGCCTACCTGCCTTCAAACTAAGGCACTGAGGGGGATCTGTGGAAAAATTTTGTAGCTAGGAAAGCATTTTGGAGGCCATTCAGAAGGAAGAGCTACTTTTCTTTACCTTAGAGCTACTTTTCTTTACCTTAGTATCAGCCTGCTCAGTTTGCACAGATGGTTAAGGGGAAGGATACTAGAGAGAAAAATTACAGTAAAGATAGTGTGTTAGTCCGTTTGCATTGCTGTAAGGGAATACCTGAGGCCGGGTAATTTGTAAAGAAAAGAAGTTTATCTTGGCTGATGGTTCTGCAGGCTGTAGAAGAAGCATGGTGCTGGCATCTGCTCCTGTTGAGGGCCTCCGAAGCTTCCAATCACGGCAGAAGGCATAGGGGGAGCAGACCTGTCATATGGTGAGAGTGGGAGCAAGAGAGATGCCAGGCTCCTTTAAACAAACAGCTTGCCCATGAACTGATGGAGTGAGAACTCACTCTTCACCAGTGGGACGGCACTAAGCCATTCATCAGGGATCCTCCCCACCTCAATCACATTTCAACATGACACTGAGATTTGGAGGGGACACACATCCAAACCATATCAGATAGGTAGGATCAGATGTCCCCTACTGTGCTAGGCATTAACCCCTTAGTTGCTTGATAATAGGAGGTACAGGATTTGATTGGAGGGGCCAGAGTAAATAAGGGAGCTGTAGAGGAATTTGGGGCAGGGTCTGTTATCAATGGGTATGACATTATTTAACGATGTAAGTAACCAGTAGGTCTCTATCAGTGTGTCCTGGCTAAAGATTCTCAATTGGTTGCATCTTGTATTAGTGATCTGAATGGAATTCTAAAACTCCCAAATTCTCTCCTTATTTCTCTCCTTTTCCTCTTTAATTGCAAATGAAATAGGCTTTTGTTTAGTAATAATCCATTCATATTCTTGTCTCGAAGTAGGGGAACCTGGAATTCTTCCCTGTTTAGCCCTACAGAGGAAAATACATTGAACTCTAATTATTTAATCTTGGAGCCAATATGTATAGGTGTCAAGTTCACAAAACATTTCACGTTCTGTGTTCCCTGGTTTTATTTTAACCTCTTTCAGAATTATAATATTCTTTTACTTTCTGTCTTAAAAATATGCTGCTTTACCTTTCTGTTTATGACATATCTAACGTCATCTGTCAGGCCTGGAAGACTAAGAACTGAAATCCAGATTTTAAAGAATGCCTAACTCAGGTGTGCTGGTCCCAGCTTTGTTTAGTGTGTGCTCCAGGTCCCCTGCACTTTCACCTCCTTAACTACTTCTGCCTTGAGACATCTAGTAGCTGGTGCATCATCCACATTGCTGTCTTTAATAGATCATTTCTAGTGGTATTAAGCTATGTTTTTATATCTCTGATCTTAAAACAAATAGTCAAACATGAAGCCCCACATCTTCCAGCTTCTGAATGTCACAGTAAAACATCTCAAAAGAATTCTCATGTCACTCATTGTGTTCACTTCCTCACCTCCCATTCATTCTTTAACTCATTTGAATTTGGTTTCTCTTAGCTTCAATTCATTTGTCAATGACCTCAATGTTTCCTAAATCAATGGGCATTCCTCTCTCATCTTTTACCCAACCTTTCAGCAGCATCCAAAATAGTTTCTTTTGAAGACTGTCTTTTGTGTTTAAGTGACATGCCACCCTCCAAATTTTGTTTCTACTTACTGGCCATGCCTTCTTAGTCTTTGGTTTGCTGGCTTTTCCTCTTTCTTCAATAAAATATTAGAATATATTTTATTTAACTCAATATACAAAAGTATTATCATTTCAACATAATCAATATACAAAATAATTAATAATTAATAAACTATTTTATAATTTTCTTTTGTCCTAAGTTTTTGAGATTTGGTGTAATTTATTTTATTTTTTTGCTTTACTATTATTTTTAATTGACAGATAATAATTGTACATATTTTTGGAGTACAGTGTGATATTTTGATACATGTATACAATGTGTAATGATCAAATCAGGGTAATTAGCACATCCATCACCTTAAACATCTGTCCTTTCTTTATGTTTGAAACATTCAAAATCTACTCTAGCTATCTGAAAATACACAATAAATGGTTGTTAATTATAGTTATTCCATAATGCTGTAGAACACCAGGACTTTTGACATTTAAAGATTAGTGTACCTCTGGTCAAATTCTGTACTTTTCATACTTATTTTCTCTCACTTAAACTTTCACCTGCCTGATTAGTAAGCTTATGTTAAATAGAACCACATGAAACTGATGTCTTTGTAAGTAAAAATCAGGTGAACAGCAGCAATTTATTGATTCAACCTAATATTTCCAACCAACTCCTCTGCACTACATATATGTAGTGCAACTCCTCTGCACTACATATCTAACTGTTTATCCAACACCTTTATTGGATGTCTAATAGACATCTGAAACAAAACTTTCAAAATGGAAATTATGTACCTATTCATCTGCTCAAGTCCAAGTTTTCTCTATGTTATTCAATGCCACCATCTAAGAGTCATCCTTAATTTATGTATTTTCCTTATCTCAAAAATGCAATCAATCACCTAGTCCTTTTTCTTCTTTTACAAATTTATATGTTGGGTTTCTAGGTCTACTCTAAGCTGCTCTAGTCCAAGTGACCTGTGTCTTGACTAAACACTGTAATAACTCTGTTTTTTCTGCTCCTTTCACACCCCCTCTGCTATACAATCTCCATATAGCAACCAGAGTGATCACTTGGAAATATATATCACACTTTTGTGCTAAACAAACAAGCAAGCAAACAAAAAATAGCAGCAACAAAAATACCTCTTCAGAGGCTTCCCAATGTATTTGGAATCGTCCAATCCTTACCGTGGTTCTTACCACGGGTTGGCAAATGATACCCTGCAGGTTGTGTTGTTTTCACTGTCTGTTTTTGTAAATAATTTTTTTAGACACAGCCATGCTCATTCATTTATGTATTATGTATGGATGCTTCTGTACTACAATGACAGATTGAGTCATTGCAACAGGGAATGTCTGGGCTGCAAAGCCTATAATATTTGCTATTTGAGCCTTTATGGAAAATATCTGCTGATCTCTTGTTTATTCTCTACAATCTAAGTCCTATCTAGCTCTGAACTCGTGTCTAGCCATTCTGCCCTTAGCTCATTTACATCTTTTCCTACAAAGGCCTTATTCCCATTACAGGACCAGGCCTAGTAATTTACTGCCATAAAGAATTTCCTTGCATCTGGTCTTCCCTCTACAGGAAATGCTCTCTTTCTGGATCTTTGATTGGCTGCTACTTTCTCATTATCTAGCTTTCATCTCCTTGGAGAGAGGTATTCCTTGACATTCAATCTAATGTTGCCCCTAATTCCTTTCTGTATATCATTGCACTCTTTAAAATTTCCTACACAGCATTTATCACAGTCAGCAATTATCTTTAAGTTTTTGCTAACCTTTTCTCTTTCTTTCCCTCTAGAAGCTCCATGAAACAGGAATGTTTTCTTCTTTATTCATTTGCTCCACTCCAGCAACTCACACAGACTTATACATTATATGTGCTCAGTAAATATTTATAAATGAATGAATGTGACCATTGTCTTTGGTTTCCCAGATGGGTCTCTACCATAAACTTTCCTACCAGGCACACTTCTGAGTGCCTGCAGCTAACATTCCTGCTCCTACTGAAGATTGCTTGCAGTTCTCTGGACACCAAAAGAGCATTTTGTGCTCTAGACTCCTCTGGGTAGCAGAAACTACGCTATTCCAAGTAAAATTAAGGACACTGTCATGCTCCTCATTTTATTATTATAATTTTCCACCTGGGTCTTGAAGCAGTGTTATTAATGCCACTGTGTTTTATAGTGTTTTTCATAAAACACATTTTTTCACTTTCTATCCCTAGCCCCTAACCTCAGCAAAACTTATTATCAGCCTTGTCCAGAATAGGGATAAATTCAAATGACAAGCACATGCTGCACAAGTTCAGAACTGACTTTCATCCTGATGATTAAAGTTTTGTCCTTTTGTTAGGGTTGTCCCATTGAGCTCCTTTTCCTTAGAATGAGTTATCATCAGGAAGCTTCCTTAAGGATTTCTGTAAATAGTATTCTATTGATTCTGCATCAATAGTGTAAGGAATCCCTTCCTTTTGCAAACACGTATTAAATCCCTGTTGTATGAAGCTCTGATTTAAATGCTAAGAATAAATTGTTAAATCTGATACATATGGAATTTAAAGTTTAGTGGGTTATCTTAGCTCTGGTGTGTCCAAACATCTTTGAGTCTCAGTTTCCTTATTTGTAACTTGGCATAATATCATCTACACTGAAAGTTCATTGTAAAGATTAAATGACCTTATAAATATAAAGCACCTAACACAGCATCCTATACAATGTAGGTACTCAGGAAATTTATCCACTATGTGGTTTGCAAATGAGAAATAAATACTAGCAATGAAGTAATGCTTCCCATATATTCCTACTGATAGTGACAGGAGGCAGCCAAATGCGTAGGCAGATGGGGTGGGTACCCAATAAAACCCCACCTCCAAGCTGAAGACAGTTTAAAACCTGAAAGCCAAGCTGCAAGTTGAATCCTTGGACCAGATTGAGAACTTGTTTTCCTCTTTGGCATGCTTTCCTCTGATTGATTCCCACCCTTCACTTATTTTACATATATCTACCCTTTCCTAATTGGTTTTCTACACTGTCGTGCCCACCTTTGAATGATGCCTTCGCTTTAATCTTTTTTTGCATACTCACAAACCAATCAGCACACACTCCCCATCCTGTGCCTATAAAGACCCCACCTCAGTCGTTAGAGGGGGAAATGGTCTAACTTCTCCCCCTCTGAAGAGATGGGCTGACTTCAGGGAAGAGACAACCTGACTTCCGGGAAGGTGACCTGCCCTTCCTGTCCTCTCTCCAGCTCCCCTCTCTACTGAGAGCTGTTTTCATCACTCAGTGAAATTCTCCAATTTCACCATCCTTCAGCTATCTGTTTGACCTCATTCTTCTTGGATGCCATGCAAGAGCTGTCACACTGGCCCTTTGCCCTCACCAGTGGAGGACAGCTGCCCCACGCAATGAGGCAAGAGGCCAACTGAGTTGCTAACACACCACCATTCATGGACAGCAGAACTAAAGGAGCACTGTAACACCTCATCTGGGGCTTCAGGGTTGTGGGTAACCCCACATGGGCACTGCTTCATTCTCCTTGAGGCAACACACCCGGTTTGGCCATGGGTCCCAAACAGAGTTTGCTCCTGTGTTGGCACCCAGGACAGCCAGCCGGGTCTTGCACTCGCTTGTTAGTACCTGGTCTGGCCGCAGGCCCCACACAGAGCTTGTTCCTGTGTTGGCCAGATCCTCACTCATTGGCTCATGTGCTCCCTCCTGCAAGGAGTTGAGCTCAGGACAAGTAGAGGGGGTGCCTCTGCTGGGAGTTGGGTGAAGGTGCTGAGAAAATTCCTGCATCACTACCATTATCAATTTTTCCACTCAGGTTATACCTCAATATGATGCATTAGGAAGGACAAAACTTCTAACATTCAAACTGTGTAGCTTTTAGGTAACTATTGTTCTAGGACTAGGAGAGAGTTATTTAGTAGCATTACATTATATTATTTAGTAACATTTAAAATCAAAATTATAATGTTAGAGTACCCTCAAAATATTTTTGCAATGGATACATGATTGGTTAAAGCATATTATTTTTAATGTATTTGCTTATCGTGCTGGTGTACCTACTCTGAAGTAATCGGTGATCAAACAAGGCAACTAGGACTTCAGAGACTGAGTCCACAAGCTCCAAGAGAACAGAAAAATCCGATTAGGAGAGCCTTATGTTTGGCTGTATTCCATCTCAGCACTTCCACCCAGTGCATTTACTATGTGATGTCTTGCACCAAAAAAAATTGTTTAGAGCCTATTGCAGTATCACTGGACTGGGCAAAGAAGGAAAAAACAACCTAAACAAAACAAAATAGCAGGAGCAACAACAAAACTGAAGTTCAGTGCAACCAAGGCAGGCAGGATTTGAGTAGCGAAGGTGTTAGACAAAAATGAATCACTAAGCAATGAGCCCAGCACTGCACAAAATTTCCCGTTAGGGTATTTCCTGATTCCTAAGCTGTTTGTGTATGGAGCAGGATTCTAGAAACCAACTAAACAGCAGCTTAGGCAATCTCATTGTGCTGGAGATTTCAAGTCCTACTGATGAGGAGTTGCCTTGAGACCCCACATAATCAGAGCATCTCAAACCCTGATTTCATCAGAGATTGATTGTTTGTACTCTATTTTCCTGGCAAAGAAAAGTATATCACATTGTGAGGAAGATAAATATGTCTAGTGCCCTAAAATGTTTTCTGCCAAAATGTCTGGCATTTAATTCAAAATTACTATGTCTTCCAGGAAACAGGACCAAAATGACTAAATGTCTAATATTTTCAAAGAAATGATAAAGGTAGTAAAGAAATTCTAATAAGGAAAGGACACATGTTGCAATTGTTAGTTGACAACGGAAAAGAATCATAAAAGAATGTAGGCTAGGCCGGGCGCGGTGGCTCACGCCTGTAATCCCAGCACTTTGGGAGGCCGAGGCGGGTGGATCATGGGGTCAGGAGATCGAGACCATCCTGGCTAACACAGTGAAACCCCGTCTCTACTAAAAATACAAAAAATTAGCCGGGCGCGGTGGCGGGCGCCTGTAGTCCCAGCTACTCGGGAGGCTGAGGCAGGAGAATGGCGTGAACCCGGGAAGCGGAGCTTGCAGTGAGCCGAGATTGCACCACTGCAGTCCGCAGTCCGGCCTGGGCGACAGAGCGAGACTCCGTCTCAAAAAAAAAAAAAGAATGTAGGCTAATATACTAAAAACATACAAATATACAACAATAATTAATTTAAAATAAATCAAGAAATATGGGAAAGGGTAATGGATAGAATATTTATGTATGGTACATTGAAATCATGATCTATCAGTACTTATGTAAAAGAAATAAAAAAGATGGAAAAATATGAACCATATAGACACTAACCAAAAGATAGCTCGTATACCTATTATACTATCAGACAAAGTAGACTTTAAGGCAAGATGTATTACTAGATAGGCAGAACATTTATTGTCTATCTATAGAGAAGACAGATTTTTGTGGCTATATACCTACCAGACAAAGAACGCTTCACAGCAAGAACAATAAAGAAACTTAAAGAGGTATTTCATAATGATAAAAGGTCAATTCAGTAAGAAGATAAAAGCAATTTTAAATTTGAATGTACCTGAAAACATAACCTCAAAATATATAAAGCAAAGACTGGCAGAGTATAAAGAGAAAAATAAATATTCACAATCATCTGGCTGGAAATTTTAACACTAATTTCAAGAACTCATAGACCAAGAAGATAAAATATCAGTAGTAAACCCTGTTAATGACATATTACTCTTTTTTAAAATTGCTGATTTTGATTTCTGAAATAATTTGTTTAGAATTTCTTATCTAGGTTAATGAAATATTTTGATTTATGGTATTCTTTTTTTGTAGTACCTTTGTCAGATGTTGGTATTAAGACTATGCTGACCTCATAAAATGACTTGGGAACTAGAGTTCTTTAGCAGTGTTTTTATAAGACTGGTACTATTTCTTCCTTAAATGTTGGAAGATGTTTCAGTGAAGTAATCTGAGCTAGCATTTTCTTGTGGATGGGTTTACTTTTTAGTGATAGATTCAGTTTATTTAATACAAATAGTAGTATTAAGATAACTCAATTTCTTCTTGTATCAGTTCTGCTAAGTTGACTTTTCAGGGAATGTATCCATTTCATACTTTTAAAACTTATTATCATAACATGGTTTGTATATCACACATGGTTATTGTATTTAATGTCTATAGAATCTGTTGTGATGTTTCCCATTTTAGTCCTTGTATTGAACCTTTCTTCTTGATTAGTGTTTCCAGGCATTAATCAATTTATTAGACATGTAAGATGCCAAATGTTTAGATATATTTGTTAACTATTGCACTGATTTCTAATTTTATCTTTATTATTTTCTTCTAATTAGGTTTACTTGCTGTCTTTTTTGATCTTCTTGAAAATGATGCTTACATTGTTGGTTTTTAGACTTTTTTCTCTTCTAATAGACGTACTTAAAACTATTAATTTTTCTCCAAGCATAGTTTTAAGGTGCTATATTTTCATTAACATGCACTTTAAATTATTTTCTAATTTTCATGTGGTTCCTTTATTGGACCATGGACAACTTAGGACAACATCGTTTAATGTCCAATTTTAGAAAAATATTTTAGTTACTATTATACTCATTTCTAGCTTGATTATAGTGATTAGATAATATGTTCTGTAGGATTTTAAGTCTTTGAAATTTGTTGAGACTTGCTTTATGGCCAAACATAAATATTTCATATATACTTACAAATAATGTGTATTTTTCCATAGTTGTTTACAGTCCCTTATATATTAGGTAAAGAGTGTTAATTAAAATTACAATGTTCAAGGCACGTTTTTATTTCTTCACCTTGGTGGTAATTCCATGAATGCTTGCTTATAATTTTAATTAAGTTGTTCATTTATGTTTCATGTATTTTTTCAACATATTTCTAGGTAAAAAGATATAATTTTTTTAAAAAGAATGTGAAATAATATCAGAGTATATTGTGAAGGGTAGGGATTAAATCAGTAACACGGGTGCTATGGTATGAATGTGTCCCCTCCAAAATTCAGGTGTTGCCAATGGATAGTATTAAAAGTTGGGGTCTTTAAGAAGTGAATTGGCAATGAGGGCTTCTTCCTCATTAATGGAATTAAGGCCTTTTTTTTTCTTTTTTTAAATTATATTTTAAGTTCTAGGGTACATGTGCACAATGTCCAGATTTTTTACTTATGTATATATGTGCCGTGTTGGTGTGCTGCACCCATTAACTCGTCCATTAACATTATGTATATCTCCTAATGCTATCCCTCCCCCTTCCCCCCACCCCACGACAGGCCCCGGTGTGTGATGTTCCCCACCCTGTGTCCAAGTATTCTCATTGTTCAATTCCCACCTATGAGTGAGAACATGCGGTGTTTGGTTTTCTGTCCTTGAGTTAGTTTGCTCAGAATGATGGTTTCCAGCTTCATCCATGTCCCTACAAAGGACATGAACTCATCCTTTTTATGGCTGCATAGTATTCCATGGTGTATATGTGCCACATTTTCTTAATCTAGTCTATCGTTGATGGACATTTCGGTTGGTTCCAAGTATTTGCTACTGTGAATAGGGCCACAATAAACATACATGTGCATGTGTCTTTAGAGCAGCATGATTTGTAATCTTCTGGGTATATACCCAGTACTAGGATGGCTGGGTCAAATGGTGTTTCTAGTTCTAGATCCTTGAGGAATTGCCACACTGTCTTCCACAGTGGTTGAACTAGTTTACAGTCCCACCAACAGTGTAAAAGTGTTCCTACTTCTCCACATCCTCTCCAGCACCTGTTGTTTCCTGACTTTTTAATGATCGCCATTCTAACTGGTGTGAGATAGTATCTTATTGTGGTTTTGATTTGCATTTCTCTGATGACCAGTGATGATGAGCATTTTTTCATGTGTCTTTTGGCTGCATAAATGTCTTCTTTTGAGAATTGTCTGTTCATATCTTTCACCAACTTTTTGATATGGTTGTTTGATTTTTTTCTTGTAAATTTGTTTAAGTTCTTTATAGATTCTGGATACTAACCCTTTGTCAGATGGGTAGATTGTAAAAATTTTCTCCCATTCTTTAGGTTGCCTGTTCACTCTGATGGTAGTATCTTTTGCTGTGCAGAAGCTCTTTAGTTTAATTAGATCCCATTTGTCTATTTTGGCTTTTGTTGCCATTGCTTTTGGTGTTTTAGTCATGAAGTCCTTGCCCATGCCTATGTCCTGAATGGTACTGCCTAGGTTTTCTTCTAGGGTTTTTATGGTTTTAGGTCTAACATTTAAGTTTTTAATCCATCTTGAATTAATTTTTGTATAAGGAGTAAGGATGGGATCCAGTTTCAGCTTTCTACATATGGCTAGCCAGTTTTCCCAGCACCATTTATTAAATAGGGAATCCTTTTACCATTTCTTGTTTTTGTCAGGTTTGTCAAAGATCAGATGGTTGTAGATGTGTGGTATTATTTCTGAGGGCTCTGTTCTGTTCCATTGGTCTATATCTCTGTTTTGGTACCAGTACCACGCTGTTTTGCTTACTGTAGCCTTGTAGTATAGTTTGAAGTCAGGTAGCATGATGCCTCCAGCTTCTCACTGGGGCTTGTTGGACAGTGGGTGCAGCCCATAGAGTGTGAACTGAAGCAGGGTGGGGCATTGCCTCACCTGGGAAGCACAGGGGGTTGGGGAATTCCCTTTCCTAGCCAAGGAAAGCCATGACAGATGGTACCTGGAAAATCGGGACATGCCAACCCTAATACTGCACTTTTCCAGTGGTCTTAGCAAATGGCAGACCAGGCAATTTTATCGCAGGCCTGGCTCGGAGGGTCCCACGCCCACGGAGCCTCACTCACCGCTTGCACAGCAGTCTGAGATCGAACTGCAAGGCAGCAGCGAGGCTGGGGGAGGGGTATCCGCTATTGCTGACGCTTGAGTAGGTAAACAAAGCGGCCAGGAAGCTCGAACTGGGTGGATCCCACCACAGTGCAAGGAGGCCTGCCTGCCTGCCTCTAGACTGCACCTCTGGCGGCAGAGCATAGCTGAACAAAAGGCAGTAGAAACTTCTGCAGAATTAAACATCTCTGTCTGACAGCTTTGAAGAGAGTAGTGGTTCTCCCAGCAGAGTTTGAAATCTGAGAACGGACAGACTGCCTCCTCAAGTGGGTTTCTGACCCCCGAGTAGCCTAACTGGGAGACACCCCCCAGTAGGGGCTGACTGACACCTCATAGAGCTGGGTGCCTCTCTGAAACAAAGCTTCCAGAGGAAGGATCAGGCAGCAACATTTGCTGTTGTGCAATATTCTGTTCTGCAGCCTCCGCTGGTGATACCCAGGCAAACAGGGTCTAGAGTGACCTCCAGCAAACTCCAACAGACCTGCAGCTGAGGGTCCTGACTGTTAGAAGGAAAACTAACAAACAGAAAGGACATCCACACCAACACCCTATCTGTACATCACCATCATCAAAGACCAAAGGTAGATAAAACCACAAAGATGGGGAGAAACCAGAGCAGAAAAGCTGAAAATTCTAAAAATCAGAGCACCTCTTCTCCTCCAAAGGAATGCAGCTCCTTGCCAGCAACGGAACAAAGGTGGATGGAGAATGACTTTGATAAGTTGACAGAAGTAGGCTTCAGACAATTGGTAATAACAAACTTCTCTGAGCTAAAGGAGGATGTTCGAACCCATTGCAAAGAAGCTAAAAACCTTGAAAAAAGATTAGACAAATGGCTAACTAGAATAAACAGTGTAGAGAAGACCTTAAATGACCTGATGGAACTGAAAGCCATGGCACGGGAACTACGTGATGCATGCACAAGCTTCAGTAGCCGATTCAATCAACTGGAAGAAAGGGTATCAGTGATTGAAGATCAAATGAAAGAAATGAAGTGAGAAGTGAAGTTTAGAGAAAAAAGAGTAGAAAGAAATGAACAAAGCCTCCAAGAAATATGGGACTATGTGAAAAGTCCAAATCTACATCTGATCAGTGTACCTGAAAGTGACGGGAAGAATGGAGCCAAGTTGGAAAACACTCTTCAGGATGTTATCCTGGAAAACTTCCCAAACCTAGCAAGGCAGGTCAACATTCAAATTCTGGAAATACAGAGAATGCCACAAAGATACTCCTCGAGAAGAGCAACTCCAAGACACATAATTGTCAGATTCACCAAAGTTGAAATGAAGGAAAAAATGTTAAGGGCAGCCAGAGAGAAAGGTCAGGTTACCCACAAAGGGAAGCCCATCAAACTAACAGCGGATCTCTTGGCAGAAATTCTGCAAGCCAGAAGAGAGTGGGGGCTAATATTCAACATTCTTAAAGAAAAGAATTTTCAACCCAGAATTTCATATCCAGCCAAACTAAGCTTCATAAGTGAAGGGGAAACAAAATCCTTTACAGACAAGCAAATGCTGAGAGATTTTGTCACCACCAGGCCTGCCCTACAAAAGTTCCTGAAGGAAGAACTAAACATGGAAAGGAACAACAGGAAGCAGCCACTGCAAAAACATGACAAATTGTAAAGACCATCGAGGCTAGGAAGAAACTGCATCAACTAATGAGCAAAATAACCAGCTAACATCATAATGACACAATAAAATTCACACATAACAATACTAACCTTAAATGTAAATGGGCTAAATGCTCCAATTAAAAGACACAGACTGGCAAATTGGATAAAGAGTCAAGACCCATCAGTGTGCTGTATTCAGGAGACCTATCTCATGTGAAGAGACACACATAGGCTCAAAATAAAGGGATGGAGGAAGATCTACCAAGCAAATGGAAAACAACAAAAAAGCAGGGGTTGCAATGCTAGTCTCTGATAAAACAGACTTTAAACCAACAAAGATCAAAAGAGACAAAGAAGGCCATTACATAATGGTAAAGGGATCAATTCAACAAGAAGAGCTAACTATCCTAAATATATATGCACCCAATACAGGAGCACCCAGATTCATAAAGCAAGTCCTAAGAGACCTACAAAGAGACTTAGACTCCCACACAATAATAGTGGGAGACTTTAACACCCCTCTGTCAACATTAGACAGATCAACAAGATGGAAAGTTAACAAGGATATCCAGGAATTGAACTCAGCTCTCCACCAAGCGGACCTAATAGACCTCTACAGAACTCTCCACCCCAAATCAACAGAATATACATTCTTCTCAGCACATCACACTTATTCCAAAATTGACCACATAGTTGGAAATAAAGCACTCCTCAGCAAATGTAAAAGAGCAGAAATTATAACAAACTGTCTCTCAGACCACAGTGCAATCAAATCAAAACTCAGGATTAAGAAACTCATTCAAAACCACTCAACTACATGGAAACTGACCAACCTGCTCCTGAATGACTACTAGGTACATAACAAAATGAAAGCAGAAATAAAGATGTTCTTTGAAACCAATGAAAACAAAGACAACATACCAGAATCTCTGGGACACATTTAAAGCAATGTGTAGAGGGAAATTGATAGCACTAAATGCCCACAAGAGAAAGCAGGAAAGATCTAAAATTGACACCCTAACATCACAATTAAAAGAACTACAGAAGCAAGAGCAAACACATTCAAGAGCTAGCAGAAGGCAAGAAATAACTAAGATCAGAGCAGACCTGAAGGAGATAGAGACACAAAAAACCCTTCAAAAAATCAATGAATCCAGGAGCTGGTTTTTTGAAAATATTAACAAAATTGATAGACCGCTAGAAAGACTAATAAAGAAGAAAAGAGAGAAGAATCAAATAGATGCAATAAAAAATGATAAAGGGGATATCACCACTGATCCCAAAGAAATACAAACTACCATCAGAGAATACTATAAACACTTCTATGCAAACAAACCAGAAAATCTAGAAGAAATGGAGAAATTCCTGGACACATACACCCTCCCAAGACTAAACCAGGAAGAAGTTGAATCCCCGAATAGACCGATAACAGGCTCTGAAATTGAGACAATAATTAATGGCCTACAAACCAAAAAAAGTCCAGGACCAGAAGGATTCACAGCCAAATTCTACCAAAGGTACAAAAAGGAACTGGTACCATTCCTTCTGAAATTATTCCAAGCAATAGAAAAAGGGAATCCTCCCTAACTCATTTTATGAGGCCAGCATCATCCTGATACCAAAGCCTGGCAGAGACACAACAAAAAAAGAGAATTTTAGACCAATATCCGTGATGAACATTGATGCAAAAATCCTCAATAAAGTACTGGCAAACCGAATCCAGCAGCATATCAAAAAGCTTATCCACCATGATCAAGTGTGCTTCGTCCCTGGGATGCAAGGCTAGTTCAACATATGCAAATCAATAACTGTAATCCATCATATAAACAGAACCAAAGACAAAAACCACATGATTATCTCAATAGATGCAGAAATGGCTTTTGACAAAATTCAACAGCCCTTCATGCTAAAAACTCTCAATAAACTAGGTATTGATGGGACATATCTCAAAATAATAAGAGCTGTTTATGACAAACCCATGGCCAATATCATACTGAATGTGCAAAGACTGGAAGCATTCCCTTTGAAAACTGGCACAAGACAGGGATACCCTCTCTCACCACTCCTATTCAAGATGGTGTTGGAAGTTTTGGCCAGGGCAATCAGGCAAGAGAAAGAAATAAAGGGTATTCAATTAGGAAAAGAGGAAGTCAAATTGTCCCTGTTTGCAGGTGACATGATTGTATATCTAAAAAACCCCATCGTCTCAGCCCAAAATCTTCTTAAGCTGATAAGCAACTTCAGTGAAGTCTCAGGATACAAAATCAATGTGCAAAAATCACAAGCATTCCTATACACCAATAACAGACAAACAGAGAGCCAAATCATGAGTGAACTCCCATTCACAATTGCTTCAAAGAGAATAAAATACCTAGGAATCCAACTTACAAGGGATGTGAAGGACCTCTTCAAGGAGAACTACAAACCACTGCTCAACGAAATAAAAGAGGACACAAGCAAATGGAAGAACATTCCATGCTCATGAGAATCAATATCGTGAAAATGGCCACACTGCCCAAGGTAATTTACAGATTCAATGCCATCCCCATCAAGCTACCAATGACTTTCTTCACAGAATTGGAAAAACTACTTTAACGTTCCCGTGGAACCAAAAAAGAGCCCACGTTGCCAAGATTAAGGCCTTTTTAAAAGAGATTTGCTGGCTTGCCATTCCAACTTCTGCCATGTGAAGATGTGGTAAGAAAGTTCTTATCAGACACCATGTGCCAATGCCTTGATCTTGGGCATCTTGGCCTCCCAAACTGTGAGAAATAAACTTCTATTTTTTATAAATTACCTAATCTGTGGTATTTTGTTACAGCAGCACAAAAAGACTATGACAATGGGCATACTTTCTGGTTTCTGATATTTGAAACAGCTGACCCAGAGGTTTTAAATAAATGTGTTTGCCATGAATTCCCTGAACTTAGATTATGTTTGGGTTGTTTTATCTGGCAACGTCACTTTCTGAGTATCACCAAAGAACTCTTGGTTTTGATGAAGTGATTATTCTGTACTTATAATCAATCATTGTCATTCTTTTATAAGGTGAATGCTAGATTTATTTATTTATTATTTAAACATTTGCTTTGTGAATTAAAGGAATAGTTGACAAATTAAACTGTAAGATGGTAATATTTCTTTCTTTCCTCAAATAAATTAAAAGTTATTTTAACAAGGAATAATTGGTATTTAACTGATTACTTAATCACAGTGAAATGAGTATATCTGCAACTTCAGTTTCATTGGCTAGAAAACTGACTTAGTAAATAAATCAGAAATATACACTCTCCATAATTCACTACTGCTTAATTTTAAAGAGGCTTCAAAATAACAGGCATGTAGCGTTTAAAGCATTTTTTTTTTTTGAGGCGGAGTCTCGCTCAGTCGCCCAGGCTGGAGTGCAGTGGCGCAATCTTGGCTCACTGCAAGCTCCGCCTCTTGGGTTCATGCCATTGTCCTGCCTCAGCCTCCCGAGTAGCTGGGACTACAGGCGCCCGCCAACACGCCCAGCTAATTTTTTGTATTTTTAGTAGAGACGGGGTTTCACCGTGTTAGCTAGGATGGTCTCGATCTCCTGACCTCCTGATCTGCCCGTCTCGACCTCCCAAAGTACTGGGATTACAGGCGTGAGCCACTGCGCCCGGCTTAAAGCATTATTTTATTTTCTTTCTTTATTTTTGAGACAGCATCTCACTCTGTCACCCTGGCTGAAGTGTAGTGATGGGATCATGGTTCGCTGCAGCCTCCACCTCCCTGGACTTACGGGATCCTCTCACATCAGCCTTCTGAGTTGCTGGGACTACAGGCAGGTGCCACGATGTGGGCTAATTTTTGTATTTTGTAGAGATGGAGTTTCACCGTGTTTCCCAGGCTGGTCTTGAACTCCTGGACTTAGGCGATCCTCCTGTCTCAACTCCCCATTTGCTAGGATTACAGGCGTGAGTCACCATGCCCAGCCTAAAGCATTGTTTTAAATTAATATGTCTTTAGTGGACCTCCTTTCCTTTGGGAAAAAATGCTTTAAATGCTCAGGTGGTTATCAAGAACACTGGTCAGTTTTTAGAATAAACATAGTAAGCAACAAATTCAAGTTCAAAACCACATCCTGTATGCATTCAAAACAAATGTCCTTTACTTATAGTGCTTATTGTTTTGTTTTCATAAAAGAACTTAAGTGACTATAAACATCACAAAATGTTTTCCAGTTCACAGCTATTTTAGACTTCCACAGTTCTACCTAGTGAGCAAAGCTCAATCCCTATTTTCATATGAAAATACCTAAAATGAACCAAATTTCCATTTAAAAATTAAACATTTGGAAAGGGAGTTGAAAAGCAATAAATGAATTTCTGAATTGTTTTTCACTACTACCCAATGGCTAGTTAACTTACAAGAGAAGGGATGAACAGGAATCTAGGAGTTGACACTTTCAACACCTTTGAAATATGGATGAATGAACATTTGTCATTCAGGGTTGACCAGTGTTTGAGGTTCTGGGTAGCTTTGTTTCTGAGGGCTACACATTGGCAGAATTTATACATTCTCAGCAGTTGTTTCTCACTAGTTAGACTGACCACACAGTGACAGATGCTCTTTCATCCTTTGCCAATATCCAGCAGTGCAAAACTTTATTACAGCAATATTCCCCTTCTACTGAATTGCTTACATTTATTTTTCATAGTGTTTGGTAGCCTGCCTAATCAGCTTTTACAACACCAAGTATCTACCATTATACAGGTTTTGTCCCATAAGCAGGATACCTAAGCCACTTTGTTTTTCTGGAAACCACAGTCAAGGGAACCAAGGACCTAAGGGCCACACAGGGCTTTTGGGCCTTTGTGTGCAGATGCTCCACTGAGAAGGTGAGACTCTAGAAAATATGAATGGACAGATGTAGGTTGTGCCCTATTTGCAGCTAGCAAAACTGTTCTTTCTTTGAGCTGTCTTTGGGTGGTTCTGGATCTTGTGAGGACTACTTTGTATTTCTTTGTGGATACCACATGCATCCTTGCAGAAATCATAACCTTGGTTAAGTCTGGTTGGTTTTGGTGAGTCATTTGGGATGCTAAGTTCGAAAGCCAGAAATATCAACTGTTTGTCCTGACTAAAATAAAATATAAAGAGATTTGAAAAAAAAAATTTAAATATCTCTATGCTCAGAAAGCTTAATTTTGATCTTTTTGTTTGCCTCCTTTCTTGTTGGTATAATTTTGCAGAGAGAAATGTAAAATTGGCTGGGCACGGTGGCTCACGCCTGTAATCCCAGCACTTTGGGAGGCTGAGGCGGGCGGATCGCCTGAGGTCGGGAGTTCAAGACCAACCTGGTCAACATGGTGAAACTCTGTCTCTACTAAAAATACAAAAATTAGCTGGGCATGGTGGCAGGTGCCTGTAATCCCAGCTACTTGGGAAGCTGAGGCAAGAGAATTGCTTGAACCCGGGAGGCGGAGGTTGCAGTGAGCCCAAATCATGCCCTTGCACTCCAGCCTGGGCAACAAAACCAGACTCCATCTCAAAAAAAAAAAAAAATGTAAAATTATATTGGTCTTTTAGAAAGCTTAAAATCTCCCCAACGTGGCTCCTTTAAGAATTGTTCTCCCATTTATTTTTACCATTCCCTCATATTTTATCCTCTTTACCATCTTCAGTACCATATGAATTTATCTACAGTCAATGTCTAATGACTCTGAGACCCCTTAAGAAACACAGAAAAAGATGACATACACCCTCCTTTGGGGGTCTTCTGTTTTCCTTGTGGAGTCCCAAGAGTCATGGGCAGGTTCCTCTCAGGTCTAAAGCTCTGCTCTCTTTTTGCATTGAGTTACCTGATCTCTTTGGATTTGAGGGTGCCAGGATTACTTTATACTATGAGAGAAAACTCGACCTTTGTGTATGAAATGGCTAGCAAGTCACTAGTGGGAGCAGCAGTTTTGGATGTGGCTGCCTGCAATTGTAAATAAAGATTATTACTGCAGGAGGCTGCTCAATTCTTTGAGTGTTTAGATATAAAATGCATGGTTTGAACACTTGGAGGATGTGGAAATACTCACCACAAAGGGAAAAGACTCCCATGAGAATGAACTGATCACAGGGTGGGCAGAGTGGCACTGGGTAGCCTACTGGCCTTGGGAGAATGTGTTTGGATGCACTATGGAAATGTTGCATGGCTCTGTCCCACGGGCTCTCCCTCTATGGGGGGACCCAAGTTTCAGTGTAAAAAAAATGGAGTTCTTTGATTTGGGGACACCTAGGTGTTCTGCCTTCCAGCTGCACCTGCTTTTCACATATGTAAGTATTAGGCTCTGAAAACTACAAATGCTGTATTGGCTCTATTCATTGATGGAATCTTCTCTGATCTCAGTGATCCAGTTAAAAAGCAGAGACAAAATTAGAAGCTTCCTATCTAAATCAAATTAGACTCCTAATAAAATCCTGTTATGGCTATAATGTTGTTACCCTGGCATCCATTTTTAATCTTCCTCTAACACAACCAAATTCCTTCTTGAAAAAGCTGAAATTTTCTCTCTGTGCTTTGAAATATAAATTTGCTACCCCGTTTTCTCCAAAATTGAGTAACGGTTTCAGACATGTGAGGCAGATAAACTTAACGTTCCATTTATAGAGGCATAATTTAATCCAACTGTCCTTTTAAACTAGTTATTTGTACCTGTCTCATGGCCAAAATTTTCTAATCAAAACTATAAAGGCTTATTTGTGTCTGTTTGTATTTTTTACATATATATATATATATGTATACAAGTCTGCTTGTATATTGTCTACATGGGACCAAAATGACCAAATTGACTTATAAATAAATGAACATTCATAAATTAAGTAAACAAGCTCAAATTCTTTTCAAGTTTATATGACTTCAATAATATTTGGTAGATAAAGCCAGTTCTTAAAATGATTGGTAAAGTGAGATGAAAATATCTTCTGAATTTAATTTATATCTTTTTGCCTGGGTCTATTGGTCAGACAGGATTATACTGTCTCCAATAGATGTGTAAGGTCATAAAACTGTTTCTTCTGATATTTTGATACTTGCTTAATTTTTCAGTGACCCTTTGTCTTTGGTTTTGAGCCTTTATAGATTCTGGGGTCTAGACAAGTGACTATGTTGAGATGTGGGGACATATGTGTATCCAAAGTGCCTGGGTTATTAACTGTGGGGCAGAACCAAAGTCAGTATGTCCTCCCAGACCCAGCTGTGCCTTCTGGCCGTGCTGGTTGGATCCACCAGGTATTGTCGGTATTGTCTCCACACCTCTGTCCTTTTCCTAGCCTTTGCACCTGATATATTACAATTAAAATTGCTTACTTCCTAGGTAGTTTTCATTGAAAATTAGGGTAACTAAGAGTTAGCATTGGACTTGTATACATAATTAAAACTACTACATAAAAAAATTTGATATCAGAGAGTATAAGAAAATTAAGATATATTTTTGGTAACAAAGTTTATAAAGAAGGCATGAGAATGCGCTTTTTGTTAAAGAAAAAGTAATTTTGTCTGGCTTAGAGGTTTTTAGAGGTTGTCTTAACTGAAGAAAGAAATGAAAATGATAGATAAAAACTAAATGGGTATGGAAAGTTGGGGACAGATAATGGAAAAAATTCTAAGAGGTTATAAAAGGCTTTTGAAAATCTTATCACATGTGGTCAAAGTTGATTGAGATTGGATCAGTATGTGTATAAGGTTTTATTAAATTTGGATTCAATAATAATACACTGATACAAAGTAAGAATTTGGTTTTCTCATTTGAACAAATTTTTTATGCAGTATTAATAAGAGACAGTAAAATATTTCATTTGCATTTTGAGTAAATTGCAAAAAGGAGGGAGAGTTTGTCTCATGCTATCATTATTAGGAGTTTTGATTATTTAGCAAACTAAGTTTCTTTTCAATTAAAGAGTAAAGGTTTTGGCTTTTTGAAATCTTTTAATTATCACTTTGCTGAATGAATAGTTATTATTTTACAGTGACCTATGTGATCTTATTTTGATCAAGTATTTTAAACATTTGATATATGATAAACTTCCCAAAATTAAATTTCAAATTCTAAATTAAGTCTTTTTGACCTTGAACTAACCTTTGGAAATTCCAAAAGGAAACCCTGGAAGTCCAAGAGAATCATATTAGGCTTATTTGGCTTATAAAATATCATCTGGGAAGCACTGTCAAATAAATGATGTTTAACTTTCTTTGAGTTGTATTTGTACATATGTGTTATTAATATGTGTTCCAAAATTGTATGAGCTTCCTAGGATTCTGACATGTCTTGGTATATGTTAATAGTCATAATTATTATGTTAAATTATTGTATGCCACAAAAATAGATAAATTTTCTTCTCAATTACATCTTTAACCATGGATATTCTATCTTTTGTAATCCACAATTATTATTTTTATTTATCTCAAATAGCAGCTTATAATCAGCTATAGTCCAAAATCTGCTGCTTCTTCAAGGACAAGTACTTTTAAATTCAGGTTCCTGATAACTTTTGACATCATACCATTAGACTAGGTAAAAACTTGCAGAACTCTAATTTAAAAACTGATAGGTTCATGAAAATTGCTAACCTAACATGAGAAGAAAAAGAGTTAATTATGTGGGACTGAACTAAGGAAGGACTGAAATAATCATTTGACTTTTTGTTTGAAACACTGCTTATTCTTTTTATGTTTTGTTTTCCAGAGTCAAGAAAACTTTTTCTTAAACTATTTATAACTTATAACAATTGAGTAAAGTACTTTTATGAGCAAAATGGAAACATTTACCTTCTTCTTTATCTAACTTCTCCAGAGTTCAGAAACTATTCATGAGTATTCTTATTTTATGGCAATATAGTAATTTGTATAAGTTCAATAAGAATCTGTTTTCTTTTGTAACAACACATAATTGGAGACACTGGTTATTTTACCAAAGCTTTTACTGGAATGTCACATTTTCAAACATGACCAAATTGCTTTGAAGAATGGAGATTTACTTTCAAGCCAATAGACTTGGAAAAGAAGACTTGCCTGGTACTTCATCTATACTGTTTCCTTACAAGGTTCCTGACCTTGCAGTAAGAAACGAATGTCACAGATGTAGGAACTTCAGGGTATTTTGGGGATCTCAAGAAGAGAGGAATTCACCCAATTCGTACAGGTATTACAGGCACAGTCTGATGTCAAATCCTTGGTTTGGCTTCTTAGACTCAAAAGCTTTTAAAAGTCTAATGAAAAATGTCTTACAAAAAAGTTCCAGCAACCTTAAGTTAAAAAGGTCCTATGTGGCCAGTCACTCTTCTTTCTGCACTTTATACAAATATTCAGGCCAAGAATAATAAGAGTAAAACTTATTTTGAAAATAAATTGGTCCTACTATGATTTATATTTGGTGAAAATGAGGGACTAGAGAGAAAAAAATGTATGTTTCAGAAGAAAGCTACAGCACACCTATTATTGGATCCTAGCCCTGATCATTGCTTTCGAATTCTTACTGTTTGCCTACAGATTGGACTGAATTCTGAATTCTTTCCTGGCTACAAGTCTCCAAACTAACATTTACAAATTTGTCTCCCATTTATCTAACTTGAAATTAACAAAAATTAAAACTGTACTTTTCCTGAAGCCCTGAAAACTTGCTATAAACTTTGGGAGAAATTATTATGGCAACTTAGATATGCTTGTTGATATATGGACTACTCAGAAAGTTCATTGAAACACAAAATCTGCCATATTGCCCATGGAATCAGAAGATGCTCAGAGACTCTAAGAAAAAGCAGTGTACAGACTACTGCAGACATTACCCTTTGTTTTTCTCCTGTTTCCATAGATATGCCTCTGATTAAAGATCTGTTTTCCTACATTCTATGTAGATGGATCCTAGCCCATCTGCAATGTCACCTCCTAGAATGGGAAACAGCTGTTAAACTTAACTGACCTATTCTCAGGACTAAGACTGATTCAGGAAGATATGGGGCAATATATTTAAATTTGTTATTTTCTATTTATCCCAATTTGTTTTTCTCTTCCTTTGCCTATCTCTTACCTAACAACCTCTAATCTAAATCTCTACAAAGCCATCAAGTTGACTTTTAATATGTGAAACTTCCTAAAAGTAAAGTTTCAAAGGAAGGGACTTAAGGAAATGAGAATATTCACCCCAAAATATATTTCCTTGACATAGTTCAAGGTGGCTATATAGAAGGACTGGAAATACAAATACAAGAATAGCTAAAAAGCTGTCTTTCGTTGCCGGGGATTTGTAAGTGTAGAGAAAATCTTCATTGATGTAGCCAGGTTTTCTCTGTGGCCCTTTGCTTGTTCTATCTAGGAAAGTTTGACAGAGAGTATGACATCTTTAAAGGTCTGAAAGAAAACTTTGCCATCTATTCTCTCTGAGGACCTCTATGTGTAAGGTTTCATCTGCATTACAAGACCACCTTTTCTAGCTAGACCTCCTCTTCTCTCAGTGCCATAGCCTGTCCTGCCACCATAACGTTTTGATGATGCGCTGAGCCCTTATTTTTATTTTTATTCTATTTATTTATTTAATTTTTGAGACAGAGTTTCACTCTTGTTGTCCATGTTGGAGTGCAGTGGTGTGACCTTGGCTCACTGCAGCCTCCACCTCCTGGGTTCAAGTAATACTCTTGCCTCAGCCTCCTGAGTAGCTGGGATTACAGGCATCCACCACCATTAGCCAGGCTAATTTTCTGTATTTTTAGTAGAGACGTGCTTTCACCATGTTGGCCAGGCTTGTATCGAACCCCTGACCTCAGGTGATCCACCCACCTTGGCCTCCCAAAGTGCTGGGATTACAGGCATGAGCCACTGCACCTGGCTGAGCCCTTATTTTTTCCATAAACTCAAGATGGTACATAAGCTTCTGAACCCCATCAGGAGTTTGGGGTAATCACTCTGTGCTTCTCCACTGTTCATGTCAATAAATTTGTATGCAATTTCTCCTATTAATCTGCCTTCTGTCAGTTGATTTTTCAGTGAAGCTTCAGAGGGCGAAGAGGAAGTTTTATGTTGCCCCTTACATTTCTCAGTGGTTGGACTGACCACACAGTTCCAGATGGTATTTCATCCTTTGGCAATATCCAGCAGGGCAAATCTTTATTATAGCAACACTTCCCTTCTACTGAATTGCTTATATTTCCTTTCAAAGTATTTGGTAGCCTGTTGAATGTGCTTTTACAGCACCGAATATCTACCATTATTAAAGAAACATTCTATATTCATCTGTTTACTTAATAGCCTTCCATACAAGACAGATTGAAGGAAAATATTACCAACCTTATTTACAGATAGAGGAATTTGGACTTAGAGAGTTAAATATGTATAGCGAGTCATGCAGAGAGTAATCAGGCCATGTGGCTAAAATATTCAAACCTTGTGCTCTCTGTCCTTTATCTTTTTCCCTAGATTACTCTGTCTCCCTGATGAATGAGTCAGCAGTTTATTGGGGTTTTTTTTTCCTGTAATTACTATACATCATTTTCTTCCTCATTATATATACTCAAATGTAATGCCATAATTAAAGATCTAAAAGATGTAGGGTTGGTGGTCCCTATCTCATCTCTGTTAAATTTGCCAGGTTGCCTCCTGCAGAAATGGATGGATTCTAGAGGATGACTGTAGTATAGACTACTGTGAGCTCAAACAAGTAGTAGCAGCATAGCTGCTATGCTGGATGTAGTGTCATTTCTAGAGCAGATTTATAAAGCCTCACTTTCCTATGGCCATTGGTTTAGTGAATGCATTCTTTCGTATTCTGGTCAGATGACAGGATCAGAAACAGTTTGCATTCGTGAGATATGGCAAAATATATTCACTTATGATTTTCACTTCAGAGCTTTGCTAACTCTCCTTCCCTCAGTGCTATAAGTCTTAGGAGATTAGGCCTGTCAGAGTCCCTTGGAACATTACATCAATCCATTATGTCAATGACATCATGCTGATTGCACATGAGGAACAAGAAGTGGCGGGCATGCTGAAAGCCTTGTAAGACATGTGTGCTCCTGGTAGTAGAAGATAAAATTCCATGAAGATTCAGGGACCCGCCATTTCAGTAAAATGATTAGGGGTCCAGAGATTAGGGGTATGCTAGGATATTTCCTCCAAAATTAAAGACAAATCAATACTTCTTGCATTTCCTATGATAATGCAAGAATACACTGGGTTTTGGGTTTTGGGTTTTGAGGCCACACATTCCATATCCAAGAATATTGTTCTGACCCAGAGAAGGCTGCTAGCTTTGAATGGAGTCAGGAGCAAGAAAGGGCTGAGACAGGTCAAGGCAGCAGTGTGCAAACAGCCCCACCTCATAAGCCATACCACCTGGCAGACTCTATGGTGTTGGAGGATTCAGTGGTGGAAAAAAGTGAAGGGTGGAGTTTTTCGCAAGTTCCTGTGAAAGAATCCCAATTCAGGCCAGTTTTAGATGGGCACATGACTGCCCTAAGACTACTTTTCCCAGCCTCCTATGAAGGTTTGTGTAAATATGTGACTATGTTCTGGCCAATGGGATATGAATGGAATAATGTGTGCTTCTCCTGTTTGTGTTCCTAAGAAGAAACGTGTGTTCTCTTAATTCCATTGTTCCTTCTTACAAATGACCAAGATAGGCTTAGCATTCCCCTCAGACTGACTATTTCAGGCAGGTTTCTTCTTGATTACAGGCTCTTGACTTTTCTTAGAGCATTTGCTTTAGAAAACTTGCAATTGTGAATCATTTTCCTGCCCCTTTAAAATGTAAATTGTTTCCCAGCTTCTTGCTGGATTTCCAACCCAGGGATGTCTTTCTCAAGGACCTGGGACCCATCCCTTAGAAATTTCATCTTCAAGGAAGATATTGCCTCTATCTCTCAGTCTCTCTGGGAGGGTAGGTGACTAACTTCCATAAGTGCCAATTAGAAAACACAAATGGCCTAATCACATGGACCAATCTGCCCCCTAATATCCTCCAGGACTTTTCCACCAGCTCACCCTAGTACTTCAACACTTTCCTGCCTTTCGTTTTAATAACTCTGAATACAATTTTTCTTCTATCTTGCAGTTGTTTTGAATAGGGTCTTTCTTGCTTGTTTAACTCAAGACACAGGCTTCATAATGAGGAGAACTGGGGCAGCTGCTTTGGATGTTTTGGAGATTGCAGAGCTTCCCTTCCCCTTCCAGTGCTGTACCACCTACTTCTTGACCATGACATGAGAGAAGAATAAACATTCACTTTATTTTAGCAGCTGAATTTCATGTCTCTTGGTTGGAGCGGTTTCAACTGTCGTAAGTAATACAAGGGCCATTTGGCCAAGCTACTTTAAGAAGAAGAACAAAATGAAGTTTTCAAAAAATATAAAATTTAACTTTGTTTTCCTCCTGTAAGCATAAATTATCACATTACACTTTGCTGAAAGTCAAAACTAAGTAAAACACAGAAGTACATGCAGTATTTCATCACACAATAATTTCAATAAATAAATAAATTTAGTCTTAGACTAAAATCACATTTTTAAGAAACAGGAAAACAAAGAATGAATAAGTGTATATCTTAAGGCTCAGGCCAGCTAAATTATATAATGATTTATTTATTAGAAAAACATTACAGAGAACCTACTCTAAAGTCCATTTTTATTTATTCAATAAATATTTAACAAATACTCAGAAGAAGTGAATATAAAGACTTGATATGTGTAAAAAGAAATATTTCTCTGTGTTGTTATGGACCTATATATATTTTTTTCTCAATATTCTTTTTTATTTTTAATTTTAATGGATACATAGTAGCTGCATACATTTTTGGGGTACATGGTACGTGAGATATTCTGATACCGGCATACAATGCATAATAATCACATCAGGGTAAATGAAGTACTCATTACCTCAAGTATATATCATTTATTTGTGTTATAAACATTCCAGTTATACTATTTTAGTTATTTTTAAATGTACAATGAGCTATTGTTGACTGTAGTTACCCTGTTGTGCTATCAAATACTACATCTTATTCATTCTAGCTAACTATATTTTTGTACCTATTAACCATCTGCACTCCCTCCACCTCCCACTACCCTGCCAAGCCTCTGGTAACCATTGTTGTAACCTCTATCTTCATGAGCTCAGTTGTTTTAATTTTCAGATCCCACAAATGAATCAGAACATGCAAAGCATGTCTTTCTGTGCTTGGCTTATTTCACTTAATGCAATGTCCTCCAGTTCTATCCATGTTGTTGCAAATGACAGAATCTCATTCTTTTTTAATGGCTGAATGGTACTCCATTGTGTATCTGCACGGCATTTTATTTATCGTTTGTTGATGGACACTTAGGTTGCTGCTGAATCTTGGCTATTGTGAATGTGTTGCAATAAACATGGGAGTACAGAAATCTCCTTGACATATTTTGTTTCATTTGGAAAAATACCCAATAGTGGAATTCTGGATCACATGGTAGTTCTATCTTTAATTTTTTTCAGAAACCTCCATACTGTTCTCCATAGTGGCTGTACTAATTTACATTCCCAGCAACACTGTACAAGAGTTCTCTTTACTCCACATCCTAGCTGGCATTCATTACTGCCTGCCTTATAGATAAAAGCCATTTTTACTAGGGTGAGATGATATCTTACTGTACTTTTGATTTACGTTTCTCTGATGATAAACGATGTTGAGCACCTTTTCATATGCCTGTTTGCCATTTGTATGTCTTCTTTTGAAGAATTTTCTTCAGATCTTCTGCCCATTTTTAAATTGGGTTATTAGATTATTTCCTATTGAATTGTTTGGGTTCCTTATATATTTTGGTTGTTAATCCCTTTTTCAGGTCGATATTTTGCAAATATTTTCTCCCCTTTTGTGGGTTATGTCTTTACTTTGTTGATTGTTTGCTTTGCTGGGCAGAAGCTTTTCAATGATGTGATCCCATTTGTCCATTTATGCTTTGGTTCCCTGTGTTTGTAGGGCATTACTTAAGACATCTTTGCCCAGACGAATCTCCTGGGGAGTTTCTCCAGTGTTTCTGTTAGTAGTTTCATAGTTTGAGGTCTTTGATTTAAGCCTTTGATCCATTTTGATTTGATTTTTTTATGTGGTGAGAGATAGGGGTCTAATTTCATTCTTCTGCATATGGATATCCAGTTTTCACAATGTAATTTATTGAAGAGACTGTCCTTTCTCCATTGTGTGTTCTGGTCACCTTTGTTGAAAATGAATTCACTGTAGGAGTGTGGATTTGTTTCTGGGTCCTCTATTGTGTTCCTCTGGTCTATGTGTCTGTTTTTGTGCCAGCACCATGCTGTTTTGGTTACTATAGCTCTGTAGTATAATTTGAAGTCAGGTAACGTGATTCCTCCAGTTTTTTGTTTGTTTGTTTTTGTTTTTGTTTTTGCTCAGGATGGCTTTGGCTATTCTGGGTCTTTTGCAGTTCTATACAAATTTTAGAATTGTTTTTCTATTTCTGTGAAGAATGCCATTGGTATTTTGACAAGGATTGCGTTGAAACTGTGGACTGCTTTTGGTAGTCATTTTAAACAATATTGATTCTTCTAATCAATAAACATAAAATATCTTTTCATTTTTGGTGTCTTCAACTTCTTGCATCACCATTTTATAGTTTTCATTACAGAGATCTTTCATTTCTTTAATTAAGTTTATTCCTAGGTGTCTTAACTAACTTATTTGTAGCTATTGTATCATATGTTTCAAGAAATTTTTCAATTTCCTTTTCAATTTCTTTATTGACCCACTGGTTATTTAAAAGCATATTGTTTAACTCCATGTATTCTTATAGTTTCCAAAGTTCCTCTTGTTATTGATTTCCAGTTTTATTCCATTGTGGTTAGAGAAGATGCTTGATATTATTTCAATTTTTGGAATGTTTTAAGATTTGTTTTGTGACCTAACATGTGGTTTATCCTTGACACTAATCCATTCACTGAGGAAATGAATGTTTATTCTGCAGCGATTGGATGACACGTTCTATAAATATCTCTTGGATCTGTTTTGCTCTATAGTGCAGATTAAGTCCAATGTTTCTTTGATAATTTTCTGTCTGAATGATCTGCCCAGTGCTGACAATGGGGTGTTAAAGTCTCCACCTATTATTATATTGGGATATATCTTTCTTTTTTGCTGTAATAATATTTGCTTTCTATATCTGGGTGCTCCAGTGTTGGGTGCATATATGTCTTAAAGTGTTATATCCTCTTGCTGAATTGATCCCTTTATCATTACATAATGACCTTCTTTGTCTCTTTTTATAGCTTTCGTCTTGAAATCTATTTTGTCTGACATAAGTATAGCTACTCCTTATCCCTTCTTAAGTATTTGTATGGAAGTTTTTCATCCCTTTATTTTTAGTCTATGTGTGTCTTTATAGGTAAAGTGTGTTTCTTATAGGAAACAGATTGTTGAGTCTCATTTTTTAATCCATTCAGCCACTCTATGTTTTTTGTTTGAAGAGTTTAGTCCACTTAATTCAATGTTTATTATTGATAAGTAAAGATTACTTCTGCCATTTTGTTGTTTTCTATTCTTCTCTTCCTTCCCTCTTGAATTCCTTTTTGTGAAGGTGTTTTTTTCTAGTGGTATGTTTTAATTTTTTGCTTTTTATTTTTTTGCACATCTGATGTAGGTATTCTGATTTGTGGTTAGCATAAGGCTTGCAAATAACATCTTGTATCTCATTATTTTAGTTTGATGATAACTTAACACTGATTGCAAAAAACAACAGGCAACAAGCAAAGGAAAAAGTAATAGAAACTCCACACTTCAACTTCATCCCCCTGAGTTTTAACTCTTTGTTGCTTTTATTTGTATCTTATTATATTATGTCTTGAAAAGTTATTGTAGTTAATATTTTTACAGGTTTATCTTTTAGTCTTTCTTCTCAAGATATGAGTAATTTACACACCATAATTATAGTTTATAATATTCCATTTGTCTGTGTACTTACAATTACCAGTGAGTTTTGTACCTTCAGATGATTTCTTATTGCCCATTAACATCCTTTCCTTTCTGAAGAATTCTCTCCTGTATTTCCTGTAGGTCAGGTCTGGTGTTGATTAAATCCCTCAGCTTTTGTTTTTCTGAGAAAGTCTTTATTTCCCTTCCATCTTGAAGGATATACTTGCTGTATGTACTATTCTAGGATAAAATTTTTTTTTCCCTTCACCATTTTAAATGTGTCATGCCATTCTCTCCTGGCCTGTAAGGTTTCCACTGAGAAGCCTGCTGCCAGATGTATTAGAGATCTTTTCTATGCTATTTGTTTCCTTTCTCTTGCTGGTTTTATGGTCCTTTTTTAATCCTTGATCTTTGGGAGTTTGATTATTAAATGCCTTGAGGTAATGTTCTTTGGGTTAAATCATCTTGGTGGTCTCTAACCTTCTTGTACTTGGATATTGATATATTTCTGTAGATAAGGGAAGTTCTCTGTTATTATCCCTTTGAATAAACCTTCTACCTCTATCTCTTTCTCTACCTTCTCTTTAAGGCCAATAACCCTTAGATTTGCCCTTTTGAGGTTATTTTTTAGAACTTGTCAGTGTGCTTCATTCTTTCTTACTCTTTTCTCTGTTGACTCTTCTATGTATTTTCAAATACCTGTCTTCAAGTTCACTAATTCTTTCTCCTCCTTGATCAATTCAATGGTTGGAGGACTCTGATGCTTTCTTCTGCATGTCAATTGCATTTTTAAGCTTCAGAATTTCTGTTCCATTTTAAAAAACTATTTCAATCTCTGTAAAAATGTATCTGATAAGATTCTGAATTTCTTCTCTGTGTTATCTTGAATTTGGTTGAGCCTCCTCAAAACAGCTATTTTGAATTCTCTGTTGGAAAGGTCACATATTTGTCACTCTGGCATTGGTCACTGGTGCCTCGTGTAGTTTGTTTGGGGAGCTCATGTTTTCCTGGATGGTACTGGTGCTTGTGAGTATTTGTCAATGCCCAAGCATTGAAGAGTTATGTATTAACTGCAGTCTTTGCAGTCTTGTCTTATTTGTATCCAATCTTCTTGGGAAGGTCTTCCAAGTATTCAAAGAGAATTGAGTGTTATGATATAAATCTTTGGTCACTGCCATATCCACACTAGGGGTCACCCCAAGTCCAGTAATGCTGTGTTGCCACATTGGTGGTCTTTTGAAACTTCTGGGAGAATTTCCTGAATTACCAGACAGAGACTCTTGTTCTCTTCACTTACTTTCTCCCAAACAAACAGTGTCTCTTTCCATACTGAGCTGCATGGAGCTAGGTAGGGGAAGGGTGACACAAGCACCCCTGTGTCCACCACCCCTGGAAATGCACTGGGTCCAGGCCCAAAGCCAGCATAGCTCTGGGTCTTGCACAAGGCCCACTGTGACCATTGCTTGGTTACTGCCGAGGTTCACTCAAGGCCCAAAGGCTCTTCAGTCAGCAGGTGGTGAATCCAGCCAGGCTTGTGTCCTATCCTTCAGGAAGGTGAGCTCCCCTTCAGCCCAGGGTAGGTCCTAAAATGGTATGAAGGAGCAAGGGCTTGGAGTCAGAAACCTTAGGAATCTACTAGGCACTCTGTTCTATAGTGGCTTAGCTGGCACCCATGCTGCAAGACAAAGTCCCTTCCAGTCTTCCTTCCCCTTTCCTCAAGCAAAAGGACTCTCTCTCTATGGCCACCACTGCCCCAGGCCTGAGGTGACTACAGCCTGGCTACTCATGATGTTCACTCAAGGGCCAAGGGCTCTTTAGTTGGCTTGTGTGGAATGCTGTGTGGCCTGGGTATCTCTCTTCAGGACATCCTAGGGCAGGCCCTCTGGACTGGGATGGGCCCAGAAATACTGTCCAGGAGCCAAAATCTAGAATCAGTGACCCCAAGAACTTGCTTGGTTGTCTACCCCACTGTGGCTGAGCTGGTGCCCAAGCTGCAAAACAAAATCCCCTTTACTCTTCCCTCTCCTTTCCTTGAGCAGAAGATATCTCTCCCCAAAACCACCACAGCTGGGTATGTGCTGGGTCACACCTGAAGCCAGGACAATCCTGGGTCTCACCCAAGTCCCAAGGCAAGTACTGCCTGGGTACCTCTGATGCTTATTCAAGGCCCAAGGGCTCTTCAGTCAGCAGGTGATAAATCCTGCAGGATTCAGTCCTTCCCTTCAAGGCAGCGGGTTCCCTTCTGGCCCCGAAAGTGTCTCGAAATGTTGTTCAGAAGCTAGTGCCTGAAATGGGGTCTTCAGGACTCTGCCTGGTACTCTGTTCTACTGTGGCTGAGCTGGTGTCCAAGTTGCAAGACAAAGTACTCTTTATTCTTCCTTCTCCTCTCCTTAGGCAGAGGGAAGAATCTCTGCTGGAGCTGCAAGCTATTCTGTCTGAGGTTGGGGTGGTGCAAGCACTCCCTTAGCTGCTCTGGCTGATGTCTCACTAGGTTGCATGCAACCCAAGTCCACTGACTCTAGCCCAGCACAGCACCAGGACTTGCCCAGGAATTGCAGTCCTTGTGGCCTAGGCTGCTTTTAAGATTTATTTAGGAACCCAGAGTGCTTTAGCCAGTAGTGGTACGGCTAGCCAAATTTCAAGTTCCAGCTGCTGGGATAGTGGATTTCCCTCTGACTATGGCTGGTCTAAATGCTCCCTCTTTGGGTACAGGGTGAATTCTGCCCTATATTGCTTTCTGCTGTGACAGGGCAGCACTAAGTTCCAATGCAAAGTCTCAGAATCACTGTGTGCTCTCTCTCCCAAGTGCACATTCCCTCTCTGCAACACACAGCTGCTGCCAGGGATGCAGGAGGGGGTGGTGTCAGGAATTCAAGACTGGCTTTTCAACCTCTTTCAGTGCCTCTTTCTCTGATATATTGTTAAAGCCAGCTACTGTGATTGCTTATCTGATTTTGGTTCTTATGAAGGTGCGCTTTCTTTGTGAATAGTTGTTCAGTTTAGTGTTCCTGCAGTGGGGTCAGGGGGATGATCACTGGAGGCTTCTATTTGGCCATCTTGGTCTGCTTCCTCTCTGGTCCTGTATATTTATTTTCTAATTTCATAACGCATTTTTTTGTCATCATGTCAATATTACAGTTTTCTTGAGATAATGCTAACTTTCCCCATATTACAGTTTTCTTGGGATAAAGCTAACTTTCCCCACGTCCCTCACTGAAGCTCTACTTTCTTTTCTCTCCATTTGCAATTGTTCTTTTGTTTACTAACTAATTCATTCAACAAAAACTTTTGAACACTTCCATTGTGCTAATGAGAACCCTAAAGGGGATTGGACAATAAAAATGAACAAATCAAATAAACAAAATAATTTTAGTTTGTGAGGAATAGGAGGTGGATGCCAGGAAAGGAAGTGCCACGACGATAAGGAGACTAGTGGGATGGGGCAGAGAGAATAGATCAGATAAGCTGGATAGAGCAGGCCGCACTGTGGAAAGCTGGGGAAAGTAGATGCCAGACCAAGGAATGTGGCCATACAAAGACCCTTGGGAAGGAAAGAGCTTGATTCTACAGTAGAGAAGAAGGCTAATGAAGCTGGAACATGATAAGTAAGGAAGTGAGTGGGATGAGAAGAGGTGGGAATTGGAATTGGAGATGCCTGATTAAGGAAGGGATTTATGACACAGTGAAGGAGTTTAAATTTTATTCTAAGCACAAAGTAGATTTTTAAGGAGAGCAGTAATAGAATAAGATTTACATTTAAAAAAATATTGGTCTAGTTGGTGGTGGTTCTGGATTACAGGAGAGAGACTGTCTTACCTTTTGTGATTGAGGTCACATGCCTCTGGGAATAGGGGTGGGGATTCAGAAGAGTAATGACTTCCCCATTTGAGGACTTGAGGTGAAATCTCTGAATGCCAGAGTTCATTTGTGTATTACAGTTTGATTGGTCAAAAAAGGGTTCTCTTTGTATTCTGGTCAGACTCCCAGCCAGATGGCTTGTGGCTGAAACTGAAACAAAAAAATCTACTGGGCTATACACAAAAATTTTCTGCCTCCCCACATGTTAGTAGGGCCTGAAGTTGTCACTGATGAGAGGTGAGGGCCATAGGTCCATTTTGGTCTTTGTACTCCAAGATGTGAGAACAAAGATGAATCTCTGATGATAACATGTTTTTTTGCTCTGGAGCATCAAACAGCCAGCAAGCATCTAGCACAGGTTCTTATTAGCACTCCACTTTAAGTCTGCATGGTGCTATTCTTAGTTAGGCACCCATCTTCTCTGCAGCAAGAATGTTTCTTAAATTTTGTTCTTCTTAAAACTTCTCGACACTCTTTATGAGTATCACCTTGAAGTTAAATGAGTTGGAATTAAGTCATTCATAACTAATTTACATGCAGCAGAAAATCCAAAGCAACTGTTCTAATACTTGGTAAATTATTATTTAGGAGCTAAACACATTTGAATAATTAATATAAATAATTAAGATACTTTGAGACTATTTGTGCTGTGTTGGCATTATGGGAAAAGAGATTTTAACTATCTGTGAAAAATTTATATTCAAGAAAGCATCCTTGATGATGATTAAAACTCAAAAGGAATTTCCTTTCTCCCTTCCTTCCCTCCCTCCCTCCCTCTCTCTCTCTCTCTCTTTCTTTCTTTTTCTTTCTTTCTTTCTTTCTTCTCTGTCTCTCTTTCTCTTTCTTTCTTCTTCTTTTTTTTTTTTTTTGACAAGGTCTCACTCTGTCACCCAGGCTGAAGTGCCATGGCATGATCTTGGATCACTGCAACCTCCGCCTCCTGAGCTCAAGCGATCTTCCCACCACAGCCTCCCAGGTAACTGGGACTACAGGCTTGTGCCACTATGCTGAGCTAATTTTTGTATTTTTTGTAGAGATGGGGTTTTGCCATGTTGCCCAGGCTGGTCTTGAACTCCTGAGCTCAAGCCATCTGCCCACCTCGACCTCCCAAAATGCTGGGATTGAAGGTGTGAGCAACTGTGCCTGACCTTATTTTCTTCTTTAGTAATAAGAAGATAGTCCAGGCATGGTGGCTCACACCTGTAATCTCAGCATTTTGGGAGGGCAAGCTGGGTGGATCACTTGAGGCCAGGAGTTCAAGACTGGCCTGGCCAACATGGCAAAACCCCGTCTCTACTAAAAATATCAAAATTAGCCAGACATGGTGGCATGTGCCTAATGCACATGGAACTTAAAACCTAGATGAGAGGTTGATGGGTGCAGCAAACCACCATGGCACATGTATACCTATGTAACAAACCTGCACATTCAGCACATGTATCCCAGAACTTAAAGTTGAATTTTTAAAAACAATTAATTAAAAATGAATTTTAAAAAATAAGGAGGCCAGGCATGGTGGCTCACACCTGTAATCCCAGCACTTTGGGAGGCCGAGGTGGGCAGATCATGAGGTCAGGTGATTGAGACCATCCTGGCTAACATGGTGAAACCCCGTCTCTACTAAAACTACAAAAAAATTAGCCAGGCGTGGTGGTGGGCACCTATAATCCTAGCTACTCGGGAGGCTGAGGCAGGAGAATGGCATGAACCCAGGAGGTGGAGTTCGCAGTGAACCGAGATTGCGCCACTGCACTCCAGCCTGGGTGACAGAGCAAGACTCCATTCTGCTTCATGGCATCCAGAGTTGAATTTATACTTGTGAAATATGCAAATATTTTCAAGGTGTAAACTTTTAACTCCAGTTGAAGTCAACTGAGGCATTACGAAAAACAAAACTAACATAGCCCATGTATTAGTCAGGATTCTCTAAAGGGACAGAACTTATAGGATAGATGTATATTGGTACGGTTTGACTGTGTCCCCACCCAAATATCAACTTGAATTGTGCTCCCACAATTCCCACGTGTCATGGGAGGGACCCAGCGGGAGTTAATTGAATCTTGGGGGCCAGTCTTCCCGTGCAATTCTCGTGATAGTGAATAAGTCTCACGAGATCTGATGGGTTTATCAGGGGTTTCCGCTTTTGCTTTTTTCTCATTTTTCAATTGTCGTGGCCATGTAAGAAGTGCCTTTCACCTCCTGTCATTATTCTGAGGCCTCCCCAGCCATGCAGAACTGTAAGTCCAATCAAACCTCTTTTTGTTCCCGCTTTTGGGTATGCCTTTATCAGCAGCATGAAAATGAACTAATACATATATGTAAAGCGGAGTTTATTAAGGAGTATTGACACGCACAATCACAAGGTGAGGTCCCACAATAGGCTCTGTGCAAGCTGAGAAGCAAGAAAGCCAGTCTGAGTACCAAAACCTCAAAAGTAGGGAAGCTGACAGTGCAGGATTCAGTCTGCGGTCGAAGGTCCAAGAGTCCCAAAGCTGAAGAACTTGGAGTCTGATGTTCAAGGGCAGGAAGTATCCAGCATGGGAGAAAGATGCAGGCTGGGAGGCTAAGCCAGTCTAGTCTTTTCATGTTCAGCCTGCTTTTATTCTGACCTCGCTGGCAGCTCATTAGGTTGTGCCCACCCAGATTAAGGGTGGGTCTGCCTTTCCCATTCAACCAACTCAAATGTTAATCTCCTTTGGCAACACTGTCATGGACACACCCAGGAACAATACTTTGCGTCCTTCAATCCAATCAAGTTAACACCCAATATTAACCATCACAGTCTGTAATTTCATTTTTCATTTTAACAATCTTGATTAAACATTTTTTCAAGATTGAGATTTTTGGAGAAAATCAGTTTTAGGTACCACAATCTCGCTTCCTCAAGTTCTTTCTACCAACCTTCATGGGGCTGGACTACCACCCTCAGGATTCCAAATAGGATCATAGTAGAACCCACTTTTCCAAGAAGTCAGGAGCCAGCCCAACAGGAGCAAGTTCTACTTTGTTTTTTCCTTCCTTTGCCTTAATAAATAGACTCTCTTAGAATGCAAATGCCCTCTGGAAAGATGAGAGTTACAACTTTGCAGCATTTACTTGTCCTTCACTTGTTTGTTTATAAAAACATTTAAAATTAAGAAAATGTAACCAAGAGAATGGTATTTTGATTCTACCTGTAGTTATTTTCAGAGGTGAGTAGGGTGAGAGGATACATTTTAAAGTCTTACAGCACTACCAGTGAGGGTGTTGGGGGTGTCTGGACATCAATGATAGACAGGGATGAAAAGGAAGAGATAATGAGAAAAGGTCCAGGAATTTGGAAATGGAAGGAAAAAAGCATTCGTTGTTGTGAAGGGGAGAGAACTCTGGCTTAGATGTCAGGAAACCTTGATTTTAGCCCCAGGTTTATAAACAAAGCCATTGTAAATACTAAAGTGAAATAGATCCAAGGCACACCTCATCTTTCCGTGAAGCTTATACATCTCTGGGACCTTCTGGGGAAAAATGATAAAATTATGAATAGAAAATTAGGTATAGAGCTTTGCAGGGGGCCTATGCAAGTGAGGAACCCTGAAGCTTAAACTGTACTCTCACCTTCTCTTCTATAAATTCTCTTCTAGAAGTAGATATCAGAATTTCAATTCTCACATGACCATAGCTGAGATACGAAGGTAAGAAATAGCTTCAGGCTAGTACATAGATAGAGCTAAGCCTTAAATTTGTTCTCATGAGCTGAAATCTCTGCCTTTTTCTATTTTTAATTTTTAAATGTTTATCTGATACATAGTTATGCATATTTATGGGGTATATGTGTTCTTTTGATGCAGATATACAATGTATAATGATCAAATCAGGGCATACCCATTACCTCAAACATTTATCATTGGCCTATCAATTACCTCAAACATTTATCATTTCTTTGTGTTGGGAACATCAAAATAATTTCTTCTAGCTATTGAAATAGAGAATACATTTTTTTAACTATAATCCCTACTGTGCTATTGAATACTAGAATTATTCCTTCTATACAACTATAATTTTCTACTTATTAACCAACCTCTTTATATGCCTTCTTACCCTTCTCTGGTAACCACTATTCTACTTTCTACTTCTATCAGATCAACTTTTTTACTTCCCACATATGAATGAGAACATGCTGTATTTATTTTTCTGTATCTGGCTTATTTCACTTAACATAATGTGCTGCAGGCTCACCCATTTTGCCACAAGTGACGGGAGTTCATTCTTTTTTATGGCTGAATAATATTCCATTGTGTATATATGCCATTCTTTTCCATTCATCTGTTGCTGAGTGCTTAGGCTGATTTCATACCTCAGCTAGTGTGAATAGTACTGCAATGAACATAGGTTGCAGACAACTGGCATACTGATGAAAATTCTGCTATTTATTACACAGTGAAACCTCCTTATGTGACCTCAGGCAAGTTACTTCATCTCTTGGGTCCTTCTGTCCCACCACGAACAATGAGAGGCAAGACAAAATGAAAGTAAATTTCTTCTCAGTTGAATAAAAGCACTCCCTATTTACTCATACTAAAAACAAGAAAATTATCCTTCTTTCGTCTCTCAGTCTCTTCCTTAAATCTAACATAGCATATAATATGGTGACTGCTAGTTCTGTGGTGATGTCAGCCTCCCAGGGTTTGATTCCTGGCCCTACTGCACACTAACTGTGGTTGCATGGGCAAGTTACCTGTCCTTTCCTCCTTTATAAAATGTTGATAGCCAAGAGCAAAGTCATGGAGTCAACCTGGCTGCCTATCAATGGTTGATTGGATAAGGAAAATATGGTACATATACACTATGGAATCCTACACAGCCAATAGTACAGTATAGCATAAAGTGCAACAATGCCCTTTGCAGCAACTTGGGTGCATCTGGAGGCCGTTATCCTAAGCAACTTAATACAGAAACAGAAATTCCAATAACACATGTTCACTTATAAGTGGGAATTAAACCTTGGCCACACATGGACACAAAAGATGCAAATAATGGACACTGGAGGCTACAAGAGGGGAGAGGGAAGGAGGGGTCAAGGGTTGAAAAACTAATATGTACTGTGCTCACTACTTGAGTGATGGGATCAGTTGTATCCCAAACCTCAGCATCTTGCAATATACCCCTGTAACAAATCTGCACGTGTAACCCCTGGACCTAAAATAAAAGTTGAAATAAAAATAATTGTAAAAGAAAATATGCTGACAACAATTATAGTACTGACAGCATAAGTTATAGTGATTATTAAATAACTTCACACATAGTACAGTAAGACTTAACCATTATTATTTTCTACTCAGTCACTAAATCAAGAAAGACTCCTATCTATAACTCTGAACATCTGCCTCCCCTATTTTATCTTTTTTCTCTTATATTTCCAATCAGAATGCTTCTCAGAATTCACTTTAGAATCAAGATAGAAACCACTAGTGCTGGGTCTCATATATCTGTTTCTAGAACTTGCCATTCCTTTTGTCATTCTAGTCAAGTTTTTATTTTCAAAGACCTACTACTGCTAAACTTCCATTCAACAAACTTTTCCTGAATGCTATTCAAGCAACTCAAAATCTCATGGTGGTTGTTGATGGTGAGGATGAGAGTAAGAATACAAAATAAAAAGGGTTAGGATGCATGTGTGCACAGTGGGCAAAAGGACCACAGCCCTTAGCTCGGCTGGGGTCTGGGGAAAGCTCCATGGCAGTGAGCTCAGTCTAAAGGAGGTTCCTCCAGCAATCAAAGAGCATCCAAGACAAGGAAAGAGGTTGGGCAGAGGCATGGACATGCCAGTATAGTCTGTCCCCAGTCGCTTTCCTATAGAATCATTCTCAGCAGGAAAGGGAGGGCTTTACCTCTCCCTTTCTCCAAGTCTCCCAGATTTGTAGTAGCAAAATCAGGCTTTTACAAATATACTTCAAAGTGAAAAGGTTGCAAAGACCTGCAAGAGGCTGCTGGCCGTTCTCAAGATCTCTCTACTCTGTAAGTAAAGACACAAATAAAAAATGACCTTTGTCAGACCCAAGGAACCCTAATCATCTGAATAATCTGGAAAGGCTTGACTGAGCTCTTTGGATGAGAGGAAAGTTCACAGTGGATATGAGTATAGGCCGTAACAGTTTACATCCATAACTTCCTCTTCTTTTTTTTTTTCCAATTTTTATTTTGAAAAATAAAATGTGCAGGTTTGTTACATGGGTATATTGTGTGGCACTGAGGTTTGGGGTGCCAAATTGATATCATTACCCAGGTAGTGAGCATAGTACCCAAAAGGTAGTTTTTCAGCCCTTTCTTCCTTCCTTCCCTGCTCTGTAGTTCCCAGTGTTCAATTTTTTCCATCTTTATGTCCATACATGCTCAATGTTTAGCTCCCACCTATAAGTGAAAACATGGTATTTGGTTTTCTGTTCCTTTGTTAATTCACTTAGGATAATGCCTCCAGCTGCTTCCATGTTTCTGAAGGGGATGAGTTCCTCCTTTTTTATACTTGTGTAGTATTCCACGGTGTAAAAATTCCACACTTTCTTCATCCAATCCACCATTGATGGGCACCTAGGTTAATTCGATATCTTTGCTACACAATTTTCAATGCTTAATGTAAACTTAAAAAAAAAACTCTTAAATTTTTTCCTTCAGTGCTATGTTTATAATGTTTGAATGCAGCCCTAGGAATTTTTTCTCCCCAGCCCTCCTCTTTTTCTATTACAATATTCCCTGAATGGAAACCATTTGCCAAAATGTCTTTTCTGTAAAGGATTATCCAATATTTGCATTCATACTTGATTCTCAATTCTGGGCCAGGGCCAGGTCATCAACTAAGTTAATGTTCAATCAATTACCATATTTGGTTATTTTAAGTTATTACTTAAAATTTTCAAGTTAAATAGTTCAGCAGTGCTTACAGCTAAAAGCTAAAAGCCTCTGGATCTCCCACCCATTTGTACCTTCCCTAAGGTATAAGAAGTCTAAGAACACTGCTTTTAATTTTAAATGAGCTTTTTATTTTCTGGAGGATGCCACTTATCTCTAAATAATAAACTTTTTTGAATATGTCAATTTCAGGTGTTGTCTCTTGACTGTCTGCTGTTAGATCCTACTCTATCACAGAAGACTCACTTATACGCTCCCCAGTCATCTTCCGAGTACACTTACATGACTGTTTTCAGTTGCTTTTGCAATTACAAAAATATATACTTATCACCTTTATTTTTTGTTCCTTCAATTACAAATAATGTTGTGGGTTGAATTGTATCCCCCCGCCACCAAATTTATATATTGAAGTCCTCCTAACCCCTAGAACCTCAGAATGTGACTGTATTTGAGGTCTTTACACAGGTAATCAAGTGTAAAGTGATATTTTTAGGGTGGGCCCTGATCCAATGTATCTCTATCCTTATAAGAAGGGGACATTTGTCTTGTACAGTCTTGTACAGAGGGAAGATGATGTGAAGACATGGGGAGAAGATGCCCATCTACAAGCCATGGAGAGTAGCCCAGAACTGATCATTTTCTCATAGCCCTCCAAAGAAACCAACCCTGCCAGCACATTGATTTCAGACTTCTAGTGTCCAGAACTGTGAAACAATATATTCCAGCTGTTTAAGCCACCTAGCCTGTGGCCTCTGTTATGGCAGCCCTAAGAAACTAAGACAGATGATATCTGTTGATTTCCAATATTGCGAGATGACGGTATAAATCGCCCTTCCCTTTTTGTTTTTCATCTGCCCCTTCTATTTCCACATACTAAACATTCAGGTGGGATACCTTTCTCAATATCAAGGGGTCCACCATCTTTCTCCTATTCTGAAGGAAGAGAAAGACCCTCTCATATTATTTTATATTGTTTTATACTCAGTACCTGTTTCAAGAAAAAACAACAAGGAAGTAAAACCAAAGACAGGCAGCCCGGCGCCAGGCCCGAAAGCAGGCCTGGGCCTGCCTGGCCTAAACCCAGTAGTTAAAAATCAACTCATGACTTAGAAACCAATGTTATTCATAGATTCCAGACATTGTATAGAAGAACATTGTGAAACTCCCTGCTCTGTTCTGTCTCTCTCTGACCACCGGTGCATGCAGCCCCTGTCACGTCCCCCCTGCTTGCTCAAATCAATCACGACCCTTTCATGTGAAATCTTTAGTGTTGTGAGCCCTTAAAAGGGACAGAGATTGTGCACTCAGGGAGCTCGGATTTTAAGGCAGTAGCTTGCCGATGCTCCCAGCTGAATAAAGCCCTCCTTCTACAACTCGGTGTCTGGGAGGTTTTGTCTGTGGCTCCTCCTGCTACAATTCCTCAAGTACTTTCGTTTGTCTTCTCATCTAAAAGACCACATGTCTTTGGAACTGCTCCCTCCTTCCTGTGGCATGGCCTCATGAGTCCTGTCTTCCTCAGCAGAGTAAGGGAGATTTGAGACAGCTTCTTTTTCTCCCAGACACTTCCCTCACCCCACTTCCATGCGTGGCCAATGCTTGCCTCTCAATATCTGCCAGGCAAGGCTACAGGTGGATACAGTAAACTACTGACTTGACTGGCAAATATTGAGAGGCACATATTGGCCACACATGGCCTTCGTTGTCTTGGTCATAGATTGGCATAATAATTGTTCCTACTGTGGTGAGGATTAAGTTAAACAAAGCATGTAAATTAGTTAGCACACTGCATGCACTGAGAAGTATTATTATTATTATTATCCTAACAATTGTTCTCTCTAGCAGTTTGGTAGCATCCTGTTTCCCTTTCCTCAGTAAAATACTTTCCCAAATGGATCCGGTGGCATTCCGGTTTCAAGTTCTGGGGATAATGAGCAGAAGGTTGGGTATATCAGTAAAGTTTTCTGCTAATCAGGAACACTCCTCTTTTTGATTGCAGAATACATTCTTATGCTGATATGTAGTAATCATATTGCATTCTTACAAACCTATGGTTTTAAAAAAATTTTCAGTGACTAAAAATTCTTAAGAGATGTTTACTTATACTGTGATAGAGATTGCATTTTACTTCTCTAAACAACTTCTTAATAAGTAATTTCAAATCGTATGTTGAAAATAGGAATACCATCAGGGAAATGTTGATGCAGATGGAATGGTTTTTGAACTCAAAGTAATTAGGAGCTCTTGGCAAGAAGAAAGAAACTTTGAAGAAATAGAATCTAATCCTTTACCCATGATAATTTAATGTTGTACCTTTAATAAGCTCTCATTAATACTTATTATTTTCTGCTTTACCGAAACTTTGGAGAAGTGAATATAAATGAGGCCTTGTTATTCTGAGTGCGTGCATTTAAAATATTGATTGTGTCAGTTCCGTATTTTGCAAGGTTCTGCTTTAATGCCAGAAATAAAATATCAGCTATCTCTTTAAAATGATACCAAATACTGGAATTGCTACATATCTAGCATGGAAAGATAGTGTGCCTAATAATAAAATTGTTGGCTTGGAAAAATTATTTAGCGTTTCTTACACATTAGTTTTTTTTAGCAGGTTCTGATAACTGACCACATACTGTTAACACCTTTGGTTAAATGTAAACACCTTCCCTTATCAATAGAGAGTAACACTCTGCTTACTTGAAAAAATGGGAAATAAATGAATGTTTTGTTATTGTAAAACATAATATACAAGGATTCAAAGCAGCCAAATCTCAATTATGATCACTAGAAACTAAAATCTCTGTTAAATGTTGTATCCAAGAAACTGTAAATTTAAATCCAGAAAAGTTAATAGAACATTCCGTCTTTCTTTATTGACTTATTCATTCAACAATATGAGTACCAACTTTATGCCAAAACTCAGACTAGTTGCTATATATTCAAATATTAAAGGAAACAGACATAGGACATGCTTTTGGGAAGCTGAAACATTAATGAAGCAGGCAAACAATAAATGAATAAACAAAAAAAATTAAACTGTCATCTGTAGTTTAAAAAAACAACAAAGAAAGTAGGATTAGAGATAATGGGAGTGTAGAACTTTGATAGGGTGGTAGTATTTTCAGAGGATATGACATTTATGCTGAGGCCTGAATGATGCCCAGGAGCCTATATTAAGGAGAAATAGGGGCATTCCAGCAGAGGAAACTACACATGCAAAGGCCTCAAAGTATACAAGAGTTTGAGAAATAGCAAGAAGGTCAGATTGGAGCAAGGCTAGTGCATAAAGGAAAAGATGGATTGAAATGACTTTGGACAGATAGACAGGAGTCAGGTTATATGCATGAAATAGTAGGACAGTGATATGTTAACCAGTATGCTGTGGGGACCCTTAATTTCTAGAAGGAAGTGGTTGTGCCATTAATATCCAAATTATACATTGTTTTATGTCTTCTAGATAGTAGATATTGTTCTTTTTAAGTCATGGAGCAATTCAGGAGGCAATGTATGTAAGGAAGAAGAGAAAGAGCAGAAGCAGAGTGGTGGTAAAGAACTACCTGGAATGGAACAGAGAAATAGCATGTGCTGTGAGTATAAGATTTTGAGAAAAGATGAGACGCATGGCTGTCAATGTTGAATTTATTTTTAATTTTAATACTATCCTTCCCAAAGGCTGAAAACCTGGGTTTCCAATAGGGCTACAATTTGTTCAACAAATTTTTATTGCCCTTCTGATATGGGCCTGGAATTCTTCCATTTAGTGAGATATAATTTAATCAGATTGATAAGACAATAACAAAAATGGCAAATGAAGGATGGGAAAAAGTGGAAACCTCTTTGTTGTGGTCAAATAAGTGCTTCAGTTGGGAGACAATATATCATTTATTTGTTTGAAAAGTATTTTGTGTGTTGATCATATGAAACTGTGACCAAGGTTTTCCATAATCTAGGTTACAGGGTTAAGTCTAATCTGTGTCCTTTTCTCAAAGAACTCCCATCCAATGGATGTAAGACAATTACAATAGAATCAGAATTGATATGATTCTGAAGATCCATGTATCTGCTACACAGGAGCTACACCTTCATTCATTTATTCCATAACAAAATGTGTTGAACACCAACTATGTGCCAACTATCACCAACTCTTGTACCTATCTATTTTAGAATATTACTCCCTCGTATAAATTTTTACAAAGCAAAGACAACTAACATATACTTTGAACATATTTTGTGCCAGACAATATGGTGGATGAGGTTCTATGTTATTCTTATTCATTGTAAATTTATTATCTGTCCTTCTTCTTAAACAGAAATTAAGGTCTATAAAGTATATGTAATTTGCCCAAATTCAACTAAATATTAACTAGCAGAGATGGAATATGAATTGTTTTTATGTTAAAGCCTCTTCTCTCTCCTATTCCTGGCTATTTCTGGATCTGTGCTTAGGAAAGGAAAGTACTTTTTCTCAGGAAACTGTTACATGTTTTGATGCAAATTTTAGAACAATATATCTGAAGGTAGATGGACACAAGTGGAAAGACATTCAAAATATACACTTAAGTTGGAGAAAAAGTATATTGAAGGTGAAAACATACCCATGTATTAAATAGTAAACCTCAAACCAAACACAAACTGTAGAAACATGTAGAGAAAGGACTAAAATGTTGTGCACAAAACTGGTAACCAAGTTTGCCTCTTACAGGGCAAGGGGATTACGAGGTGAGAAGGGAACTATTTGCCCTGAACTCTGTATAGTTTAAATGTTTTCACAAGAATTAATCCATGTGTTACCTATGTAATTAAAGCAAATAAACATATGCATAAACTTCTTTTGATTTCAGTAACTGTGTAATAAGGAGAACAGTGTGGTTTCACTTATGTCAATGAGAGTTCTAGGAACAGTTTCCTTCATTCTGTGCAGAGGTATACTTTCCTGGGGGCTTAATGGATGAAGAGATTAACCATCAAATCACAGATTTAACGGCAGTAGAGCATTGCATATCATGGAAGCTCTCTGAGATGTTACTGTTGATAAACTCAGGCTAAAGATTTTCTGCCATCAGATCTTTACTTAGCAGATGTCAGCTGGGAAGTTAGTCACCACAGAGCCTGCTCTGGGCTCAGGATTCTTGCCTTTAGACCGTATGTTTACACCTTTCAGAGCAGCAGTAACAGTTAAAAGGCCTTTGTTTTCCCCGCGAGTATAGCCTCTTACCTCTCCCAGTGTTTGCAAAGTGCTCTTTCTGACTGTCAGTTTTTAGATGTTTTTATACACCCCTTGAGACAATCTGGTGTGCTGTTTCCATGGCTACTCTTTCTGAAAAGTTGTTTTGGCAACTGTACAACCTGCATGACTCAGGGAATTTTCAGATTTTCATTAGAACAGGCCATCTTTAGGATGAGGCTGTGATTGCCAGTAAACTGGGTGCTATCATATGTTCTGGGTCTAATTCTTATGCTAATATTACTATTTCCTTCTCAAGGCTTTTTCCAAAACATTTACTTTGGATCAGAAGATGTCTGCATATTAAAGAAGCAGATCCCATGATATGAAAAGGAAAACCATGACCTAGAGTCATTGACTATGCCCAGTTTTTAAAATGTGAACTAGAACTCTCAGTTCCTGCCTCCCACCCACTTTAATGCACTTTCCATCTATACTGTGGTATGCACATGTGTAGGTCTTTTTGGTTGATCTGTTTATGTTGAGTCACCAATTGTCTCACTATCACAAAGACAAAATAAATGAACATTCATAACCCACCCACAGCAATAGATTGTTTTGTTTAAGATGTAGTAAGGAGAAAATTCTCTTTAAAACCACACTCACAGAAACATAATTTAATTCCCCATTATGTATCTTTCTTTTTTGTCTCTAAAGGGCCCTCTCTAGTGTCATCCTTCACATTATTTTTTCCTTTTCTGCTCCACACAATTTCTGAAAACTTCCTCTTTGTTCTTGGCAATTCAGCAATGTCTCACAGCTTGCATCTGCAACTCAGAGGGAAGTTTGCTGAAATGCCAGCCTTGGATCAGTATTCAGAAATCTGCCTCATTCAAGCATGCTCCTTGATAGTCTCTTTTATCCTTATACACCCACTTTAGTCCTATGTGACTGACAAAAAGATATAGCAAGAGAATTTCTACATATAGATGAAGGTACTGAGGCTTATTGTATTTTCCGGGTAACTCAGCATGCCTATTTGAAGCAGAGGTTTGACTTTTTATCACTTTTATATCATCTAGTGGTCTAATGCTCTTACAATTCCACCAATCTTAACATGAAATGCCATTTCATTGCCTTAGTTCTGCTATTCTAAAGTCAATAAAACTACATTTGCTTCAAAGGAACTAGGATTCTACCATAATTATGAATTAGGCCTAATTTCAAGGTATGCATAAAACCTTTCTCTTATAAGTATATTCGGTAGAATTGGTTAAGAGAAGAGAGAAAGCCTAAGGGTAATTTTAGTTGGGGATAACTTCCCAGTGGGCAAGTTTGCAAGAGTGTTTTGATAGAAACACCGACTGATGTCTGAAACCCATAGAGGAGGACCCTGAGTTTGGAAATTCACTATTTTCACTTCTCATTTCAGTAGGATTACTGATCTTACAGCCCAAGACAAGAGAACAATAAAACACTGAAATGACTCTTCTGCATTGGACTTGGGGTCTTCCCCTTCTTGCTTCAAAGGATGATGGTAATTTAGATTAGTGAGGTCCTTTGAGCAGTTAATTTGTTTAATTTCATAGCGGAGGATATTTTTTAACTCCAAATGGTATGGGCAAAAGGCAGTGTGAATGGGAACAGACTTTTTTAGTGGAGACTCAGGAATCGCTGCTTCTGGATCCTGATCTTGTAATACTGAAGAGCTTGATAGGAAATATTTGGAGAAGAAGGTGTTAACAGGGTCATTTTGCTTAAAGGACATTGTGTCACTTTGTTGCAGCTGCATCATCAGATACTGTGGTACAGCATATTTTATTGATCTTTTACCAGAACCGACCTAACTGGTAATAGAGACCAGTGAAATTGAGGACATAAATAATACTGTTTATCAAGAGGCATCGTGATTGGTATACATTATCTCATTTAATTCCATAACATGCCTGCAAAGTAGGTATTGTTGTCCCTACTTCACAGAAGAGGAATTGAGACACAAGGACTTTCCCAAGATCACACAGCTTCAAGACTGGCATCAGGCCTGCCAGATTTCACAGCCAGAGATTTGAGCCGCGTACTACACTGCTTCTCCACTAGGGGTCCCAGGCTGCTTCAATCCTTTTTTAAATTGTGCAGGATAAAGTTTTGTCGTTGAAAACTTGTATTCATATGCTGGGAAAGAAGGAGGTTCTAGGCAGGCCATTTAACATTATCCCTGGATTTTCCACGGAGACACTAGACTTAAGAAAACATGAGTATGATTGTCTTTGAAATCAAAACATTCTTTGTAACCTTGGACAAAATAAAATAGTAAACCAGGAAATGGTCTGAGATTTCTACCTCCCTGTTCACTGACACTAGCTGGAAAATATGCACACAGGGCAAAACCATTCAGTTAAAGGAGGAAATGAAAGTAAGTTGAATAATATACAAGCTAGAAATTTAGCCCCTAAATCTGCATTGCTAGCAAGGTAATTTATGAAAATATTTTTAAAAATGTTGATTTCTTGTACATTTGTATTTACTTGTATACATATATTCCATATATGTGTATGTAAGTCCATGATCAAATATAATTAGAAAACTTGCATACTATAGTTCACATTTTAAAACATAGAACGAAAGCACCAATAATGTCAAAGAAAACAAATATGTTTATCTTGTTTAATTCAGGCTATCCCAAACTTATTTGAGCCCAGAACTTGTCTTTCTTCCTTTAACGTCCATGGATGTCCTGTACAACACACTTTGGCCCCAAAGGAGAGCAAGCTGAGAGTGTGTTCTGCAGCCTTACACACCACTCCAGCTATGACACCTTATGGGGTGACTCCGTTTGCTTTGAGAACATATCATTTTTTTTAAATAAATGTTTATAATTATCATGTCCTGCCAGTTTTCTCCCAACCGCAATATAGCCCCTTGATGAGTGCTCACATTTACAAACTTTCTAAAACATCCAGAATGACTAAGAGTGATAGCAGGAACAGGGGGCCTGGCTCTGGGTGCCAGGAGTAGAGAAGGCCAGGCCTGATGTAGGAAAGCTCTCTGTGCATAAGAACATGGACGAGGTGAGAACAATGTTTGTTCCTCCTCAAATATACAATTCTATAACACTGTATTTCTCAATGTCTCAAGACAAGGATCTGAATATAGTAGTCTCAGAATTTAGTAATAGAGTTCCTTGAGGCATTGGGGTATTGGGAGATTACATCAATAGAAATATTAAAGGATATTAAAAGGGTAACTACCAGGGTTACTCTCACAAATAGATCTAAGGAAACACTTGCAATTTCCTGAAGAGATAAAAGGATTGCAAAAGGGAAGGATGTTTTCTGGCCACTTTTCCAGTGAAATAAAATGAATGGGAATTTAGTGGCAGATAATACCTCAGCTAAAATAATGATAGCTTTCACAAATAAATCCTAAAACATCAGGGGTTCACATAATTCAATTTTTGTTCTTGTTCATGTGATGGTCCAAGGCAGGTATTCCTGGTGAGCAGGTAACTTTTATCCAGATAGTGATTCAGGGGGCAAGGCATTTTCCATGTTGTAACTTGGGATTCTTTGCATGTAGCCCAGAAAGGGAAGGCACACCTATTTAAGTGCTTTGGTCCAGAAGCAATCCAATTTTGGTTGCATGATTTCACAAGATGCAAGGAGCTGGAAAATAGAGCTCCTGGCCAGGCAGCTGCTTAGAGCAAAATCTCTACACTGCAGAAGGGGGAATCACATATTTTGGTGGACAGCTGGGTTTTTCTGCATGGATAATAATAATAATCACAATAATAATAGTATGTATTAGTTTCCAATTGCTGCTCTAATAAGTCACCACAAATTTAGTGGCTTAAAACAACACAAATTTCTTGTCTTATAACTCTAGAAGACAAATGTATGAAATGGATCTCACTATGTTCCTTCTTGGTGGCTCCAGGGGAGCAGCCATTTTCTCACCTTTTCCATCATGTAGAGGCTGCTGGCCTCCTTTGGTTTGTCGCAGGCCAAGTCCTTCACCACCATCTCTCTGGCTGTCTGTATCCCACTTACTTTTTCCCCTGTGATGATATCAGGACTACCTGGATAATCCAAGATAATCCCCCCATCTGAAATCAGCTCCTTAGCAACCTTAATTCCATCTGCAACCTTCCCTTCCCTTTGCCTTATAACCTAGCATACTCACAGGTTCCAGTGATCAAGACATGGACATTTTGGGGTGCCATTGTTCTGTAAATACCATAGTAGCAAATAGAATAGTTTTACAATGACATTGAGTATCTTCTGTATACAGGAACCATGATTAGAGTAACTCATTTATCTTTACAATACCCCAATAAAGTAAGTATTTTAATCAGTATTTATAAATGAGAAAATTGTGAAAGAGGTGTTTGACAACTTCATGTTTAAAGTCACAGAACCCACAAAGGGAAAAAATAGGATTCAAATCCAGTTCTGCTTTGCCCCAAACTTCTACCTCTTCCCCATCAGATCTTTCACTCCTTATCTTTCTGCAGATGTCCTTGCCTCTTGCCTTTTTGACAAGAGTGAGGCTACATTACTCTCTCCTTTTAAAATATGTTTACATTTTTAGTCCAGGCATGGTGGCTCATGCCTGTGATCTCAGCACTTTTAGAGGCAAGATGGGCAGATCACTTGAGTCAGGAGTTTGAGACCAGCCTGGCCAACATGGTAAAATCCTGTCTCTACTAAAAATACAAAAATTAGCTGGGCATGGTGGCACGTGCCTGTAATCCCAGCTACTCAGGAGGCTGACGCAGGAGAATTGCTTGATCCTGAGAGGCAGAGGTTGCAGTGAGCCGAGATCACGCCACTGCACTCCTGCCTGGGTGACAGAGCAAGAGTCCATCTCAGAATAAATAAATAAACATATTTGCATTTTTAAATGACTGAAATGAAATCAAAAGAAGGGCAATATTGTGTGAAAAGTGAAAATTATATGAATTTCAAATTTCAATGTCTATAAATAAAGTGTTCTAGGGATACAGTGTCTCATCCATTTATATAGTCTATGGATTTCTCAGTATATCCTCTTGCCTTTCCACCCAAGTCACAAAGGAAAAGGATTCTATTCCCCCCAATGGTAAGCAATTGAAGCAGAATTTCTGGTTCACCTTCCCCCAGAAAGCCTCAGGATGTAGTTAAAGGACAGGCCAATGTTACTCCTTAGAGTAGAGCACAGGTCTGTTTGGAAACTTTGGGACTCCAGGGCTCTAAAAAACCACATGAACAGGGTTAGAGAAGGCTGGATGGCTCTGCCTTTGCTTTCTTGGGAACAATAAGTACACTAAGAATTGGAGACAGATAATTTAGAGCAGGAGGAAAATTTAAACATGATCAAGTTCATCCTTCTATTTTACAAATGATAAAACTGAGGGCCGAAGGGAACATATCGCTGGTCTCAGTGGCACAGAGTTACTGATAGTGATGATCTGGAGCCCAGGTGTGGGATTCTCAGCTTAGCCTCTTTCAACCATATCAGGATAAGCCAGCTCCCGATATTCAACGTGGGTCCTTTTCTATTTTCCCTAAGTGTCGGCTGGTCTGAGAATAAAGGGAAAGAGTACAAAAGAGATAAATTTTAAAGCTGGGTGTCCGGGGGAGACATCACATGTTGGCAGGTTCCATGATGCCCCCCAGGCCGCACATGCTTCACAAGGTAATAAAATATCACAGGGCAAATGGAGGCAGGGCAAGATCACAGGACCAGGGCGAAAATTAAAATTGCTAATGAAGTTTTGGGCACGCATTGTCATTGATAACATCTTATCAGGAGACAGGGTTTGAGAGCAGACAACTGGTCTGACCAAAATTTATTAGGCGGGAATTTCCTCCTCCTCATAAACCTGGGAGTGCTATGGGAGACTGGGGCTCATTTCATCCCTTATCTACAACCATTAAAGACAGATGTTCCCAAAGCGGCCATTTTAGAGACCTCCCCTTGGGAACGCATTCTCTTTCTCAGGGATGTTCCTTGCTGAGAAAAAGAATTCAGCAATATTTCTCCTATTTGCTTTTGAAAGAAGAGAAATATGGCTCTGTTCCACCCGGCCCACAGGCAGCCAGACTTTAAAGTTATCTCCCTTGTTCCTGAACATTGCTCTTATCCTGTTCTTTTTTCAAGGTGCCCAGATTTCATATTGTTTAAACAATTTGTGCAGTTAACACAATCATCACAGGATCCTGAGGCGACAGTCATCCTCAGCTTATGAAGATAACGGGATTAAGAGATTAAAGTAAAGATGGCATAGGAAATCACAAGAGTATTCATTGGGGAAGTGATAAGTGTCCATGAAATCTTCGCAATTTATGTTCAGAGATTGCAGTAAAGACAAGTGTAAGAAATTATAGAAGTATTAATTTGGGGAACTAATAAATGTCCATGAAATCTTCACAATTTATGTTCTTCTGCCATGGCTTCAGCTGGTCCCTCCATTCAGGATCCCTGACTTCCCACAACACATCCACACCCACTGGACAAATACAGGACTCCACTTATTTTTGTACCACCTGTGAACTAAAAATTGTTTTTCCATTTTTAAATGGTTGAAGACAATTGAAATATAATGTTTTGTGAAAAGTGAAAATTATATAGCATTCAAATTTCAAATTTCAGTGTCGGTAAATAAGTTTTATCAGAAAACAGCATACTCATTTGTTTGCATGTTGTCTATAGCTGCCTTCTCACCATAAGAACAGAGGTAAATAGTTGCAACAGAGACTGTGATACCCATAATCTGGTCCTTTACAGAAATTTTGCTTTATACCAGACCACCAGTATCTACCTTCCCATTACATCATAGCCCAGCCAGGCCACAGTGGGCTCAGGAAGCAGCATTGTTGTGGGACAGATGAATATTTCACTCGTATACATGGTCCTATGTGTACTGAAGGCAGGTTAAATTTTTTGAAAATGGAAATAAACTGAATATCATTTCTGTAACCTTCTGGTTTGTGAATAAGGAATCATCCAGACTTTATCCTTAGGGAGAACTGTCTACTTTGGCCAAATACTGTGTATGTGAGAGATCTTTTATTTATAATCTCATTTACTCTTCACAACAACTTTGAGAAATGTTATTATAGCCATTGTATTAGTCAGAGTTCTCCAGAGAAACAGAAACAATAGGATGTATATATATGATGTATATATATATATATATGTGTGTGTGTGTGTGTATGTGTGTGTATCGTGAGCTTATTTCTTGTAATAAAAGATTATTTTATACTAAAAATGATCATAAAAGATATTTTATCTCTTTAAATCTCATAACAAAAAGATGGTTTGTTATCTTATAATAAAATATTATTTATTTTAATAAAAGAGATTTATTATAAGGAATTAGCTTACATGATTATGGAGACAGTCAAGTGCAAAATCTGCAAAGCCACATCCTAGCTTGGGTCTGAGGGCCAGAAGCTGCAGCAGAACCAGGAAGAGCTAATGTTTCAGTTTGAAGGCCATCAGGCAGGAGAATTCTCTCTTAGTCTTTTGTTCTATTCAGGCCTTCAATGGATGGCCACCTTAGAAAGGGCATTCTGTTTCACTCAGTCTACTGAGTTAAATGTGAATCCCATTCAGACATACTCTCACAGAAACACCCAGAAGAGTGTTTGACCAAATATCTGGCCACTCTATGTCCCTGTCAACTTGACAAATTAACCATCACACCCATTTTATAGATAAAGCAACTGAGACACTGATAATTTAATCTATTTGCTCTGAATCCTAATCAAGTGGTTGGAATATAGTTTTTTTCAAAAAAAAAAAAAAGTCATGGTCCTTGTTCTATATAGTACTCCTGCATTGGCTATCCCCTGAACTCCAGAATAAAAATAAATGAATAAAAATGTTAAATTTACATTTTTCATTGTTTTCACCTGTGGCTGTAAAAGAAAGATTAACTTGTCAGGACTTTGATAGCAGTTACGATTTTATGGTTACTGTGGAACTCTCTTGTATGGGTATCTTTTAAAGCTCAGTACTCACATATTACAGTGTGAAACAATACCAGAGCAAGACAAAGTCCTATTTCCCTGCCCCCACCCCCAAATGGGACAAGGAGGGGAAGCCACACACTCCCTAATGGCTGAAGAGAAGGAGGATCCTTCTGAACTGCAAATTAAAACTGAAGTGCTTGCCAATTGACTCCCAATCGATTATTCCAAGTGTTTGTTCTGCAGCGATGGTGATTTCTCCCAGGGACTCTGAAGGGTGCTTAATTATTCATCATGAAATTTAATTTCAGAGCTTGTAATCATGTAACTGTTGAAAATGGAATTTGTTATTGAAACACGCTGAGAAGAAATAGAGGATTGTTTAGCATCTACTCATCTCACATCAAGATCAGTTTAAAATTGGATGCTTTCTGTGATTTCACTACAGCAATCACATGAGGGCCATGTAAGCTAAACTCCTACATATCTTCTGCTAATTTGGTTGATTTAGGTCATTTCTTATCATGAATTGGAAAGGATATTGCAGATTAGGGTATGTAGATACAAGACTTTTCTTTCCTCCCAAATGTCCAACTTCACAGAAACATAATTAACTTACTTTGAGCCATTCCTTGAGAAGGTTAGAAAAATATTAGCTGACAAATTAAGTCTAAGATATTAGGTGGGGTAATACATTAACTGTTTTTCTTAAATGTAAGGATGAAGCAATTAAAATTCATTTTAATCTTAGTTAAACAGAGGTAAAAAGACGCTTTTGAATTTGACAATTATCAAAGATTACATAGAAATGCTTTTTATCAGAAAATTCCAGTCTTGGGTTTGAATATAATCAGTTATGGGGTGAGGCATCCTATATAGATGTCTCATAATACCCCGCCTGGACATGGATGACCAGACAGAAAACCATTCCACGTAGTATTAATGGAAAGGGAGCTTAGTGAAGCTGAACTAGAGGCATTTTATATTGCCACTGAAATATAAATAAAACAACAGGTTTCTCTAGGTTCTACAACTATTATTTAAAAAACTGACTATTGTCTAATGATCAATTGTAAAAGTTTTAAACAATCTACCTTTAGAAGATATTATGTTATTTCATTATCTTAGGTGATATGGCTCAATGAATAACATAGATTTGGCAAATAAAAAACATAAACACTTTGTATTGTTGGATATTCTGTAATCCATTTTCTACATTCCAGTTAAGCTGAGTTTAAAGAACAAATCAATTTACATTTCAGTTTAAATCAGATCCACAATTTTTTTGCATGGCCCATAATGCTGTCTGTGGTCTGCGGTCCTGACAATTTCTCCATCCTTGTCTCATGTTACTCTGCCCTCACCTTACTGGCCTTTCTTTAATGCTTCAAAGCTACCATGACTTTATTTTGTTCCCATCTGTAAGCTTTTTCATATACTGTTCCCAGAACCTGCAAAATCCCCTTACTTCCTCTTCATGTAGCTGACGCCTTTCCTCCAGGTCACTCCAGACAGCTTGTTTACCTTGTACTTTTCCCTCCCTCCCTCCCTCTAATTTTCTCCATTGCTGATCTTGTCTTTCACAGCACTTATAATCATTTATATATTTCTTGTGCACGTATTTGATAACTTGTGTAGTATCTTTTAACTCAATTACATTTTAGTTTGCATAAACTTTTTGGCATTACATTTTTATCAATGTCTACTCAGTGCCTGATAAACAGGAGGTGCAATGAAGATTTAGGAAATAAATAAGCTCATATATCTCTTTCTATCTCCATGGCATTCCCTTACACACATTTATGAGTAATTGGCCAAATTTCATGTCTTTAGAAAATAGTTCTAAAACTAGTAATCATATTCTGGATGATATAATAAAAGACAATATAATTAAGTAATTTCCCCAAAGTTTATTAACTCCAATTCATTGGTGGGCCATTTTATTCTGATAGTTGAGTTACACACATTGTAAGATACAGTCTGTAATAACAAAAAGCTTATAATTTTGTGGAAGGAGCACCTATATATGTACGACTTAGATAATCAGATACCTATTCAAGACAACTAAATCAGGTGGTAAAATGTTGAGGAAAGTAAAAGTGATGGTCAAAGGATTTTCAAAGAACAGAGATAGGACATTAATGTTGTTCAGGATGCGAGCAGAGAGGTAAAGGCCTAGAAAGATTATTTATTTAATTATTTATTTATTATTTTGAAACAGAGTCATGTTCTGTTGCCCAGACTGGAGTGCAGTGGTACAAACATGACTTATGCAGCCTCAACCTCTGGGCTCAAGAAATCCTCCTTCCTCAGCTTCCTGAGTAGCTGGGACCACAGGTGTGCACCACCATGCTTGGATAATTTTTAAAATTTTTGTAGAAACAGGGCCTTGCCAGGTTGTCTAGGCTGTTCTCAAATTTCTGGGCTCAAGCAATCCTCCTGGTTCAGCCTAAGTGCTGGTATGAACCACCATGCCTGACCAGAAAGACATTTTAGATGGAGATAAAACATGAGAAATGACAAAAAAGAAAAGAATAACATACTATGTAGCAAAAAGAAGCACAACCATTCCAGAGCAGAGAATATCTGTTCAGAGGTACTTTAGGTGGGATTGTGTAGATAGTGTAGCCCCATGGAGGGACACTAATGTAAGACTGAGTTGTGTCAATATGAGTTCATGGTCAACAGGTTGTCATTGCAGATGCAAGAAAGAGAGAAGATATAATAAAACTGGAATTCCAGGAGACATCTATCAGGACATATCTGAAGACAAAAATGTTGTCTGTAACAAGACAAATGAGGAGGTAAATGAAGCCATGCATAAAGAATGGCAATGAAGATAAAGACAAAGGAACTAAAAATGCACTGAAGATTCTCAATATTCACTTTCACTTGAAGAAAAGGTTTTATCATGTTGGAATAAATGACCTAGAAATTTTAAGAGATTTACAAATTGAAGTTGTAATTTTTCTTAATCATGAGAACAAACTTAAATACTAAAAAATAATTTTAAAGGAAAGTTGATTCAATTTGAGCAATCAGTGGCACACTGATGACTTCTGACAGGCATTCCTCAGGCATTTGCTACTGAGGATTTTATCAGCTGGAATGAACATGTAGTCAATTGACATTGAAAATAAAAGAAATGAGCAAGGAGTTTAGATTAAAATTCTCTTGACCCAGAATGCTTTAAGCTTTATCTGACAAAATGGACTTAAAAATGTTTAGCTAGTGTATAATAGAAGCTTTCTTATCCTGACATTATTCTTGAAAGTCATCTTATACTTTAATTTATTCCAAATTCCAACTGTCTTCGGTATAAATTAAAGCAAAGCACATAGGTCTTTTTAATGGAGACAAAGCAATGAGGGAACAATGTGTTCTTTTGAAAAATTACAGTAGGACCCTTTGAACCTTTTTTCCCCCTGTCTTGCCTGATTTTATAAGTTTTGATTCTATTTCAATCTTTTCGTGTGTAAAAGTTATTTGCAGAAAATCTTCAGGAAAAATTATTCTTGGGGCTTACAACAAATGTCCACTACATCATCTGAAATTATGATCAAAAGTCACAGAAAAAACAACAGTAGCCCACAAAGTGGTATTGGCTCTGTTCAGCAAAATATGTTTTGTTATCCATTTATTATAGATATATAGAGGTCTGCTCTCTACAAAAGATTACAATATCATTAAACTGCATTTTGATTCATTCCTTTCAAAAGTAATATACTACTATCATTTTTACGAAGTGCATTGGATATTCCTCCTATTATAAAGGCAATACCATTCCTTTGAAGAACATTTGGAAAATACAGAAAAACAACAAAAAGGAAGACAATTACTTGTAATCCTGTCACCTAACTTAGCCACTTCATTTGGCTCTATATCTGGGTCTATATATAAATTAGAATCTCCTTGCATATTCTACTTTGTAACTTGAATTTTCCATTTGATATTATATAATAAATATTTACCATGTTTTTATGATTCTCATACATTTTAATGGCTGCCTACTGCATCACATATAGTTGAACCATACTTTATTTTACTAATCACTTATTGTTAAGTAGGTAGGTTTGTGACATTTTATTATAAATAATATTGCAATGAACATCATTGCTTAAAAATGTGTTTATTTCCCTTTTTTTATTATACTTTAAGTTCTAGGGTACATGTGCAGAATGTGGAGGTTTGTTACATAGGTATACATGTGCCATGGTAGTTTCCTGCACCTATCAACCCGTCATCTTCATTAGGTATTTCTCCTAATGCTATCCCTCCCCTAGCCCCTATCCCCCCGACAGGTCCCAGTGTGTGATGTTCCCCTCCCTGTGTCCATGTGTTCTCATTGTTCAACTCCCATTTATGAGTGAGGACATTTGGTGTTTGGTTTTCTGTTCTTGTGTTAGTGTCCTGAGAATGATGATTTCCAGCTTCATCCATGTCTGGGCAAAGGACATGAACTCATCCTTTTTTATGGCTGCATAGTGTTCCAAGATATATATGTTCCACATTTTCTTTATCCAGTCTATCAGTGATGGGTATTTGGGTTGGTTCCATGTCTTTGCCATTGTGAACAGTGCCACAATAAACATATGTGTGCATGTGTCTTTATAGTAGAATGCTTTATAATCCTTTGGGTATATACCCAGTAATGGGATTGCTGGGTCAAATGGTATTTCTAGTTCTAGACCCTTGAGAAATTGTCACACATCTCCACAATGGTCGCACTAATTTACAATCCCACCAACAGTGTAAAAGCACTCCTATCTCTCCACATCCTCTCCAGCATCTGTTGTTTCCTGACGTTTTAATGACTGCCATTCTAACTGGTGTGAAATGGTATCTCACTGTGGTTTTGATTTGCATTTCTCTAATGACCAGTGATGATGAGCATTTTTTATATGTTTGTTGGCTGCATATATGTCTTCTTTTGAGAATTGTCTGTTCATATCCTTCACCCACTTTTTGATGGGGTTGTTTGTTTTGTTCTTGTAAATTTGTTTAAACTCTTTGTAGATTCTGGATAGTAGCCCTTTGTCAGGTGGATAGATTGCAAAAATTTTCTCCCATTCTGTAGGTTGCCAGTTCACTCTGATGATAGTTTCTTTTGCTGTGCAGAAGCTCTTTACTTTAATTAGATCTCATTTGTCAATTTTGGCTTGTGTTGCCATTGCTTTTGGTCATTTAGTCATGAAGTCTTTGCCCATGCCTATGTCCTGCATGATATTGCCTAGGTTTTCTTCTAGGATTTTTATAGTTTTAGGTCTAACGTTTAAGTCTTTAATCCATCTTGAATTAATTTTTGTATAAGGTGTAAAGAAGGGATCCAGTTTCAGCTTTCTGCATATGGCTAGCCAGTTTTCACAGCACCATTTATTAAATAGGGAGCCCTTTCCCCATTTCTTGTTTTTGTCAGGTTTGTCAAAGATCAGATGGTTGTAGATGTGTGGTGTTATTTCTGAGGCCTCTGTTCTGTTCCATTGGTCTATATATCTGTTTTGGTACTAGTACCATGCAGTTTTCATTACTGTAGCCTTGTAACATAGTTTGAAGTCAGGTAGCATGATGCCTCCAGCTTTGTTCTTTTTGCTTAGGATTGTCTTGGCTATGTGGGCACTTTTTTGGTTCCATATGAAATTTAAAGTAGTTTTTTCCAATTCTGTGAAGAAAGTCAGTGGTAGCTTGATGGGAATAGCATTGATTCTATAAATTACTTTGGGCAGTATGGCCATTTTCATGATATTGATTCTTCCTATCCATAAGTATAAAGTGTTTTTACATTTGTTTGTGTCCGCTCTTATTTCCTTGAGCAGTGGTTTGTAGTTCTCCTTGAAGATGTCCTTCACATCCCTTTGAAGTTGGATTCATAGGTATTTTATTCTCTTTGTAGCAATTGTGAATGAGAGTTCACTTGTGATTTGGCTGTCTGTCTATTATTGGTGTATAGGAATGCTTGTGATTTTTGCACATTGATTTTGTATCCTGAGACTTTGCTGAAGTTGCTTATTAGCTTAAGGATATTTTGGGCTGAGATGATGGGGTTTTCTAAATATACAATCATGTCATCTGCAAACAGAGACAATTTGACTTCCTCTTTTCCTAATTGAATATGCTTTATTTCTTTCTCTTGCCTGATTGCCCTGGCCAGAACTTCCAATACTATGTTGAACAGGAGTGGTGAGAGAGGGCATCCTTGTGCCCATTTTCAAAGGGAATGCTTCCAGTTTTGGTCCATTCAGTATGATATTGGCTGTGGGTTTGTCATAAATAGCTCTTATTATTTTGAGATATGCTACAGCAATACCTAGTTTATTGAGTGTTTTTGGCATGAAGGGCTGGAGAATTTTGTTGAATGCCTTTTCTGCATCTATTGAGATAATCATGTGTTTTTTGTCATTGGTTCTGTTTATCTGATGGATTACATTTATTGATTTGCGTATGTTGAACCAGCCTTGCATCCCAGGGATGAAGGCGACTTGATCGTGGTGGATAAGCTTTTTGATGTGCTGCTGGATTCAGTTTGGCAGTATTTTATTGAGGATGTTTACATCAATGTTCATCAGGGATATTGGCCTAAAATTTTCTTTTTATGTTGTGTCTCTGCCAGGTTTTGGTGTCAGGATGATGCTGGCCTCATAAAATGAGTTAGCAAGGATTCCCTCTTTTTCTATTGTTTGGAATAGTTTCAGAAGCAATAGTACCAGCTCCTCTTTTTATCTCTGGTAGAATTCGGCTGTGAATCCGTCTGGTCCTGGACTTTTTTGGTTGGTAGGCTATTAATTACTGCCTCAATTTCAGAACTTGTTATTGGTCTGTTCAAGGATTTGACTTCTTCCTGATTTAGTCTTGGGAGGGTGTATGTGTCAAGGAATTTATCCATTTCTTCCAGATTTTCTAGTTTATTTGATTAGAGTTGTTTAGAGTATTCTCTGATGGTAGTTTGTATTTCTCTGGGATTGGTGGTGATATCCCCTTTATCATTTTTTATTGCATCTATTTGATTCTTCTCTTATTTTTTCTTTATTAGTCTGGCTAGTGATCTATCTACTTTGTTCATCTTTTCAAAAAACCAGCTCCTGGATTTATTGATTTTTTGAAGAGTTTTTTTGTGTCTCTATCTCCTTCAGCTATGCTCTGATCTTAGTTATTTCTTGTCTCCTGCTAGCTTTTTAATTTGTTTGCTCTTGCTTCTGTAGTTCTTTAATTGTGATGTTAGGGTGTCAATTTTAGATCTTTCCTGCTTTCTCTTGTGGGCATTTAGTGCTACAAATTTCCTTGTACATACTGCTTTAAATGTGTCCCAGAGATTCTGGTATGTGTCTTTGTTCTCATTGGTTTCAAAGAACATCTTTATTTCTGCCTTCATTTCGTTATTTACCCAGTAGTCATTCAGGAGCAGGTTGTACAGTTTCAATGTGGTTGTGCAGTTTTGAGGGAGTTTCTTAATCCTGAGTTCTAATTTGATTGCACTGTGGTCTGAAAAACTGTTTATGATTTCCATTCTTTTCCATTTGCTGAGGACTGTTTTACTTCCAATTATGTGGTCAATTTTAGAAAAAGTGTGAAGTGGTGCTGAAAAGAATGTATATTCTTTTGATTTGGGGTGGAGAGTTCTATAGATGTCTATTAGGTCCGCTTGGTCCAGAGCTGAGTTCAAGTCCTGGATATCCTTGTTAATTTTGTCTTGTTGATCTGTCTAGTGCTGACAGTGGGGTGTTGAAGTCTTCCATTATTATTGTGTGGTAGTCTAAGTCTCTTTGTAGGTCTCTAAGAACTTGCTTTATGAATCTGGGTGCTCCTGTATTGGGTGCATATATATTTAGGATAGTTATCTCTTCTTGTTGCATTGATCCCCTTCCTATTATGTAATGCCCTTCTTTGTCTCTTGATCTTTGTTGGTTTAATGCCTGTGTTATGAGACTAGGATTGCAATCCCTGCCTTTTTGCTTTCCATTTGCTTAATATTCCTCCATCCCTTTATTTTGAGCCTATGTTTGTCTTTGCACATGAGATGGGTCTCCTGAATACAGCACACTGATGGGTCTTGACTCTTTATCCAATTTGCCAGTCTGTGTCTTTTAATTGGGGCATTTAGCCCATTTACATTTAAGGTTAATATTGTTATGTGTGAATTTGATCCTGTCATTATGATGCTAGCTGGTTATTTTGCCCGTTAGTTGATGCAGTTTCTTCATAGCATCAATGGTTTTTACAATTTGCAGTGGCTGGTACCTGTTGTTCCTTTCCATGTTTAGTGCTTCCTTCATGAGCTCTTGTAAGGCAGTCCTGGCGGTGACAAAATCTCTCAGCATTTGCTTGTCTGTAAAGGATTTTATTTCTCTGTCATTTGTGAAGATAATTTTGGTTAGATATGAAATTCTGGGTTGAAAATTCTTTTCTTTAAGAATGTTGAACATTGCTCCCCACTCTCTTCTGTCTTGTAGGGGTTTTGCCGAGAGATCCGCTGTTAGTCTGAGGGGCTTCCCTTTGTGGGTAACCCAATCTTTCTCTCTGGCTGCCCTTAACATTTTTTCCTTCATTTCAACCTTGGTGAATCTGACGATTATGTGTCTTGGGGTTGCTCTTCTCAAAGAATATCTTTGTGGTGTTCTCTGTATTTCCTGGATTTGAATGTTGGCTTACCTTGTTAGGTTGGGGCAGTTCTCCTGGATAATATCCTGAAGAGTGTTTTCCAACTTGGTTCTCTTCTCCCTGTCACTTTCAGGCACACCAATCAAACATAGATTGGTCTTTACACATAGTCCCGTATTTCTTGGAGGTTTTGTTCATTTCTTTTCATTCTTTTTTCTCTAATCTTGTCTTCTCACTTTATTTCATCAAGTTGATCTTCAATCTCTGATATCCTTTCCTCTGCTTGATTGATTTAGCTATTGATACTTATGTATGCTTCACAGAGTTCTCGTGCTGTGTTTTTCAGTTCCATCAGGTCATTTATGTTCTTCTCTACACTGATTATTCTAGTCAGCAATTCATTTAACCTTTTTTCAAGGTTCTTAGCTTCCTTGCATTGGGTTAGAATATGCTCCTTTAGTTCAGAGGAGTTTGTTATTTCCCACCTCCTGAAGCCTACTTCTGTCAATGTATCAAACTCATTCTCTGTCCAGTTTTGTTCCCTTGCTGGCAAGGAGTTGTGATCTTCTTGAGGAGGAGAGGTATTCTGGTTTTTGGAGTTTTCAGTTTTTTGCTCTGGTTTCTCCCCATCTTTGTGGATTTATCTACCTTTGGTCTTTGATGTTGGTTACCTTCAAATGGAGTCTCTGAGTGGATGTCTTTTTTGTTCCTGTTGCTACTATTCCTTTCTGTTTGTTAGTTTTCCTTCTAACAGTCAGGCCCATCTTCTTCAGGTCTACTGGAGTTTGCTGGAGGTCCACTCTAGACCCTGTTTGCCTGGGTATCACCAGCAGAGGCTGCAGAACAGCAAAGATTGCTGCCTGTTCCTTCATCTGGAAGCTTCATCCCAGAGGAGCAGCCACCAAATACCAGCAAGAGCTCTCCTGTATGAGATGTCTGTCAGCCCCTACTGGGAAGTGTCTCCCAGTCAGGATACATGGGGGTCAGAGACCCACTTGAAGAGGCAGCCTGTCCCTTATCAGAGCTTGAATGCTGTGCTGGGAGATCTGCTGCTTTCTTAAGAGCTGTCAGGCAGGGACATATAAGTCAGCTGAAGCTGTGCCCACAGCTGCCTCTTCCCCCAGGTGCTCTTTCCCAGGGAGATGGGGGTTTTATTTATAAGTCCCTGACTAGGGCTGCTGCCTTTTTTTCAGTGATGCCCTGCCTAGAGAGGCAGTCTGGCTGCAGGGGCCTTGCTGAGCTACAGTGGGCTCTGCCGAGTTCCAAGTTCCTGGTAGCTTTGTTTACACTGTGAAGGTAAAACCCCCTACTCAAGCCTCAGCAATGGTGAACGCCCCTCCCCTCACCAAGCTCGAGCATCCTGGGTCAATCTCAGAATGCTGTGCTAGCAGCAAGAATTTCAAGCCAGTGGATCTTAGCTTGCTGGGCTCTGTGGGGGTGGGACCTGCCGAGCCATGCACTGGAGGTAATCTGGTCTGCCCGTTGTGAAGACCATGAGAAAAGTGCAGTATCTGAGCCAGAGTGCACTGTTCCTCCCGGTACAGTCTCTCACAGCTTCCCTTGGCTAGGAACGAGAAATCCCCCGACCCCTTGTGGTTCCCGGGTGAGGCGATCCCCCACCCTGCTTCAGCTCACCCTCTGTGGGCTGCACCCACTCTCCAACCAGTCCCAGTGAGATGAAATGGATACCTCAGTTGAACATGCAGAAATCACCCACCTTCTGCATCGATCTTGCTGGGAGCTGCAGACCGGAGCTGGTCCTATTCAGCCATCTTGCCAGCAAGTCCCTTATTTCTCTTTTTTAAGGTTAGTTTCTAAGATTGAAATCACCAAGTCAGAGAGCCTTTATATTTTATTGACTTTTAGTATATTTTGACAAATTGCCTTTCTAATATACATAAAAATATAGTTTCTTTTCAGGTTAACTTTTCCTCTATAGTCACACATTTGTGACTGTGTCACATGGAACTAGGTTTTTTATCTGCTGCGTAATTTTGTCTTTGGAGGTGGTCTTCAATGGAAATCATCTTCTGTTGGGATCCTGCACACATTCTAGGGTGTGAATGCATCTGATATTTCAGTTTCCTGACTCTCTGCTGTCAAAAGCCAGTGGGATCATGATACAATATGATATTAAAGAGGTAGTGAAGGGCCAAACCATCCAGGACCATAGGTCATATTTGGGAATTGAGCAGGTACTGAGGAATTAGTCTATGAATAAGACTATCCAGTAACTATATTTCAAATTCTAGAGATATTTAATTGTTTATATTTCTCTTTGTTTTGCAGTATCTTTTCATGGATTCAGTTGGTATATATTTTCTGTTTCATCATCATTGAATGAGGAAAAAAAAGCCTTATTAAATGCTGTAGTTCTATCCTCCCCCCTCCATTTTTCTCCTTGAATGCCATGCTCAGATGTGTAAATAATCTGATAAAATTTGTAGCTATGTGTGCTATATGAACCTGAAAATATATAGGAAGATCCCTCTTCTTTCTTGGCTAGTTAATGCAATGTTAGTATCTGTCAAAAAAAACTGGGGAAACTATTCTTTTACTATGAGGATTCTTCTTTCTTAGATAATCACACAACAGAATCTTACTTCTCCTCCTACATAAAGAAGGTGCAAATGCAGGAAAAACATCAGGACAGAAAGTTGGGATAGGTTGGAATTAGTCATGAGTAGGAGCAGGGCAGAGACGGGGAGGTCACGCATAGCAGTTATCATTTGATGCAGTTTCTCAGATATTCCATTTGTTTAGAAAGTCAGAGAGCTAGCCAAACATCCCATACACTAAAGCATGAGCTTCCTTACATGGTGTCCTCTAGAAACTGGCATTTAAGTTAGCATTTGTCATGAAATTCTACTCTTCTCTGAATTCAAGTATGCAGGGTCAGAGAATTAATCTCTAGATTCTGAAAGAGCCTTACAGATAGCGTTGTTTCATATAATCATTCCTAGCAACCTCTGCAAAATCATTAATAATATATTTTAAATATATATAATATATTTTAAGAAGCAGAATGTGAAGACACATGCAAGGAGTCATTTTTAGACTTGAGTACCTGCAATCTGCATGCTTCTATGAAAACAAGTAAACAGTACTAATCTGATTTTATTTTTAATAATGATATTAGGGTTAAAATTATATAACTTTCCACATACACAGCTTATCTTGATTTTTTAACCACACATAATATCCATGTAGGCAAGGAAAAGAAATGCAAAGTCTGGATCCCTACAAAGATATTACCTTAGTAGAATATGCAGTTAACTGCAATGTATATAACATACAATTATTAAAGGATCAATGTTATTGTGCATTCATTCATTCAACAAATATATATTTACTGAGTCCTATTAAGTGCAAGGTACTATTCTAGGGCTTGTCTTATAGTGATAAAAAATCAGTCACAAATATCTGGCAGAACTCCATTGCTAGTTCACCGTGGGTTCTTTCTGATGGTAAAGGCTGCTTGCTTGTTGATAGTTTTCTTTGGAAAGAGATCCCAGGAAACTAAAATGAAATGACAGAGAACACAGAAACAGGGAAAGAAATAAACGCAATTCAAGGATGCATTATTGAGCTGGTTGCCATGTAGGCTCTCTGAGGAACAGTGTAAAGAGCATCTCTGAATGGTCTATCCTAGGCATAGGAGTGGGAAATTTTAGCCACTGGCTTCCATCTTCTATTGATCAAATATTGCCCAAGGGTGTAATGACTCCCTTGTACTTCCTGGTATACCGTAAACAGCATGGCTATGTGAACACTTTCAGATTTTCATGTTGAACAACAAAAAAAGCCCAGGACAGCAAGTAAGAGATATACAGCCCAAAGTGCTACAAGGGTACCCCTGCACGCAGCCAGTTGGTGCAGCAATAGCTGGAAAAAAATATGTTCCAAAAGGACATATGAGAAATCTTCATGCTCCACTTCATATGCTGGTTGGACATACTCATCGTATAGCCTTATAATATGTAGCTGACTGCAATCTCTACAAAAGAACTCCATTCTAGAATTGCTTGAATCCGGGACACAGAGGTTGCAGTGAGCCAAGATTGTGCCACTGTACTTCAGCCTGGGCAACAGAGTGAGACTCCGTCTCAAAAAAAGCAAAACAACAACAACGACAAAAAAACCATTCTGAAGGCGTGTTAGTTTTCTGGGGCAGCTGTAACAAATTACTGCAAGCTGAGTGGCAAAATAAGAAAACCAAAAAACCCCAAAAAACCAAACAAACAAACAAAAAACAAAAAACCCTCAATCCTCCCCAGCCACACAGACACACAGACACACACACACACACACACACACACCCCACACACAAAAAAACAGAAGCTTACTCTCTCTCCATTCTGGAGGCTAGAAATCTTAAAATCAAAGTGCTGTCTCTGGAAGCCTCCAGAGAATGATCCTTCCTTCCTTTTCCCGCTCCTAGGCATTCCTTGGCTTGGGTAGCATAACTCCAATTTCTGTCTCCATCTTCACATGGCTGTCTTCCATCTGTGTCTGTCTTCACGTGGCATTCTCCTCTCCATGCGTCTCTGTCTCTGTGTCTACATTTCCCTTTCCTTATAAGGACACCAGTTATATTGGATCAAGGGCCCACCCTACTCCAGTATTATTTCATCATAACTAATTAAATCTGCAAAAACTGTATTTCCAAGTAAGGTCACATTCTAAGACACTGGAGATTAGGATTTTGACATATGTTTTTGGAGGATGCAATTTAATCCATAAGAGTTAGTGGAAAAAGGTAGAGGTCCCACTGCTGCAAATGGTCCTGATGCTATAGCTGATACTTCTCATCCCTTTTCTCCACCACCCATTCTAGACTTTCCTCATACTCAGCCAATATGTCATTGCATCTAAGTTATTTGTGTGGTAGAGTAACTTCCACTGGATAGAGCAGAAGCTCTGTAAGTCTTTACCCTGGCAGGGGGCAGGAATGCAACTCTACATCTGGGATACATGTAATTTTCTTTATAGAATAATCAGTAGAAGCAGTAGCTAGATCAACATTAGGAGGTCCATGCTTTGGGTCTGTGCATAGACTCTATTCCTGACTTTGTGCTCATATATCCACTGTGCATAATCTAGGTGGTTGAGGAGGTTGGCTGATATCCACAGAATAAGTCATCCTTCCTCCCTAGCTGTTGAGTGCTTCTTATGTAGCAGATGTTCTCCTACAGGCATTAATGTGCCAGCAATCCTCCACACCCTTTGTACTACTCCAATAGGTTCATAAACTTGCCTCAACACAAATTTCATTTTTACTCTCTTCTAGTCTTGCCACTACCAGGCTTCTGCCCATGAAGACAAGCCCAGCAGTTCCATATATCTTTACCTCATATTACTCTTCTTTGCAGCCAAGATGAATAACCAGGTTTGCTTGCAGTTCTGCTCATTGAGAGGATGTTCCTTTACCCCCAGTCTTCAGGCAGTCCCTGGGTGGGGCTGGAGTGATGGCATACCATTTTATACTTTTACTAACCTATCAGCCAACTGATCCCATGGACCAAGCTCAGGCTTTTCCCCTTCAGTTAGTTGATTGTAAGGAAGCCCCTATGAGGCCATGGGTTCCAGCTGAGATGAATTATCCTTCAGAGTTCTTTCTTGCTTGTTTCTACTTATATTTGGAACAGGCAATTTGCAAAGGTAGAAAGGAAAAACATCAATTAGGTAGATACTACAATAACTAAAGAGTTAAGTATCAAAATTTTAACTCATGAGGTGATGGTAAGAAGTGAAAACATCGCCTCTAAGAAATATTGGGCAGATAAAATAGAATGCAACAATTCAAAAGAGAAGGATGCTTTAATGTAAGGAGAAAAGCTGTGACTTTAGCTTTAAATATACTAAGATGGAGGTGGTGAGGGTATTCAACCACAAACCTACATTCTATGTGCCCAGGATTGTTCAAGGTATGTGTCAGGTTCTAACTGAGGTCCGAGGGGAGTCAGTGGGTGAGTGGTGGGTAGCCGGAAAAACACTGGGGGAATCGTAGACAGTTTTGACATGGCTTTTCTCTCTCTCTGCGCATAAGCCATATGTACAGCATCAGCAGTGTAGTTATAACTTTTACAGACGACAGTGGCTCTGAATCAAGCACGCGCTCACGTGACTGGTTACTAATGCGCCTCACGTGGCGTGGTTACCTAATGAGCTGAGTTGTGTGAGTGAGCTCCAAACTCACTGAGTCATGCTGGACCGGATGTCTGCTTCGACCTATTCTTGACCGCAGCACATCCGTTTTCCTTACAGTATGTAGTACGCATTCTACCTTTTCCTACAATGAATCCACCAGCAGAAATTCCTGTACACATCTTATCAACAAAGAATTTGAACCTCAAAGAGTAAGTACTTTCTCCAGAGTGTAAGATTGTTAATGTCTGTGATATTCTTTGAAGTGAGGCAAGTAAATACTTCTCAACATGTTTTCTTTTCCTGCTCCTCTTTCTCCTACTTCTTTCCTTCTTTTTTCCTCCTCTTCCTGTTATAGGACTAGCAAGTACACAGGACCACTGTACAGTAACAGATCAGTTACACTGAGACAACAGAGTTTACAGCAGAGAAAGAGTTTAATGCTCACCGGATACCAAGTGAGGAGATGGGAGGAGACCCTCAAGTTCGTCTCCCCAAGGAGCACTTGGCTGGGGTTTTTAATGGGATCATGGAGGGTGAGAGGTTGGAGCATTGAGATTGTTGATATTTGGGGTAAGGGGGATGACATCATGAGGATGTAGAAACTGCATTCTTTGGTGAGTCAGCTTCTTGTGGGGTCCTTCAGACTAGCTGATGTCAGTAGTTTCATTCTTTTACAGGGCTTGCAGGACTTGAAAGAATAGAACTTATGTTTTCCCTTTGAGGTATTTTAAGTTTTTATCTGTAGAGCAGTGAAGGGGAACGGTAATCTTGTAACAGGGTCTATGTAATTCGGAGGCAATAGGCAAACAACTATGAGGAATGGATCACAGAGCATCTAACATAATGATTAATGCTGGGTGTGCTGCAAGCTTGCTTTATTTTCATTTCTCCCCGTCCCTTCTTCCCTGATTGAATTTATAAAGTTTACAGGAGCAGTTTCACTCATGGTAACTATATCTTGGTTTTGAATTAGACTGTCAGTATAGACAGGAAATACGGCACTGCTCACAGTTGATGCTTCATAAATATTTTGGGGGAAAAAGTTCTTACACATTACTCCTCCTGATCTCCGAAATTTGAGTTTGAAATAACTTAAGTAAAACCTTTGAACATTGTTATTTACCAGCTGCAAAAGTTTAAAATATGAAATTTACCTCAGTACAACCCCTCTTGAATGATTTAATTTTATACTTTAAAAGCTACATTTCATCCTATCTGTTTTTTGGCAAAAAGTAATTGAAGCCAACTATTCTTTTCTTTTTCATAATCCCACATGTACAGTTCTTAATTAAGCACAATTAAAATCAGCTTTTTCTGTCTTATTTTGTATTCTCATTCCATATGCTATATGTTCTTTATTTCTATTAAAAAGATGTACTTTTAATAAAAATGGATCTTTCTTCCTTTCTTATATTGCTATGATTTTATAGCTTTCAAATCCATTCTTAATTAGGTTCTGGTGCTGGTGATTATTAAGTTCTTCACACTTCTCTCATAGTGGAGCTTAAGGTAAGATAAAGGAAATGACAATTCCCAACCTTGTCTAGCCTTGAGGAAGAGGGTCAGAATAATATTGGTGGAACTTGAGCTGGAATGACTCTAGATTTAAGCAAAATTTGCGTTTCTTTGGCCATTAATTCAGAATGAAGGATGAGTTTGTGTCACGTGTGCCTCCTGAAGTACTCTGAGATTGCCTATGTACTCACAGGCTCATTCTAGTCTGTGAAAATCCTTTTTTAAACCGGCCTGAAACCCAGGAGCCTCATAAAAAAAGAGAGAAAAATCAATGCAATTAGTTTTCATGTATACTTACGTCTTCCTTCTGTTGTTTGTTGACTCTACACTTTAGTATAATTTCAGGCATAATGCCTCCATCTTTGAGCAGGAAGGAATGGGTTACCCGTGGGCCTTGATGCTGACCTTTTGCCCTGGGAAGCTTGGCTCCAACTGGAGCAGCTGAGGTTTCTGGGCTGGTTACTTCTGCTCCATACAACCTGCTCTATTTACCCTCGGTGAGCTATATAATCTATCACAGTTTTCTGTGTACACCGTGATTTTAAAATGATGGGAAGCACTGGCTTAAACTATGTGATAATGAAGAGAAATGCCATCTACAGATAGACCTGCTATAAGACAAGCATATTATATTCTTATTTAAAATATTTATTTATATCTGTGGCTTTTAAACTGTGTTGCATATTAAGTTCAACTGGGGAGCTTTTAAAACGGGCCTGCTGTGGGGTGGGGGGAGGGGGGAGGGATAGCATTAGGAGATACACCTAATGTTAAATGATGAGTTAATGGGTGCAGCACATCAACATGGCACATGTATACATATGTAACTAACCTGCATGTTGTGCACATGTACCCTAAAACTTAAAGTATAATAATAATAAAAAAAAAAAAACTCTTTTTGTTTTGTTTTGAGATGGAGTCTTGCTCTGTTGCCCAGGCTGGAATGTAATGGCACAGTCTCGGCTCACTGCAACCTCTGCCTCCCAGGTTCAAGTGATTCTCCTGCTTCAGCCTCCCGAGTAGCTGGGACTACAGGAGCACGCCACCATGCCCGGCTAATTTTTGTATTTTTAGTAGAGATGGGGTTTCACCATGTTGGCCAGACTGGTCTTTAACTTCTTTTTTTTTTTTTTTTTTTTTTTTTTTTTTTTTTTTTTTTTGAGACGGAGTCTCGCTCTGTCGCCCAGGCCGGACTGCGGACTGCAGTGGCGCAATCTCGGCTCACTGCAAGCTCCGCTTCCCGGGTTCACGCCATTCTCCTGCCTCAGCCTCCCGAGTAGCTGGGACTACAGGCGCCCGCCACCGCGCCCGGCTAATTTTTTGTATTTTTAGTAGAGACGGGGTTTCACCTTGTTAGCCAGGATGGTCTCGATCTCCTGACCTCATGATCCACCCGCCTCGGCCTCCCAAAGTGCTGGGATTACAGGCGTGAGCCACCGCGCCCGGCCGGTCTTTAACTTCTGACCTCATGATCCCAAAGTGCTTCCACCGCACTCGGCCAAGCATTTAAAACTCTTGATGCTCAGGCTGTACCCCAAACAAACTGCATCAGAATTTCTGAGGATGGAATCTATCTGGTGGAGAAATAGTGATTTGTAGTTTCTATTACGATTCTTAGTAATAGGGGACAAATACAGAGTTCTCTGAAACAGTCCTGATTTCAACTATTCTTTTATAGTAAATCAATGTATTAAATGTGGAGCTAAATGTGCAAATTATGTGTAACTAGATACAACTCAATTGTTATAGCTTAATACTTTTTCACATAAAGAGATTCACAAAACAGGAGCAAAAATTGCTGATTTAATATACCAAAGTAATATCCAATCAACCAGAGTGGTAGATACAAAAAGCCTTATGTAGTCACTTTAGTTTGTTTAGTTTTGTTTTTGTTATGTGACAACTGAACAAAATGTAAAATGATTTTTCTGGGTTACTTTTTTCTTGTGCTGTTAATCAGGAAGGAAAAATAAAGCATTGGTTTGAGCAAAGGGAATCACATGAGCTTGCACTGTGGGTGCTTTTGTGCCTTGCTTTGCGAGAGCTGTACACACGGCAAGGAACCTGGGTGAAGATTTGATTAAAAGGATGGATAATTTTGTTCTTAGGCTGTGAACATCTGAACAGGATACATGGTAAAAAATAAATAAATAAAAAACTAAGTAATTCTCTGGGAAGACTGAACCACGGGGAACAAATTTGGAGAACGGAAGCCTGAAACTCTAGGAATTCTTTAATATAAACTGTGTTTTGCTAAGATATTTAATTATTTTCTCTAATAGTGTATATCACTTAAGGAATATAATCACACTGAAGAATCTGTGATGATTATTTCAGTCATTGAAGGAAGATGATTTGTTTTGACCAAGTATTTTTAATTGTTTGACAAATCAACTTCAGTGGGTTCAAAACTTTCTGAATTTGTACAATACAATTTTGTGTTAACATCTTTAGTGAATTTGTTTGGGGTAAGAGTTCACTGTTTTTCATTAGGTTCTCACAGAACTGTCTGACCTAATGGGATTAGACATCACTGTTTACTTGATCCAAAATGTATCATACTGACTTACTAGACTCCAGGTTACTGTTAAATTTAAGTCCCCAAGGGCTGAATTTGTTTGTATTTGCCTTTTGTCTCATTTCCATATTTAGTAATATTTTAAATTGATATAATGAATATATTATACATATTAGGAAACAAAAATAATAAGAGTTGCTTTAGTACTTTTTGTGTGTGTGTGGAAACTGAGTCTCATTCTGTTGCCCAGGCTGGAGTACAGTGGCATGATCTCAGCTCACTGCAACCTCTGCCTCCTGGGTTCCAGTGATTCTCCTGCCTCAGCCTCCCAAGTAGCTGAGATTACAGGTGCCTGCCACCACACCTGGCTGATTTTTGTATTTTCAGTAGAGACAGCGTTTCACCATGTTGGCCTGGCTTGTCTTGAACTCCTGACCTTAAGTGATCCACCCACCTGAGCCTCCCAAAGTGTTGAGATTATAGGTGTAGGTCACCACTCCCGGGACTTTAGTCCTTTCTTTGGCTAAATTTTGGTAGAGAAATGCTGAGGGTCAGTCAACATTCACTCTGATACCACAGTGCTACCAGAATCTCCTTTTGTGGCCTTTCACAAAAGGAAGATGCAGCTGCAGATGCCGCATAATAACAAAAGGGAGAAAAATATCCACAAGCCCACTAAAGAAAAGCAAAAGGAAGGCTGCTGGAGACTGGAAGATGAAAAACCAGAAGCATCCTCGAGCCTTCCACTTCCGTATTTTGACTTGCTGTTTTTATTCCTTTTCGTTGGGGACAGCTGTGTTCTCTCAATAGATGAGCAATTGTGTGGTGTTGTTAATTTTAATTTAACCTGTGAATCATGGTGATTAGGAGATCTGTAACCCAGGCATGTTAATTAAAGCACCCTTTGTGTGAGTTCTAAGTGGAGAAAAGCCTTCCTTCAGTGTCTATCAGATAGCCATGTTTCGTATGCCCTTGGCCTCATCTGGCAATCATGACATTACATTGCACTTTATCTTCTAGTACCAATTTTACATCATGTTCCTGTCCATGTTAAGGCTTTTCAGAAACATCGACTGAGCTGGGGAAAATATATCTTAATGCATTGCCTTGTTGCTCTTTTGGAGGAACAAGAGGCTGTGTGCATGACAAACAACACTGTCTGCAACATACATGCCAAGGCTCATTTATTTAAAGATTTACTATTCATCATTGTCAGAGTTCCTGCAGGCATTACTGTCAATGTCTTATGTGCATTGTGAGTTCCTCCAAGTGTTCAGAAGAAGACTAAATCCCACTGTGACTTAATGCAAGAGTAGGAAATATTTTGTTTGCTTTAATTTTCCTGAAATGGATTTCTTTGGTTTTAGGGGAAAAAAAAAAGATTACTGCAGGCCACTGAACTATGTAGATCATACTTTATGCCTATGTTTAGTGGTTTCTGATGTTTTATAGTTTTTATTCGTTTTGTTTTATATTTCACCTCCCACCAAATACACACAGAGCAAGTTGTGCAAAACTTATACAGGGAATAATTAATCAACATTTCATCAACATTTCTTATTGACACTACAAATTTAAATCAACAAAATGTATGTCCATTTGCAAACACTTCAAGGAGATGATCCACAAATCAGCAATTGATACTGAATTATTTATGGTGGATTTTTCATAAAACAGGCATCTGCTTTTCTTTGTACTTGGAAAATCTAGTTCATTTCTCAGAGCTTTTTAACCTTTGGGAAAAAATCCACTGAGAAAAAGCTGACAATAAAGAGCAGTGAGTCACCTCTTTGAAGTCATTAGTCAAATACTTGAATTTATATGAATTATATACTTACATAAATTATACGACATATATTTTTGTTGACTACACACTAAAAGCTGTTAAGTTGCTCAGATGTTAAGTTTCCCTCTCCACAATCACATCTCCAACTCTGACTAGCCAGCATCACAAATTTCATGTCTAAGAGATACTCGATGAAGAATAAGCATTGGGGTTTACAGTAAACATCTTCAATTCATCCAGCCTAACTTCAAATAATATTCTATACTTACCCTATATATACTACATTATTATTATAGCATGTGATATATATATATATATAGATTTACACTATCTCATGTAAGAATCCTACATGAGTATAGTCTCAGTTCCTCTCTTCTGCTTTTTCTACTGTTATCCTATATTTTATTTTACATATGATATATATATATATATATATGCAATATATTGCTGTTTTTTTCCTTTAGAACAGAGGTTGGCAAACTAAAGCCCAAGGGCCAATAGCAGGTTGCAATTTATTTTTCTGAATAAAGTTTTATGGGAACACAGAACATCCATTTGTTGACATATTTTCCATGGCTACTTTTGACTAGTTGCAACAGGGACCTGAAAAGCCTAAAATATTTACTATCTGGCTCTTTAGAAAAAAGTGTGCTAATCATATTTCCTAAATTTCTGAGTAATTTAAAGTGAGAGAAAAGTCTTTTGCATTTATCTTTATTTTAACCATTCCTAAAGATCTTCACTTTTTTGTATATATGTGTATAGACTCTAGTTTCTATCTGGCATCATATTCTAGAGAGTTTTTCACCTGAAAAATTCCTTCAATAATTTTTTTGTGGTACAGGTCTGCTGGTAATAAATTTTCTTAGTTTTGTTTGTCTGAGAAATATTTCTTTTCACTGTTATTGAATTCTGGATTTATAGGCTTTTGTTTCTGTTTTTGTTTTAGGCACTTTGAAGATGTTATCTTCTGGGTCGCATAATTCATGACAAGATGTGTACCGTATTTATCACCTTTATCCTTCTTTATGTAATATGTCTTTTATTTCCTCTCTGGCTGACTTAAAGATTTATTCTATCTTCCGTTTCCATCAGTTTAAAGTTGATATGTATAGGTGTTCTGTGTGTTGTCTTTATCATATCTGGGGTTCTATGAGCTTCTTGGATTTGTGATTTGAAGTTCTGGAAAATTCTCTGACCTTTCTCTGCGGGTATTTCTTCTACCCAAATCTCTCTCTCTTCTACTGTAGAATTCCATTACCTATATATTAGACTTTGATATTTTCTCATAGTTCTTGGACGCCCCTTTTTTCTTTTCTGCTTTTTACTTTTTCACCTTTTGGCTCTGTCAAATACATTCTTCCTCTATTTTTATGATTTTCATTTCCAGAATCTCCATTAGACTTTTTTGTATATTTTCCATTTCTCTACTAACATTTTCATCTGTTTATGCATGTTATCTACCTATTCGATTAAAGCCTTTTGCATAATAATCAGAGTTATTTTAGATAACCTCTCTGACAGTTCTAAAACCTGGGTCTGGCTCTGTTATTTTTATTTTTGCTTTGCCTTTTAATAGAAATTTTTCCTCTTGCGTTTTGTATATCTCATAATTTTGAAATTTAAACTTTGGGTGTTATTTATAGGGTGAATGCCCACATACCCATTTTCTGCCAGACTATTAGTGTGGGGAGACTGAGTCCATCTATTCAGAACTTGAGCTGGGTTTGGGTTTTGTTGCTGCTATGCCTCCTTTAGTATACCACCAACTTCAAATTTCTCTGAAATTACAGATGATCTCTGAATTAGGATGATTCAACTTGGAATTTTTGACTTTGCAGTGGTGTGAAAGTGATCCACATTCAGTAAAAACTACTTCAAGTATCCATACAACCCTTCTGTGTTTCACTTTCAGTACAGTATTCAATAAATTACATGATATATGCAGCACTTTATTATAAAATAATTTTTGTGTGAGATGCTTTTCCCCAGCTGTAGGCCACTGTAAATGTTCTGAGCCTAGTCTAGGCTAAGCTATCATATTCAGTAGGTTAGGTATATGAAATAGATTTTTGACTTCAGGTGTTTTCAATTTACAGTGAGTTTATGTAGGCATAACCCCATCATAAGTTGAGAAGCATCTGTATCTTATAATTAGGGTGGGGTATAGGGTGGGGTGGAAGTAGCGGAGTCTTTTTCTCAATGTGCCTGCTTCAGTCTCAGCTTTTGGTCTTCCTTCTGTGCCTGCATGATGGCAGGATTATTTGTTCAGCCTCTTTCTTCTGCAGTAGTAGTGATTATTTGTGCTTGTTACTTGGAGCTTGCTTGCATGTTACAAAACTTGGAAAGTTTTCTTTTGTCCTGTTCCTGCCCTCATCCTAGGTAAACCTCATGTCACTGAATCTTGGGGTGAGGCTTTCTCAGTGATTTTATACTTCCCCAAATAGCAAAGGCTTCTAATGATCTGAGCCTAGGGTAATTATTTCTCCTCCCCTAGTACCACAGGATTATTTTTCTTTTTAATCCCTCAGGTTTGCCCTACTGAGAGAGGTTTTCTTGGGTCTCCTGTTCAATTTTTTTTTTTATGAGCATCTATTGAGGTTCATGGAGCAAGCATGAACTCTCCTAGTACCTGAGGCTCCTGGAGGATCTATACCCTCACAGTTTAGCAGTTTTTAGCAATTTGGCTTTTAGCAATTTTTGAAAACTAGCCAAACTCTTCTCATCCATTTGCTGGTTCTTAGCTTTTGTGTGTGTGTGCGTGCGTGTGTGTGTGTGTGTGTGTGTGTGTGTGTGTTGTGTGTGCTCTGCAACAGATAAGCCAGTGTTCAGTTCATCTCTTCCTGGAGACAGCTCTCTTTCCTTAGATTGCAGGCTACTTGGTTGTTCTGCACACTCAGCTTTCTAATGGTTTTAAGAAAACTTACGTTTGTAGATTCTTCAGCTTTTTCCTGTTTTTAGGGAGGAAATGGTGCTTTGTCCTGTTTTCTACAACCTAAGAAGAAGCATAAGCTTGGTCCCTGTAATATTGATTTTGCTGACTTGAAGATGAATATTTCTCTTCAGCTCTGGAAAATTTTGTTTATTGTTGCTTCATAATTTTTCCCTCTTTTCCTTTTCCATTATCCCAGAAATTCTCTTAGATAAGAGTTGAACTCTATGATTATTTTTCTAATATATTATGTCTCCTTGAAGATTTCTTCTACATTCTTGGACATTCCTTATCTTTTTCTTCAAATTTTCTTTGGAATCTTGTTTTGGCAATTTATTTCAAATGTACAAGAGCTCTTTCTTATTTTATTCCCTTTTTTCTTAGTGTCCTGTTCTCACCTTATGATGCAAAATTTTTAAATTTTATATATCTATGAGGATATAATTTTGTTTCTTATTAGGTATTTGACATTTTCCCTTGATTAAGAAAAAAATAAATTTATTCTGTTGATTTTACCTACCTTTATCTTTTCTTCTGAAGACTTTCTTGAAATATCTGGTGGGGGCTGACAATTTACTTATCTTTCAGAAAGAGCATGAGGATGCTGATGAGGTCTCTGCATACATGGGCAGTATATTTCCAGTCAGTTTTGCTTTAAAGTTAGCAGACAAGATCCAGCCATTTTGTCACAGGCCTTACAAATACCAAAAAGCAAGTGGCCCTGACTCTGAATGTTAATAACAAAATAACTTTCCTCATTCTCCCAGGACAGTTTTTCTAGTTTATTAAAACAACAGCAACAACAACAACAATGTTTTGCCCCAAGAGATGGAGATAATCTATGCTCACTGTGATTTGCATTATAAGAGAAATTATTTGAAACCTTAAAAAAGCAAAAGACACTATTAAATATTCTTTTAGTGTACTTCTGGGATTTATGTTTTATTGTCTGTGCTAATTTATAACTCTATGGGGGCATTGGTTAATTTTTAGATTTTTGTTTAGTAAAGATGTGAATAATTTCTGTCTAATAGAACAGATAATCCTAAAGATGGTGGTTTCTGTCCATTACAAACATTAACCAGCTCTGTATCTAACCTAGCACTCTTATCCTATGATAGTTTTTGTTAAATTGCCTTTCTATAACTTCATTGGTTTCTTCATTTATTGAATTAATATCTTTGACATGTGTTCCTTTTATATTTATATGAGAATCATGACTTACCTTTTTGAATGTTATACTTTACCAGTTGCTAAGGCCTAATCAGCCCCAAACCATCTGGGAGGAGTCTGCAGTCTGATAAAATAAGATTTATTGATTTGCAGCAAGAGAGTCCACTCCAAGGAGTTCTGCTGGGACCCAGGGAGGAGGGAAGTGTCTTTTGTAAGGTTGGATTTTCACTGAAGGATTCTGAGGCAGAACTAAGGGAAGTAGTAATCAGTCCTGGATTGGTTGCTCCTTCTGAAGCAGGATTGGAAGAAGTGAAATTAACTAGGCACTGGGTGCCATTGCAAAGTGAGGAAGATAGTAATTCAGTATCCCCTCAAATAAATGAAAATTGCAAAACAGGTCTAGGGCATCACTGGGAAGAAAGCAGTAGTCAGTCAAAAAGTAGCCATTATAACATTTTATAACCGCTGTATGATCTTAGAAGAAACACCGTTTTCTGTTAATTTTGCAGTTGGCTTTGTCTGTGTGTTGTCTTCACCGCCTTAAAAATGGCCAGGTGATCTTTTCTTCTTCGGTTCAAGCTAATTTTAATTATTTTAGCATTGGTCAGGATTTTAGTCCTTCACAGCCTAAAAAGGTGTAAGATGGAAGATGAGCTGAATGTTGAACAGTATATGTGTCTTTACTTAACTCCTCTTTTAAATCCTATTTCTGGCTGGGCGTGGTGGCTCATGCCTGTAATTCCAGCAATTTGGGAGGTCAAGGCAGGTGGATCACCTGAGGTTAGGAGTTTGAGACCAGCCTGGCCAACATGGTAAAACCCCATCTCTACTAAAAATACAAAAAATTAGCTGGACATGGTGGTGCATGCCTGTAATTGAAGCTACTCAGGAGGCTGAGGCAGGAGAAACACTTGAGCCCCGGGAGGTGGAGGTTGCAGTGAGCTGAGATTGCACCACTGCACTCCAGACTGGGCGACAGAGAGATTGTGTCTCAAAATAAATAAATAAATAAATAAATAAATAAATAAATAAATAAATAAATCCTATTTCTCTCCCTGGTCATTTATGCAACATTCTATTTCTGAATCTAGAGGAGGGGTCAGCAAAGCTTTTTTGTAAAGGGCCAGGTAGTAAGCATGTTAAGTTTTGACACATGCACTACTTATCTACGCTATTCTAACATGAAAACAACCAAAGAATATACATAAATAAGTGTGTGTAGTTGTGTTCTAATAAAACTTTGTTTATAAAAATGGAAAGTGACTAGATTTGGCCTGTGGGCTGTAGTTTGCCTACACTGATCTAGAGTCTCTCTGGGTTTTGACCCAGGTGACCAGCTCCTTTTAAGCTGTAGCTTCCTTTACTAATTCATCTTTCAACACTCCCATTTGATTTGATTTTCCAAAAATGTGCTGATATGTATCATTTACTAATGGCCCTTTTTTATTTCACCCGTTAGACCTTTTTAATTTCTTTTATCTATTTAGCGGAGTCTTTTGAGGTATGGGAGGCAAATTATTGCACTCACTTTGTCATCTTGAAATGCAGACAATATAAAAACATTTTAATAAAAGTGACTCAAGATGAAGTACTTGCATTACCCATTAGGGTATGCCTAGAATGACAATTTTGTCATCTATCAGCATTTTTTTCAGGTTCAAAATTAGTATATTCCTGCACTATTTAATAAAGCAGGCAGGGTTTCCCATCTGTAAGAGCATCACACACAAAAAGCTAAAAGAAAACTGCAGACAGATTAATAGAGCAAACAAGTCAAACCATAACATTAATGGGTAATAATACATATTTAATCAATACTAGTTAATGTTAAAGTGAGATGATACCCTGCAAAGGAGTTCTAATTCTGATTAACTAGTTTGTTATAGACATAGAAAAAATTGAAAGCCAAATATTTCTGATTGACTCCCAATTAGCACCCTCCTCTAAGTTCTTTTATGAAGATACAGATGCAAGATGCCAAATGGAGACCAATGTATAAATGTTTTAAGTAGTGGTGCATTAAATTTCTAAAGTACAGGGCATTCTGAAAAATCCAAATAGGAGAACATACTAGGATCTAAGACTAAGGAGTGAAACTGCTACTACTTACTATAAATCTACTCTTTGATATCATCTACGTGAATGGGTGATTTTTCAAAGCAGACCTCAAATATATTCATTTGGCAAGATGCATGGAGAGCTATGGTCTTCCTCAGAAACCAGTCACCATCAAAATAAACTATACCAGATAGTATATTGGGTGTCTAGGCTGGCTTCCAAAAGGTGCATTTAACATATAGAAGGAGAAATGGCATAACAATGCATGAGACAGATGGTGCAAGAGAGAGTGCAACAGGCCGTACTTTAGAGACACAGTAATGCTACCTACTGCTAAAAGTACCTAAGAGATATTAAGTAGTCACCAATTAGATTCACTTTTTTCAACCTTGGGGTAAATAATCTATGGAAAGAAAAAAAAGATTCTCCTAGATATTCCCCGTATGGTGGAGAGAAGTGGAGACTTCTTTGTTTATGTAAAAAGCAGTGGGGCTAAGAAGAAAAGTGCCCTGCTACCCCTCAAAAAAAGGCATGAGAGTAATTCAGATTATCCTATTATATCAATGCAACTAACATTCTATTAAATGTGTTACTTAATCTATAATATAGATATGATCAAGTCAAAATCTGTTTAATTTTTACCTTAAAACCTGGAAGATTTTACAAAGGAAAGGAAACTGGAGGATTATAAGTAAATAAATACCTGAGAAGGTTAAGCCAGTTATAAACTGGTCACCAATCTACATATATTAATGCTATGAATTTAAGAAGCTCATTAACTTTAGAACTAGCAATTGGCAGGCTAAAGTTATATATATAGAACTTTTAAACTATCCTCTTCAACAGTGTATCAACAGATAGTAATTAGGTTTGGACCCCAGGGGCCTGCAGCTGAGACTGTGTCATCTGGTGAAGGAGGCTTACACATCCCCATTGCAGCATGACTCACATGAGGTAAAAAGTAAAATGAATCATCTTGGCCCCTTGTCCTTATTTTGAAAAAAATATCGTGGAACAAGCTCCCACTTGAAATAAAATTGAAAGCGAAGCACCCAATGTTCTATGATAAAAGCAGCATTTTAAAGAGGTTTAGCTTTATGAATGTAGCTGAAATCTAATCCAAAATTGTACAGACTTTATCAAGAGCCAATCAACCACTTAATTGCATTTTTTTCTAATTGAGTTGGTTCTGCGTCATGCAGCAACTCCATTACATGTACAGTACATACACTCATCACGATACTGTTTTAGGTTTAAAATCAAACAAAGAGCAAAACCATTGAACTCTCTTTACCTGAACTAATTACTCATGTAGTGTAGGAACAAATTATGCTATTTCTTTGTGGAAGCCATTCAGTTTTTTCACCCTTTTGAAAGTAGGACTTACCCTCTTTGTCCATAGCAAGTTGACACTAAGTCACTATGGAACATATACTGACCCCCATTACCATTGTACTCAACTTAGATGCTCTCAAGAGGCAATAATTCATTGAATATTATGAAGATATGTTGCCAGATAAATTTTTAAATGACAGTAAAATCATGAGTCTCATACAAATACAAAATAAACTCATGTCAAATATTTCACTAATTAATTAATGAGGGATCAGTGAAGGTGTTAAGAAACCGATTCAAAGAAGTCAAAGAAAGACATATCTAGGGAATAAAGCAACGCTGAAATATTTGTTAACAGATGCAAAACTGGCTCTTTTCATAAGGTTTAAGGAAATCAATGTACTGTCACTGGAAAAAAATTCATTTGCATGTCTTTGGACAGGACTAATTTACATTAATATCAGTTTTCTACCACTTACAGGGTTGTAAAATAACTCAAAGAACAATGAAATACAGAGATCACTCTAGATTCAGATATACCGGGAAAGATGAGCTACATAGTTCCTTATGTTCCTGAAGGCAGGTATTCTTCTTTGTTTCCTGACAAACCAAGACTAAATTAAGATTTAAATTAAACACAACCACTAAGCAAAATATTGTGTAAACTTTTACTCTGATCATACACATTTCAACTTATTCTATTTTGTGTACACAGTAGATATACCTAAAGTTAGCCGAATAATTTCCTTGTAAATATTGATTGTAAATATTTGTAAATATGTGTGTGTAAATCTCATTGAAGCAGAAGTCTACTTCTCATTTACTTTTTATTATCTCATACATTTGGGCATCAAGAACTACTCCTGTTGACTTCCTTTGTAAGTTATCTTACAGCTGGCCATTGTTTTTTATTTTCACTGCTAGCACCTCAGTCCAACTCTTTAGGCAGTAAATAACAGAACATCTGGGTTAGGACACCAATGGATCTCTCTTCCATGAATCTCTTTTCCCTCTGAAGTTTACAGGACTGCTATATCAGCAGCACCATTTTCTTGTAACTAGCCTATCCAAAATCCTTTACTGTTTCCCAGACCTTTTAGCTTCACATTCAAGGGCAATTGGCTATCGGAAAACAAACACAAGATGGATGAGTCACCTTAAATCCCTTTTTTAGCAAGCTGGTGGATAACTAAACAAAGAGAGCAATCAAACCTGATTTATGATGAGTAAAATGTAGATAGGTCAGCAGGTTTGTAAAACAGGAATTCTTTTCCAAACATGCTTTAGAGGCTACTAGATTTTCATTCTTTCCTTTTTAAGGAATAAGAGTGACTTAAAAAAAAAAACAACTCTGAGTTCACTGACGTGCCAAAGTTCTTTGTCTTTATTGTCACAGTATGTCACAGCTTCAGAGTGACTCAGAAGACCTTAGTGGCATTACTGATTAGTTGTGCGACTCTGGTCAAATTGCTTATCCACTCTGAGATAGCTTCCTTTTTTCTAAAATGGGGATGCAAGTGACAACAACCCTATCCAACTTACAGGGTAGTTGTAAGAATTAGTTGAGGTTGTGTACCTTAAAATAATTACTAATTGATAAAATCTTGTTCAAATACTAATAGTAATAAGTGAATTAGCGTTGACGTTTCCATATCTCTTCTGCATATTCTTCACTGTACAAATTTTATAATTACCTATAATAAAACCTGATAAAAGTAGCCAGAAAGTGCACTATCTAGGTTGAAGGCTCTTCCACCATTTTCTTTTGTAGGGACAAAGGGAAAGCTTCCCCTTTCCCCTCGGAAGTTCTGTTGAAAAATCAACTCACAAAGAGGCAGATTGATAAAAGCTTTAAAATTTTATTAATACTGTGCACATGGGGAGAATCAGAGTGATTGTTCAATATCCTAATGTGATACAGAAGCTTATGTACCTTAATTCTTAGGGATAAAGGGGATGGGGAAATGTAGATAATTTTAGGGGGATAGGAATTGATTTTTAAGGGAATTAAAGGAACTTGAAGAACACACAATGGTCTGGGGCAAAGACAGTTGGGCCCACAGAGTGGATGATGATTTGTGACAAAAGTCTGTCCAGGTTTGTTAACAGACTTCAGTCTTCTTTCCTGCGATATGATTTCAATTAATCTCAGGAAAGGGAACCAGAGGTTAATTGTTTTCTTTTCTGGTAGGTCCAGACATTAGGCAGATAAGGGAACTTCAGCCTGTGGTTTGGGAAAGGTAGAAGATTGAGAGACCGTAGCTGAGAGGTGGAGGCAGGATGCATTGTTCTCCTTGGCATTCTGGTCTGCTCTTTATGTAGATAAGGGAAATGTTTCTTACAGTGTCTGTCTATCTCTAAGGGCCTTTAAATCAAAATACTCATTATACCAGGAGCCATGTTTTGGGGTAAAGTTCCCTGTACTCTTTTACTTCCAAGGACACATATAGAGTTGTTTTTATTTTTCCAAGAATAAAAAGTACATCAGTGGAAGTCTAGGGTTTGCAAGCATATCATATACCAGTAGTTACAAAGTTTGATGTGAATATTATCTGAGTTTTTTACTCATAATTCTATTAAAAGTTATGCTAGACTTTACATATTTGAATTTCATTCACAAGAAAATTCCAAAAGAGAAAACTTGGAAGTAGTTGAAAGAGACATACGTAATATAAAAAAGGAAAAATTTAAAAATGTATTAATTTAGGTTCTAATTTAGAAATACAAATATGCACTAGTTTCAAACAAATAACAAATGACTATGCAAAAGGCACTATCTCATCTTCAAATATAGCTTAATCTCAGGAAATAAATCATTTCCAAAAGTGAAAGAATGCAATTAACATTTTATTAAATATCTACGATTTGTCAAACAGCCTTTAATTTCTACTATTTGTCAAACACAGCTGGGTTAAACTTTATGAAGATACTTTACTGAGCTAATAAGAAAGAGTAAGAATAAGCACATTATTTGTCATTAGGGGGTCTCACAAAGCAGATTTTGATGCAAAGATCTCAGTGCAAGTAATTTATTTGGAAATAAATCCATGAAGTACTCTGAAAGAGTAAGGAAGTGGGAGAAGGAAAGGTGGACAGGTCATAAAGTGTGCTTTATTGAGCAGGATATCTCTGTGTACAGCATGGGGAAAATCTCAATTGCAGACCTCTAAGAGGCTGTACAAAACATGGCTTAGAGTTTTTCCACTGAGAGTAAGGAAGCTGGGTTATTCATCTGCCAGCTCCTGTCCTTCATTGGTTAAGGATTTCTATTGGCGCAGTAAGAGCAATAACTCTTCAGAGATCCAGCCTGCCCAGCAAAAGTACTAACCATATCTGATGCCAGAAAATACTCCTAGGCAGAAAGACACAGGAAGCCTTTGGCCTATAAGGGGACCATCTGCAAGAGAAATAGACCATGGAGATATGGCAGGGCATCACAGAGCCTGCTGCATTAAATCAATGAAACTTGTCCTTATGCTAATCATTGAGGGTGCAGCAAAGAAACAAGAAACCTAATGCATTCTGCTTATGAATTGACATACTTTTAAGAGTTGTATTTGTCATATATAGACCATGTGTCAGGTATTGAGCTAGGTACAAGGAGTACAATAAATAACACAACACAATGTATGCCCCAAAAGGATTTTATCAGCATCAGAAGACATATGATAACATTCCAAGATAAAAAGATATAGAATAAAAGAGTTATAGAAATTTATTAAAGATGGAGTCATGGCTGAGGGCCTCTGAAAAACACAAGCGTAATTTGAAGTTAGCTTTGAAATATTTAATAAAGGGAAAAAATAAAAGAAAATGAGAGCATCAATTGGAGTGGAACACTCATTAAAAAAAAAAACAAAAAACCTAGTGCTCAAAACATAGAAGTAATGTTACTAATACGAGCAGCAGCAAGACCTGTATGTTTGAGACAGAGTGGATGGCTGCCAATGAATGGAGGGTGTAGGGCCATTAGTTGGTTACCCAGGAAAAGGAAAGTGTAGTATCAGGATCTCTAAGTTTAGATGGTATGAAATGAAGGCATCAGTGAAACTGGCTTAGCCTTAGGGAAGGACTTAACTTTCCCTGAGATTAGAAGGCAGTAAGAGTGAGCAGGGTCAGAAATGTGTATTGGTGAAGGATGAAGGAACTCTTCTGCCATTTGCTCTGGACTATCTTTTTAAAGGAGTTTTCATAGCAACACTGTTCATTTTTTTCTCTATTGTGGAAAGATTTAAACTGTTTCACAAATTCATTAATTCAGCCTACAAGTATGCATTGAACATCTACCTGTGCTAGCTATTAAGACAGGTTCTGAATTTATGACTTCAGGGAACCAACAACTTTCTGAGGGTGGATAATGAAAAAGAAGCCTTGAAGGCAGTATGGCAAAAATATGCAAAATGTTTTAATTATGTATGAAGATTAACATAAAGCTGACAATAGAGTTTTGACGTGTTTTTCAAATTGCAGATCAAAACCCATTGGTTGAGTGTGAAATCAATTTAATTACTTAACTAGGGCCATTTTTCTTTTTTAAAATTATATAGACTAGAATAGAAAGTTGCAGAATGCATTACACAAGGTAAATGATTATTTTTTTATGAAAGGACAGCTTCAATTATATGTATATAGTTGTATATTGTGCCATAATATTAAATACATTTCTTACTGTGGATCATGGTAAAAAAAAAAATGCCAGTAAATAATGGTTCAGAACAGTGACCAAATCTGACTTGCCACTTCTTTTGGTAAATAAAGTTTTATTGGACTATAGCCAAAGCCATTCATTTACATATTCTCCATGGCTACCTTTCTATTACAGTGGAATGGCTGAGCAGTAACAGGCCATATGCCCTCAAGTCCCAAAGAGTTACTATCTGAATGTTTAGAGAAAAAGATCGCTCACCCCTGGTTTAGGCTATTTTACATTTCTAAAGAAAATATTATATTGATCAACATTGTTGAAAGTTTAAAATACTGTGGGATATAAGTTACTTAGATATAATTAGACAGAATTATATTCTTTCCAAATTGATTTGTAGATTAAATTCAGTCCCAATCAAAATTCCAATTTATCTGTAGAAACTGACAAAGTGACCCTTAAGTTCTTGTGGAAATGCAAAAGAACCAGAATAATCAAAACCAGTTTAAAAAAGAAAGATAAAGTTGGAGAAATACCATTATCTGATTTCAAGAGTTAGTGTAAAGCTGCAGTAATCAAGATAGTGTGCTACGGACGTAAACATGGACAAATAGAACAAGGGAACAGAACAGCAATCGTGGAAGTAGTCCTACATATATATTGGCAACTGAGTTTCTTCAAAGATGGAAACGTAATTCGGTGGCAAATGATAGTCTTTTCCACAAAGTATAACTGTATGTAAAAGACTGTACTTCATAATTAAAATTAAATCCACAATGAGATACCACTTCATACTTAGTAAAATGGTTAAAAGTTTGAAAGACTGGATGTACCAAGTTTTGGAGAGTTTGTGAAAAAACTGAAACTATCATCCATTGCTGGTGGGAATGTAAAACTGGTACAATCTCTTTGGAAAACAATGTAGCAGTTTCTTGAAAGGTGAAAGGTACATCCACTATATGGTCCAGATATTCCACTCCTAGGCATTTACCCGAGAGAAGTAAAAGCATATGTCATTTATGTACTTGAATATTTATAGCAGTTTGATTTATAGTAGCCCAAACTGGAAACAGCTCAAAGGTCATCAACCAGTGAATGGATAAAAAATAATGGTATATATCTATACAATGGAACACTACACAGCAATGAAAAGGAATGAGCTGTTGATATAGGCAAGAAGATTAATGACTCTCAAAATAATTACACTGAGTGAAAGAAGCCAGATTAAAAAAGGGTGCATAGCATGTGATTCAATTTATACAAAATTCTATAAAATTAAATCCATTTATAGTGACAGAATGTGGATGAATGGCTGCCAGGGAATGGGTGAGAAAGAGGTTTTATTAATCTGTTCTCATGCTACTAATAAAGACATTATCAAGACTGGGCAATTTATAAAGGAAAGAGGTTTAATGGACTCACAGTTCCACATGTCTGGGGGAGCCTCACAATCAAGGCAAAGGAGAAGCAAAGACATATCTTACATGGTGGCAGACAAGAGAGTGGGTACAGGGGCACTCCTGTTTATAAAAGCATCAGATCTCATGAGACTTATTCACTATTATGAGAATAGCATGGAAAGACCCACCTCCATCATTCACTTACCTCACACTGGGTCCCTCCCATGACACATAGGAATTATGGGAGCTACAATTCAAGATGAGATTTTGGTGGCGACACAGCCAAACCATATCAGAGGTATCACAAAGAAGCATGAGGAAAGTTTTTGGGGTGATGGCCATGTTCATTATCTTGATAATGGGGATGATTTCACAGGTCAAAACTTAGCAAATTATATCTTTAAATATACAGTTTAGTATATGTCCATTAGATTACAATAATGATAATAAAAATACAAGTATCCCTAAAAACCTTCACTGATTTTTTTTTTTTCTATTTGGATATTAAGAGACTGTTCTCCTTTTCTTCCCTGTCTCATCTTAATACCAGATTAGTGAAGTTTATGTAATAGTACTCCTGGAATCAATGAGATTAATATGACCTTCTGACTTTTTAATAAAATTGCTGTTGCTATGGCACAGTGATTCTCAATGTGGTCCCCAGGACAAGCCACATCACCTGAAAATGCAATTTTGAGGCTGCATTTCAGTGTTTCCCACAATAGTGAATCAGAAACTTGAAATGGGGCCACAATTTGTATTTTAACAAGCACTTCAGATCATTAATGCAAACTATAGTTTGAGAACCACTGCTATGGTAGATTACATGTTTGGGTAATAATTTGGATGTCAGTTCTATTTTATCAGATATTTTTATCTTTGGGGTTAGATCCTAATTTATTCATAAGAACAAATTCAAGCTAATTTATTTCTGTCAGTAAGGAACAACATATTTTGAAATCGTCATGGGATACCTAGCATAAAATACAATGATAAACAATATGTTGGTTGCCTTTGCCTTCAAGGATCTTCCATTTTATTTTGTGACTTTTAATAGAAGTATATAATGATTCCTATACTGCTCTCCTAAAGTACACTTCAATCATGACTATAAGACATTATTGCTGTATGTAAAATTATGGGTGTTTGCTTTATTCCCTCTATCTCTACAATGCCAAGTTTTACAGTAAAAAAAAAGTGCAATTTTTGCAATAATTTGTGTTGGATTCTCTATTAATTTTTACTTAACAGAGTCCTACACACATTATCTGAACTCAAACCACCAGAAAGGCACATGTGCAGGGAGGAAACAAGCCATTGTATGTACTCAGCAGGGTCCTCCAGCACACAACCACAGGACCCAGTGCACTGAAGTTCCCAGCATGTGTGTGTAAGAATCCTTTAACTGCCAATCCCTGTCTTCCCCTTGAAGGTATTTTCAAACTTATCTTCAATGTCCACCTGAGATTAGTGAATGGAGTCATTTTAGAAAAGTTTAGTTTTAGAAAAGTAGAATGCCTATGGTTTTAGGTCTAATGTTTAAGTCTTTAATCCATCTTGAATTGATTTTTGTATAAGGTGTAAGGAAGGGATCCAGTTTCAGCTTTCTACATATGGCTAGCCAGTTTTCCCAGCACCATTTATTAAATAGGGAATCCTTTCCCCATTGCTTGTTTTTCTGAGGTTTGTCAAAGATCAGATAGTTGTAGATATGCGGCGTTATTTCTGAGGGCTCTGTTCTGTTACATTGATCTATATTTCTGTTTTGGTACCAGTACCATGCTGTTTTGGTTACTGTAGCCTTGTAGTATAGTTTGAAGTCAGGTAATGTGATGCCTCCAGCTTTGTTCTTTTGGCTTAGGATTGACTTGGCGATGCGGGCTCTTTTTTTGTTCCATATGAACTTTAAAGTAGTTTTTTCCAATTCTGTGAAGAAAGTCATTGGTAGCTTGATGGGGATGGCATTGAATCTATAAATTACCTTGGGCAGTGTGGCCATTTTCACGATATTGATTCTTCCTACCCATGAGCATGGAATGTTGTTCCATTTGTTTGTATCCTCTCTTATTTCCTTGAGCAGTGGTTTGTAGTTCTCCTTGAAGAGGTCCTTCACATCCCTTGTAAGTTGGATTCCTAGGTATTTTATTCTCTTTGAAGCAATTGTGAATGGGAGTTCACTCATGATTTGGCTCTCTGTCTAGACATTACCATTCAGGACATAGGCATGGGCAAGGACTTCATGTCTAAAACACCAAAAGCAATGGCAACAAAAGCCAAAATTGACAAATGGGATCTAATTAAACTAAAGAGCTTCTGCACAGCAAAAGAAACTACCACCAGAGTGAACAGGCAACCTACAAAATGGGAGAAAATTTTCACAACCTACTCATCTGACAAAGGGCTAATATCCAGAATCTACAATGAACTCAAACAAATTTACAAGAAAAAAACAAACAACCCCATCAAAAAGTAGGCAAAGGACATGAACAGACACTTCTCAAAAGAAGACATTTATGCAGCCAAAAAACAAATGAAAAAATGCTCACCATCACTGGCCATCAGAGAAATGCAAATCAAAACCACAATGAGATACCATCTCACCCCAGTTAGAATGGCAATCATTAAAAAGTCAGGAAACAACAGGTGCTGGAGAGGATGTGGAGAAATAGGAACACTTTTACACTGTTGGTGGGACTGTAAACTAGTTCAACCATTGTGGAAGTCAGTGTGGTGATTCCTCAGGGATCTAGAACTAGAAATACCATTTGACCCAGCCATCTCATTACTGGGTATATACCCAAAGGACTATAAATCATGCTGCTATAAAGACACATGCACACGTATGTTTATTGCGGCATTATTCACAATAGCAAAGACTTGGAACCAACCCAAATGTCCAACAATGATAGACTGGATTAAGAAAATGTGGCACATATACACCATGAAATACTATGCAGCCATAAAAATGATGAGTTCATGTCCTTTGTAGGGACATGGATGAAATTGGAAATCATCATTCTCAGTAAACTGTCGCAAGAACAAAAAACCAAACACCACATATTCTCACTCATAGGTGGGAATTGAACAATGAGAACACATGGACACAGGAAGGGGAATATCACACTCTGGGGACTGTTGTGGGGTGGGGGGAGGGGGGAGGGATAGCATTGGGAGATATACCTAATGCTAGATGACGAGTTAGTGGGTGCAGTGCACCAGCATGGCACATGTATACATATGTAACTAACCTGCACATTGTGCACATATACCCTAAAACTTAAAGTATAATAATAATAAAAAAATCCTTACATTTATAAGCTTAAAAAAAAAAAAGAAAAGAAAAGTAGAATGCCAGGCATAGAGTAAGTCTTCTAAAATAAGTTAAATTTTTTTTAATAAACGGAAAAATTGGCGGGGCATGGTAGCTCATGCTTGTAATCCCAGCACTTTGGGAGGCTGAGGCGGGCAGATTACAAGGTCAGGAGTTCAAGACCAGCCTGGCTGACACGGTCAGCCTGGCTGACGCCCCATCTCTACTAAAAATACAAAAAATTAGCTGGGCGTGGTGACGTGTCTGTAGTCCCAGCTACTTGGGAGGCTGAGGCAGGAGAATTGCTTGGACCTGGGAGGTGGAGGTTGCAGTGGGCCGAGCTCATGCCACTGCACTCCAGCCTGGGTGACAGAGTGAGACTCTATCTCAAATAAATAAATAGGAAAAATTAGAGTGGCCTTGGATCACCTGGTATATAACCCATAGAGAGGCCACCAAATTTAAGCAAATAAGATCTTTATAAACTGCTGTAAGGATATTTGGAGGTGAAGTTGAGAGACAAACAGACAAAGGAAAAACACTAGCAATTTCATTTAATTTAAATTGGGGGTGGGCAGGAGGGAGAGGCGGAGGAAGAGTGAGAGTTGATTAAGACCTGCAGCAGACTATGATGTGCAAAACTTCTATTTTAGTCCTGGCTTGATTTATGTCCTAATACCAGGATTTAATGTCAATAAATATGACAGCTGGATGAAGAGATAGAACCTAAAGTTAGGACTAATCAATTTCTGTCTAAGAAGACTGAAGCCTTAGACATTCATTTTAGGCTTTGGTGATTGCAAAGTATATATAAAATTTTATTTAGGAGAAAAAGCTAGAATTATTCTCTGGATTTACCATAATGAGTCCACAGCCTCGGGGGACGATTGTTCCTGTTTCTGTAGAATTGATTTGAAACTTGAATAATGTCCCACTGGGAGGCAAGGTGATCATAAATGAAGAAACAATAGAAGTCTGGGGTCACTAGATCAGAAGATACTATTTTAAATATCTCAAAGGGCAAAAAATGGCTATAGGAGATGTCTGGGAAAGAAGGAAATAAAGGGTGGTATGAGCTTCAGCAACTATTATAAAGACACCAAGTCCATGACAATACCTACCAATATTAAGTAATAACAAGGTTCTGTATGTGTGATTTAAACTTGACTGCTGAATCACATAGCACCGTGGTTTCCTGCCTCAGGCTGCAACTCAGACATTCTAATTCCAACAGTTCAGGGTGAGACCAGTGTATCACTACTTTCAAAAACCTCTGCCCATGACTCTAATGTGTTGCCATGTTTGAGAATGGTGGACATAATACGCTGGGTACATGTAGGTATGAAGACATTTAAAAGATGTGGAAAGAAGAATCTGCCATTGCTGCAAGTACCATCATTCATATCTTGCCCTCAAGTGGACATTTTCTATTTTTGAATGAGTTGTAAATGCAAAGAAAAAAAAGGTGAGGATTTCAGTTTAGGCTTGTTAATAAGGACGTCACAAAATCTGCCTTACTGTGCTGTCCTTGGAAAAGAGAATACATATGTAATAACTCTGTATGCAGCCTACTTTAAGCAAGTAAACATTGTGTGTATGTGTGTACATGTTTGTATATGCATGCAAATATTTATGCTTTGACAAATTTGGGAACTATTTTGATTGATCAATTTCAGCTTTGTGAAATATATCAAAGACAATATGGACCTGAAAACTTGCTGATATTTTTTCTATTTCTACCTCATTACAAGTAATTCTAACAGTGGGAAGATGCAGGTAATGTTCTTGAATTGCATCCTCCACATTCTTAACCACTAATTCCCATCTTTGCTGAGATAATCCACCGGAGACATGTACAAGTATTTCAAGGGTTCCTACATTTGAAAAGGTGAGCAATGGAAAATCAGAGTTCTAATATAGATGTTTTCTTCGTTCTTCTCTTTTTCCTTGCCCCTAGTTCCTGTGCAAGCAACACATCTTTATGCACTGATGTCAATCTAGTTAATCATGTGTATTTCCCTGAGGGTGTCTTCTTATGCGCTAGAGGAATTACAAGGGACGTTTTTTTAAGAACTAGGTCAGGTTCTACGTGTACTGGGGCAAGAAGGGAAGAAGAGACTAAACAGGATGGTAAAAGTCACATATACGATTATAGATTTTTGTTGTTGTTATACTGTTACACTCCTTTGAAGGAATGGATTCAGTGTCTCTCAGGGCCTTCATCTGTTTTTACACTAGAATATATATTATTGCTAATGACTATATCCTATTTGGTGGTCATCTCTTTAATTGCCCTGAGCTGTATTTGATTACAACTTGCTTCTCTTTATTGTCTCATTTTCTGTTGGTGTCAAAGTCAGGACCATTCTGTCCTTAAATCACATAAATCAAGTTTGTTTAGCTTATGCAAGAAGTTTAATTATTGAAGCTCCCCTTATTAGATTGTCTCAATATAAAAATTTCTAGGTCACCATTAAAGGAAGTCTCAAATGTTCACCATATTTTATGTCGTAAGGTAGTTTACAATAAAATTATTTTATTTAGATTAATTTTTCTCTCTAACTCTCATTACTGCTGTTATTCATCCCATATTAGGATATCTTCAGGCAAATTACCATTTTGTTCTGTCTACTGTGTTAAATTTTACTGGTGGAGCTAAGACACACTACTGTGATGATAAATGAAAAATCACAGTAATTATGACACTAGCTATTAAAATTAACTTTGTCAATATGATAGTTTCTAACTTACTCTTCAGTAATTGTTTTCAGTCCTCAGAATTTTGATAGCAAGAATTATTCTTCATTGCCAAAAAATAATTTTCATTCTTCTTAAGACATGTTATTACATCTAGATTTCATGTTAGACCTCACAATGATGGTACAAATATACCTAACATTTAGAGTATATCTAAAATAAATAAACTTCTCAGGGCCTACTTTGATCAAGTGTGGTTTTAACTCATGAACAATAGTGAGAAACTATTATGTGTTTCTACTTTAGAGCTCATATCCTCTCATAAAGGCACAGAATGTGACACTGGGGGATACCCAGTCTTCCCACACATTGAGCTTTGCTTCAAGGAACCCTTAAAGACAGCAATTTAACATTTAGAAATGTGTGTGGTCAGATATAAAATAAGGCTTGGTTCCAAGCCCTACTATTTTCTCTTCTGTGATCTTGATCTGCAGATCAAGTAGATCACCATTCTCTTACCTATAAAATAGAAAAATGAAGTCTACTTTGCAGGTTTGTTCTGTGGACTGAAATAGTGTTTGGCTTATAAAAGAACTCAAGTGATGATGACTATTGAGCTCTTTAATTCTAACATTTTGCTTACTCTTTTCTAGCATTGGGTTCTTCTATGCTTGGTTGAATTGGCTTGCCATCAAAGTTCTGTAACATTTTTTATTCGAAATAGGTCTCTGACATACCTTTTCATTTTCCCTCTACACCAATGATCATCTTTGTAAAACATTTTGTGATGTCTTTTAGAAATAATATTTCTAATAAAATTATTCTATCCAAGTTACTTTATGATGTAATGCTCATTTCTGTGTTGATATATTTTAAAAGCAGCAGTTATTTTGAATCTTTCCCATTTTTAAATGTATTTTCTTTGCATTTATAAGTCTTTGAAATGCAGTGCTAATACTGTGCTATGATAGAAGAAACCATTTTTAAAATCCAGCAAAGTTTTAAAGGTAATAAAGTATCTCTACTTTTTCTTGCCATCTGGATTGTAAATGATGCCCTGAAATTATAAGGATAATGGCTTCTGAATATATAGGTTAAGTGATTCTGCAGCACATGAATATGATAGTTAAATTAGACATATGTTTCATTCACAGTAATATCCATCTATTTGTTAGAACAACTGGCCTAGTACATTACAGGTGGTAAGTGCATTGCAAATAATTGCTGATTAATCTTTTTATTTGCATACAAATTATTGAGTGGGCAGTTTAGCTGAAGTTTTATGCTCATAGTGAAACCTAAATTATTTTCATAGTACCACAATTATAGCCACTTTCAATTGGAAAAACATTATGAAACGCAACAAAACAATGCAGGAGAGACTTAACCAAATACATACTCATAGGAATGTGATGAGATTCTCTGACTGCTTATGCTGGTCTCTGAGTGGTAACTCTCATGGTTCCACTTAAAATCGTCTCAGAACACCAGGGCAATGGAAAATGGCTGAAAGCCAGTCTGTGTGCTCAGCTGGTACAACTACAAGAGGGCAATGTGCCCCTGTTTGAGAGGTAACTAATTAAGACTGTGCTTTCCATGTGTAGAAGTCTCTTAACCACATGCATGTGAGATAATGCTTAAAGCATCTGTATTTCCAACAGACACGTTTGGGCTATCAACCTGGTAATGCTTCCATTGAAAAACATGCTTATACATCAGGAAAGTCCAGAGAGGCATCTTTACCATTGGATAAATTACATACTTCATGAGTTAATTCAAAAGCTTTTTTTTTCTTTCCAAATAATATCGTTTACATAGATTTGTTTTCAGTAGAGTGTTGTTCAGTCATAAAAATGGAATTATATTCAAACAAATGGCTTTCTTAATATTGATTACACATACAACAATTAGCTAATTACATGAACATTTAAGTTAAATCAGGGAAACAGTCCTCCAATTAACCCTGTGCTGAATGTAATTACAAAGTGACTTTTCAAAACCAACTGAGTTGGCCATTTACAAATTATAATTGCTTTTCTCTTGAGAGTGGAAGAAGCAAGCTTTGTAGTATTTAATGTTATAGTAGCTTTCCACGGCTTTGAAAGTTTGGTCATAATGCTAAGTAAGCTTTGACTAAGTATTTAGTAGTTTATAGCACTTATGACAATTTCATTATTTGCTAAATATCCTTTATCAAAATTTTTTGTGGGGAGTCCTGCCTTTCTCATATAAACACTGCTGTTTACTGTGAACAAATGTGAACTAATCAGAACCTGAGTCTGTTGAACATAAAGAAACTAATAATAGTCATATTAAATGCAATAATCTTACATTTATAGTATAGCTTTTGGATCTTCTTGCAGATGCATACAGTTAATGCAGAACTATAATGCCTGCTGAATTTAATTCATAAATGGAGAAAAAAATTCCAAAAATTATACTGTATGTTTCTAGAGAAATTGAGTGAAATAGGGGTATTTTTAGATCTCTTCTATGAATTAGGAAATCAAGTCTCAGAGAGATTAAATAGTTTACTCCAAATAACCCAGCTAGAAAATAGCAGAGCTGGTATTCAAAACTCCCTGTATAAGGAACACCAAGAGAAGAGAGTGTTTTGAACAGTGTGATCTATAGTACTAAAAGCCGTTTAGATGTTGGATAAGGTAAGGACAAGAAGGGCCTATTGGAATTGATAACATGGAAGGATTTAAAATGATGAGAACAATTTTGGAGGATTGATGGGGTTGGAAACTGGATGGAATGAGTTGTGGAAGAACGGAGGGTTGAGAAGGCAGCAATCTCTAGTGCATATGCATTTCAAGAAGTATGACTGTGGAGGTGTAGGGTCTTGAAACAAAGACCATCAAGGCTGGGTGCGGTGGCTCACGCCTGTAATCCCAACACTTTGGGAGGCCAAGGCGGGTGGATCCCGAGGTCAGGAGATCAAGACCATCCTGGCTAACATGGTGAAACCCCGTCTCTACTAAAAATACAAAAAAAAATATTAGCGGGGCATGGTGGCGGACACCACCTACGTGGTGGCGGTCCCAGCTTCTTGGGAGGCTGAGGCAGGAGAATGGTGTGAACCCGGGAGGTGGAGCTTGCAGTGAGCCGAGATCACACCACTGTACTCCAGCCTGGGTGACAGAGTGAGACTCCGTCTCAAAAAAATAAATAAATAAAAATAAAAGACCATCAAAATGGAACAACAAAGAGAAAGATTATATATATAGCCTCCTGCAAATGTTCTGTTTTTATTTCTCAGAAATAGATGGCCCATGGAGATGCAAGCCAACAAAAGTACATATTGTGGATTTGAGTTTAGCAGGAACAAGGGACAGTTTTGCAGTGAGAGAGTATACTCTTTAGTTTTCAGTTTAACCATAGATACTAAGGCACTGGGCTTGCAATTCTTGGTGTAGTGTGTTGCAAATATATATACTTCATATATATGTGAAGCCATAGCTAGAGGGACTTTTAAGGATGAGAACTATTTGAGTATATTTCTGCTGTTGAAAAGTAACCAAAACAGAAGGATAGATGGATGATGCAAAGAGAAATGAAACAAAGTTTTTGAGGAAGTCAAGAAGAAATGAAATTCAGAACACAGTGTAAGCATTAGCTATTGGTGGGAGGGAGCTCAAGTTTTATACACATTAGTTATAATATGTAGGCAAGTCAAAGGACCTATCAGAATCTGAAGTGTTTTTTGAATCTACAAGATGTAGGAGTTGGATTACATCTTTTTAAAGTCCCTTCAAGCCCCTATAGTCTACAATTCTATGCTAACATTGTCTTCTTAGAAACTGCTTTAAAGCTTTTAAAATTGTGTTTCTTTTGTTGTTGGCCATACTAAGTTTCATGTCATACTTAGAAGCTCATTAAGTCCTTCTGATATCATAGTTAGAGTAAAAACTTCACCATTAGCTTTGTTACCTTGGGCAAGGAACTATGTCCCAGTTTTCCCATTAGTAAAATAGACACCTGCCTCACAGGATTGCTATAAGATTTAAATTAAATCATTTGCATACGTGGTATAGTGCCTAGCAAATAGTGAATGCAGTAAATGTTAGAGACTGTTACTATTTTTATTCTCAGATAAAGCCACATTAACCTATGTAGGTCTTCTTTTGCTGACTTAATGCCCTTTGCCATTTAACAAATTATTGCTTTCTCAAAGCTATCTGTTTAGTTAATCAGTGAAAGATTCCCTCACCACATTTGCTAACATGTTAAAAATATGTATTACAAGGCAGGCTGTGAGAAATGGTAGAGAAAAGTAGATTGATAAGATTAGGTCCCTGCATCAGAGATAGTTATAAAGACTTCAGCGCAGGATGAAGGGTGATAAATGAGGACTGAGCTATTGATGGATGCTAAGAGGAGAACCTAAGAGATTGGAGTAAGGGAGGTCTGCAATGGAGTTTTCAAAATGAAATAGGGGTGGAAAAAGATCAAGATAGGTAGGAAATTGACATTTCTTGAGGGCTGAGTATACATGCTTGTGTTTTTGATCTGTCATCTAACATTACATCTGCTCCCAGACTCTAATGTAGCCTCATGCAAGGAGGGGTGCTTTCTGGTTTCATTTAGCATTGGAACCTCAGTGTATGGTGCTTGGTATATGGCAGACACTCAACACTTTAGAATAAATAAATTAATAAGTATACACATGCATGAATGTGTATTCCTACCTGTGAACTAAAAAAGATACTTCAAAGCTCTTTTGACGTGTTGAATATTGATATAGGAGTTAAAAAGAAATTATTTAGGCAGATAGTGAGGATAAGGAGGTCCTCAGTAAGGTTTTCCTTTTAATGAAAAGCAGCCTCCAGATCATTTTCTTTTCTAACAAAGAGCAGCCTGTAAAAGTTAGCTGCAGACATAAACAAGAAGGCTGGAAGCTTACGCAGGTAAATACTGTCTGTTGTGCCATTAGGAAAAGGCTACCTGGGACTAGGCATGATCAAAATGGTGGCTCCATCATCCCTTCTCTTTGCCAGCCACATGTACAGTAAGGAGCAGACAGGATGGCGCTGGCCAAGTGGAATGCCAGTTTACATAATAAGATTAGGATGGGACAACCAGCTTTCCCAGGGCTTTATGTAAATGTCACACCTGGTTGAACAAATCTGTGGGCCCTACATAAATCAGACGCCACCTCCTCAATCCTGCCTATAAAATCTGTTGCAAACCAGCTTTTCTCTTTCAGATGCCTCTACCCCAACCCCACCCCATGAAAGAGAGAACTGCTCTCCTTTCTCTTTCTTTTGCCTATTAAACCTCTGCTCCCAAACTCACTCCTCCTGTGTGTCTATGTCCTCAATCTTCTTGGCATGAGATTACCCCAGGTATTTACCCCAGACAACAGTGCCACTTCAATATAATACAAAATATAGTCGATGAAAATTGAATCAATTCAAATATAGAACTAATAGTGCGGGGTTTATAATTTAAAAATATTCATCTTATAAATTCTGATGTTATAGAATCTATTCTATAATAGCTTAGATAAAAGGAAATGAAATGCGTCAACTTTCTCATCCTTTAAGTAGTAATTAGATACTTTCAAAATTTGAAATGTAATTTTAACAACTCTAGGATTTTAATTTTTAAAATCCTTTTTATTCTCAACTTCAGAGTTATCTCTAAAAAGCTTATTCTATTATGGTAAAGGAATGAATACTGGAAGTTAAGCAGGTCCTTCAGCTTTAGTTTTTTTAATATTAAAGTCATTAAAAGTTACTTTTAAAACATGTATTTTAACATTCCATTTCAAGTTGATTCCATTTTTTTTATTATACTTTAAGTTCTAGGGTACATGTGCACAACGTACAGGTTTGTTATATATGTATACATGTGCCATGGTAGTGTGCTGCACCCATTAACTCGTCATTTACATTAGGTATATCTCCTAATACTATCCCTCCCCACTCCCCCCACCCCACAACAGGCCTTCCCGTGTCCAAGTGTTCTCATTGTTCAATTCCCACCAATGAGTGAGAACATGCAGTGCTTGGTTTTTTGTCCTTGCAATAGTTTGCTGAGAATAATGGTTTCCAGCTTCGTCCATGTCCCTACAAAGGACATGAACTCATCATTTTTTATGGCTGCATAGTATTCCATGGTGTATATGTGCCACATTTTCTTAATCCAGTCTATCATTCATGGGCATTTGGGTTGGTTCTAAGTCTTTGCTATTGTGAATAGAGCCTCAATAAACATATGTGTGCATGTGTCTTTATAGCAGCATGACTTATAATCCTTTGGGTATAAACCCAGTAATGGGATGGCTGGGTCAAATGGTATTTCTAGTTCTAGATCCTTGAGGAATCGCCACACAGTCTTCCACAATGGTTGAACTAGTTTACAGTCCCACCAACAGTGTAAAAGTGTTCCTATTTCTCCACATCCTCTCCAGCACCTGTTGTTTCCTGACTTTTTAATGATCACCATTCTAACTGGTGTGAGATGCTATCTCATTGTGGTTTTGATCTGCATTTCTCTGACGGCCAGTGATGATGAGCATTTTTTCATGTGTCTGTTGGCTGCATAAATGTCTTCTTTTGAGAAGTGTCTGTTCATATCCTTTGCCTGCTTTTTGGTGGGGTTGTTTGTTTTTTTCTTGTAAATTTGTTTGAGTTCTTTGTAGATTCTGGATATTAGCCCTTTGTCAGATGAGTAGATTGCAAATATTTTCTCCCATTCTGTAGGTTGCCTGTTCACTCTGATGGTAGTTTCTTTTGCTGTGCAGAAGCTCTTGAGTTTAATTAGATCCCATTTGTCAATTTTGGCTTTTGTTGCCATTGCTTTTGGTGTTTTAGACATGAAGTCCTTGCCCATGCCTATGTCCTGAATGGTATTGCTTAGGTTTTATTCTAGGGCTTTTATGGTTTTAGGTGTAACATTTAAGTCTTTAATCCATCTTGAATTAATTTTTGTATAAGGTGTAAGGAAGGGATCCAGTTTCAGCTTTCTACATATGGCTAGCCAGTTTTCCCAGCACCATTTGTTAAATAGGGAATCGTTTCCCCATTTCTTGTTTTTGCCAGGTTTGTCAAAGATCAGTTGGTTGTATATGTGTGGTATTATTTCTGAGGGCTCTGTTCTGTTCCATTGGTCTATATCTCTGTTTTGGTACCAGTACCATGCTGTTTTCGTTACTGTAGACTTGTAGTGTGATTTGAAGTCAGGTAGCGTGATGCCTCCAGCTTTGTTCTTTTGGCTTAGGATTGACATGGCAAGGCGGGCTCTTTTTTGGTTCCATATGAACTTTAAAGTAGTTTTGTCCAATTCTGTGAAGAAAGTCATTGGTAGCTTGATGGGGATGGCATTGAATCTATAAATTACCTTGGGCAGTATGGCCATTTTCACGATATTGATTCTTCCTATCCATGAGCATGGAATGTTCTTCCATTTCTTTGTATCCTCTTTTATTTCATTGAGCAGTAGTTTGTAGTTCTCCTTGAAGAGGTCCTTCACATCCCTTGTAAGTTGGATTCCTAGGTATTTTATTCTCTTTGAAGCAATTGTGAATGGGAGTTCACTCATGATTTGGCTCTCTGTTCGTCTGTTATTAGTGTATAAGAATGCTTGATTTTTGCACATTGATTTTGTATCCTGAAACTTTGCTGAAGTTACTTATCAGCTTAAGGAGATTTTGGACTGAGATGATGGGGTTTTCTAGGTATACAATCATGTCACTTGTAAACAGGAACAGTTTGACTTCCTCTTTTCCTAATTGAATACCCTTTATTTCTTTCTCCTGCCTAATTGCCCTGGCCAGAACTTCCAACACTATGTTGAATAGGAGTGGTGAGAGAGGGCATCCCTGTCTTGTGCCAGTTTTCAAAGGGAATGCTTCCAGTTTTTGCCCATTCAGTATGATATTGGCCATGGGTTTGTCATAAATAGCTCTTATTATTTGGAGATACATCCCATCAATACAAAATTTATTGAGAATTTTTAACATGAAGGGCTGCTGAATTTTGTCAAAGGCCTTTTCTGCATCTATTGAGATAATCATGTGGTGTTTGTCTTTGGTTCTGTTTATATGCTGGATTACATTTATTGATTTGCATATGTTGAATCAGACTTGCATCCCAGGGATGAAGCCCACTTGATCATGGTGGATAAGCTTTTTGATGGGCTGCTGGATTCGGTTTGCCAGAATATTATTGAGGATTTTTGCACTGATGTTCATCAGGGATATTGGTCTAAAATTCTCTTTCTTTGTTGTGTCTCTGCCAGGCTTTGGTATCAGGATGATGCTGGCCTAATGAAATGAGTTAGGGAGGATTCCCTCTTTTTCTATTGATTGGAATTGTTTCAGAAAGCATGATACCAGTTCCTCTTTGTACCTCTGGTAGAATTCAGCTGTGAATCCATCTGGTCCTGGACTTTTTTTAATTGGTAAGCTATTAATTATTGCCTCAATTTCAGAGCCTGTTATTGGTCTATTCAGGGATTCAACTTCTTCCTGGTTTAGTCTTGGGAGGGTGTATGTGTCCAGGAATTTCTCCATTTCTTCTAGATTTTCTAGTTTATTTCTGTAGAGCTGTTTGTAGTATTCTCTGATGGTAGTTTGTATTTCTGTGGGATTGGTGATGATTTCCCCTTTATTATTTTTTATTGCATCTATTTGATTCTTCTTTCTTCTTTATTAGTCTTTCTAGCAGTCTATCAATTTTGTTGATCTTTTCAAAAAACCAGCTCCTGGATTCATTGATTTTTTGAAGGGTTTTTTGTGTCTCTACTTCCTTCAGTTCTGCTCTGATCTTAGTTATTTCTTGCCTTCTTCTAGCTTTTGAATGTGTTTGCTCTTGCTTCTCTAGGTCTTTAAATTGTGATGTTAGGGTGTCAATTTTAGATCTTTCCTGCTTTCTCTTTTGGGCATTTAGTGCTATCAGTTTCCCTCTACACACTACTTTAAATGTGTCCCAGAGATTCTTGTATGTTGTGTCTTTGTTCTCGTTGGTTTCAAAGAACATCTTTATTTCTGCCTTCATTTCGTTATGTACCCAGTAGTCATTCAGGAGCAGGTTGTTCAGTTTCCATGTAGTTGAGCAGTTTTGAGTGAGTTTCTTAATCCTGAGTTCTAGTTTGATTGCACTGTGGTCTGAGAGACAGCTTGTTATAATTTCTGTTCTTTTACATTTGCTGAGGAGTGCTTTACTTCCAACTATGTGGTCCATTTTGGAATAAGTGTGATGTGGTACTGAGAAGAATGTATATTCTGTTGATTTGAGGTGGAGAGTTCTGTAGATGTCTATTAGGTCCGCTTGGTGCAGAGCTGAGTTCAATTCCTGGATATCCTTATTAACTTTCTATCTCGTTGATCTGTCTAATGTTGACAGTGGGGTGTTACAGTCTCCCATTATTTTGTGTGGGAGTCTAAGTCTCTTTGTAAGTCTCTAAGAACTTGCTTTATGAATCTGGGTGCTCCTGTATTAGATGCATATGTATTTAGGATAGTTAGCTCTTCTTGTTGAATTGATCCCTTTACCATTATGTAATGGCCTTCTTTGTCTCTTTTGCTCTTTGTTGGTTTAAAGTCTGTTTTATCAGAGACTAGGATTGCAACCCCTGCCTTTTTTGTTTTCCATTTGCCTGGTAGGTCTTCCTCCATCCCTTTATTTTGAGCCTATGTGTGTCTCTGCATGTGAGATGAGTCTCCTGAATACAGCACACTGATGGGTCTTGATTCTTTATCTAATATGCCAGTCTGTGTCTTTTAATTGGATCATTTAGCCCATTTACAGTTATGGTTAGTATTTTTATGTGTGAATTTTATCATGTCATTATGATGTTAGCTGGTTATTTTGCTCGTTAGTTGATGCAGTTTCTTCCTGGCATCGATGGTCTTTACAATTTGGCATCTTTTTTCAGTGGCTGGTACTGGTTGTTCCTTTCCATGTTTAGTGCTTCCTTCAGAAGCTCTTGTAGGGCAGGACTGGTGGTGACAGAATCTCTCAGCATTTGCTTGTCTGTAAAGGACTTTATTTCTCCTTCACTTTTGAAGCTTAGTTTGGCTGGATATGAAATTCTGGGTTGAAAATTCTTTTCTTTAAGAATGTTGAATATTGGCCGCCACTCTCTTCTGGCTTGTAGAGTTTCTGCCGAGAGATCACCTGTTAGTCTGATGGGCTGCCCTTGGTGGGTAACCTGACCATTCTTTCTGGCTACCCTTAACATTTTTTCCTTCATTTCAACTTTGGGAATCTTACAATTATGTGTCTTGGAGTTGCTCTTCTCGAGGAGTATCTTTGTGGCTTTCTCTGTATTTCCTGAATTTGAATGTTGGCCTGCCTTGCTAGGTTGGGGAAGTTCTCCTGGATAATATCCTGCAGAGTGTTTTCCAACTTGGTTCCATTCTCCCCATCACTTTCAGGTACACTAATCAGATGTAGATTTGATCTTTTCACATAGTCCCATATTTCTTGGAGGCTTTGTTCATTTCTTTTTATTCTTTTTTCACTAAACTTCTCTTCTCGCTTCATTTCATTCATTTGATCTTCAATCACTGATACCCTTTCTTCTAGTTGATCAAATTGGCTACTGAAGCTTGTGCATTCGTCATGTAGTTCTCGTGCTCTGGTTTTCAGCTCCATCAGGTCATTTAAGGACTTCTCTGCATTGGTTATTCTAGTTAGCCATTCATCTAATCTTTTTTCAGGGTTTTTAACTTCTTTGTGATGGGTTTGAACTTCCTCCTTTAGCTAAGAGAAGTTTGGTCGTCTGAAACCTTCTTCTCTCAACTCATCAAAGTCATTCTCCTTCCAGCTTTCTTCCGTTAATGGTGAGGAGCTGCGTTCCTTTGGAGGAGGAGAGGTGCTCTGATTTTTAGAATTTTCATTTTTTCTATTCTGTTTTTTCCCCATCTTTGTGGTTTATCTACCTTTGGTCTTTGATGATGGTGACATTCTGATGGGGTTTTGGTGTGGATGTCCTTTCTGTTTGCTAGTTTTCCTTTTAACAGTCAGGACCCTCAGGTGAAGGTCTGTTGGAGTTTGCTGGAGGTCCACTCCAGACCCTGTTTTCCTGGGTATCACCAGCGGGGGCTGCAGAACAGTGAATATTGCTGAACAGCAAATGTTGCTGCCTAATCGTTCCTCTGGGAGCTTCGTCTCAGAGGGTTACCCGGCCATGTGAGGTGTCAGTCTGCCCCTGCTGGGGGATGCCTCCTAGGTAGGCTACTCGGGGGTCAGGACCTACTTGAGGAGGCAGTCTGCCCATTCTCAGATCTCAAACTTCATGCTGGGAGAACCACTACTCTCTTCAAAGCTGTCAGACAGGGACATTTAAGTCTGCAGAGGTTTCTGCTGCCTTTTGTTTGGCTATGCCCTGCCCCCAGAGATGGAGTCTACAGTGGCAGGCAGGCCTCCTTGAGCTGCGGTGGGTTCCACCCAGTTCAAGTTTCCTGGCCACTTTGTTTACCTACTCAACCTCGGCAATGGTGGGCACCCCTCCCCCAGCCTCGCTGCCACCTTGCAGTTCGATCTCAGACTGCTGTGCTAGCAATGAGCGAAGCTCCCTGGGTGTGGGTCCCTCCGAGCCAGGTGCAGGATATAATCTCCTGGTGTGCCATTTGCTAAGACCATTGGAAAAGCACAGTATTAGGGTGGGAGTGATCCGATTTTCCAGGTGCTGTCTGTCACAGCTTTGCTTGGCTATGAAAGGGAATTCCCTGACCCCTTGCGCTTCCCAGGTGAGGCGATGCCTCACCCTGCTTCGGCTCATGCTCGGTGCGCTGCACCTACTCTCCTGCGCCCACTGTCTGACAAGCCCCAGTGAGATGAACCCGGTACCTCAGTTGGAAATGCAGAAATCACCCCTCTTCTGCATTGCTCACACTGGGAGCTGTAGACTGGAGCTGTTCCTATCCGGCCATCTTGGAACAGCCACCTTCCATTTTTTAAAAGTAGTTTTACTTTATCTTTTTTTCTATATGTGTATATGAACAAATATCAAGTATATATATTCATCTACTGATAACAGATATAGAAAATATGCACATATGTAAGAATATACATATTTACTTATATATGAAACATGTAAATGGTGTTCATGATTTAATGTTCAATATTTAAAATAGTTACTTTGGGATTTGGGATGGTGGTATTTAAGTCAGCTTTTAATTTTTCTTTAAACTTATTTGTTGGGATTTTTAAATAATACAATTTTCATGGACTCTTTACATAAAGTCTTAGCTCACATAAACTGTTTCATACAATCAAGTGTGAAAAAGCCAGCAGTCCTCCCTGGAATACAATTCCCAGATTGAACTGATTAATCTCAATAAGAAGGGAGTAATTAATGAGTCTGATAGTATCCTGCTTGCTTAATAATGTTAATAACTTGAATGTGGCCTAATCTTAATGTGTGTTGAATTTTTACTTTCATTTGTGAATTATAATAAAAAACAGGGCAAAATCACACTGAATTCTAAAAATTACATTGAAAAAATGTTCTATACATTCATCCTCTAAGAGAAAATTAAGAATTAACAAACATTTCTTTAACAGAGTATAAGAAGAACATGTAAAAAAATTTATACAATAGGACTTCAAGTTAACTTTTAAAAGAGTCAATAAATCCAATAAAATCTTTATTTGCTTGTTTGTGCTGTTCAAATGTTTTTTTTCAAAATTCCATGTAGCTCTGGTCCTCTCTTGGAAGGATTTTTGAATTATGTATATGAGATAATTGTCTCAAGACACCCAATAGATTACATTAATTTTAAAACCAAAATAATTGCCATTTATCTCTGCATCTTCACAATCACTGTGATACCACAGTAAAATACAATTTGTGTGTGGGTGTGTGTGTGTGTCTGTGTGACTGTGTGTGTGTGTGTGTGTGATTAGTTGGTTAGTTAGCTACTGTTGGTTCAATTGGTTTTGTTTAGTAAATGGATAGAGGACAGAATGAATAAAGTTATTTCATGGTGTCTCATGTTTTAGTTAAGAGAATGAATTATCTGTGCTCATATATATATATATATATATATATATATATATAGCACCTGTGGAAAAAGTCTCATATCTATATGAGCTCTGGTTCATGCATCGTTCACTTTCATTGCTACAAAGCACCTTGTGACATTATATTAGCACTTACCAGTTTCACATATCATAACATATAGTGGGATTAGCAGACTGTAAAAAGAAGTGACAAGTTGCTGGTCAAACCTGGAGGAGATATGAGACATTATAATGATAGCTTCTCATTTAACTGTATTTCAAAACAATTATTTTAAAATTAATTTTAAATCTTTGGTACTATAAATGAGAAGAGCAACAAAAATAAATAGTGGGGTCAATGGTAAAGTATTTTTTAAAACTCTGTATAAGAATAAAGGGCTAGAGTTCTGACCAGGGACCTCTTCTTGGCTACAGACTGCTGACTTCTTGTCATATACTCAATTACAGGAGAGTTAGCCAGCTCTCTGCCCTCTTCTAAGGTCACTAATCCCATTAATCTAGACTCCACTCTCATGACCTAATTACCTTCCAAAAGCCCTACCTCCATGTACTGTCACATTGGGATTAGAGGTTCAGCATATGAATTTTAGCGGGGCACAAACATTTAGTCCATCACAGGGCCATTACAAATAAAGCTGATATTTTAAAAAATTACATCAGGTGTTTGTATGAACATAGGCGTTATTTCTTCTGAGTAAATACATAGAAGTGAAATGCCAGGATCATATGTTAGGTGTTTAATTTTTCAAGAGGTTGCCAAGCTGTTTTCCAAAGTGATTGTAACATTTTATATACCCACCAGTAGTGTATGCAAGTTCCATTTTGTCTACATCCTCATCAAAATTTGGTATGGTGAGTATTTTTAATGTTTAGCCATTCTAATGAATTTGTAGTAGTATTTCACTATAGTTCTAATTTGCATTTCTCTAATGACTAATGATATTGAAGGTTTTTAAAAACATGCTTATTTGCCATCCTATATCTTCTTTGGTAAATTATTCAAATCTTTGGCCCATTTAAAAAATGGGTTATTTCTTTTTTATTATTGACTTTTAAGAGTTCTTTACATGTTCTGGCTGCTACCATAACAGACTGGGTAGCCTAAAAAAGAGGAATTCATTTTCTCTTCGTTGTGGAGAGGGAAGTCAATGATCAAGGTATTGGGCATGTTGGTCTCTGCTGAGGTCCCTCTCCTTGGTGTGCAGATGGCCGCCTTCTCACTGTGTCTTCACATTGCTTTTCCTCTGGACATGTGCAACTCTGGTGTCTCCTCCTCTTTGTTAGGGAGAGGGGAATCACAAAGTAGGCGCTTCTTCTTAGAATATCAGGGTATTACAAAGCAGGATTTTTATTCTTTGCCTCTCAGCACTCATGCCTTTTAGAGATACCTGAGTCTATATGGCAACAAGGTTAACACGGTGCCCAGATGTTGGAATAGAAATGACTGAATAATGTGCCAGATAGAAAGACCTGAGAGAGCATTCTCACAGCTCCTACTCTCCACCCTGCTCCCACCCATTCTCACCGTCTTTAAGGGATTTGAAATTCCCAGGTAGATACCTAGGGATGGAATGAGAACCAATAGAAATTTATTTTCTTACTGTTCTTGAGGCTAGAATGCCAAGGTCAAAGTGTAATCAGGGTTGGTTTCTGGTTAAGCATCTCTCCCCATCTTGCAGACAGTACTTCTTATTATGTCCTGATATGGCTTTTTCTCTTGGTGTTTCTTCCTCTTCTTATAAGGACACCAGTTCTACTGGATTAGCCTTCCCCATTAAGACCTCATTTAACTTTACCTCTTTAATTAATTAATTTTGAGACAGGGCCTCCCTCTGTTGCCAAGGCTGGAGTGTACCACACAGCTCACTGAGGCCTCCATCTCTGGGGCTAAAGTGATCCACCACCACAGCCTCCTGAGTAGCTGGAACTACAGGCATGGTGCCCAGCTATATATATTTTTTAGTTTTTTTTAGTAGAGATGAAGTCTCACTTTGTTGTCCAGGCTGGTCTCAAATTCTTGAGCTCAAATGATCCTTCCCACTCAGCCTCCCAAAGTGCTGGGATTACAGGAGTGAGCTACTGTGCCCAGCCAGTTACCTTTTTAAAGGCTGTATCTCCAAATACAGTCATATTGGGGATTAGGATTTCAACATGAAATTTTGGGGAGAACACAAATCAGTATATAACATTAAACTTTAATCAGATACATGCTTTGCAAATTTTTTCAGTCTGGTTTTCCTTTCATTGTCCTAATGGCATCTTTCAAAGAAAAGAAGTCAGAAAATTTGGTTGTCCAGTTTATCAATTTTTTATTTTATAAGTTTTACTTTCAATGGCATATCTAAGAAATCTTTGCCTAACCCAAAGTCACATTTTATTTTATACTTTCTTCTAAATGTTTTAATGTGTTCAGCATTTCCTTTAGGTTCACAATATATTTGGGTTTTTTTACATATCTTATGACATATGGTGAAAAATTCATTTTTATGTGAATATCCAATTATTTTAGCAACATTTATAGAAAAGACAATCCTGTCTGCCTATATGATCTTTGTTACATTTCTTGAAATCATTTGTCCATATGTTTGTGGCTCTATTTTCTGGACTCTTGATTGTATCTGATTTATCAATTTGCTTATATTTATACTAATATTACTTTAATTACTGTAACTTTATACTAAAACTTAAATCAGATAGTCTTAGTTCTCCAACTTTGTTTTTCTTTATCAGAGTTGTTTTACTTTTTGTATATTCTTTGCTCTTCCACATACGTTTTAGAATCAGTTTACTAAGTTGCTACAAAAAGACCTTCTGGGACTTTTATTGGGATTAAATTTGGTTTATAGATCAAGTTGGAAATAATTACAATTTAATAATGTTGCATCTTTTGACTCACAAATACTACATATTTTTTTAACTATTTGGTTAGGTTTTCTTTAATTACTCTCAATGTTTTCTTGTTTTCAGCATACAGGGGTAGCACAACTTTGTCAGATTTTATCCTCAGGCGTTTCATTTTTGATGCTATTTAAATTAGTATTGTCTATTTAATTTAATTCCTGATTGTTCATTGCTAGGATATAAAAATATAATTATTTCATATACTGATTTCATATCCTGCAAGCTGCTAAAATACCTATCAGTTCTAGTAGGTTTTGGTAGATTCCATTGGATTTTCTATTTAGATGGTTAGGTTGTCTATGAATAACAACAGTTTTATTTCTTCCTTTTGTTTTTTTGAGTCAGGATCTTGCTCTGTTGCCCAGGTTAGAGTACAAGAGCATAATCATGGCTCACTACAGCCTTGACCTCCAGGGCACAGGTGATCCTCTCACCTTAGTCTCCTGAGTAGCTGAGATCATAGACATGCAGCACCACATCCGGCTAATTTTTTGTATTTTTTGTAGAAAAGAGGTTTTATCATGTTGCCCAGGCTGGTCTCGAACTCCTGAGATCAAGGGATCTGCCCACCTTGGCCTCCCAAAGTGCTGGGATTACAGCTGTGAGCCACTACACCCAGCCACTTCTGCCTTTTTAACTATATGCCTTTCATTTCTTCATCTTTACTTGTTGTACTTGCTAGAATCTCAAAAAAATGTTGATTAGCGATGTTGTGAGTGGATGTCATCATCTCATTTCTCATTTTAGGGGAAAACTATTCAGTCTTTTTTTTTTTTTTTTTGAGACAGAGTCTTGCTCTGTCGCCCAGGCTGGAGTGCAGTTGCATGATCTCGGCTCACTGCAACCTCTGCCTCCCAGTTCAAGCAATTCCCCTGCCTCAGTCTTCTGAGTAGCTGGGACTACAGGCACCCACCACCACGCCTGGCTAATTTTTTGTATTTTTAGTAGAGACAGGGTTTCACCGTGTTAGCCAGGATGGTCTCGATCTCCTGACCTTGTGATCCACCCACCTCAGCCTCCCAAAGTGCTGGGATTACAGGCGTGAACCACCTTGCTCGGCCCTATTCAGTCTTTCATAATTAAATATGATGTTGGCTGTAGGCATTTCATTTATATCCTTTGTAAAGCCGAGGAAACTTTTTTATATTCGTAGTTTGCTAAGGGTTATTTTCTAAGGAATGAATTTTGTGTTTTGTGAAACGCTCTTTTTTTCATCTTGAGATAATCATATGTTTTTCTTTCTTCTGTGGTTAATGTAGTTCATTACACTGATTGCTTTTCAATGATAAACTAACCATGCATTCTTGTGATAAATCCCTCTTAGACATGATGTATTATGCTTTTAGTATGTCTTTGATTTCAATCTGCTAAAATTTTGTTTGTTTACATTCATGTTCCTGAGGGTTATTAATCTATTACTGTTTTTCCCCCTTGCAGTATAGCCTAGTTTTGGTATCAGAGTAATACTGGCCTCATGAAATGAGTTGGGAATATTCCCTTTACTTTTTTCAAGGAGTATGATATGGTTTGGCTGTGTCCCCACCCAAATCTCATCTTTAATTGTAGCTCCCATAATTCCCATGTGTTGTGGGAGGGACCCAGTGGGAGATAATTGAATCATGGGGGCAGTTTGCCCCATACTGTTCTCATGGTAGTGAATAAGTCTCATGAGATCTGATGGTTTTATAAGGGATTTCCCATTCGGCTTGGCTCTCATTCTCTCTTGCCTGCCGCTCTGTAAGACGGATGTGCTTTTCACCTTCTGCCATGATTGTGAGGCCTCCCATCCATGTGGAACTGTGAGTTCATTAAACCTCTTTTCCTTTATAAATATGACACAATCTCGTATTTGGGTATGTCTTTATCAGCAGCGTGAAAACAGACTAATATAGAGGATGTGTAGGATTTATGTTATTTCTTCTTTAAATGTCTGGTAGAATTTACCAATATATCGATGTGGGCATTGCATTTTCTTTAAGGGAAGTTTTAACTACCAACTCAATTTTCAAAATTGATATAGATACATGTTTATAAAGCTACCTAAATTTTCTGAGTTAGCCTTATAACTTGTGTCTATCACATATTTTATCCATTTCATCTGAGTTGTCAAATTTATAGGTATGAAGTTGTTAATGATCTTCAAATCTTTAGAATCTGTAGTGATTACTGCTATTCTTGATATTGCTAATTTGCACTCATTCTCTCTCTCTCTCATTCCACTTCAAGGTTTATCAGTTTCATTGATATTCTCAAAGAATGAGCATTAAGGTTTGTTTATCTTTCTCTACTGATTTTCTGTTTCTATTTCATTAATTTCCACTGTACTTTCTATTATTTCCCTTTGTCTGCTTACTTTGGACTTCTGTTGCTCTTCCTTCATTAGTTTCTTAGAGTGGAAGCTAATATTGATTTAAGATCTTTCTTCTTTTATAATGTGGGATTTAGTGACAACATGTCCCATTTAAGTACTGTATTAGCAGTAACTCACACTTTTAATATGTTGTATCTTTCTTCAGTTCAAAATACCTTCTATTTTCCTTTTGATTTCTTCTTTGAGCTATTGTGTTTTGTCAGCAATATGTTATTTAGTTCACATAGTTAGGGATTTTCTAGTGATCTTTCTGTTACTTTTTTCTGATTTTATTGTAATCAGAAAATGTACTTTATGTGAATTGAATCCTTTTACACTTTTATGCTTATTTTTGGCCTAGTATATAGTTTATCTTGGGAAACATTCCATGTGTGCTAGAGATAATATATACTCTCTTGTTTAGTAGAGTGTTCTATGAATATCAGTTAGATTTAGGCCATTGATAGTGTTATTCACATCTATACTACATGTCTACTTGTGCTATCAATTTTTTAGGGAGGGTTATTGAAATATCCAGCTCTAATTTAGATTTACTTTTACTTGAAGTTATATATTTTTTTACTTTAAAGTTTCTTATAGTGTGGGTATGCTGGTGATGAATTCTTTGAGCTGTTGCATGTCTGTCAAAGTTCTTATTCCACTTCCTTTTTTTTGGACCTCGTGATGCAACAGTATCACCTTTGTTTTTGAAGGATAAATTCATTGGGCATATAATTCTAGATTGATAATCCTTTTCACACTTTAAATAAGTTGTTCCACTCTCTTTGTATTTGTATTACTTAGGATGAAAAACTGCTATACTTATCTTGGTTCCTTCATATACACAATTTTTTAATTGATTTTAAGATTGTCTTATTTTTAGTAGTTTTGTGCAACTTGATTATAAAGTGCCATAGTGTAGTTTCCTCATATTTCTTGCGCTTGAGATTAAGATTTATGGATCTCTGATTTATAGTTTTCACCAAATTTAGACTTTTTAGAATTTTGTAAAAGTATTCGATTAACATTATTGTCCCACTCTCCTTTCCTTTCTGGATTCCGATTATGTATATATTAGGCTTCCAATTATGCATATATTAGGCCTCAACTTACTGATGCTTTTTAAATTTTTAATGTTTTTTCCTTGCTGTTTTTGATAATTTCTATTGTCTTGTGTTCAAGATCATTACTCTTTTCTTCTATAATATCTAATTTGCCATTAATGTGTTTATTTCTGTCTCTGAGATAGTAATTTTCATTTGCAGAAGTTCTATTTCAGTCTTTTAATATTTTCCATGTCTTTACCTAACTTTTGTAACCTATGAAATACAGTTTTGTGACTATTTTAAATTCCTTGTCTGCTAATTCTAACATCTGTGTCAGATCAGGGTCATTTTTGATTTATTATTTTTCCTCATCATGGACCATGTTTTCCTGCTTCTTTGCGTGGCCAGTAATCTTTTGCTGGACACCAGGCATTATGAACTTTACCTTGTTAGGTGCTTGGCATATTTGTATTCTAATTAATATTCTTGAACTTTGGGGATGCATTTAACTTCTTGAAAACAGTTTGTTTTTTTTTTTCCTTTTTGGCTGATAGGAACAGACATGTATTCCTGGCCTTTGTAAGCTCTATGCCCACAAAGATAATAATAGATTATTTCTAATCTATTTACATGGTTCTTTTCCCAATCTTAGGTAATTTCATTTCATTCATGAGCCAAATCAGCCCTCTACTGAATACTAAAGAGGAAGCTTCTGTAGATCTTCAGAGTTCTATCTGTGTGCAACTCTCTCCTCTCTGTTACTCTGTCTTAGGAAGTCTAAAAACTTGGTCTCCTGGATTCCTGATTACCTCTACACAGCTAAGAAAGTCTGCCTGACTCCCAGTGGGTTTCTGCTTCTGTGCTATTGACTGGAAACTCATGGCAATGAGTTGGCCAATAGTAGTGTGTGACTCATTTGTTTCCCATTTTTCAACATCACTGTCCTCCACTGTCTAATGTTCAGTGTCTTAGAAAACATTACTACTTATATTTTAGCTATTATTTTTCTTCTTTTAGTTGATTCAGTGGGGTACTATATCCAGCCTTTGTAATTCCATCTTGCCCAGACCCAAGACTTTTGATTTTGGATATTTTTTCCTTGTTCATTCACCTTAAATTAAACAGTTATGCCTCCAGATTACATTAAATACAACTGAAACATCATTCAGCTCAGTTGTCAGACATTATGTCAAATTATTTCAGAATAAAACCTGACTCACCAAATATTTGTCAGTGAAATTCTATCACCTATGTTTTCCATTTTTCTCAAATTCACTTACCTTTTCTCAGAAGTTAAGAGATGCTTTTGTCATTACATTTATCCTTCAAGGATAAGATATAATAATAAAATAATATTTTCTTTTTTTGTATGTGTTTCATTTGTAACGATATTCTACAACTATGAAAATTCAGAAATCAAGTAGTTTTACTTAGAAAAAAAAGTATGCCTAGTATTTGTCAAAAAGTCAAACTGTAGAAGGTTGAAAATCCCAAATCATTAGAAAATCTGAATTTATCCCCAGAAGACTGATTTATTTGTGCATGTTTGTATCTTTCCTTAAACCTGAAAGGGTTGGGGTGGGGAAAGTTTCATGTGCATTAGCCTACTCTACAGCCAATTTAAAAGTCAAAATGTCTATCATATGTTTTAATTTTAGGAATATAAGTCTTAAATGTTCCAATATTTAATGAATATATTAGACTGTTGATAGCTTCTGTATATTAAAAAGCTGTCCTTGTCGACAATTTTTTTTTTTTTCTTGAGATGGAATCTCCTTCTGTTGCCCAGGCAGGAGTGCAGTGGCACGATCTCAGTTCACTGCAATCTCTGCCTCCTGGGTTCAAGTGATTCTCCTGCCTCAGCCTTCTAAGTAGCTGGGATTACAGGAGCATGCCACCACCCCCGGCTAATTTTTGTATTTTTAGTAGAGACGAGTTTCACCATGTTGGCCAGGCTGGTCTTGAACTTCTGACCTCAGGATGATCTGCCCGCCTCAGCCTCCCAAAGTGCTGGGATTACAGGCGTGAGCCACTGTGCCCAGCTGGCAGTCTTAAAATTGGATTTTTTTTTTCAGAAATTTTAGTAAATTAGAAACAGAAAAGACTATACATAAATTGACACCCTAAAATAAAGTCTAGGACACTGGATATGCCATATTGCTTCTGGAACTAATATTTAGGGGATACTCAACATAAACCTGTAATTTTTCTTCTTGGATGTCACTATTATGGACATTGAAAATGATAAGCAGAGGAGAGTGAGAATTAAATTGTTTAGCATGGCCTCTTGCGGACATCTGACTCTGATATTTTGTCATGTCCAAAAGATACATAATACAATATTTTATGCTGTGAATTGAAAAATGATTTATAAGAAATCTCAGGAATGACCTTCTATTTTCTCCTATTACCTTTCTAAAGTCTTTCCCTGTCAGTAATTACACTAATAGCTCTGTCCAGATGCAGGAATTAAATTTCTCTCTTTTCTCAACAACACAGTGCTCATTTCCTATATTCTGAGCATACGTTTTGAGTTTTTCTTTTTATCCAATGATCAGTTGAAATGACAGAAGAAATGACGTAGGAAATATACTAGCCTGGGTTTTAAATTAGAGATCGATTCCATTGACAGAACTACAATGCTAAAATTCTTATGCTTGAAGTGCAGAGTGGGCTTACTGATCAGTCATCATTCACTACATAGACAAGGGAAGCCCAACTTAAATAACCAAAAAGTATCTGTCATTTTCTCTGATGAAATCTGTCTCAACTATTAATATAATGGGACTCCCTCTGAAAGCCTGGGAACAAATAGACACATTTTCCAAACAGGTCGGTAGTTCTAATCTAATAACTTCTAGATTTCCACATCTAGTTAGGATGTAGACAATATGAAATACCTTTACTCCCATTGAAACAACAAGAAATTATTGCTTAAATATCTGTATATGCAGAAAGACAGATTGATAAATAGATATAGATGTACATGTAGATATTCATATACATATTTTCTTTAAAGCGATCTGGGCATAAAGATACCTAAAACCTAAAGGCATTGAACTCAGAGGATGGGCTCTTTGGCAATGAAGATGGAAAAGATAGAGGAAATTTTCACACTGAAGATCCACTGGTGAAGTTGGGGATGTGGGAGAAGGTGGGGGCAAGCAGTGAACTAGGCTTCTGGAGAACAAAATCTTGGTTTTACTTCAGAGGAAACAGTCAAACTTGTGACAAACCTGTGGGCTAATGTGTCAGGTTTTAATCTGGAGGAAGCTGAAACTCAAAGATAATGCTCTCTGCAAAATAATTAGTTTTTAAAAATTTGCTGAATAATCAGAGGCTAGGGACAAGATTGGAAAGCAGAAAGAGCTCTCTGTCTTCACAGTATCACAATTTTGATACCTGGAGATGTCAAAGTCTCTTGTTTGATCTTCTCGCTGTCACTAAGTCTCTCAGTCCTTGACTCCTTAATTACAAAGGCTGTTGTCTTGCAGTCTCATAGTAACAAGATCTCACAGTCTCACAGCCTTCCGGTCTTGAAATCCCACACCTTGTAATATGGAAATCTCAGCCTGTTAAACAGATGGTCTCAGAATCTCAGGATCTCACAAGTTCAAGGTCTAACAGGCTCAAGGTCAAGCAGTTTTGAGATCTAGCAATATCATAGTGTCTGGTTCTAGGACTCTCCTGAAGGAAGAGCCTAAATTCACTATCATAATGCTTTGGGAGCTATTGTGACCAAATCCTGACACAATCCAACTTACGATATAGTCAAAACCATCAGCCCTCTGGCAGCATAGAAAATGGAGACTGGGCTGACAAATACAATGTCTTAGGCAGCTACTATGAAACATATTTCACAGAATAGCAGGAAAATCAGTAAACTTAAATATAGGTTAATAGAAGTCAAAACTGTAGTATAGAAAGAAAAAAAAGGAAAAATAATGAAATTAGGACAGGCAAAGATTTCTTAAATGGGACACAGAAAACAGTAATCATAAAAGAAAGAAACAGAAAAATAGGTTAGACCTCATCAAAATTAGAAAATGTTCTCAAACTACACTGTTAAGAAAATGAGTTAAGCCACAAAATGAAAATATTTGCGAAACATTTATCTGTCAACTGACTCATATCCAAATATATATAACAATTATATGAGAAAAGCAATCCAACAAAAATGGGCAAAACATTCAAGAACAAACTTCACAAAAAGTAGATATGTGAATGGCCAGTAAGCCAATCATAAGTAAAAAAAAAATGACAGTACCAAGTACTGAAAAATACATAGAGCAAATTAAACTTTCATACTTTGCTGGTGGGAGTTAAATAGCCCAGCCTCTGTGGAAAACCACATTTTGTCATAAAGTTAAACATGTATCTACCCTATGACTCAGCATTTCCATTCATAGGTGTTTATCCGAGAGAAGTAAAAATAGGGGCCCGCAAAAAGATTTATCAGTGTGCATTTCAATTTCATTCACTTTCCAAACAGGAAATGACCCCAATGCTCATGGGAGTGAAACTGTGGAATAATCATACAATGGAATGCTCCCCTGCAATAAAAATGAACAGACAACTGATACACACAACAGGAATGAATCTGAAAATATTGGGGGAATAAGTCAGACACAAATAGGATCATATAATCCTATTCCAATTATTTGAAATTCTACCACTTCAAAATGGTGGTAGAAATAAAATTAGTGGGTTTTTTTGTTTTTGTTTTTGTTTTTTTGTTTTGACAGAATCTTGCTCTGTTGCCTGGCTGGAGTGCGGTGGCGCGATCTCGGCTCAATGCAATCTCCACCTCCCAGGTTCAAATGATTCTCCTGCCTCAGCCTCCTTAGTAGCTGGGATTACAGGCACCTGCCACCACACCCAGCTAATTTTTGTATTTTTAGTGGAGATGGGGTTTCACCATGTTGGCCAGGATGGTCTCCATCTCTTGACCTCGTGATCTTCCTGCCTCGGCCTTCCAAAGTGCTGGGATTATAGGTGTAAGCCACCGAGCCCGGCCAAAATTAGTGGTTTTGAGGGTGAGGAATTGAATGAAAAAGAGCTGGTGGTGAAAATATTTTGTATCTTGATTCGGGTGGGAGTTATAGGTTATATACATTTGTCAAAGCTCACTGGACTGTTCACTCACTTAAAATATGTACATCATATCATACATAAGGTACATTCAATAAAGCTGATTTAAAATAAACAAGAGAAGAGGACCAGTTTAAGTAATCAGAATGGATGTGAAAAACTTTATAAAGATGCTTATAATTTCTACTCTATAAAATATTAATTATAACCGCCGTTTGTTGTATATTCACTAATAGTCAAAGATTGTATATAATTGTCTTATACATGCTATTTCATTCAAAACATCACAATAAAACTATAAGTTTACATTAACTTGAACTATCTTGATATAACATTTTTTAGTCAGTCCAATGAAAAATATGACATGTATAAAATTTTCATCCCTAAAATGTTCTACCATTTAGCTAATAGTGTTTTATCTTTGCCTCATGGAATATGTCCTTCACATTTGCTGCTATGTGATTCTTATGTTAACTAGCTTATGTCTTGAAACATTTATTTCATCAGGTTGGTTGCTTTCAGCAGAAACACTCTTACCATATTTTCCATTTTGTTGGCTATCATATGGCCTTGGCCTCCAGAGCTGACTGGATCAGCACTGCTGCTCGACTGTGCAGCCAATGTCTCCTCTAACTCTCAATAAAGCTAAATCAAAGGATACCACCTGTGAGGGAAACAGCTATGAATACAAGACTGGATGTTTTGTTTTGTCTTCTCCTACCGTTTATGGCAAAGTGACTAAGGATAGTGTTGAATAATTTTGTTTCCTCTGTTTCCATTCTGTAATCCACTCTTCTGGAAGCAGAGGGGAGTCGTATTGTTTTTCCAGTGTCTCAATGTTCCAAAAGGATTCTCTTTGTCCTCAAACCAATATACCTTTAAACCCTGAATTTTAAATCACACATTAGCCTAGAAGAGTTACCATATGCTACTATCACTTTTCTTGAATGCCATATTTGAAGGTGACTTTTCATCATGAATATCCCACACGAAATGGTAGCATTTGCCTTTCTTTTCTTCCTGTTTATTAATCACATAATAAACAAAATTAGAGCTATCAAATTTCTGTGAGCAATGAAGCAATAGCTTGACAAATAAAAAAACAGAATAAAACAAATACGTAACAAATAAAACAAAAATCTGCTTTCAGCACACTGATAAAATCTTAAGCTCTCAGCCCCCCACCATTTACTGTATTGATGTAATTCATATACATGTGGCTTTATAACGAAAAGTGTGTTAGAAATGATTGTAATCAGTAAAACAAAAACATCTGAAGTCAACCTTAAAAAAAAAGTGCTTAATGTAGTCCCAGCTACTCGGGAGGCTGAGGCAGGAGAATGGCATGAACCCGGGAGGCAGAGCTTGCAGTGAGCCCAGACTGCGCCACTGCGCTCCAGTCTGGGCAACAGAGCAAGACTCCGTCTCAAAATATATATATATATATATATGTTTTCTAATATAGAAAATAAATAATATAATTAGGCTACATTTTGAAAAATGTAAAATAATATCTATAATTAGACTACGTATCATTGTTAAGGAAAATAGGATAATAGAGCCATATTTGAAGTACAGATAATAAAATATTGGAGATGGCTTTTTGTTCATGAATAAAAAAGCCAGTCATCCTGCCAGGAATATGGATAGAATAGGCAGGCATTTTGTGACCATGAGGAGAAAAGATCCACTTTGGGAACGGCAGATTAGAAAGATGGAAGGCAACTGAATTTTTGAGGGCACACGTGAGCAGATGCACCAAGCCTGGACTATGTACTTCCTAACTTCATGTGAAGCATAAAAACTAAGCCACATTTGGTTAAGCTACTATGTGCTTTTGTTCCAAGGCCTTCCAGTAACTCCGGCTCCCAAGAGATTAGGGCTTAGCACCTGAGCATTTTGGTATCCTGAAATACCTACTTAGTCTTGAGAACTCATTTTCTTTCCCTAACATAGTCTCCTCCAGGACTAGAGGATTGCTTAAGTATTAACCTATTTGAATAAGGATCTGATATTAGGACTGATATGGCCTAATTCTTGTCAGTGTCCTCCTAGAGGAATGGATCATTTCAGCCAGTGAAGGTATGAAGGATGACACTTCACAGCCAAAGACTGGAGTTGTGTAGTGAATGAGCAGATTGTCACACTTTACAATGCGGTCATTAACTTACCTAGCTCTAAGTACTCCTAGTCTCCTAGACGTGAACTTCTTGCTGACTGTTACTTACAGCACTGGAGTAACCTTATCTGTCCTCATACATTTCAAAAATTGATAATTGCCAGACCAGAGCCAAGCTTGCTCTGACATTGAATACTATGTTTTGAGCTGTATAAGCGTCTTATTTTGGATCAAATTTTGCAACCATATTTTGTTTGCTTTAGTGTTAGGCAGTCTGAGTTGCTAAGATCACATCCAATAAGCTGAACCCTCTCGTATTATGACTTATCTGTGAAGCAGATATTACCTGTGAATTTATCATGCAATTTGAAATTCAGAATTTCTTATGAAAATAAAAATTTGAACTATAAATAGTTTCAAATTGGAAAGCTCTTTGGAACTAGTATTATCATTTATGTCTTGACCTGAAAATAACAGAAAATAACAGCTTTTTTATTGAGTTTGGATGTTAAAAACCTTGAAATGTTCAAGAATTAATGAGACATTGAAGTTCAGGAGCAGAGGTTTATTCCTGGCTGAATCATTTGTGTCTAAAACATTTTTATTTCAGGCCAGAAAGAGTCCCCAAAGACTCAGAAGATTTGTACTGGTCTATACAGTTCAGTACACTCTATGCTTACCACTGTCAAATGGGAAAGACAAGGCTAGAAGATTTAAAATTTTAACTAACAACATTCCCATTGCTAAGATTTCAACACAGGTGAATTGCCGCTTTGTAAATTTTGATGAGAACAACATGAAATATGAATGGTTTGTGTGTGTGTTTGTGTATACAGATCACATATACATGTGTTTAATATATATACATCTGACAATTACTGGGTAATTATTTATATTCACATTTAAAAATTCTATACTGTAATTTTAGTGTGAGTAAAGACAATAGAAGACCATTTTGAAGAAGTATATGGAATATCTGTTACAATATTCAACAGAGTTATGTTTGTTCCGCAAAATAAACTATCAGAAGCACCAAGAAAGGAATAACTGCAAACTATTACCACAGTAAGAAATGTAAATTTTATAGACTTCACCTAATTTAGTCCAAATAATAAAGTGTAAGTTAGATGCACCAATGCTGCTTTATTCACATTTGTTCAACTTCATAATGTTACTTATTGACTTATTTCTTCTATAAGAAAGTGGCTGATGATTCTGTATTGAACCTCAGTCAAGGCATGCAATAATAGCTAGAATGTGATTATGAAAGTAACACCTAAAATATTGTACATCTATTTTCATTACCTAAAATGTGCATTTTTATATTATGCATTTTTATATTATTTACAAGCAGGCTGAGGAGATGAATGCTCCCAGTTAATCAGTCCTTTAAATAACATTATTTGAACTGTATCAGGAAAAGTGAGAAATTACAAGAGAAAAATACAGCAGGCCGGGCGCGGTGGCTCACGCCTGTAATCACAGCACTTTGGGAGGCCGAGGCGGGCGGATCACGAGGTCAGGAGATCGAGACCATCCTGGCTAACACAGTGAAACCCCGGCTCTACTAAAAATACAAAAAAATTATCCGGGCGAGGTGGCGGGCGCTTGTAGTCCCAGCTACTCGGGAGGCTGAGGCAGGAGAATGGCGTGAAGCCCGAGGGGCGGAGCCTGCAGTGAGCCGAGATCGCGCCACTGCACTCCAGCCTTGGTGACAGCGAGACTCCGTCTCAAAAAAAGAAAAGAAAAGAAAAGAAGAATACAGCATAATTCTCTATGACTTATTCTATTTCAATAGCATTTGCATATAATTTTGAAATACAAGTGACACACATACAAAAACGAAGCCACCAAGTTGTAACAATAAATAAGAAAAATAATTGCTTACTGCAATGGTATAGAAAAAGTATATATCACTTGATATTATAAAAATAAGATTTAGGCAGAAAGGTTTAGTTTAGGGAAATTGGCATTATTATAATATCCTAGAATGTTTTTAATGTGTATGTTTGTGTCATTGTCAATGTCAAAGCAAATGTCTCCAAGTCATTGTGCAACAAGCTATTGCTAAAACATGACTATCTCACTACTGCATGAGTTTCCCAACCTTATATGAGGTCTCTATTGTCTTCTCCCCCCCAATATAATAACTTCAAATTCCTTACTTTCAGTGTATTCCATAATTTGTCTAGCTAAAGAATTGTATATATACATAATATATGCAAAATAGTCATGTACGTACACACACAAAGCTTGAACCATCACCATGAAAATATTAGGGAAAAGCAGGAGACTCTTTAAAATACATTTTAAAAGCAAGAAAAAGGAGGTAAAGGCAACATAAGTAGGGAAAACATATTCATTCCGTTTCAGCAGAGAGGCAGAAACCAGATAACATATTTCATTGAATCTAAAAACCATTCATTTTAAGATGAACAGTTTTTCTTGTACCACCAAGAAAGAAAAAAATGCTTCCAATTATACTATGACACATTATTGATGAGAAGATGCATCTTAATTTCTGCAGTACTAACGTGTGAAAAAGTTTTTTAAATTGATGAAACATGTACTTAATGTTTTTCATCTTTCTTTTATTTTGAGGGGCTATCTTCCTTTTAAAGTACCCATTCTTAATATTAATATTTCAGATTAACATTAACGTTAAGTTTTACTTCCAAGTAACTGAAATGGTAAATGAGAATGCTAACAGGCTGTAAACATTTCCTTTTTCCATGAGTTACTTCTGAAATCTAAAGCGTGTTTAGTGCCCCATTCATAAGGAAAAGATTTGCCCTGCAAAAGAACAAGTCATAGATTTGATACAAGTGAGTTTTATTATTAAGTGCCTGGAGCCTTATGGGCTCAACAATCTGAATTAGTAATGCAGAACTGAGAATGAGTTTGTCTATTTTTATTTCTCCTAGACTAATGTTTGAAGTGCAAGTCTCTATTATTAGACTAATTTTCCCTCCATTATAGAACCCTTTAACAAACTCATTAGTTTTCAAAGCAAATGCATCTACCTTACTCAAATTAACGGGATTCTTAGTTGAACATTCTTTTCAAATTCTTATGGCTTTTTTTTTTTTTACTATTACACAATTAAACAGTGCAATCTAGTATCTCTCTATGATATAGACACATATTTTAGGTACAACTATTATTATTCCTTTCCTAACCAATGCTAAATATTAATTTAAGACTTTAAGAGAAAAAAAACAGTCAAAGCCAGTATAAGGTTTTCTGTAAGTCTCATTAATAGCATGACAGCCTTGTATGTATTGACAGCTCTGAGTTATAATCCTAATTTTTAAATTATAGTATGGATCTCATGTTATTAATGCTTCTTTAAACTACAGTATGGATACAAGATTGTTAATGCTTCTTTCTCAGATTATTAATGCTTCTTTAAAGTAGCTTAAAAAAGTGAAAATCTAATTCTAATTAGTGTAAAACTGGAAGAAGTTCTTCTGCATGTTGCTTCTTTAAAACTTATATTTTAAAAATATGAGATAGTTATCCCGTAAATTGGATCTATGTCTGCTGGCTATATATAGCAAAGCACTAAGACTTGCTCCCTTGTCTAAGCTGATGGATAGTGTTATAATGATGCCAATAGCTTGATTAAGACAGCTGCTATTTGAGGAACACAGTGTAAAGGGCATGTAAGTAGCAACTGTTCTCAGACCTTAGCATCTTGTATGTTGGATGTTACATGGCAAGAGAATAACATATGTGAGCTGTATTACAGTGGCTGCCATGGAAACCATTTACCTGAGTTAAGGTACAGTGTTATACTCAGAGCTTTTATAATAGAGTAATTAAAAAACCTCCATTTAAAATTATTTTTTGAATTTATTTTCAAAATCAGCAATCAATAATACGATTTTCTGTATTAATCAACATCACGTTTAATCTCTGTGCTTCAATTTCTTCTACCAAAGGTACAATAATAATATATAAACCATACCCATTTCTTAGGGTCATTATATCAAATAAGATAGTGTACTGGAAAGTACTTTACACTCCTGCCATTAGTTAATATGTAGGAAACAACACAATTAAATTCCATAAAATAAGGAGCTGCATTTTTTCAAGGTTAGTGAACTGACTAGGTGAGCCCAGCTAGCCCCCAAGGAATTCCATCCAAAGTTGTCCATTTCTTATTTATCGTTTAGTGCCACCTGTTGGCAGTTTTGTTTTCTGGCTCAAATATTAGTGGAAGCAATCCCGGGTTCTACTGCTGCTTGGGAAGTCTAAGAGTGCAGCAGGGATTTCAGAAATCTCCTGGTTGTTGGTATTTCCTCCATTCATATTGAGGATATTAGGAACAGATAATAGTGGGAATGGGAGACTCAACTGTACCCCCTCATCTTCTTCTGATAGCTTTCTACTCCATCTTTCTTTTCCCCTTCTCCCCACCCCCACGCCTGAAGATAAGAGGTTTTGTCTGTCACAGTTGGAAGGCGTAAGAGACTGGGTGGAAGACAGGAGTACTGGGGTCAACGATTGGATTATATCAAAATCAGAATGATTAGATGGCTTATTTCTCTTTGCATGCTTTTTATTTTTCATTTTTCTTATTTTCATTGATTTTTTAAAAATACATTTTATCATGTACACTTAATGTATACAACATGATGTTGTGGGATACATATAAACAGTAAAAATGTTACCATAGTGAAGCAAATGAACATATCTATCTGTCTACCTATCTATCTATCTATCTATCTATCTATCTATCTATCTATCTATCTATCATCTAACATAGCCTTTCTTTTCATTTAAATCTACTCATTTAGCATGAATCTCCAATACAATTTCGTTACCTGTAGTTCTCATGTTGTACATTAGGATCTCTAGACTTGTTCATCACACATACCTGCTCATTTGTATCCTTTGAGCTACATCTCTTCGTTTCTTCCCACCCCCATTTCTAGTAAGCACTATTTTTTCTATCTCTGTATATCTGAATTTTTTGTGTGTTTGACATATAAGTGAGATTGTGCAATTTTTTTTCTGTGCCTTACTGATTTCACTTAACTGGATTATCCATGTTTTGGCAAATGGCAAGATGCCATTCTTTTTTTGGATAAATAATATTCCATTCTATACAGATGCTCCTTGACAGCGGGTTAAGGCCCAATAAACCAATCATAAACTAAAAATATCCTAAGTGGAAAAATGTATTTAATACATCCAACCTACCAAACATCGTAGCTTAGCATAGGCTACCTTAAACATTCTCAGAACATTTACATTAGCCTACAGTTGGACAGAATCATCTAACAGAAAGCCTATTTTATAGCAAAGTGTTGAGTACCTCATGTAATTCATTGAATTCTGAAAGTGAAAAACAGAATGATTGTATAAGCACTTAAAGTACGTTTTATACTGAATGTATATCACTTTCACGCCATCATAGATTTGAAAAATCATAAGTACAACCCTCATAAGTTAGAGATTATCTGTACATCTACCACAGATTCTTTATCTGTTTTTTCACCCATGGACACTTGCGTTGTTCCCATATGCTGGCTACTGTGAAGAATGTCTCAGTGAACATGAGGGTGCCGATCTCTTTATGAGATGATTATCTCATTTCCTTGAGTATGCGTATGCTTTATAAACTACAAAGTAGTTTATAAATGAATACAATATTATAATCACTATCTAAAAACATCTAAACATTTTTGTGATAAATTTTACCTAAAGCAGGCTGCCATAAAAAACTGTCTGCATGTTAACTTTTATACTTTTTATTAGCAGAATTTGAGAACCAGCATATTCATATTTAAAAATGTAATAAATTCAAATTGGAGGAAGCTGAAGAGTTGACATAATTGTTAATCGGTGGAAAAGTCACCCAAATTGGCTTGAGAATTTTTCTCATGATGGTTTCTTTTGGGTCCATCATTGCTCCCCACTATTATGACACAAAGAATATGCATAGCAGTGTAGAGTAAAAGCATCAACTAAAATAAACTTTCGAGAAATTCTGAAAGGGAATTTTTAAAAAGCCAAACAAACTCTGGGAGAGTAATATAATTTAGTGGCTGAGGATATAGACTCTGGAGCCAAATTGCCTGGTTCCAATATCCTAGCTTTGTCAATTACTAGTTATATGACCTTGATCGTGTCACTTAAATTCTCTGTGCCTCAGTTTCCTCATCTGTAAAATGGATACAAGATACCTACTTCATAGAGGTGTTACAATAAAAAATAAACTTTCAAAGTATAAGAAGAACTAAATTAATATAAATTTACGTTATATAAAATTTCACAGTAGTGTAGTTTATCTTTAAGTGCATTTTAAAGTGGACATTCTATGCTTGTTATTTTTCCCTACACATGCTCTGAATTTTGTACTGGAGAAGTTGGCATAGAGAGGTAAACTATACTTAATGACGCCTTCTTCTAAATGTCTCTTAAAATTTAGAATTTCCTCTGGTCAGTGAAATGGTGGACAAAAATCTGGGTTCAGTAATTCGTTGCATATTAAAAACTCTAAAGCTAGAAGATCAACTTATCTTTTAAAATCTAAATTTACTGAGTTAGTGGAGGCTAACTTTGTAATAATTGGATCTACAAACATGTGTCTTAATCACAATCTTGCAGACAGAACAATCCTCTTTGAATGAGCTGGTGGGTATGATAGTCCATCTTCATGCAATCATATGAGGTCCCAAAATGATGATGGCTTTGTGCTTCTTTCCATTCAACCCAGCCAGAAAGGAAAGAGCACATGGAGGAGGCTTACATGGGTAGTTTCTATGGACCCATCACTTCCATTCACATGTTTTTGGCGAAAACTCCATTTTTTGGCTTCACCTAACTGCAATGGATACTGGGAAATTTATTTTCTGCTGAGCAGCCTCTTAGAAGCAACAACTGTGCCCAGCAGAATGGGAAGCATATTCTGTGCTGAGCTCAACATCTTTGACACACCTAAGTGTCAAAGATTTTACATATTTTGAGGGTCTTGTACAGTGTTTTAAAGACTTACAAATTGAATATTAACATTTAATAGTTTGTAGATTTTACAAAAATCTTTCATAATTCTACCTTCTCTTGAAAAATCAGAAGATTTGGACAAAATGGATTTATAGTTCCCCTGGGCAGCAATTGTTTGCAGCTGCCTGCATTCTCCCCAGTTTGCCAGAGGGAGCATTTTGCCAGCGTCACTTTTTAATTTGCCTTCCTGAATTTGGAGGCACTAAATTTGTGACCCTTGCCAGATCATGAGATGAAAAACTTGATTTAAGAAATCTAGGGGCTGGGCGCAGTGGCTCATGCCTGTAATCCCAGCACTTTGGGAAGCCGAGGCGGGTGGATCACAAGGTCAGGAGTTCAAGACCAGTCAGGCTGAGATGGTGAAACCCCGTCTCTACTAAAAATACAAAAATTAGCTGGGTCTGGTGGTGCACGCCTGTAATCCCAGCCACCCGGGAGGCTGAGGCAGAAGAATCACTTGAACCTGGGAGGCGAAGTTTGCAGTGAGCCGAGACTGCGCCACATCACTCCAGCCTGGGTGACAGAGCAAGACTCCTTCTCAAAAAAAAAAAAAAAAAAAAAAAAAAAAAAAAAAAAAAAAGAAGAAGAAGAAGAAGAAAACTAGGAAATTCTAAATTTTAAAGGATCTTCAGAAGAAGAAGAGTCACTTACTGTAGTTTGCCTTTCTGTGCCAACTTCTCCAAATAGAAAATTCAGAGCATGTGTAGATAAAAGAAAACTAGGTACATAATATATACTGTAAAATATATTTAAAGAACAATACATTTAAATATAGAAGAAAAGGAGCAGAGGAAGTGAAAGAGGAGAAAAACAGGGGAAGACAAAGACAGGGTCAGGGATAAGCAGAAATTTAAAAAAATAGAACAAGTAAGAGAGAAACTAACTTTTTCAAAGTAAATAAAGATATTGATGGAGAGCAACAAAAAATTTTGATGAATCTAATATGGAGAGGTTTTCATAATTCATATATTTAAGAATGTTTACTAAGAGGTAACAATATAATGATGATGATATTAACCATACGTAATGACAGCTAAGATTTATGGTGTATTCACTCTTTGCTGGCATGATGCTAAGGACTTTATATAGATGGTTTCATTTGGTCATTTGAGAATTATGTCTTAAGTCAACAAAAAAAGTGATGATTAGTCACCTACATGACATCAGACAGGCTTTGAAATGCAGAGACGTCCAGCGAGATACCAAAGGTCCCCTCCCTGGGAGGGGAGCTTTAACAATTTTAATAAATTATTGATTGGACACCCCAGTGGGCAAGAGAAGGGAAAAAACCAACAAAGCGATAAAAATTCTAAAATTTGCTTCATAATTTATTGCATAATAACACTTTTTAATAGATTGACCTTGAAAATTGTTTTGTGAGTTGAATATCATCATTTTTTTTCTGTGATGTCTTCTAGCTTCCAGTAGTGATGGTAGAGAGTTTAGAATATTCCAATGTCAAAAATCAGCCAAGATGTCATCATTGTTGGGTGTTGTTTTCAAAGATAATATTGTTTAAATCAGAAATTCAGAAACATGATGTCTCTACCTAGTCATTGTTTCCTTTAACAAATGGTTTTTCCTCCTATTGGACAAATTTTACTTCAATTATTGACTATTATCTAGAGATGTGGAGACATATGTATGATTAATGGACAGGTGTGATTTTGCATTTAATATTGAGAAACAAAAGAGGAACTTAAACTTTAGATAGAAATTTAAAAATCAGTTTTATTATTCTGCAGAGAAGTCAGCTCCTTTCTTTTCCAAAATGATATTGGAAATATAAAATTTCTCTAGTAACTTCAAAAAAGTGATTAATCTGGCATTGTTTTTGTTTTCTTGCTGGATAATAGAAAAGATACTAAGCTGGTAGAAACTTTCTTAGTTATTAGTTTATTTATAAACAAAATAGTAAGAGGAATATTGAGATAATGTTTCCAGCAGCAATAATTTCATGTTATAAAAATCTTAAAAAGCATTTTCAACTAGAGAATCTTGAGAAATTATGTATTAGATAACCAAGTAGATTCATAATGCTTTTTACCTAGTTTGAGTGGCAGACAGTTTTAAGGTTAAACAAAGACTCTTGACTTGTTGCCTCTAAGAATCATCAAATTATTTCATTATTCACCTCAAAATCTTCCACATATCCTTTCTTCTTTTCCAGGAATTTTAAACGAATGTATACATAAGGAATTGAATTGTCATCTCTAGAAAATAGTGATGCATTAGATTTTTAAAGTATCTTTTTACAGTTGAAATTGATATGTTTATTTATACTGACAACTTTTTGAAAAATAAAATTGTAATGAGGCATCATACAAAAATAAAAACTCTAAGCTGCCTTTTTTTAAACAATAAAAGCTTTTTAAAAAAAGTATGTTAAAATAGTTGCCACTTTTATAATAGTTTCACAACAGATAATTCTAAAGTATATTCTCATTATTTTTAACACATGTAAATGATACTTTAAAAATGCAGAACTTCATTTTATGAAAATACACTTAGAATTCCATTAGTTCTTTGTTGTGAAATAAGGTATTTATTTATTCCCCCATTTTTTTCTTATTCAATCTGTGAGCCATTGTATTTTGATCAGTTCACCAATCCATGACATGCATTCATCATATATTCCTCCCACATGCTTTGAAGCTGTTGGACACTTATACCACTGTCTTGCAAAGTTGGGCTCATTGGCAGGTCAGGGTAAAGTGGGGAACACCTCACTTGGAGTTGCTGCTCCTAAAGGCCCACCAGTGGACCTTAGAGACTGGCCATTGTTTTATTTATTGATTTAGTTTTTTTTTTTTTTTTTTTTTTTGAGAGTGTCTTGCTCTGTTGCCTCTGGCCATTGTTTTAGCTGGGGATTACTGCTGTAGTTGAGCACCAAATATGGCAAAGAAAGGAGAATGGGCCGCTATATCAATCAGAAAGCTGTCAACCCAACCCCTCCTCGTGAACATATTACCAAGGGAGGCACAGAGTTAAGCATCCTGACTGTCGCTGCTCATAGCCCCTCTTAATCCCCTCTCATCATAGCACCTGAATGATAGAAACAACATAAACACCAACATCCAGGCTCCAACTAACTTCTAACTAGGGAATTCAAGTGTATACCAGAGAAGTAAGGCAACTAATCTGTGTCAATTTTCAGAATTTAAGAAAGAGTCACATTTAAAAATGGATAAAGGAAAAACAAGAAGGTCTCTATGCAGTAAGTATGGAGCATAAAGGAAAGCATGATATGCTATGTTTGCTTGATAAAAAGCATATGTTCAAAGAAGATAACAGAAGAAAGATTGGATGACTTCACCTTCTTAAAGGAAATTAAATAAAATATTAGCTCTATGAAGTTGGAGATGATAAGAAGATGAGAAAGAGACAGGCTGCAACAAAAGGGAAGTTAGCATGAAATAAATTAAGGGGGGGAAATGACACTGATGATCTTAAAACTGCATTGGAAGCAAGAAAGAGAAATAACAATGTAAAAGCCTATGAATGGAGAACAGGCTTGAGAATATCATACCATTCAAAGAATGTGACTGAATAGACGATAATCAAAATTATAGAAAGTAATAGAAATCCATCATTGAGATAATAGTCATGCTGGAATAGGAAAAGAAGAACACATGCAACAGACAAATATTCAAAGATAAAATAGAATAAACCATTCCTGAATTGAATGAGGACCTGAAACTATAGATCAGGGTTTATCATATAGAAAAAACTGTATTAAAGAACAACCAACATTCAGAAACATCCTAGTGAATTTATTGAACTCTAAGAATAAGGAAAGAACACTTCAAATATCTAGACAACAAGAGGTCACCTACAAGTAAAAAAATTAGTCTAGCTTTAAATTGTCAGCCAAATAGCTGACAGATGGAAGTGGAGCAATTTGTATAGAAGGTGCATACACTAGGGGTCTATACAGTCTTGTCAATGCAAAGACAACAGAGAGACTGTCAGTTATGTGAAGATTTAGGAATATAGAATCCATTTATCTTTCCTGATGAATCTACTTGAATATATAATTAGTGCAATGAAAAGTAAAATGTAAACTTCATGAAAGTTGTGCTATGTATATATTTGAACACATACTTATACCTAAATGGTTATGACTACAGATTATATACATAATTATTCCTATCTATCATCTATCTACCTATTCTTTCTTGCTAAGATGAAAAATCTATACACGATAATAATACAATGGAGACCAAAATCCTACAGTACAGTAAGAAAACCCCCCAGAAGGAAGGAGATTAAAACTGGCAAGTTTAAATATCTTGATTTTTTCGTACCTCATTAAGTAGGAGATTAATTAGATATTGTTGTTGTGTCCAGAATTGGTTCCTTCCAGTGGGTTCTTGGTCTTGCTGACTTCAAGAATGAAGCCACGGACCCTCACGGTGACTGTTACAGTTCTTAAAGATGGTGTGTCCAGAGTTTGTTCCTCCAGATGTTCAGATGTGTCCGCGGTTTCTTCCTCCCGGTGGGTTCATGGTCTCTCTGGCTTCAGGAGTGAAGCTGCAGACCTTCGCAGTGAGTGTTACAGCTCATAAATGTAGTGCGGACCCAGAGAGTGAGCAGCAGCAAGATTTACTGTGTAGAGCGAAAGAACAAAGCTTCCACAGTGTGGAAGGGGACCCAAGCAGGTTGCCTCTGCAGGCTGAGGTGGCCAGCTTTTATTGCCTTATTTGGCCCCGCCCATGTCTTGCTGATTGGTCCATTTTACACAGCACTGATTGGTCTGTTTTTAACAGAGTGCTGATTGGTGTGTTTACAAAACTTTAGCTAGACACAGCATGCTGATTGGTGCGTTTACAAACCATTAGCTAGACACAGAGCACCAATTGGCAAGTTTTTACAGAGTGCTGATTGGTGCATTTACAAACCTTTAGTTAGACACAGAGCGCTGATTGGTGCATTTTTTACAGAGTGCTGATTGGTGCATTTACAAATCTTTAGCTAGACACAGAGTGCTGATTGGTGCGTTTACAAACCTTTAGCTAGACAGAAAAGTTCTCCAAGTCCCCACCCAACCCAGAAGCCCAGCTGGCTTCACCTCTCATTGTGATACAGGAGTTAAGAAGAAATCATTTAGGCAGATAGTGAGGATATGGGAGTCCTAGGTAAGGTTTTCCTTTTAATGAAAATCAGCCCCCAGATCATTTTCTTTTCTAACAAAGAGCAGCCTGTAAAATCGAACTGCAGACATAGACAAGCAAGCTGGAAGCTTGCAAGGGTGAATGCCAGCAGTTGTGCCAATGGGAAAAGGCTACCTGAGACTAGGCATGTTCAAAATGGTGACTCCATGTTCCCTTCTTGTTGCCAGCCACATGTACAGTAAGGAGCAGACAAGATGGTGCTGGCCAAGTGGAAAGCCCATTTGCATAATATTAGGGTGGAGTGGCCAGCCTTCCCCATGTGCTATGTAAATGTCACATTTGGTTAGACCAATCTATGGGACCTATGTAAATCAGACACTGTCTCCTCAAGCCTGTTTAGAAAATCTGCTGTGGTCAGCCACAGGCCGGATTTTCCTCTTGGAAGCCCCTCTCTTTTGCCAGGGAGAAAGCTATTCTCCTTTCTGTTTCTTTTGCCTATTAAACCTCCACTCCTAAACCCACTCCTCCTGTGTGTCCACGTCCTTAATCTTCTTGGTGTCAGACGATGAACCCCGGGTATTTACCCCCCAGACAATCACACTGCTTCCGTTGCAAGATGGAAAGTATATACATTGAAAATCACAGGTTATAAAGATGTTATTTAAAGTTATATACTTTACAAATTATAAAGGAGAAAATAAACTCATTTAAAAATTGGAGAAATGCAATAAAAATAAAATATAATTACATCATAATATCAAAAAAATTGTCTAATAATAGCTATTCTAGTGAGGACTAGGCTCTGATTTTTTTATCTGCCCAAATTCCTATCTAAGGGGTCTGGGGAGTCATACCCTACAAACCATAAATTCTTATCAGATGGGGGTTTTATTTAATCCTATATATTGTGACTTACGTTCCAACCTGACTCCAGCATACCATTACATGACAAAGAAGAAAGTAAAAATATTTTACCCCAAAACATGTTTCTTTGCCATATTTTGAAATGGCCCTGGAAAGCCTTTGTGGGAGGGGGAGGGGGAGGTGGGGGGGGGGGAATTTGCATCTGTAAAGAATCTCTATTAACATAGCTAGATCTTTTTCTTCCAGGCCCTCCCAATCCTGAAGAGATTAACTAAGAGTCTAGTCTACCTTTTAAAGATCTGAATAGGAAACATTTGTCATCTGTTGTCTCTAAGGGCAGCCACTGTAAGACTTCAAAAGAACCTTGGTATCCACAATCTTTTATCTTAACCAGACATTTCTTTTCTATAGATACCAGGTCTTTAGACAAACAATCAACTGTCAATCAGAAAATGTTTAAATTTACCTATAGCCTGGGAGTCACCCCAACCCCCTACCCCTGCTTTGAGTTGTCCCACCTTTCTGGACCAAACCAATGTATTTCTTAAATGTATTTGATTGATGTCTTGTGCCTCCCTAAAAATGTATAAAATGAAGCTGGACCCCAGCCACTTGGGCACATGTTCTTAAGACCACCTGAAGGCTGTGTCATGAGCCATGGTCACTTATATTTGGCTTAGAATGAATCTCTTCAAATATTTTACAGAGGTTTGACTCTTTTTGTCAACACGAGTCAAAAAAAAAGTCCTGATCAAACTTATTTGTCTAGGGAGGAGTAACCTACCTATATGTACCTGACTTGTGATATGTTTTAAAAATAAATAAAATGAATCCACAAAAGGAAGTTAAGTTCTAGGCATTGTAAACCAAAATAAAATTCTAAGTCTCCCAACCAAATGAATGGACCCTCTTCTCAGCCAACAGATTCCAAAGAAACTTGAGAAACTAGTTCAGGCCACAGTGGGGGTGACAGGGTTAGACATGCCTCATTATACCTTCTCCGTTTTAGAGTTTAGAAACATTTGACTAGCATTCACATTAAAATAGAGATCTTAAGACTGACAAAACAGACTCTGTAGCAATGAGTTACTAAATTCCAATGGTATAGTATCACATGACAGATAGCAAGCCCTGAAGGAAATCAAAGTATTTTACCCCAAAATATATTTGACATATTTTGAAATGGTCCTGCAAAGGTGTCTCTTGTGGGTGAAATTTACATCCCCCTTCCTGTTCCAGGTCTTCTTCTGATACTGAAGACATTAGCTGAGAGTCTAGCACCTTTTATGGGTCTGAATAGGAAATATTTGCTATCTATTGCATCTGGGTGCAGCCACCTATGAGGCTTCATCTACATAATAAGAACTCTAGTCTCCACACCTCCTTGTCTTAACCCAAACACCCTTTCTATCGATTCCAGTCTTTTAGATAATAGAACTCTTTCAACCAATTGCTGATCAGAAAATCGTTGTATCCACCTATGACATATAAGTCCCTGCTTCAAGTTGCCCTGCCTTTTCCGGAGCAAACCAATGTGTATACCTCACATGTATTGATTGATGTCACATGTCTTCCTAAAACACATAAAACCAGGCTGTAACCCAGTCACTTTGAGTACATGTTCTAGGACCTTCTGAGGCTGTGTTATGGGCCTGTCCTTAACCTTGACAAAATAAACTTCTAAATAGATTAAGACTTACCTTAGATACTTTTTGATATACAGCATACACACACACACACATGCATACACTAAGTAAATGTTAACAAAGAGTAAAGGCTTACAATGTCGATATCAAAGAAAGTGATATATTGATGAGAGTTTAAATTCACAATGGAGTTATATTTATATTTTATATAAATATAACTATATTGATGAGGGTTTAAATTCACAATGGAGTTATAGGTGTCATGTATCTTTATGTTTCTAAAAATATTGCATAAAATATATAAAGCAAAAATCTTCAGTTATACAAACAAAAATACAAAATAGAGTAATGTTGCAATACTTGTATTTTATTTTTTCAATCTTTGACACACCAAGTAGACAAAATATAAGGATAGTGAGTATTTCTTTGTATATGTTATATAAATTATTCTAGTGTACTCTAATACAATATAGTGTATATTATTCTAGTGCATTGTATGTAATATATTCTAGTATATTCTATATAATATATAACTTTCATTTCAGTCATCATTTTATGAATTGATGCCATATAAGCATATAAGTCTATCTGAATAGATTTCTGAAACTATGTAAACCACACAATTTAAATACAATGCTATATAACCAGAAGTAAATAACAAAGTAAAAAAAAGTCCCAAACATAATTCATATATTAAAAATCTCTCAGAGTTCCACTTCTGGAATAGTGATGTAAGCTCTCACACACAAACCCTACCACTGATAACAAATATCAACTCTGCACAAAAGACTAAAACAACAACAACAATGAAACACCATCTAATATTCCTGAAGAGTAAATCAAAGCATGTGATGGGGAGAAGAGTCTAAACTTGGAGAAGAGGCAGGATCAGAAGTAATTTTCTCAATTATTTGCAACTTTACCTTGAAAGCAGACCACAGCTCAGGAGGCTATAAATCTGATAGAATCTCTTTGCCAGAGGCATGAGGGAAGGGACCCTGGGCAGACATAGCCAAACTCCAGACCAGCTGAGGGAGTCCTGGAGAGGAGAAAGCAGGAGGAAGGGCTCCGCTAACTCAGTATGTGGGCATTGTCCTTGTCTTAGGATGAGCCTGATATGCATGAGGCAGAGGATGAATTTAAAATGAGGCCAGATGGTAAAACTGTGCATTTTCTCCATTAAGTTGTTTAGACTCAGAAATAGAATAGGCAGATAATCAGGCTGCAAGAGATTACAGACAATATGACTTGGTAAACGAATACAAGAGATGCATGGCAGAAGAGAGTCTGAGATAATTCCTAGGATTTGCTTTGTATGGACAGTAGTGCGGAGATGACAACAATTTCCTTGGGAGAAGTGTTAGGTTTGAGATGCCTGCAAGATAGTCAAGTGAAACTTGATTTCTAATACTGGCATCTCATGAGAAAGATCACCAGAGGTATGGATTTGGGAGCCACTGAGTATAAGGTATCATTGAAAATATGGGAAAACATAAAAATTTCTCAGGGAGAGAGCCATATGTTAGTAAACATCCTTATTGAGTATCTAAAGCATTGTAACTATGTTCATTCAGGTAGCCACTCATTCATTCACTCAAGTACATGTACTCCTTGTAATCTAAGCACTGTACTGGGCGCTAAATACACAATTGTCAACTCTTAGTCAAATGTACTTCACACCTCCCAACTAAGTTTATGGAATGTTTAGTTAACAAACAGATTTCTACAATCAGAATTGGTCTGTTCCAATATTTATTTATGTTTGCAACATAAAAAGTTAATACATACTTAGTGGCTTAAAAGAATGCTCTACACTTTTATCATGTTACAATTTCTGTGGGTCAGGAATATGGACACATCATAGCTGGGCCCTCTGGTCAGGATCTCACAAAGCTACAACCAAGTTATTAGCTAGGCTGCATTCTCATCTCAAGGGTGAACTGGGGAGGAATCAACTTCCAAGCTAACTCAGGTTGTTGCCAGCTTTTTCTTCCCTGCAGTTGTAGGACCAAGGAGTTGGCTAGTTACTGGCTCACAGGTGGAGGGTGCCTTCAACTTCAGAGGCTGCCTGCAATTCCTAAAAACTGCCCACTTTGGGAGGCTGAGGCAGGTGGATCACTATGTCAGGAGATCGAGACCATCCTGGCTAACACGGTGAAACCCCGTCTCTACTAAAAAATACAAAAATTAGCCGGGTGTGGTGATGGATGCCTGTAGTCCCAGGTACTCGGGAGGCTAAGGCAGGGAATGGCATGAACCCGGGAGGCGGAGCTTGCAGTAAGCCCAGATCAGGCCACTGCACTCCAGCCTGGGTGACAGAGCGAGACTCCATCTCAAAAAAAAAAAAAAAAAAAACCAGCAACAACAACAACAAAACTGCCTGCAGTTTCTAAGGGCTGGCTGCAGTTCCTAGAGGCTACATGCAGTTCCTAGGTGCTGGCTGCAATTCCTTGCCATTTGGCTTTTCAAGTATGTCTGCTTAATTTGTCAAGACAAGAGGGAGAATCTCTAGAGTGGCTAGTAAGGTGGAATCTTATACAATGTTATAGAATCATGGAAGTGACATGCTATCACTTTTCTCATATTTTATTGATTAGAAGCAAGTTACAGGTCCCACTCATACTCAGCAGGAAGAGACACAAGGCCATGAACACCAGGAGACAGAGCTCATGGGGGGCATCCTTTAAATGCCATTGTACATAGCCATAAGGAAAATGTATACAGCATGTATTATGTCCCAACATGATTGAAAACACTGGTGTTCCAAAAAACACATTCTGAGAAATGCTAACCCAGGTGGAAGTAAGCCACATGTACAACAAATACATTTGAATTTCTGTTCATTTTCATCTGCTTCTCCTTCCCTCCTGCTATTCCTCTATACACACAGAAATCTTATTAAGGTGACTTTATTAAAGGTCAAATCATACTAAGTTGAGTATCATTATAAAAAATTTGTTTTTCCAGCTGCTCAGTGGAATCATTCCTTCTTACCACTATAATTGAGTTTATTCCAAATTTTTTGATGTTATTATTACATTAAGAATAAGAACTTCAGTTTTATGGACATCTCTTACTTCTGTCATACTTTTTCATAAAGACTATTTTATTATAAATTGGTAAGGTTTGTATTCCGAGAAGCCTGATTTTTCCTAGTAATTCTTACCACAGCTTTCCTCTGGAGCTCAGGCAGACATCCTGGACCAGCCTGGGGAATAGATGCCATGCTGTTCTCTGTTTTTCTAGAAGCACTAATCCTTGTTCTTCCTTCCCAACAAATCAGTTCATATTGATAGACACATATAGGACTCTGGCTCATTCTTCTCAACAGATCACCTAGAGAGTTTAAGAATGACTTTAGGCTCAGCTAATATCCACACTACGCTCTTTCACCACCTTTGACAAATTTGATGTTTCAATGAGAATATCCCCTCTGTGGAGACTTGGAGACTCCATATTAAGCCACAATGGATACCAACTAAGGAAGAGGCTGGAGGCATGCAATACCTACAAGAAATGGCCCTAGATCCAAAGAGTTTGGAAGATGTGTTGGGAATGATAGCTTATACAGTAAAACCAGTGTTAGACTGGAGGTAGGGGGCAGGAGTGGCATTAAGAGGATGCTGATAAATCTCTCCTTTTCCATTTGAGGAAGGTAGAATTTGATAGTTTTCAAATTATGTTATTTGTAGTCCTAAGGTTCAGAAAATTTTCTGGAGTTTGCTTAAGGGACAATTTGGAAAATGAACTAGACCACCCTATCCTCACAGCCAAAGCAGCATAAGAAAATGTAAGATTTAGAATGTTGTCAGAGGGTGTCCAAGCAGAAATTGCAGTGGACAAAGTTAAACAGGCAAGAATGACTTTATGCAGCCTGCTGCAATAAGAGAGAGGGACAACTCAATTCCACCAAAACAAAAGTTAGAGGGGTTTTAAGCACAGGGTGAGCTAGTGGAAAAGTACTGAGGGATAACCATTGCCCTCTTCTAACCTATTAGCAGGGGGGTTGATCAATGGGATGTGTTGAGTACATTGAGTTATTCCTAAATTCGCTAATGTTTTTCTCTGTGATTAGGCCATCTGTGTTTGCTAATTGCTGCTCATTGAAGTTAGGCTTCCACCCTCCCATGGAGACTCGGGAGATAGGGGTGTAATGTCCGTTCATGTTTACATTTCAAAGAGATGGTTCCCAGGTCTTTCAAAAAAGACATTCCTGGGTTGTAAAAGTGGCAAGAGGCTATTTAAAAGATTTATATCTCAAAGGGACAGAAAGAATTTACAATCACAAAGTTTTCTAAAGTAAATGCTCTATAAAAATGGAGGTCAGGACCTAGAGTCAGAAAAAAAGTCTCTCTGAACTTGAAGTCAAGCTAAAGAAAATGTTAACTCTTTCTTGGTTAATGGTATGTTGGCTAGGGCCTGCAGGAAATAAAGGATCCTGACCTAAATCGGAGGAAGCTCTCCCCACTGCCTCCCACAAGGAGCAGTCATAAAATAAAGCAAAACAGCCTAATTTAGCTGGGCTTTTCCCCTACATCATAATGCAGAACATAGATAAAGTAGCCTAGAGCATAAGGCTTCACTCCTTCCCTTAAGCCTAAACCCAAACTTTCCACACCCCAGCAAGGAAAGGAGAAACTGGTGAGAAGTGAATGCTGTCAAGGTGGCTGAATGATCTATTATTCTAGCAGAAGATGCATAGATTAGAGCAGAGAAAGAAGTGACAGAAAGTCACATACCTGCTTTATTAATAACTCTGCTTATTAGCAAATATGCATTAATCCATTTTTGCATTAATAACTCTTCTTTGATAGGGAAGGCATGAAAGGAAGTAGAAAGAGAGTAATAAAGGAATCTTAAGATCTTGTATGTAGTACATAATTTTATTTCTGCATGTATTAAGCCATTCTTGCTTTGCTCTAAAGAAATTTCTGAGGCTGAGTAATTTATAAAGAAAAGATATTTAATTGGCTCATCATTCTGCAGGCTGTACAGGAAGCATGGTGCAAGCATCTGCTCAGCCTCTGGTGAGATCTCAGGAAGATTTTACTCATGGCAGAACGTTAAGCAGGAGCAGGTGTCTCACATGGCAAAGTGAGAGCAATGGAGAGACAGGGAAGTGCCACACATTTTTAAACAACCAGACCTCATGAGAGCTAACCCACTATGGTAATGAATGACAGCACCACCATGGGGGATCCACCCCCATGACCCAAACATCTACTATTAGGCCCTACCACCAACACTTGGGATTACATCTCATCATGAAATTTGGAGGGGACATCCAAACTATATCATTCTGCTCCTGGCCCCCTAAGTCTTATGTCCTTCTCACATTTCAAAATGTAATCATCCTTTCTCAATGGTCCCTGAAAGTTTTAATTCATTCCAGCATAACTCCAAGGTCCCAAGTCCAACGACCAAAGTCTCATCTGGAAATGAGTTCCTTCTACCTATCAGCCTGTAAAGTAAAAAGAAATTATTTGCTTTCAAGATACAATGGAGTAGAGGCATTGGGGTTAACATTTCTGTTCCAAAAGGGAGAAGTTGGCCAAAAGAAAGGGGATACAGACCCCCATGCAAGTTTGAAATGCAGCATGGCAGTGACTACATCTTAATGCTTAAAAATAATCTCCTCTGACTCCATGTCCCACATTCAGGACACACTGCTGCAAGGAGAGGGCTCCCAAGGCCTTGGGCAGCTCCACTCCTGTGGCTCTGTAGGGCTCAACACATGTGGTTGCTCTCATAGGTTGGACTTGAGTGCCTTCAGCTTCTCCCTGCTGAGGGTGCAAACTGCCAGTGGATCTAGCATCCTGGGGTCTGGAGGATGGTGACCCCTTCCCATAGCTCCAGTAGGTGGTACCCCAGTGGGGACTCTGTATGGGGCTTCCAACCTCACATTTCCCCTCAGCATTGTCCTAGTGAAAGTTCTCTGTGTGTGTTCTGTCTCTGAGGCAGGCTTCCGCCTGGCCATGCAGGCTTTTACATACATCCTCTGAAATCTAGGCAAATGCAGCCAAGCTCCCTTCGCTCTTGCACTCTGTGTTCCCACAGGCTTAACACCACATGAAAGGTGCCAAGGCTTACAGCAGCTTGCACTCTCCAAAGCAGCAGCCTAAGAGGTACCTGGACCCCTTTGAGCCATGGCTGGACCTGGAGTGGCCAGAATACAGGGAGTAGAGTCCTGAGGCTGTGTAGGGCACCAGGCCCTGGTCTTGGTCCATGAAACCATTCAGTCCTCCTAGGCCTCTCAGAGTGTGATGGGAGAGGCTGCCTCAAAGATCTCTGAAATGCCTCCATGGCCTTTTCCCCATTGTCTTGGCTACAAGCACTGGCTTTTATTTTCAGCCATGCAACTATCTCTAGCAATTGGTTGCTCCACACCCTGCTTCAATTCTCCTTCCTAAAAAGCTTTTACTTTCTTTGCCACATGGTTAGCCTGAAAATTTTCCAAACTTTTACACTCTGCTTCCCCTTTGAATATAATTTCCTACTTTAAGTCATTTCTTTGCTCCCACATCTGAGCATAGGTTGTTAGAAGCAGCCAGGCCACATGTTGAATGCTTTGCTGCTTAGAAATTTCTTCTGCCAGATACTCTAAGTCATCACTCTTAAGTTCAAACTTCCACAGATCCCTAGGACATGAACACAATGCAGCCAAGTTCTTTGCTAAGGCATAACAAAGATGACCTTTGCTTCAGTTCCCAATAAGTTTCTCATTTCCAACCAAAATCAACCATAGTCACAACCATTTAACCAAACTCTAAGAAGTTCCAAATTTCCCTCATCATCCTGTCTTTTAAGCCCTCTGAATTCTTCTAACCTCTGAGTGTTAGTTCCAAAATCACTTCCATATTTTCAGATATCTTTATACCAACACTCTAGTACCAATTTTCTATGATAGGGCTTTCTTACATTGCTATAAAGAAATTCCCGAGGCTGGCTAATTAATAAAGAAAAGAGATTTAATTGGCTCACATTTCTGCAGGCTGTACAGGACATGGAGCATGTCCAAGTGTGGAGCTGGCATCTCCTCAGCCTCTGGTGAGGCCTCCAGAAGCTTTTACTCATGACAGAAGATGAATCAGGAGCAAGCATCTCACATGGAAGAACAGGAGCAATAGGGCAGGGGGAGGTTTACTTTTACACAACCAGACCTGGTGAGAGCTCACTCACTATGGTGAGGACAGCACCAAGCCATGAGGGATCCACCCTCATGATCCAATCACCTCCCACCAGGCCCCACCTTCAACACTGGGAATTATATCTCATCATGAGATTTGGAGGGGAAATCCAAACTATATCACTGCAGCTAAAAACAATAATGAAAGACCTCTAGGAATTTTTTTAGTTCAAACACATCATACTAGCTATATATCTAGATCTATATATTTGTCTATATCTGTATCTATCTCCTTTCATTGTGGGTTTGAATTTCATTCTGCTTAATATTATTTAAAAGAAATGGCTTATGGCTCACACCCTATATTTTACTGAAGTTTTGAGATTTTTCTGATTTTGCAGGAATGTAAATTGATTGAAATTATTACGTAGTTTGACCAACATCAGGATTAGAAAAATGTAGCAAACTCTTTTGAGCACTGAGAATCACATAGATATGAAGCAACTGATAGCATCTGTTAAGAAACTGTGCTGAAATTATTAATTAATGCTTTTTTCCCAATAATTTTTTTCCTAATGTGATTTTTCTTGTAAGACACTTGGCTATTCAAATAATAACAGAATAAAAACTGAGTATCTGGGCAGGGCATAGTTTCCAGGATCTGTGGCAGCTGAGTGAGATTGAGCTGAAATCATGTTAGATGTGTGAGTCATCAATTTGAGGTTTGTAATATTAAAGCAAAAGGCCTTGGTTGACACAAAACTGGAAACAGACATTGCAATAACAATCAACTCTTGAATAATATTCTGAGTAAATTTAGCATGCTTTACACACATTTCAAAATGGTCTTTAAATTGATCTAAAAGGAAAGACTGAAGCCTTGGATTATAGTGTTGGGATAAACATTAATCTCCCAATAGCAAAAGCCTTTTTTTTTTTGCCAAGATCTTAAGGCATTTTTTTTTTTTTTTGGAAATTTGTTCATTCATTCTTCTTATTCTTTTTATTGCTATTGTCTCTTTATTTAGCAATTACAAATTGTACATTATATTATATAAGTGTATTATACTAATCTAAAGCAAAATGCTGTCCAAGGTCCGGTACTTTTTAAAATTACCTCATTTAGGCCGGGCGTGGTGGCTCACGCCTGTAATCCCAGAACTTTGGAAGGCTGAGGCATGCTGATCGTGAGGTCAGGAGATCAAGACCATCCTGGCCAACATGCTGTCTCTACTAAAAATACCTTCTCTACTAAAAATACAAAAAAATTAGCCAGGCATGGCGGTGCGTGCCTGTAGTCCCAGCTACAGGAGGGTAGCTGAGGCTGAGGCAGGAGAATTGCTTGAACCTAGAAGGTGGAGGCTGCAGTGAGCTGAGATTGCACCACAGCACTCCAGCCTGGGTGAAAGAGTGAGACTCCGTCTGAAAAAAAAAAAAAAACAACCTTGTTTAAATTTATTTATAGCACATATCTCTTCTTTTTTCAAGAATACAACATATTGACTATAGTCACCATGTTTTACAGTAGATCTCTTGAAATTACTCTTCTTATGTAGCTTAAATTTTGTGTCATCTAACATCTCCCCAGTCCCTCCAACCACCATCCTCTGGTAACCATCATTCTACTGTCCGCTTCTACTAATTCAACATCTTTAGATCCCACATGTAAGTCAGATCATACAGTATTTGTCTTTCTGTGCCTGGCTTATTTTACTTAATATAATGTCATCCAGGTTCATTGATGTTGTTGCACATGACAGGATTTTCTTCTTTCTAAAGTTTAAATAGTATTCCATACGTACCACATTTACTTTATCCATTTATCTGTTGATGGATACTCAGGTTAACTCCATGCCTTGTTTATTGTGAATAGTACTGCAAGAAATATAGCCATGCAGATATCTTTTTGACATACTAATTTCATTCCTTTGGATATATTCCAGTGGTGGGATTGCTGGATCATATGGTACTTGTATTTTTAATATCTTGAGGAATCACTATGAAGTTTTCTGTAATGACTGTACTAATTTACATTCCCACTAACAGTATGCAAGGGTTCCCCTTTTTCCACATCTGCATCAAAACTTATCATTCTTTTTATTTTAATAGTAGCCATTCTAATGGTGTGAGGTGATATCCTAGCGTGGTTTCATTTTGCAGAACTTGCATTTCCTTGATGATTAATCATGCTGGGTATTTCTTTAACATGTCTTTTGGTCATTTGTATGTCTTCTTTTGAGAGATGTCTCTTCAGCTTTTTTGTGTGCCTATTTTAAAATCAAATTATTTGGGGTTTTTGGTATTAAATTGTCTGATTCATATATATATAAATTTATACCTCTTTATATATATATATATAGTTTTCTTATACTTTAAGTTCTAGGGTACATGTGCACAATGTGCAGGTTTGTTACATATGTATACATGTGCCATGTTGGTGTGCTGCACCCATTAACTGGTCATTTACATTAGGTATATCTCCTAATGCTATCCCTCCCCACTGCCCCCATGCCACAACAGACCTCGGTGTGTGATGTTCCCCCTTGCTGTGTCCATGTGTTCTCATTGTTCAATTCCCACCTATGAGTGAGAACACGCGGTGTTTGGTTTTTTGTCCTTGAGATAGTTTGCTGAGAATGATGGTTTCCAGCTTCATCCATGTCCCCACGAGAGACATGAACTCATCCTTTTTAATGGCTGCTTAGTATTTCATGGTGTATATGTGCCACATTTTCTTAATCCAGTCTATCATTGATGGACATTTGGGTTGGTTCCAAGTCTTTGCTATTGTGAATAGTGCCACAATAAAATAAATATATACCTCTTATCAGATGTATGATTTGTGAATATTTTATTTCATTCCATAGGTTATCTATTCACTCTGGGGGTTGTTTCCTTTGCTGTGTGGAAGTTTTTTAGTTTGATGTAATTCCATTTGTCTATTTTTGCTTTTGCTACCTATGATTTTGAGGTCATATCCAAAAAAATCATTGCCCAGGCTAATGTGATGGAGCTTTTTCCATGTTTTCTTCTAGTAGTCTTCTTACAGCTTCAGGCCTTATATTTAAGTCTTTAACCCATTTTGTGTTTATATTCTTATGCATGCGTATATCTGGTTTTCCCAAGACCATTTATTTAAAAGACTATTATTTCCTGAAGTGTATTCTTGGCACCACTGTCAAAAATCATTTGACTGTAAATGCATGGATTTATTTCTGGGTTCTCTGTTCTATTCCATTGGCTTATGAATATGCCTTTATGCTAGGAACGTGCTGGTTTTTGAAATTATAGCTTCATAATATATTTAAGAAGTCAGGTAGTGTGATGCCTTCAACTTTGTTCTTCTTATTCAGGATTGCTTTGGCTACTGCTTTGGCTAAGTTATGAGCTTAAAATAGCCTGTTATAAGTATAAGATGGTCTTTTGTGATTCATACGAATTTTGATCTTTTTAAAAAGAAATCTCTGTGGGCCAGGCACAGTGGCTTATACCTGTTATCCCAGCGCTTTGGGAGGCCAAGGCAGGTGTATAACTTGAGATCAGGAGTTCGAGACCAGCCTCACCAACATGGTGAAACCCTCTCTCTACTAAAAATACAAAAAATAGTGGTGGCGCATACCTTCAGTCTCAGCTATTCAGGAGGCTGAGGTGGGAGAATCGCTTGAACCCAGGAGGCAGAGGTTACAGTGATCTGAGATTGTGCCACTGCACTCCAGCCTGGGCAACACAGTGAGACTCCATCTCAAAAAAAAAAATCTCTGTGAAAAATGACATTGGAATTTTGATAGGGATTGAACTGAACATATAGATCTCTTTGAATACCATTGACATTTTAACAATATTGATTCTTCCAATCCATGAAAATGAGATGTTTTCCATTTATTCGTGTCTTCAATTTTTTTCGTCAATGCTTTATAGCTTTCTGTATACACAGGTCTTTCACCTAGGGGAAATGTATTCCTAAGCATTTCTTTGGTAGCTATTGTTAATGGTTTCTTAAGAAATAAAGTTTAGTGTATAAAAATGCTACTAATCTTTCTAGGTTGATTTTCTATTCTGTGATTTTATTTAATTTGTTTACTAGTTCTAACAGTTTTTGTTGCAGTTTTTAGGGTTTTCTATATAGAAAATTATGTTATCTACAAACAGAGACAATTTAAACTTTTTCCTTTCCAAGTGAGATGTCTTTGTTTTTTCCTCTTGCCCAATTGCTCTGACTAGGGCTTCCAGTACTATTTTGATTAAAAGTTATGAGAATGGGGACTGTTGTTCCTGATCTTAGAGGAAAACTTTTCAACTTTTCAACATTGAGTATGATGTCAGCTGTTAGTTTGCCATATATGGCCTTTATTGTGCTGAGGCACATTACTTCTATACTTAATTTGGTGAAAGTTTTTATAATAAAAGTATTTTGAATTTTGACAAAGCTTTTTCTGCATCTATTAAGATAATCGTATTGTTTTTCTTCTTCATTCTGTTAATGTAGGGTATCACCTTTATAGATTTGCATATGTTGAAACATCTTTGTATTCCTAGATTAAATCCCACTTGATCATGATGAATGGTTTGTTTAATGTACTGTTGAATTCAGTTTGCTAATATTTTGTTAAGAATTTTTGCATCTATGTTTATCAGGGATATTGGCCTGTAATTTTTATTACTCTATTGTTCTTGTCTGACTTATTATCAGGGTAATGCAGGATTCATCAATTGAGTTTGGAAGCATTATCTCTTCTTTGATTTTTGGAAGAGTTTGAGAAAAATTAGTATTACTTCTTTAAATGTTTAGCAGTGAAGCTCTAAGGTCCTGGGTTTTTCTTCGATGGAAGAATTATTACTGATTCAATCTCTTTATTAATTATTGATCACTTCAGATTTTCCATTTATTAATGATACAGTCCTGGTAGGTTTTATGTGTCCAGGAATTTATCCATTTCTTCTAGATTATCCAATTTGTTGGCATATAATTGTCCACAATAGTCTCTTAAGATCCTTTGTATTTCTGTGGTGTCAGTTATAATGTATCCTCTTTCTTTTCTAATTTTATTTACCTGATGCTTCTCTCTTTTTTTCTTAGTCCCAGCTAAAGGTTTGTGAATTTTATCTTTTCAAAAAACCAACTTTTAGTTTCATTGATCTTCATATTGTTTTTATAGTTTCTATTTTATTTATTCATGCTCTAATATTTATCATTTCCTTTCTTGTACTACCTTCGGGTCTTTTTCCCATCTCCTTCAGGTACAATGTTAAGTTATTTATTTGAAATCTTTCTACTTTTTTGATATAGGTTTTTATTTGTATGTACTTCCCTCTAAAACTCTTTGTGCCGCATTTCATAAGTTTTGGTGTATTGTATGTCTATTTTCATTCTTCTAAATATATTCTTAATTTTGCTTTTGATTTCTTCATTAAATCATTGGTTATTTGAAAACATGCAGTTTAATTTTCACATACTTGTAAATTTTCTGAAATTCCTCCTGTCACTGATTTCTAGTTTCATACCAGTGTGGTTAGAAATATACTTGATATTATTCCAGTCTTCTTAAGTTTGTTCAGACTTGTTTTGTGACCTAGCATATGACCTATCCTTGGAAAAGTTCTGGGACTGTTAAGAAGAATGCATATCTGCTGCTGTTGGATGGAATAATCTACATATGTCTATTAGATTCATCTGGTTTAAAGAATAGTTTAAGTCTTATGGTTTCTTTTTGTTGTCGTTGTTGTTGTTTTTGTTGTTGTTGTTTGAGATGGAGTCTTGCTCTGTTGCCCAGGCTGGAGTGCAGTGGTGCGATCTCAGCTCACTGCAACCTCCACCTCCCAGGTTCAAGCAATTCTCCTGCCTCAGCCTCCCGAATAGCTAGGATTACAGGCATGCACCACCATGCCTGGCTAATTTTTGTATTTTTAGTAGAGATGGAGTTTCACCATGTTGGTCAGGCTGGTCTTTAACTCCTGACCTCAGGTGATCCACCCACCTCGGCCTCCCAAAATGCTGGGATTACAGGCATGAGCCACCGAACCCGGCCAAGTCTTATGTTTTCTTAATGATTTTCTGTCTGGATCATCTGTCCATTGCTGAAGGCGGGATATTGAAGCCCCCTATTGTTATTGTATTGCCGTTGATCTCTGCATACAAATCTATGAATATTTGATTTATATATCTAAGTGCTCTGATATTGGATGTATAAATATTTATAGTTGTTATATCCTTTTTATGAATTAATCCTTTTATCATTATATAATGGTCTTCTTTGTCTTTCTTTATAGTTTTTTATTTAAAAAGTATTTTATTTGACATAAGTATAGCTCCCCCTGCTCTCTTTTGGTTTTCATTTACCTGGAATATAATATTCTATCCCTTCACTTTCAGTCTATGCCCTTAAACATGAAATAAGTCTGTTGTAAACTTCACATAGTCGGGTCTTTTCTCTCCTTATCCATTCAGCCACTCTATGTCTTTTGAGTAGACAATTTAGTTCATTTATATTCAAGGTAGGTATTCATAGGTAAAGACTACTGCCATTTTGTTAATTGTTCTCTGATTGTTTTGTAAATCATTTCTTCCCTTTTTCCTCTCTTGCTGTCTTTATGATTAGGTGATTTTTCTCTAGTAGTATGATTTGATTCTTTACCTTTTTCTTTGTGCATCTATTATAGGTTTTTATATGTGATTAAGGTGAAGCTTGCATGAAACATCTTATAACAGGGTATTTTAAGCTCATAACTTAACTTTGGTTGCATTTTTAAAACTCAATATTTTTACCCAACTTTATTCCACATTTTATGTTTTTGATGTCACAATTTACATTGTTTTATATTGGGAATCCCTTAACAAATTATTACAGCTATCATTGCTTTTAATAGTTTTGTCTTTTAACCTTCATACTAAAAACATAAGTGATTTACACACCACCATTTACAGGATTAAAGTCTTCTGAATTTGTGTATTTCCTTTTACTAGTCTTATACTTTTACATGTTTTCTTGTTACTAATTAGCATCCTTTTCTTTCAGCTTGAAAAATCTCTTTTTGCATTTATTGTATGACAGGTCTAGTGGTAACATACTCTAAGCTTTTGTCTGTTTACAAAAGTCTTTATATTGCCTTCATTTCTGAAGAATATATTTGCTAGATACAGTATTGGTTGGTATTTTTTTCTTTTAGCACTTCACATATATAATGCCACTCTCTTCTGGCCTATAATATCTCTTATAAAATACATGTTTATTGAACTCCCTCATATGTATTTTTTTTCTCTTGCTACTTTCAGGATATTCTCTCTGTTGTTGATATTTGGCAGTTTGATTATCAAATATGTTGATGTCATCTTATTTGGATTGAATTGGTTTGGAGATCTTTGACCTTCTTATACCTGGAATTTGTAACTTTGCCCAGATTTAGAATGTTTTCTGTAGAAAATTATTTCTTTAAAAAAGCTTTGTTTTTCTCTTTTTCTTTTTGAGCTCCTATAATTCAAATATTTGCTTTTTTGATTATATCTCATAATTCTTATAAGTTTTCCTCATTCCTTTTTATTTTTCTCCTCTGATTGTATATTTTGAAATAGTTCTCAGCTTTGTTCTTCTGCTTTATTCATTCTGCTATTGATGCTCTCTATTACACTTTTCATTTTGTTAATTGTATGTTTTAATTCCAGATTATCTGGGGTGTGTGTGCATGTGTGTGTGTGTGTAATTTTTATTTCTCTGTTAAATATCTAGTTTTGGTCATTTATTGTGTTACTGATTTTGTTTAATCTTTTCTTTGTATTTTATTGAAGTTCACTATGCTTCTTTAAAGTAATTATTTTTAATAATTTTTGTCAGACACTTCATATTTCACTATTTCTTTAGGATCAGTTAGGTACTTTATTTTGCCTGAAATCACTTTAGTGGTCTCATATTTTTCTGATTGCTCTTGATCCTTGTGGCTTTGTGTTGATGTCTGTGCATTTGAAATATCAGGTACTTATTTCAGTCTTTGCATGCTGGCTTTCTGTGGGAAAGCCCTTCCCCATTTGCCCATCCAGACATTCTGGGTAGGCTGTCTAACGTGATCTATGGGAAAGCTTGCTTCCGGAGTCCTTGAGCAGGTTGGCCTGGTGATGCATTCGGCAGGTGGGTAGGCCTGTTACCTGAGTCCGCAGAGTTTGCCCTAGAGTTCAGCTGCCCTAGGGTGGACTTGTGGATTGGTCCATAGCAGTAGTATTGAGGCTATATCAGTGGAAGCTGTCTGGAAGCCTAGTTCTCCAGGGGCTAATCTGGCACTGGGTATACTTTGAGCCTGAGTCTGTAGTGGTCAACTATGTGCTGCAATGTCCCTTGCACCAGAGGTCAGTGGGAGAGACTTAGAACCTGAGTCCACTGGGTTCTGGGTTCATGGGGGCTGACCTGGAGGCTCAGTCTCAGGGGTAGTCCTGAAGCAGCAGTCTAGGAGGCCTACCCTGGCATCAAGGTCTGTTGGGGTGAACCTGTGCCCTGGCTCTGCTGAAGCAGACATTGTCCTTGGGGGGTCACTGAATTATTGGGTTATTGAGACTGGCCTGTATCCTGGGCTGGCATGGTACACTGGGGCTGGTGTAGAGCCTGGGTCCATGCAGAATGCTCTTGACCCTGTTCATGAGTGATGGCCTGGTGTCTGGAGCTAGGTAAGCTTTCCTGGAGACTGGGGTTGTGGGAACCATCCTGGGTCAGCAGGGGCCAACCTGGAGGCTGAGTGTGCACATGCTGGCCTGGAGGCTAGGTCTGTGAATGCTGGCTTGGGTCCTGGGTTTATAGGAGCAGACCCAGGGTCCTAGGTTAATGGGAGCTGGCTCAGTTCTGGGCCCTCCTGGGAAGGACATTGACTCTGGGTCTGATGGATGGTGGAGTCTCAGGGGCTGGCATAAAGGATAGGTCTACAGGGACTGGCCTGACACTGGGCAGGCCTGGAGTCTATGTCCATGGATGCTAATCTGATGCCTGAGGGTATGGGTGCTAACCTGGTGCTGGAGCTATGTGGAATGACCTGGTTCTGGGATTTTCTGGAAACTAGGGCAGGCCTAGATCCTGAATATGTGAGGGTTGGGAAGGTCTGGGGCAGGCTTTGCACTGGGGCTGGTCTAATGGCTCGCATTGGTTTGGTGGTGGGAGGCTAGGAGACTGAGTCTGTCAGATGGGCCTGGGGTCTGGAGCTGCATGGTCTGGCCTGGTGCTGGGGCAGGCCTGGAGGCTCAGTCCATGGGTACCAGCCTGATGTTTGGGGCCATGGGTATTCTTGGTACTGGGTTTTACTGGGGTGAGCTTGTTGGTGGGGTCTGAGGCAAAATCTATTGCTTACATCTCTCTCCTACCCACAAGTGAGGGGTTTTTCTCTCCACCCTGTACTGTCTGTGGTTGGGTGAGGAGTGATATGGATTAGGTAAATCTTCCTTCTACCCTGTTCAGTGTGAATCTTTTCTTATTTTGTTGCTGCACCCATGTGCTTGTAATTTCTCATCTGGTTTCCTTAACTCTTATTAAGGTATTTCAAACATGGATAGTTGTTCAAATTGATGTTTGTTCTGGAGTCAAGTTTTGGAAAGCCTATTCTGCCATCTTGCTGACATTTGCTGGATGTGTGTTATTTTAATTTGGTTGAGTATATTCTGAATAATCTTAAAAGATGAAGTTACATGAATAGGCTATGGAGAAAGATGTCCTGGACACAAATAGTACCTTCTTCTCTTGTAATGTGGTCAAAGGCAAGCTATTTAACCTTTATGTGCCTCATATTCCTCTCATGTAAAATGGTAACATACAATTGTGTAAAAGCATTAAGACCTGCACAGTGCTAAGCAGAGATCAAGTGCTAAGTGTTTATTATTATTTATAGTCTGCAGTAATAAGAACTTGACAAATCCATTACCAAAAATATTTGACCTCATTTTTCCATGCTATTTGACTTTACTTCTTGCAAATCAGAAAAAAAGTTTTTATACTTATTTGATATGTTTATATGTCTGTACTTTTTATTCTGCTTGTCATTAATTAGCCATTTTAATGATATTTATCATTGTTAATGACCATCATGGCCAATTGCTTAGCAATAGCTAGGTATAGCTATAGAGATATACCATTTTGATGCTAATTATCTGAATTCAGGTTTAATCTAACTGATAAACATAATTTTCAATCTTTATTGAAACTTTTATTACTTTTAAGAATTTCTTGGTTGACATAAAACTAATTCTACATTGATAGAATAAAATCATAGTTTTTCGTTAATGTTATTACTCTTTTTATTTATTTTACTGGCAAGAGAATTTTCAAATTCAAATATATCACCATGTCAATCTATGAAATGTTTGAAACTTGGAGACCTTACAAAATTTTGAGACAGAGGTGATTTGTTTGAATATTAATCAAGGAAGTAGATTGGATCAATGGGCTGCTTCTCAACTCTTACTGAGTTGTTTTCATAACTTAAATTCATTATTTTACTTAAAATAATTTCCTAGAATACTGTAAACAAGTATATTTAATATAAGCATTAAATATTATATCTGAAACAGATGGGAACATGAAATTTTTAGGCCACATTTTATAAAAATCCTAATCCACCCTATTTTTTTTTCTAATGATGTTACTATGACAACACGTGTTTTATAATACATTGGTTTGTCCCAATTCTTTAACTCAGTAATATAAAATGTATTTTAACCTTATTTTTCAGTTCTGTCATTTTGCAACCCTCCTTTATACCAACCCATAACCTGTCACCAAGTGCAAAAGCTAATATGTGCCCTCTTTTAGGTTATTAATTTAAAACATTAAACAAGAATTAGTCCAAAGCCAAATAAAATATAGGATTGCTACCTAAAATTAACACCACAACAAAAAGAAATAGATAGTTCTCTAGGGGTGGCAACTGAGTTGTCAATCCTTCCTGCTTTTTATGGAAATAGTCTTGAAACATAGGAGCAGAACTGCAGCAGTAAGGAAAGTAGTCCGTGACTCTGTCCTTTGGCCGTAGCTGATGGACTCGGGTACATCCCTGACCTTTACTGGGCTGATAATACTCCCTTTCTGAAAACCTAGAAGCTTAGGGTGAAGAGACTCGTACACTAGAATCATTTAGAGCTGAATCATGTCAATGTTACAGACTGATAGAGAAAGAAAAAACTTCCACCCTCTCTCTGCCCTTTGAGTATTCTGTTATGAGCATTATGATTATGATTATCTATGTTTATATATATATATATATATATATATATATATATATTTTTTTTTTTTTTTTTTTTTTTTTTTTTTTTTTTTTTGAGACAGAGTCTCGCTCTGTCGCCCCGGCTGGAGGGCAGTGGCCTGATCTCGGCTCACTGCAAGCTCCGCCTCCCGGGTTCACGCCTTTCTCCTGCCTCAGCCTCCTGAGTAGCTGGGACTACAGGCTTCCGCCACCTCGCCCGGCTAGTTTTTTTGTATTTTTAGTAGAGACGGAGTTTCACCATGTTAGCCAGGATGGTCTCGATCTCCTGACCTCGTGATCCGCCTGCCTCGGCCTCCCAAAGTGCTGGGATTACAGGCGTGAGCTACCGCGCCTGGCCTGTTCTAATATTTTTTAGCACTATTGTGCTAAGAGCTGTGCTAAGTCATTACTGAGCATTGGGTAATTTACTTCTTTCAACAACCCAGCGAGGTAGGTGCACACCTTCTGTATATTATATATAAAAAGAAACCTGTTAGGCGAGGTTAAATAAATGGTCACATATTCTACAGCTAGTAAACAATAGAAACACTGAACAAATCCAGAGCCTATATTTTACCTATTCAATTATATCTTCTCCCTCTGCAAATACAAATTAGATGACTGCTAAGTGGCAGATGAATTTAAGAGAGTAAAAACATGCACACCTGTATGCTTGAAAATGCTTTTAGAATCCCTGGATTTTTCATCCAAGCCACTCAGTTCTAAGAAGTTATCGTGTAGGTATTTAGGAAAAGTGTACCAGTTTTATTCATCCAAATATTTGATTTCCCTGTGATTTGTCTGAAATCTGGAAATCAAACAGGTAAATTTTCTTTAAAACACCCTTACCCTGTACTCAATGAAAGACACTTTCCTTAATTCTAAACCACAAGACAGATTACAAAAGAACAGAAACCAATCTGAGGATAAAGTTTAGATGCATGGTGACAAATTAGACAGAGATTTACATAACAACATCCTTCAGGAAGGAACAAGGCACTTTGAAAATTGCTACAGCCCATCTCATATTTGGAAAATATCAAAATAACAAAGAAAGTGTTATCTCGTAAACTGTGATAATCCACATTAACTATAATTTGAATAGTTTACATGAGTTGTTTAAAAATACCTGTAATTAGCTCCAAATTTAATATATCTCATAAAACCAATGAAAAGCTAAAATTGAAGCTAGTGCAATTTCCTTAGCACACCAGGAATTGAAAGCAAAGAATTAAAGGAACATAATATGCTTTAGTTTTTGGTCACTGACATTTGTTAGCTGTTAGAACAAAATTGCTTGTGATGAATGCTAGTAAGTACAAATGAGCTCCGGTTACTGCGATAATTTTCCCAGCTATTTATGTTATCATTCCAATTTCAGCAGCAGTTCCTAATACTTGAAACATTTAGACAAGAAAATTATAAGCTTTACTGAAATGTATTAGAAAGTAATAGCAGAAGAAAATTAATGGTCTTTAAGCATTTGCTCATTCAGCAATAGCCAAGTAATTAGAAAGCTGACAAAGAAAAGCACGAAGCAGTGGTAGTTTATATATGTGTATCTTTTCAACGTTATCTTTTCAGTTTGTGCATTAAATTGTGGCTGACAGAGCAACCATGCATCTGATTCAAACAATTTATGCAAACAATCTATGGTGCAAGGATAAATACAATTATGTTTAACTCATTTTTATAAATGTAAGTTTACTATATGCAGAATTTGTCTATTCAATGGTCAAAGCACAATATTGGGATTAAGTTCTTTATCCCAAGGAACAAATCTTGGTACAGGTATTAATATCCCCATTTGGCAGATACAAATTAAGATATTTGCTTATTGATGAAACAAAATAAGATTAAGTGCTTTATCTCAGGGTTACCAACTTGGTATTCTGAATAAGTGAAAAAGGACCCAAATATTTAATATTTCACATAATTATTTATCTTTGCTCAATTTTATCAATACATTTGGCTCATACTTTTTTAAAAGTTTAATGAAAAAATAATCAAAAAAGCAAAAAGAAAATATAATAAAAGAAAAAATAGGAAGAGAAAATGAAAAGGCAAAGAGTCATGAAGAACATTGGTATAAAGCCATATGTTAATAAAATAAAATGTAATCTTTACTTGGAAAACAGATGAATGATCAATAAATAATAGTATGCCCCCAATAAGCATTGTTTGTCATAGAATTAAATAACCTTAAATACCAATCAACACCATTACTTATATTTTCTATCACATCATATTTGACATTAAATTTAATGATTGTACATAAAAATTAAGCAAAGAAGTAAATATGGAAGATTTTGAATGCAGAAAAGAAAGTCTTAACATTGCTTTAACCATACAAGTTCAAAACTGTGGTAAAACACTTCACTTAGTGGGAAAAGCAAAAAAACTACATTATGATCCAGCCTTATTATCAAATCACCCAAGGGGAAGATACTGAAAAAGAATCATGGTTTTCTCCTTTTCTCTGTGCATTTGAGAATTAAGTTATTGCAGACTATGAATGAATTTCTAGCCCATAAGTTCTCAGTGGGTAGAGGATGAGGGCTCAAGGAAAATGGTACCATTCCCCTCCCAACTGGAATGTTTGGAAAATCATTAGGGGCACTCTAGTTGTCTCCATTACTAGGCTTGCTACTTGAACTTACAGTCAGAAGGCTAGGGATCCTATCCCTGCATGTGGAACATTCTTATATGGTGAAGAATCATCTCACCCCAGATTCCATAGAGTCCCCATTAAGAGACATTGGAGGGGTAGCAGTTACCTGCCCCACTTAGACACAGTCTCTGTTATATGTGTTTAACCAAGGATGATGACACTTAAGACAGTAAGTTCCACATTTGTTTTCTATGCCCATCAACCCAAGACCTGGCCTAAGCCAGTGAGTGTACATAGGTGGGGCTCAGTAAAAGTTTGCTAATAACTTTGTGAAAATAATAATAAAATCATTTTTAATGATGAAGAGTGAGAACCAGACTTGATGTTCAGTCTGGGCCTCAGAGTATTATTATTCATTCAGTGGAGTCACTAAGAAATAACAATTCTTTGCTCACATTTTAAAATTTAGTAACTTTATCTCATCAGCTCATTTAGAAATGGTAAGAATTTGGAGGACTGAATCACATTAATCAAACTCATTAACCAGAAAGTCCCAGTAGTTATTCTACCTTTGGGTGAGTTCCAAATGAGTGCATGAGACTCAGGGCTGCCACACACGGGTGTGCAGGTTGTTCATTGCACAATCCACACAGACTTTATTCACGTAGACTATGATGTAAATGATGTATTTAGAGTTGTGCTGCCTATAAGGTTTGATATGTTGTCTATTTTCATTTGTCTCAAGATTTTTTAAATTCTAAAATAGCAATATATTGTTTATAAAACGTATTTGTTATTGTTATTATTTAAAACTTTTATTATCGGTTCAGGGGTACGTACATGTGCAGGTTTGTTATATAGGTAAATTCATGTCACGGGTTTGTTGTACAGATTATTTCATCACCCAGGTGCTAAGCCTAGTACTAAATAATTATTTTTTTCTGTTCCTCCCAACCTCCACTCTCTGATAGGCTCCAGTGTTTGTTATTCCCCTCTTTCTGTCCATGTTTTCTCATCATTTAGCTTCGACTTATAAATAAGAAAATTCAGTGTTTGGTTTTCTGTTCTTGGGTTAGTTTGCTAAGGATAATGGCCTCCAACTCCATCCATGATCCTGCAAAGGACATGATCTCATTCTTTGTTATGGCTGCACAGTATCGCATGGTATATATGTACCACGTTTTCTTTCTCCAGTCTATCACGAATGGGCATTAAGGTTGATTCTATGTCTTTGCTATCGTGAATAGTGCTGTGATGAACACAAACATGCATATGTCTTTATAATAGAATGATTTATATTCCCAGTAATAGGGAATATACCCAGTAATAGGATTGCTGGGTCAAACGGTAGTTCTGTTTTTAGCTCTTTGAGGAATTGCCACACTGCTTTTCCACAATGGTTGAACTAATTTACACTCTCACCAACAGTGTATAAACATTCGCTTTTCTCCACAACCTCTCCAGCATCTGTTATTTCTTTGACTTTTTAATAATAGTCATTCTTACTGGTGTGAGGTGATATTTCTTTGGGTTTTAATTTGCATTTATCTAATAATCATTGATATTGAGCTATTTTTCACACGCTTCTTGGCCACATGTAAGTGTTTTTTGAAAAGTATCTGTTCATGTCCTTTGTCCACTTTTTAATGGGGTTGTTTTTTTCTTGTAAGTTTGTTTAACTTCCTTATAGTTGTTGGATAGTAGACCTTTTTCAGATGCAAAATGTGCAAAAATTTTCTCCCATTCTGTGGGTTGTCTATGTACTCTGTTGATAGTTTCTTTTCCTGTACAGAAGCTCTTAAAATTTAATTAGATCCCATTTGTCAAGTTTTGCTTTTGTTGCAATTGCTTTCGCCATCTTTATTATGAAATCTCTGCCAGTTCCAATGTATAGAATGGTATTGGCTAAGTTGTCTTCCAGGGATTTTATAGCTTTGGGTTTTACATTTAAGTCTTTAATCCATCTTGAGTTGATTTTTATATATGATGTAAGGAATGGGTACAGTTTCAGTCTTCTGTGTATGGCTAGTCACTTTACCCAGCACCATTTATTTAAAAGGGAGTTCTTTCCCCATTGTTTGTTTTTGTCAGCTTTGTTGAAGATCAGATAATTGTAGGTGTAGGGGGCTACTTCTGGGCTCTGTATCCTGTTCTGTTGGTCTATGTATCTGTTTTTTGTACCAGTACCATGCTGTTTTGGTTACTGTAGCTCTGTAGTATAGTTTGAAGTTTGGTAATGTGATGCCTCCAGCTTTGTTCATTTTGCTTAGGATTGCCTTGGCTATTCAGTCTCTTTTTTGGTTCCATATGAATTTTAAAATAGTTTTTTCCAATTCTGTGAAGAATGTCATTGATAGTTTGATAGGAATAGTGTTGAATCCGTAAATTTCTTTGGGCAGTATGGCCATTTTAACAATATTAATTCTTCCTATCCATGAGCATGTAATGTTTTTCCATTTGTTTGTATCATCTCTGATTTCTTTGAGCAGTGTTTTCTAATTCTTATTGTAGAGATATTTTACCTCCCTGGTTAGCTGTAATTCCAGGTACTTTCTTCTTTTTGTGGCAGTTGTGATCAGATTGCATTCCTGATTGGCTCTCGGCTTGGCTGTTGTTGATGTGTAGCAATGCTAGTATTTTTTACACTGATTTTGTATTCTGAGACTTTTCTGAAGTTGCTTTTGAGCAGAGACTGTGGGGTTTTCAAGACATAGAATAGTGTCATCTGCAAACAGGAATAGTTTGACTTCCTCTTCTAATATTTGTATGCCCTTTATTTCTTTCTCTCACTTGGTTGCTCTGGCCAGGACTTCCAATACTATTTTGAATAGGAGTGGTGAGAGAGGGCATACTTGTCTTGTGCTGATTTTCAAGGGGAGTGCTTCCAGCTTTTGTCCATTCAGATGATGTTAACTGTGGGTTTGTGATGGGTGGCTTTTATCATTTTGAGGTATGTTTCTTCAAAATCTAGTCAGAGACTACTACAAAAACCTCTATGCACACAAACTAGAAAACCTAAAAGAAATGAATACATTTCTGGATACATAAAATCTCCCAAGACTGAACCAGGAAGAAATTGATTCCCTGAACAGACCAATAACAAGCTCTGAAATTGAATCAGTAATAAATAGCCTACCAACCAGAAGAAGCCCAGGACCAGAAGGATTCACAGCTGAATTCTACCAGATATACAAAGAAGAGCTGGTACCATTCCTGCTGAAACTGTTCCAAACAATTGAGGAGGGAGTGACTTCTCCCCAACTCAGTCTATGAGGCAAGCATCATTCTGATACCAAGACTTGGCAGAGACACAACAAAAAAAGAAAACTTCAGGCCAACATCCTTGATGAAATGATGCAAAAATCCTCAACAAAATACTTGCAAACTGAATCCAGTAGCACATCAAAAAGCTAATTCATCACGATCAAGTAGACTTTATCTCTTGGATGCAAGGCTGATTTAACACAAGCAAATCAATAAATGTGATTCATTTATTTCTGTATACATAAATATAATTCATTTATTTCTGTATACAGAACTAAAGACAGAAACAATATGATTATCTCAGTAGATGCAGAAAAGGCTTTTGATAAAATTCAGCATCTCCTCATGTTAAAAACTTAACAAACTAGGTATTGTCTCAAGATATTTTTCTTTTACCTTTTAATTTCTTCATTGACTCATTGGTTGTTCAGAAGTATGCAGTTTTATTTCCACATATGAGTATTTGTGAATTTCCCAAAATGTGGCAACTCTCAAACATTGCTTGGTGGGCATAGAATTAAAGGCTAATGTACTTAAGAAAAATTATTATCAAGTTACGGGATTGTAATGGCTTGTCATCACTCTATACAAATTTTTATATGGTCAGTAGCAATCATTAGACTTATTGTTCTTATTCTGAATAGTGGTGGAAATCTAATGACATTTTTTTCCCTAAAGTCCAGTAAGAATGGCAAATACTTCTGAGCACTTGCTAGGGGTTACTCTAAGAACATCATATTGTATAATTAATTTAATCTTCAGAGCAATCCTATGAAGTTGTTACTACTATTACTTTAAAGATGAGGAAACTGAAGCACAAAAAGATTAGCTGCTCTATGTTTGTCATAAGAGCAAGTGAAAAAGTACATAAATTATAATACAGGTACATAGTTAATTTTATAAAGGGGTTAACCATCATTGCAGAGAAATAATCTCATCATTTTACATTGGCCTACTGTTAATTTCACCTAGAAAGGTAACCCTTTTTAAAAACCTCACTCATAAGTGTAGTTTTAAATCCATGGACAATTTCTTGTTCGCAGTTTACAGGTCCCTATTCAGTCACAAGAGTAAAACCTGGTGAATTATACAAATTAACAGAATGCTTGATTTTCATCTGCAACGCTGCCAAATAACACCAAACTGGAAGGGTAGGATTTTAGTTCAAAATGACACGTAGATTGTCTGGGGAAAAATAACAGCAACAACAAGAACTATTTCTTGAATCATCCTAAATAGGAAATGAAAGATATAATCCTTAAAATGTACCACTTTTGACTTCTTTTTTTTTTGTTGTTGTTATTTAAAATATTTATTTATTTATTTATTTATAGATTTAGGGGGTACAAGTACAGATTTGTTTTTTGTTTTTTTTTTTAGTTTTATTATTATTTTTTATTATTGTTATACTTTAAGTTTTAGGGTACATGTGCACAATGTGCACGTTTGTTACATATGTATACATATGCCATGTTGGTGTGCTGCACCCATTAACTCATCATTTAGCATTAGGTATCTCTCCTAATGCTATCCCTCCCCCCTCCCCCTGCCCCACAACAGTCCCCGGTGTGTGATGTTCCCCTTCTTGTGTCCAAGTGTTCTCATTGTTCATTTCCCACCTATGAGTGAGAACATGCGGTGTTTGGTTTTTTGTCCTTCTGATAGTTTGCTGAGAATGATGGTTTCCAGCTTCATCCATGTCCCTACAAAGGACATGAACTCATCCTTTTTTATGGCTGCATAGTATTCCATGGTGTATATGTGCCACATTTTCTTAATCCAGTCTATCATTGTTGGACATTTGGGTTGGTTCCAAGTCTTTGCTATTGTGAATAGTGCCTCAGTAAACATACGTGTGCATGTGTCTTTATAGCAGCATGATTTATAATCCTTTGGGTATATACCCAGTAATGGGATGGCTGGGTCAAATGGTATTTCTAGTTCTAGATCCCTGAGTAATCGCCACATTGACTTCCACAATGGTTGAACTAGTTTACAGTCCCACCAACAGTGTAAAAGTGTTCTTATTTCTCCACATCCTCTCCAGCACCTGTTGTTTCCTGACTTTTTAATGATTGCCATTCTAACTGGTGTGAGATGATATCTCATTGTGGTTTTGATTTGCATTTCTCTGATGACCAGGGATGATGAGCATTTTTTCATGTTTTTTGGCTGCATAAATGTCTTCTTTTGAGAAGTGTCTGTTCATATCCTTTGCCCACTTTTTGATGGGGTTGTTTGTTTTTTTCTTGTAAATTTGTTTGAGTTCATTATAGATTCTGGATATTAGCCCTTTGTCAGATGAGTAGGTTGCAAAAATTTTCTCCCATTCTGTAGGTTGCCTGTTCACTCTGATGGTAGTTTCTTTTGCTGTGCAGAAGCTCTTTAGTTTAATTAGATCCCATTTGTCTCCAAGCTTTTAGAAAGAACTGAATTTCATTTGGCAGTTGTGATTTTCATTGGATTGCCTTCTCACACAATGACTACTCTCTTACCTATAAACATCATGCTTTTTAAAGAGAAGGGTAAGAGCACATGGAAAAAAAACCAACAAATATAAAAGTATTAATATGACAAATCACACATTCATAAACACATATTGAAAATAATCAACAGATCTTTCTCAGAATTAATACATAACATATATGAATTAGTAAAGAAAATATAAGCAGAGTAAGGCATTTTCTAAAAAAAATTTAAAAGTTCTCTTTGCTAGAAGAAAAAATTGTTCCATCGACTAGACTAGAAAGATAGATTTTAAAATTCATTAAAGTTGCTTCCCTTAGGGAAGCTTCTATGTACAAATCAAATTGAATGTCAAACTGGGCTCCTGGGGAGATGCAATTAAAATTATAGCATCAGGGAGCATAACTACACAAGTAAGCCATGGTACATATTCTTTAGAGAGTGTGATGGGGGTTCAGCCTTAACTTGGATACAAATAGAAATCATTGTGAGGTCTTCTACCTTTGAAATAAATGTGAAACTGAATAATAAACTCTTATATTTGCTGAAATACTAACCAAAATGCAAAATGTACAACTTAACAATCAAGTCATAACATTTCATTTGACACCTACTGTGTACAGGGAATAGAACATAGTCTTTACCCTGAAAGGGCTCAAGCTTGAGGAAAGAGGCATATATTCAACATATTGTTATTTAACCTTGTTCCCCTTGCCTCAACGGGTTGGACAAAATATTAGCATCTTATCCATATTAAGTCAAATACATTATGTCATCTTTTGACAGAGATGACTAGCTGAAGAGTAAGTTCCTGACCCAAGCTGGACCTCTAGGATCCTTCTGCAGAAGTTAGCATTGTATGACCAAAGAGTCAAGCTAATGCCTCCAAGGAGGCTGAATATATGATATATGAAATTCCAAAACTTGAGGGCAAACAAGAGTTGGATTGAGAGGAAACATTCACCCTCTTAAGCTGTAAACCTGGCCTGATGGTCAGAAACATGCTTTCTAGGGTATTCTCTCCTGCATACATGATAAGGATTCAGAGATCATGGTTTTCTAGGTGTAATTGAGGTCTGAGATCTTTTTGTACCACTCCTTTGTACTTCAGTTCCTCATCTAACTCAGATATGATTGACCCCCATAATCGCACCTCCAGACATGACATCTAAAGGATGCAATTTTTTGTGTGTGTATTACCTGAACCTGTACTTGTTCTAGTCCATAGTTAAAAATTATCTCCTCTGAACTTGCAGGAACACAGCATGAAGGAAGCTTCTTTGTGCAAATCAAATTAGGTAACAAACTGTGTACCTGGAGGAATGCAATTGAACTCGTACATCAGACAGACTATCTGTAGGATTCGCTGGGCTGAGTGCATCATAATTTTGAGTGCAAAGTTGTGGGAGTTGGGAAACAGGAATCTACACCATCTATGTTAACTCTCCTTCTTTCATGTTACGATTCTTGCTCCAATCCCCAATAACTAATAGTGCTATTTCAGTAGCACTATTAAAGACCTGAGAGTAGGAAAAAAAAAAAAAACTGCCTTACACTAGAGTACTCTGTACCTCCTAAGTAGACCACAGCTCCCTGTAGTATTAGAGGGTGGACAACGTGGAGAGGAAAATCTTCAATCTAAATTACATTGCAATATAGAGACATTCTGTGGAAAGGAAACTTGAATAGCAGTCAGAAGACCCAGGATCTAATTTTGGATATATCATTTAACATGGTGGTTATTCAGCCAGTGTTCCAGTTTATAATCAGTTATGCAATCAGTGTGTCAATGTATAAAACAGGGCAATCTCATTGGCCATATCTTCTTTCTGTAGATGTGTAAGAAGGATCAGTTATGGTAGTGGATATAAGAGTGAAAAATAACTGATTAATAGAATCCAACAGACATCAGTAATTGCATTTTCAGTATCAAGGAAGCTGCACAATAGGGAAAGAGGCAAATTAAGCCACTGAGCAAAGGGAGAGATGAAGGGCTCATTCAGTCATGTGATAAATATATACTGAGTGGTTATAATTGCCAGGGACTCCCTAGTGGCATTCAGTACCTGGATCCAGTTGTCCCTAAGTCTGTCTGCATTATTGGCCTTCCTGAAATTTGATCATTTAGTTACATACTGTAGCATCATTTCAAAAGTTTCCTTTTTTTCTTGCTTAATTTGACAGGTTTTTATCTCTTATAACCAAAGATACCTTAAAAATGCAGAGGAGAGATGAAGAGGATAAGAGAAAGTCAAGCAATTTCTGTGGCCAAAAAGTGCTTTCAGAAATCATAAATTCAGGCCTGAAGTTCCTAAGGTGCACGGGATGGAACAGGGCACCAGCTCAAAGGAAGGAAACATGTTATAAAGAATGATCAACTCAAAGTATCTTACAGGCCAATGGTTGTCAAAGATTTTTTAGCAATGGAACAAGTGTCCAAATGAAATATAATAATAACCTTTATCTAAAATAGTTACAGATGATATTTCTTTAATATACATTCATTTGTAAATTCAAATTGTTAACATTTTCTTTTTGTGAAGACAGATAATAAGCATAATGAGCCTGTTTGAGTGAAGACACATTTGATGTGGAGGATGATAGATAACAGTTTTAAGCATGTCAGCTTTTGTATTTATGAAAATTAAATTAAATATTCTTACACATTCTTCTGAATATAATATGAAAATTATAGATGATGTCCATCCTCCTCTATTGAGAGTTGCATCACAGGGACAGAATTAGAACAAATATCTCCCTCTAGCTAGCTCATGTACTTTCTACAACATTACATGAATCTCAAGGGGTATGGTAATATTTACCAAAAAAAAAAACTCAATGTATTTAAAATCCCATCAATATTTTATGAAGAAAATTAATGAGTTGATACACTAAAATTCTGGTCAAAAAATGCCAACACATAAGTTTCAGAGGAACACGATAAAATTCTGAGTCAATTCAGGTACACATTTGGTGAAAATGTTCATGAATGCTTTTTGATTCCAGTTGATTAAATTTGATTGGACACTCTGGAATGAAATTATTTGTCCTCAAATGGCTGATAACAGCTTCACCATGATCAGTGTGAGATACACTTAAAATTTTGAGCTCCACTAAGAAGTCTTTGAAACATGATTATAAGACAGCTACGTCAAGCTCTAACTGGACAGAGTAACTACCAATATGAATTGATTTTCAAGAGCATCTGTTAAGGTACTTTCTCTAAAACATCTCATTCCAGTTTCTTTCCCCCCCTCCCTCCCTCCCTTCCTTCCTTCTCCCTCCCTCCCTCCTTCCCTCCTTCCCTTCTTCCCTCCCTCCCTTCCTTTTCTTGATAAAGTATTACCCCCACATTTCCACTAAAATTTCAAATGGGAGTCAACATTCTGTGCATAAAAATGGAAGTAGCCTAAAAATCTATGTGTTCATTGGCCAGTGTTCAGGGAGCACTTACTATGTATTCAATTTGAACTGGGCACTATTTTAGCTACTAATTACATGGAGCTATTCAAATGGAATAAAACTAAAATTCCTCAGTTGACCTAGCCCCATTTCAAGTGCTCAGTAGTCATACGTGACTAGAGGCTGTAGTATTGGACCATGGAGATAGAGGACATTTCCATCATCAGAGAAAGCTTTATTGGGCAGCACTAGGTGCTGATGCTCCTAGATGCTCTGCGGAATTCTAAAAGTATTAATTTCAGTTCCTGTCTTTAAATATTGCTTTGTTCGGTTAAGAGAACAAGACTAACATACACAAAGCAATAGGCCTGCAGTGCAGATAAGTGGACAGTTACATGACAAAACAGAGTAGACTGACTCTAAGTGCATTGGGAACTATATCATAACGTCATAGGTTAGAAAAAATTGGAAGGCAATAATAGAAGGAAAGCCAACGAATGAAGGAGTAACCAAACGAATAACACCATTCTACAACTCTAAGACAGGGAGGAAGGTGGTTCTGTTTATGAATTTGATTAGATGCTCCAAAGCCTAAAACTCAACATTTCAACTGGGTCTATGTGGAGTTAAGAAAGCAAGAATCATCATGTATGTAGCTTAGCACAATGAAGATGCTTCTTATGCCTCGCAGGCTTTACAAGGCAAAGTTGGAAAGAATTGGAGAAGAAATCTGAACACAGTATTCATTCATATCCTCATGCGGAATTATCACAATGAAAAATACCACTTTGCAAATTAAGGGATAGCTAGGAAAGTGTTTCTTTGCCTCTTGATGGGATGAAATCCTGTTTAGAAATTACTGTTTTTGAGAGTCAACATCTGCCCTTGGGACTTGTGTATGTTTTATGTATGTGCTGTGTCTAATTCAACAAGTATCTGCAGAAAAACTGAAAGAATAAAATATTTCCAACTCCATGGATCCAAAGTCTAGGAAAGGCACTGAATTTTAAAGAACCCACACCTTCATATCTTCCCTGACATTTTCTGCAGGACTTGAAAAACAGAAACTACTGCTAATTGTCTTGCTGATGATTCCAGGGCATTATTTTAGATGCACTTACTCAAACACAGGGAAACATATTGTTTGGGCAGTGGGGCTGGATAAGAACTCAAAAGTACATTAACCACAAGGGCTAGCCAGGGTTTCGAATTTTTTCCTTCTTTGATACTTTGTGACATTAAATAGCCCAAGTGGGGATTATATCATAATCTCCCGGTCTTGTTGGGGCCACTTCACCGATGGAAAAAGGTCAAACATTATAAACAATTTTACTTAGAAATTTAGAACAAATACACATGAGTGCCTTACATCTGGAAGTTAATTGGATCTAGAATTATTTCCTGAGACAATCTCAGCACCTGGAGATTCTGACTCTTTAACCTTGGAACAATCTCAGCCTCTAAGTAGCTTGCTGAGTTACCACTAGACTGCCAATTAAGGTTCAGTGAGACTGGTAATAGAGTGTAAAATGTGGTGCGTTTTAAAAATAATTACTATTGTCCCAGGGAAATTGTCTCAGCATTGTATTTGTGTCAATTGATGCATATGAGTGGATATATCTTCAATAATGCAAATACTGTTTTCTGCTTGTTTGTGGGTAGGTTTCATGTATGTCTGTTCTCTCTTCTTCAAAAACAACTCTACTTTTCCTAGGTTTCTGGTTTTTCCATGCTATAGCGTTAGCTTTACAGCATTTTTATATAGCTGTAAAGCTGTATAAATTGTATATAGCTTGTATAGTTATTTGTTTTCCTGTCTAAATCCGTAACATCTCTCTGTTGCTTAAGACTGACAATCATATTTGTATGTCCCATTGCTACTTAGTATAGTGTCTTACATAAAACAGGAGCTCCATAAATATTTGTTGTAGTGGAAATTAAAGACAGGCTGCTACTTTAAAGCAAACACAAATGAAACTTGCTTGTTTTCTAATCTTTTAGCTGCTGTTGCTTGTGTTTGTCTGTTAGCATTGGTGGGCATATCTGCACGTGATGTACCTTTAATATAATTTAGTCACCACAAACCAGTGATCTGTTATACATAATGGGATGAATTTGCATAATGTATATTACCTTATGTTGGCAGCATCATAGTGCCAAACAAGAATTGTAAATCCAAATAATATTAAGTTTCTCATGTACTAAGGTGATATGATTGATGTACATAGAGTGAGACTTCAGAGTGAGCCAACATATGTAGGTTTTTAGTAATTTACTGATCTTACTTGATTAGTTTACTACGTACCAAATAGGACTAATTTCAGTGGTACTTTATCACATATTTTTCAGAGGTTTTATGTGAAAGTGCCTTAAAAAAGTAAAATACAAAGGTAGGTAACATTACTTTTCTTTTCTAGCAAGAATAATAACTTGCAGTCTTTTTCAAGTTAAAAATCACATGTTTACCCGGTAGGCTTAGGGATATCTGCCATAATCATGAAAGAGAAAAAATCCTGGTTTACATGATACAAGTATCATGATTTTGATCTTGCTATCAAGATCCTCTAAGGAACCCTAAAATACCCTACTTAGGCATCAACCATATAGAATACTAACATGAATAAGGTCAAGGATACTATTATTTGAACCCATTGTGTTTTAGACACTGTCTTAACACATCATAAACATCACTTTGTCTCTTTTAATCCACACAATCACCTTGGGAATCAGGAATTCTTATCCCTGTTTATGGATGAGGCAAGTGAGGCTTAGCAAAAATATATAGCTTGCCCCAAGTCAGATCATGAATATGTCAGACAACTAGTATGATTTGATTACAGGTTTGTCTGATTCCAAAGCTTAATTGCCATATGGCCTTCCAGATTCGGAAATAAAAATTCAAGAGCCATGAAAGTGATGCTTCAGCAACGTGGAACTCCTACAATTCTCAGCACACCTCAAGTTGTTTGTTGCCTCCAGTCTTTTCTCCAAGTTTCTCACTCATTCTTGTTTATTCATTCCCTTCCTTTCCCCACACCACACAAACCAGAATGAATTGTTCCAGTCTTTGCCACCCTTTAACACTCACTTGAGAGCATCTCCACTCCCTGCAACCCTCACTCAGTCTTGACAAAATGGGACCCCTATGTGCAGCCATGGGCACACATCTATCATGACACGTACTGTGGGGAATTGCAGTTATTTCTGATGTTTCATTCTCCTTCCCTAGACCATGAACAACCTGAGGGTAATAAAAACATATGTATCTATCTCTTACTGTAGCCCAGTATAGGCTACATGACATAGCTCAAAAATGTGAGTTGAACTAAACTAATTAAATCATTCAATTAGTTGGGTTTCTTTGCATTATGCTTTGCATTTAAGATGATATTAATTTAAACAATAAAATAGATACATACCAAGATTACACATTTGTTCAAACAACATGAATAATAGCCATAATACTGTACATTAGGTTTTGGCAAGAGAAGCTTTAAGTTTAAATATAATCAAATTTAGCTGCTAAATTGGATATATAATAGTGAAAATAATATATTACATCCAATACTATATATTAATTAGATATGTATATAAACTGCTATATTGTAGTTATGAACAAGGACAGCAAAAAAAACCATTCTTACGAGATCAAGTAAGGACTTTGTTATATTTGCAAATTATCAAAGATAAAAATATATTTGTTTTCAGAGAAAAGTTTTTCATAAATATCTGTTTATTTGGGAATTTCATTTATAAGGTTAAATAAATTTTTAATTACATAGTATAATAATAAAGGACTGCACCTATTAATACAAGTTTAGATCTGAATCTCATTTTCATACAGTTAAGAAAAAGCTTTATATCTATAACTGAAGGTTATTTAAAATACCAGTAAGTTTTCAAATATACTTATTTTCAGTCTAAGCAGTTTAGCTTTGTCTAAAAATTATAGCGTACATTAACATATTCGTAGAGAAGTGAGAGAAGGGGAATATAATCTCTATTTTATGGACTACTAGAACAAAAAAAATTCCACTTATATGCAGGCAGGAAATTTAAAGTCCAAATTATAGAATTAAAAGGTACATATATTTTCTGATTGAATTATGAATAACAAAAGATACAAAAATATCAGAATTAAAATATTAACCATTTGAAAAGATTTACTCAGAAGACCCTTCATGTACATTTCTCATTTGTGTTGGTGGTTTAGTAATCTCTTTAACCGTGATCTTATGAAGGTACTCAAAAACTGCAATCCTTGAATTATGCTATTAAAGATGAATATTTATAAGATGATAAAATCTATGTATTTTATTTCTAAGACTAATTAACACTTTACTTTTGTTATATAATAAAGTCCCACTTGTCCAGCTGGTAGACTTCTGCCAAGCACAAAGATATGAGCATAGTTCCAAATAGAGACATTAAAATCATAACCTCTGGTTAACAGGAAATTAACTGCTTTAAGCACTTTGAACCAGAGGAAAGCATAACTCAGATCAGAACTCATTGACTTCTTATTTTTTTCTTTTTCTTCCAAATTTGTTGTCTTTAGTTGTTTTTGTTTTTGTTGTTGTTGTTGTTATACTTTAAGTTGTAGGGTACATGTGCACAACGTGCAGGTTTGTTACATATGTATACATGTGTCATGTTGGTGTGCTGCACCCATTAAGTCGTCATTTACATTAGGTATATCTCCTAATGCTTTCCCTCCCCCCCTCCCCCTGCCCCACAACAGGCCCCAGTGCATGATATTCCCCTTCCTGTGTCCAAGTGTTCTCATTGTTCAATTCCCACCTATGAGTGAGAACATGCGGTGTTTGGTTTTTTGTCCTTGTGATAGTTTGCTGAGAATGATGGTTTCCAGCTTCATCCATGTCCCTACAAAGGACATGAACTCATTCTTTTTATGGCTGCATTGTATTCCATGGTGTATATGTGCCACATTTTCTTAATCCAGTCTATCATTGTTGGACATTTGGGTTGGTTCCAAGTCTTTGCTATTGTGAATAGTGCCTCAATAAACATACGTGTGCATGTGTCTTTATAGCAGCATGATTTATAATCCTTTGGGTATATACTCAGTAATGGCATGGCTGGGTCAGATGGTATTTCTAGTTCTAGATCCTTGAGGAATCACCACACTGTCTTCCACAAAGGTTGAACTAGTTTACAGTCCCACCAACAGTGTAAAAGTGTTCCTATTTTTCCACATCCTCTCCAGCACCTGTTGTTTCCTGACTTCTTAATGATCGCCATTCTAACTGTTGTGAGATGGTATCTCATTGTGGTTTTGATTTGCATGTCTCTGATGGCTAGTGATGATGAGCATTTTTTCATGTGTCTTTTGGCTGCATAAATGTCTTCTTTTGAGAAGTATCTATTCATATCCTTTGCCCACTTTTTGATGGGGTTGTTTTTTTCTTGTAAATTTGTTTGAGTTCTTTGTAGATTCAGGATATTAGCCCTTTGTCAGATGAGTAGATTGCAAAAATCTTCTCCCATTCTGTAGGATGCCTGTTCACTCTGATGGTAATCCTGAGTTCTAGTTTGATTGCACTGTGGTCTGAGAGACAGCTTGTTATAAATTCTGTTATTTTACATTTGCTGAGGAGTGCTTTACTTCCAACTATGTGGTCAATTTTGGAATAAGTGGTGATGTGGTGCTGAGAATGTATATTCTGTTGATTTGTGGTGGAGAGTTCTGTAGATGTCTGTTACGTCCACTTAGTGCAGAACTGAGTTTGATTCCTGGATATCCTTATTAACTTTCTGTCTCATTGATCTGTCTAATGTTGACAGTGGGGTATTAAAGTCTCCCATTTTTATTGTGTGGGAGTCTAAGTCTCTTTATAGATCTCTAAGGACTTGCTTTATGAATCTGGGTGCTCCTGTATTAGGTGCATATATATTTAGGATAGTTAGCTCTTCTTGTTGAATTGATCCCTTTACCATTATGTAATGGCCTTCTTTGTCTCTTTTGCTCTTTGTTGGTTTAAAGTCTGTTTTATCAGAGACTAGGATTGCAACCCCTGCCTTTTTTTGTTTTCCATTTGCCTGGTAGGTCTTCCTCCATCCCTTTATTTTGAGCCTATGTGTGTCTCTGCACGTGAGATGAGTCTCCTGAATACAGCACACTGATGGGTCTTGACTCTTCATCCAATTTGCCAGTCTGTGTCTTTTAATTGGAGCATTTAGCCCATTTACATTTAAGGTTAATATTGTTATGTGTGAATTTGATCCCGTCATTATGATGTTAGCTGGTTATTTTGCTCGTTAGTTGATGCAGTTTCTTCCTAGCATCAATCGTCTTCACAATTTGTCATGTTTTTGCAGTGGCTGGTACCGGTTTTTCCTTTCCATGTTTAGTGCTTCCTTCAGGAGCTCTTGTAGGGCAGGCCTGGTGGTGACAAAATCTGTCAGCATTTGCTTGTCTGTAAAGGATTTTATTTCTCCTTCACTTATTTTCTTGTTTATTTGCATAGTTTGGCTGGATATGAAATTCTGAGTTGAAAATTATTTTCTTTAAGAATGTTGAATATTGGCCCCCACTCTCTTCTGGCTTGTAGCATTTCTGCTGAGAGATCAGGTATTAGTCTGATGGGCTGCCCTTTGTGGGAAACCCGACCTTTCTCTCCAACATTTTTTCCTTCACTTCAACTTTGGTGATCTGACAATTATGTGTCCTGGAGTTGTTCTTCTTGAGGAGAATCTTTGTGGCATTCTCTGAATTTCCTGAATTTGAATGTTGGCCTGCCTTGCTAGGTTGGGGAAGTTCTCCTGGGTAATATCCTGCAGAATGTTTTCCAACTTGGTTCCATTGTCCCCGTCAGTTTCAGGTATACCAATCAGACGTAGATTTGGTCTTTCCACATAGTGCCATATTTCTTGGAGGCTTTGTTTGTTTCTTTTTACTCTTTTTTCTCTAAACTTCTCATCTTGCTTCATTTCATTCATTTGATCTTCAATCACTGATACCCTTTCTTCCAGTTGATCGAATCGGCTACTGAAGCTTGTGCATTTGTCACATAGTTCTCGTGCCATGGTTTTCAGCTCCATCAGGTAATTTAAGGACTTCCCTACACTGGTTATTCTAGTTAGCCATTTGTCTAATCTTTTCTCAAGGTTTTTAGCTTCTTTTTGATGGGTTCAAACTTCCTGCTTTAGCTTGGAGAAGTTTGATCATCTGAAGCCTTCTTCTCTCAACTTGTCAAAGTCATTCTCTGTCCAGCTTTGTTCCATTGCTGGCAAGGAGCTGCATTCCTTTGGAGGAGAGGTGCTCTGATTTTTAGAATCTTCAGCTTTTCTGCTCTGTTTTTTCCCCATCTTTGTGGTTTTATCTACCTTTGGTCTTTGATGATGGTGACGTACAGATGGGGTTTTGATGTGGATATCCCTTCTGTTTGTTAGTTTTCCTTCTAACAGTCAGGACCCTCAGGTGCGTCTGTTGGAGTTTGCTGGAGGTCCACTCCAGACCCTGTTTGCCTGGGTATCAGCAGCGGAGGCTGCAGAACAGCAAATATTGCTGAACAGCAAGTGTTGCTGCGTGATCGTTCCTCTGGAAGCTTCATCTCATAGGGGTACCCGGCTGTGTCAGGTGTCAGTCTGCCCCTACTGGGGGATGCCTCCCAGTTAGGCTACTCAGGGGTCAGGGACCCAATTGAGGAGGCAGTCTGTCCGTTCTCAGATCTCATACTCCGTGCTGGGAGAACCACTACTCTCTTCAAAGCTGTTAGACAGGGACATTTAATTCTGCAGAGGTTTCTGCTGCCTTTTGTTTGGCTATGCCCTGCCCCCAGAGGTGGAGACTACAGAGGCAGGCAGGCCTCCTTGAGCTGGGGTGGGCTCCACCCAGTTTGAGCTTCCCAGCCGCTTTGTTTACCTACTCAAGCCTCAGCAATGGCGGGCGCCCCTCCCCCAGCCTTGCTGCTGCCTTGCAGTTCAATCTCAGACTGCTGTGCTAGCAATAAGCGAAGGTCCATGGGCGTGGGACCCTCCAAGCCAGGCGTGAGATATAATCTGCTAGTGTGCCGTTTGCTAAGACCATTGGAAAAGTGCAGTATTTCTGAGAGACAGGACTAGCTGGATTTCCTAGGATGACTAAGAATCCCTAAGCCTAGCTGGGAAGGTGACCGCATCCACCTTTAAACACAGGGCTTGCAACTTAGCTCACACCCAACCAATCAGAGAGTTCACTAAAATGCTAATTAGGCAAAAACAGGAGGTAAAGAAATAGCCAATCATCTATTGCCTGAGAGCACAGCAGGAGGGACAAAGATCAGGATATAAACCCAGGCATTCAAGCCGGCAACAGCAACACCCTTTGGGTCCCCTCCCTTTGTATGGTAGCTCTGTTTTTACTCTATTTCACTCTATTAAATCTTGCAACTGCACTCTTCTGGTCTATGTCTGTTACGGCTCGAGCTGAGCTTTCACTCACCATCCACCACTGCTGTTTGCCGCCGTCACAGACTCACCACTGACTCCTATCCCTCCAGATCTGGCAGGGTGTCCACTGTGCTCCTGATCCAATGAGGTGCCCATTGCCACTCCTGATCGGGCTAAAGGCTTGCAATAGTTCTGCACAGCTAAGTGCCTGGGTTTGTCCTAATCGAGCTGGACACTAGTCACTGGGTTCCATGGTTCTCTTCTGTTACCCATGACTTCTAATAGAGCTATGACATTCACCGCATGGCCCAAGATTCCATTCCTTGGAATCTGTGAGGCCAAGAACCACAGGTCAGAGAACACGAGGCTTGCCACCATCTTGGAAGTGGCCCGCCACCATCTTTGAAGTGTTCCACCACCATCTTGGGAGCTCTGGGAGCAAGGACCCCCGGTAACATTAGGGTGGGAGTGACCCATTTTTCCAGGTGCCGTCTGTCACCCCTCCCCTTGGCTAGGAAAGGGAATTTCCTGACCCCTTGCACTTCTACGGTGAGGCAATGCCTCTCCCTGCTTCGGCTCACGCTCGGTGGACTACACACACCATCCTGCTCCTGCCCCCACTGTCTGACGAGCCCCAGTGAGATGAACCCGGTACCTCAGTTGGAAATGCAGAAATCACCTGTCTTCTGCATCGCTTATGCTGGGAGCTATAGACTGGAGCTGTTCCTGTTCGACCATTTTGGAACCGCCCCCCTTTACAGAACCCATTGACTTCTATAAGAGAGTAGGTAATTGGTTGAGTTGAATTTTGCGCTGCTTCCAAATTTAGCGATTTATTGCTTCTAATAGAAACAAAGTCAACCAGATAGGTGAGTTCCTGTATATTTGTGTACACATCATCAACATTTAAATCTATAGTTAGAATATATTAATATGTAACTTTATGAGTATACACAAACTCTAAAAATCTAGGAAGCAAATTTCTTCTTTTTTCATCTTATCCATATCTCATCCTCATTAAATATCTCTAGTAAAGTCCCAACAATCCCCTGAAATTTTCTCTGATAAGTTTAACCCATGTTGCTTCCTCCTCAGTCTGGGATTTTGTTCTTTACACAATTAAAATGTTTTCTTATGACAACTTCTCTAATGTCATTAGCATTTATTTCTGAACATGAGGCTAAGTCATTAATTCTTTTATGTATGTATTTCTTATTTCTATTATAAAACAACAATAATATTATGGATGATAACCCTATCATACTTTTGTGGCACATCACAATAATTTTTGTGGCACTAGGATTATTGACAAAAGAGAAAACATGATCTTTATGATGTAGTTTATATTCTATTAGAAAAGCTAATACTACATACAGATTATGATGCAATCTTTTGCCTGATTGGATCATGTTTAGATGAATAAGATGGCTTTTGAAGTCCTCATCAAAATCTCTGCAGATGAGTGAAGTGCATTTCCAATGCAAGACTGTAAAATACATGAAAATGTATGCAGTATGAATGTAGAAACATTTGTAATAACAATGATAAAGTTTTTTAAATTAAAGACATAATTGTTCTTACTATGCAGCCATAAAAAGGATGAGTTCATGTTCTTTGCAGAGACATGGATAAAGCTGGAAACCATCATTCTCAGCAAACTGAAACAGGAACAGAAAATCAAATACTGCATGTTCTCACTCATAAGTGGGAGCTGAACAATGAGAACCCATGGACACAGGGAGGGGAACATCACACACCAGGGCCTGTTGGGGGGTGGGGGACTAGGGAGGGATAGCATTAGGAGAACTACCTAATGAAGATGACAGGTTGATGGGTGCAGCAAACCACCATGGCCTGTGTATACCTATGTAACAAACCTGCACGTTCTGCACATATATCCCAGAACTTAAAGTATAATAATAATAAAAAAATTTAAAAAGCTCTAGTTAAAATGGGAAAAGCCAACATATTACTATTTCAATATGAATACAAAAAAGCCTTTTAAATTGATGCTTTCAAATACTAAGTTTTTATGAGATTAATTTTTATGAAAGAACCCAGTACTTTTGTTAAAGCCATTTGAAATACGCTCTTCTCAATCATAAATCTCTATCATTTCAAACACATTACAAAACCAGGGACTTTTAGATCCTCTACTGTGTATTTAAAACTTCCTTTACCTTCATCTTAAGTACTCTTTAGAAGTCCAATACCCACCGTAGATTGTTGTCACTTAGCTTTTATTCAGGACAATAATGAGTGTGGCTGGGGAATACATCTCTGAGAAGGTGGAATTTTAGCTGAGATCTGAATTATGACAAAGAGCCAACCATACGAAGATCTTTAAAAATCTTGCCGTAGTGAGAAAAAGACAGAGAAGACAGAGGTCCTGAGGCAGGTAAAATTGAATAGGTTCAAGGAACTGAAAAACCAGCCAGAGTGGCTGAAACTTAGTAAGCAAGCAGGAGCAGTCTGCAGTGGAGTTGAAGAGGTAAACAAGGGACAGATAATGTAGACTCCCTATGGTGTCATTCTATTCAGCTTCATAAATTAAACCCATGATGAATGATGGCAAGTTCAAGTTCATAAGAGACTATACTGTGTCCTGTGCTCAATGTCGTTGGTTGCCAGATTAGAAATTGCCTGGGATCAATAGTGGAGCAGAATTGGTCATTTTATTATACTTATAAAAGATACTCAGTTATACTTTTCTTCCTGGAGTCAATTTTTTATGTCAGTCTAAAAACTAAAATAAATTGATATGTCAAAATCCATGCCATAAACATTCTTGTTTCCAAGAATGTCTCCTCTAAATTATATATTGGTTATATTTATTATTTTTAATCAGAATTTAATTGCAATACACCCTTCCACTTTGGGTGAAGAATAACATGAGCTAGCAAATGTTTCTGCGAGATGCTTTTTCTTAAGTACATTTTTAGCTAGTTGTATTGAGTTGTACTCTCTACCTCCAGTTGCTCTATTGCAAAGGTTGCAACAAAGTAATAGAGTCTAATTTGATTTTTTTAATTTTAAAGAAGAAATCAATTCCTTTAGTTCGATATATGACAGGATGTCATTTTGATCAATGTCCCCTTAGCTACACTGAGGCTGCTTAATTTTGATACAGGTTGGACAGAATTTATCTTCAGTGAGGAAATCTGACAGGACATGTAATGCTGTAGTAACAAAAGTAGCATTATTTTAAGGGGACTCTTATCAGCTCCTGATAACAACTTTACATTTCAGTGCCCTGCCAAGTCAGGCTGCTGGGAAAGGGTAGGTGGGGCTGGGAGGGTGGGTGGGGAGGACATGCAATGAGGTTCAGGGGAATGGAGCAAAAATGAGTCAAAAGGCCTGGTTTTGAAGGAGAGATCTATCTCCTAATTGTGTAAATTGGACCTCAATGTTGTATCAGATTCAGTTTTCTGATCTCAGATATGGTGTTAATAATGATATTTCAAATTTTAATGAACCACAAGAAACTTTACATAATTCTATGCAAAGTAAATTTGAAAACAAGGATAAATACATATAATTTTTTGGCAAATTTTGAATTTACAAAAACAGACTCTTAAAGAATTAGAACATTTTACCGGACGAATTCCCATAGGAGATCAACTTGTCACAGTGTTCCACCAAATTACAAGGTCAGGTGGCTTCACAGAGAAATTTTACCAAACCTTCCATGAGCCAAAATTCAAATGTTACTTAGGTTGCTTCACAGACTAGTAAGAGAAATAATTTTACAAAATGAGTATATCAATATGTGATGATGTTAGTCTTCAACAGGAGACTACAGACCAATACCACTTGTGCCTATCAATGAAAAAATTCTAAATGAGGAAGCAGAATCCAGCAGCATACTAAAAAATAATATATCTTGAAAAGGCAAGATTTACTTATTCTAATAGTGCAGAAACAGTTGAATATTAAGTGATATATTAATCATATCACAGATGAAAAACAATTCTTTGATCATGTCAATAGAGGTTGTAAAGTCATTTGACAACATTCAATAAAAATTCTTGGCAAAAGCAGTTAATAAATTTTAAAATGCAGACTTTTCCTTAACATGATAACTATCTCAATCCAAAGACCAACATTCTTAATGGCAAATACCAGATATTTCTCTACTAAAGTCAAAAACAAACAAGATTATCCTCTATCCACATTATTATTTAACATTGTTCAAGAATTACTAGACAATAAAATTAGACAAAAATACATTATAAGTATGAAAATCAGAGATAATAAATTCAGACTATCAGTATATGCAGATTGTATCATTTAATAAACCACAAAAATCTGGGTTTTTTTTCTGAGATTGGGTTTTGCTCTTGCTCAGGCTAACTGCAGTGGCACTATCATAGCTCACTGCAGCCTCAAACTCCTAGGCTCAAGTGATTCTCCTGCCTCAGCCTCCCAAGTAGTTAGAACTACAGGAATGTGCCTCAATGTCCAGCTGATTCCTTAATTTTTTGTAGAGATGGGGTCTCACTAAGTTAACCAGGCTGGTTTCCAATTCCTGGCCTCAAGGTATCCTCCCACCTCAGCTTCCTTAAGTGCTGGGATTACAAGGTGTGAGCCACAACATGCCAAAAATCTAGTTTAAAACTGGTACATGCAATATGGTATTTGAGTAAGGTGGTAATATATAGAATATACAAAAATAGTATGACCTTGATATATAACTAGTATAATTTTCATAATGACATAAAAATCATTAGCATAAACTGTTAGAAAATACAATTGAAAAAATAATTTGCAATATCAAAAGAAAAGATCAAATAGCTAGAAATAAAGCTAAGACATATTAAAGACATATGAAAAACTTTAAATTACTTCTGAATTATACAAAGGAAAATTTGGATGAATACATACAATATAATAAAATGAGATCCTAATAAAAATATAATGTGATCTCAAAAAATTCACCAAGAGCCTTTTTTAACTAGAAGAACTAATTCTAAATTTTTATTGGAAAATGAGCAAACACAAATAGAAATGGAAACTGAAAAAAAGAAGGGCAATGAGAGAAACGAGTCATGTTGCATATTACAACATCATATACATCCCATAATTAACACAAGGTGACACAGAAAGAGCAAAAACATCAGAAAACAGATAAAAATATACTCAAGAGTTTAGCATACGAAAATGACATCTAAAATCACTAAAAACATTAGTGCTTTACCCAGTAAATATTGTTGGCACAATTGGACAACTTTCTAAAAAATACATCCGAACCCATACTTTAGAGTACATACCAGTAAAATTCCAAATAAATTAAAATTTTAAATATAAAACATAAACCATATATGTAATGTGAATTAATTATTTTATATGCTTGGGGTAGTAAAGGGCTTTCATAATATGGTTTGAAATCCAGATGCCATGAAAGAGAAAATTAATACATTTTCTACACAAGAGTAAAACATTTCTGCATGGCAAAACGTGAAAGTAAAGTCAAAACATAAATAACAAAGAGGTAAAAAACTTTTGTGCTTCATATCCAGATAGTAAATAATTTTTCTAATGTAAAAAGAACTCAAATTACTTCATAGAAGACTAAAATATCAACAAAAAATTAGAGTAAGAATATCAACAGAGGGTTCAAGGAAAAGTAAGTACAAAAACTTATACAATATTTTGAAGTGCTCAAACTCATTTATTAAAAAAGAAATGCTTAAAAGTTACATAATGATACCATTTTTACCTCCTAAATAGGAAAAACTTAAAAGTTTGCTGACCCACTTCTGTGAAAAAATTGTGGTGTATAGATGCTTTAATACTGGTGGAATATAAAAATATACAAAAGTATATTTAGTAAGATCTATCCAAATTACAAATGTACATTCTCTTTGATCTGATAGTTTCATTTGTATAAATTTATTCTACAAAAATAAACTCACATATGTTTAAAATGACTGACATAAAATGGTATCCATTCCCATGTTGTTAGTAATAGCAAAAGAGAAAAAAACGTAAATATCCATCAGTATGAAACTGGTTGAATAGATCATGGTGAAAGTGTAAAATGGAAGACTATACAATTTGTTAAAGAAGAGGAATATACGAATATTGACTACATGAGATCAAATCTTGGTTCTGTCATTTGAATATCTGTACAACCTTGGGCAGCTTGTGTACAGTCTCTGAGCCTTAGTGTACTCACCTTTAAAATGAGGTTAACAAGAGTACCATCTCAGAGGGTTTGACAGAAAAGATTGAGGCTGTTAAAATACATAAAGCAGTTAGAATAGAAGCCTTGCACATAATTAATATTAGTTACTATTTCCAATTTTATGTACATTTATGAAAATATTTGCAAGATAAATTACGTGAAAAAGTAAGTTTAGACAGTGATATAAGATGCAATCATTTGTACAAAAAAGGGGGAATAACAATCTATGTTTACATTTATTTAAATATTAAGAAAAACATGGAAGAATATAAAAGGAGTCTTCATGTTATGTAATTTTACTGCAGTTTTATATTGCCTATTCAAAAATAAGTAAACATAATGACTCAAAAAGAATAATGCCCTCTCATATTTTTGAACTATAAAATAATAGATAAAAAGATAAAAGTGTTTTTGTAAACTCTAGAACTTTGTGCAGATTAAAATAATAAAATCTAATATTTGAGTGGTTTTTTGTGTGTTAGATGCTGTACTTTTGTCTTACATATACTCTCATTTACTCCTGATAACAATGCTATGAAGTTAGCACTGATTATCATCATTTTCAGTGAGAAGATTGAGGATCCAAAAGATGAAGTACAGATATTTAGGGTTACACAGATAATAAGCAACAGCACTGGGATTCAACTCAGATTTTTCTGACTCCTGCACTTTGGCTCTAGATCATTTTGCTTTGTAAGCCTTGTTCAGGTACGCCCAGTATCATGTCAAGAACCTACTGCAAATGGCTACTTTGAGTCACTGAAGCTCCATGGCCCTGTCTTCTTCTTGCAGACAGGAAGAAGTCTATATTCTGGGCCTCTTTCACTTTCAACAAACAATGGGAGATTTTTATTTGCTACTCTTCATAAAGCCAAATAAGATGGCTAATCCTTTCAGCCTCTTTTATTACTGAGGTTAAGCATCTTTTCATATACTGTACTTACTGTCAGTTTGTATTTTCTGTCCTTTGAAACACCTATTTATACGTTTAGATCCATTGCTTATTGTTATTGTTTTTTCTTCTTATTCTTACTTAGGAGTTCTTTATTTACAGTGTGCTCTCAATGCTAATTCTTTTTAGTTTTTTTTGTGTTGCCAATATTGTCTCTAAGTTTCTGCTTATCATTTTCCTGTCTTTATGGTATCTTGTGATGAATTTCTTAATTTCAATATAATTTAATTTACTAATCTTTTATTTAAGATTGGAGCTTGTTTTTAAAAGCTCTTTCAAAAATTATGAGTGTATTCTCTAGGAAATTTCTTATTGAAATTTTAACATTTAGTCTTGAATCCATCTGGAGTAACTGAGGATATGGTGGGGTAGGTATTCTTTTTATTTTTCCCTATATGTCTACAAATCATTTATTGAATATCCTATCAATTCCTCACTGATATGCAGTATAACCTGTATATGCACTAAGTTTTCATTTATGTTTCTGGGATCTATACTACTGCATGATCAGTCTTCTCTACATTATTGCATTCTCCTTCCTGTTCATCTTGATTAACTTCGGCCATTTTGCCTTTACATATGAACTTAGACTAATTTTGTCAAATTCTATATAAATTATTTTGATTAACTTGGGGATAATTGATATCTTTTCAATACTGAGTCCTCCTTAACTTGGTTACAGTAAATTTTTTCATTAATTGGTTTATCTTAATATCACACAATGAAGTTTTATAATTTATCCCATAAGGTCTGACCCATCTTTTATAATTTATTCTTGATTTTCATATTTTTGTTGCTACTTTAAAAAATATCTGCCTTAAATCAAATATTTGAGCTGTTGCTCTTTTGTGGAAATTCAACTGAAGTTGAAATTAAGTTTATATTCAGCCAGCTAGCTAAACTAATTTATTTTAATCATTTGTCTTTAAGTTCTGTGTCTTCCAGATAGACTATCATCATTTGAGAATAACAGTTTAATTTTTTCCTTTTCTAGTATTTTACCTTTTATTTGTTTTTCCTGGCATATTGTGCTAGTTGAAAATAAGGAATGTAATTATGCATTTTTTTTTCTTGCTTCTGATTTTGAGGGGAAAGCTTTTAATGTTTCTCTACTGTGTAGGATATGTGGTCTTCATTCTGTGATGACATTTCTTCTTTTCCCAGAATACTAAGAGTTTATATAATGAATTGACTTTAGATATTATCAAAGTTAATTCTTTAAATCTGAGATGATTTAATATTTATGTGATAATTTTTAATATATGAAATAATATTAATAGTTTTTAGATGTAAACTTTTATTTATAGAATAAATCATACTTGATATTAGTGTGTTATTTTAAATACATTTTTGAGTTTGATTACTGATTTTGTTAGCTAAAATTTTGTTCCAGATTCATGTGTTATATACAATTATAGTTTCTTATTTACTTATTATTCTTGATGGATTTTTGATATTAAGGTAATACTAGACATGTGAAATGGAATTTTTTCTTATATGTTTTTTGAAATAAAACCATAAGACTATTTCTGTTATTTGAACATTGAATAGAACCTGTCTGTGAACATTTGGGCCTTGTCTTTGTGTGTGTGTGTGGCGGGGGGTTGGAATATAAAAATATTCGATTGCATCAATTTCTATAGCTCCATTTTGTAACATTACAAAAATCATTTAGATTTTCTATTTTCCTCCTATGAGATTTTTAAGACTTTCATTCTCCTAATGGTTTCAATTTACTAGTATTCTTATTTTAATAGGTTCATTATCTTTTTAATCTCAGCTATATCTATTTGTATGTCCTTTTTGCTTCCTTATATTATTTATTTGGTCCCTCTCTTTTTCTTTTAGCAATAGTTCTAGATGTTTTTCAATTTTATTAGTCTTGCTAAAGAACTAACTTTAGTATTTTCATTCCTCTCTTTCTTTATGACTCTTTTCTATTTCATTAATTTCTAGTGCTAGCATTATTATTCCTTTCTTTCAACTTTTTGGGAGGTTTTTCTATTGTTCCTTTTCTGATCTTTCAAGTTTGATGGTTAATGTACAACTATTCAGTATTTCTTCTTTTTTTAAAATGTACATTTTATGTTATAAGTATCTTTCTTGTAATGATTTTTCACAAAAAGTCACGTTTCAACACGTATCATTTTAATTATGATTCAGTTCAATTTTAATTTTGACCTATGAGGTCAAATAAATTAAGTAATTGAAGTAATTAATTACAGTCAAGTTTTTAAGCATTTTAGATGTATCAAGTTTTCTATTATGTTTTTCTGCTTAATTTCAAACTTAATTGTAATGTAGTCAGAGAATGTAGTTTGAAAGAAACTGATTTTTTTAAGTGTTGAAAATTGCTTGTTTACTTAGTACACTGACAGTTTTTATATACATTACATGTGCTTGAAGACAATATGTATTCTTCAGATGTTGAATGCAATATTTTTTCTATATCCATTAGATAAAGTTAATTGTGTGCTCCAAATCTGTGGCATCCTTTCTGATTTCTTTTTCTGCTTGATTTATCAATTGCTCAGAGACAGCCCATTGTAATGAAAAGTTGTCAATTTCTTCATGTACTTATATGCGTTTTTGCTTATATATTTTGAAACCATTTTAAAAATTTTATATTAGTTTAGAATTATATAAGCCTTTTAGTAATAGTCAGTGATTTTCTTTAGCATTTGTTTATTTGGCCTGGAAGTCTATTTGATTTGATGGATTAACATTTTTCTGGTATGTTATGCAATACATTTCCTTTCAAACATTCTGTATTGTTATGTTTTAAGTGTATTGCATAAAAGCAGCAAAAGACTAAAATTTGGGTTTTGCAAGATAACTTTTATGTCTTTTCTTCATACTTATCCAGCTAATTTACTGCCCCAGAAGGCAAGCCTGTATGGACTACATCAGTGGATTCTCACACACCTTCCTTCTGAGATTATTTTCCTTCTTCTGGAGTACATTCTTGAGACATATGTTTAGAGAGGTTCTGTTGGTAGTCAACTTTTTCATTTCTTGTTCTTATGAAAATATTTTCTTTTGGAATGGTTAGGTTCTCCAGCTGCCTAGTAATTTTGGCATCTGGGTTCATTTTCTTTAGAGTTATCAGCTACTCTGTCAGGGAATATACAGAGGAAAGTCCAGCACCCGTTCCTGTCAATCCCAAAGAGCTCAGAGGCTGGGATGGAGAGAGAGGAGGCTTGAGGGACCCTTGAGACAGTCTGCACATATGCTAGAGTGCTCTCCCCCATGATTCCTGCCTTTCAATGTTTGTACCCTTGCATTGTACCTTACCCTTGAGTGCAGACATGACATGTGACTTGCTCCTAACCAATAGAATACAGGAAAGGTGACAGGATGTATGTGATTACATGTGTGTGACTACATGCATACATTTATAGTAACCATCTTCCTGGAGTCTCTTCCTCCGCTGTTGTCTCTAAGGAAGCCACAAGTCATGCTGGGAAACTGCACATGGTCAAGTAGGTGATCTCTAGTGTCTGGGGAGGCCCACAGCTGACAAACTGCAAAGAACTAAAGCCCTCAGTCCTACAAACATTTTTGTTGCTACTTTAAATAATATCTGCCTTAAATCAAATATTTGAGCTGTTGCTGTTTTGTGGAAATTCAATGAAGTTGAAATTCAGTTTATATTCAACCAGCTAGCTAAACTAATTTATTTTAATCATTCTAATGATTTATTAAATCATTAATATTTAATAAATAATATTAATATATTAATTTATTTAATCATCTAAATTCTGTGAAGAACTAGAGTGAGCTTGGAAGTGGAGCCTTGCTTAGTTAAGCCTCCTATGAGACCACAGCACCAAGCAACACTTTGATTATGGCTTCCCAGAGAACCCAGCTAAATCATGCCCAGACTCCTGTCCTGTAGTAAGAAATGTATGTTGTCTTAATGGTAATATTGTTTGACAGCAAGAGAAAACTAATATAGATGAAGAGCTCTGTGAACCATGAAACTACAACCACTCTTCTCCACCCATTTTTCTCAGCATCTCACAGGCGAACCACTTCTGAGCTTGTCTGGTTTTATCCTTGAGGGGACCAGGAAACAGGTAGGTGTGGGTCAGGCATTATTCCCCAAGGCAATAGCTGGAAGAAGCAAAAGCAGCTTTCCAAACAGCTCACCTCTCTATTTTATTTTCTTTAAATCTTTATATATGTTTATAATCTTGACAGGCTATCTCCTATCCTAGGCCAAATCCACACCCCTCCATACACACTAGTTAAAAATAGCTTCCTATCCCCAGCATCACTCCAGGGGTTTCTTCCGGTTTTCTTCATTTTTCCTCCCTAGTTCCTTTAGAATTGATAAGGCAGAATAATTCGTTCACCATTTTAGCCTCTCTCACAACTTTATACTCTTCATCTTGGCTTGAAGATATCTTCATTTCATTCTTTTTCTTAAACGGTAGTTACACTGTTTATAAAAATCTAGGTTGAGAGTTATTTTTTGTCAGTATTTTGAAGATATTAATACACCATCTTCTGACTTTTATTGCTGTTTAGAAATTAGCCCTGTGGAAATTATTATTCTTTTGTAGGTAAAGTGTCCTCTTACCACCTCCCTCTGTCCCTTCAACTCCAGCCGGGGTTGTTATACAGAAATAACCTTAAAATAAAATAAAATTTAAATTTAAATTAAAAAAATCTTCTCTTTATCTTTAATGTTCTGCAGTTGAAATACAATATGTGTGATATGGATTTCTTTTTATTATTATGTTTAGTGTTTGTTAGGTTCTGTTAAATATAAAGAATGAGGTTTTTCATTGATTCTAGAAAGTTCTGAGCCACTAACTCTTCAAATATTGCTTCTTCACCATAATCTCTTTTTTCCTCCTGAAATAATTAAATGTATATTCAATATTTTTCTTCTCATTTTACCTTTTTATATTTCCTATCAGTACATCTCATTGTCTGCATTCTAAGCAGTTTGCTTGAGAGTTATCACTAGTTGAGAAATTCTTTCTTCATCTCAGATTAATCTGCTAGGCAACACATCCATTGAGTCTCTAGTAGCAATCATTAATTTTTTCCCTTTCAGATTACTTTATTGTTAAAGCTTCCTAGTTATTTTTAAAAGTCTTTTATTTATGTATTATAATTTTAGTATCTACTTTGATTTCTTTAAAGATTAAAAAATTACTATTTTTATGTTCCATATTTGGTAATTTAAATTTAAATACCTGCAGTTTAAGTGAGATTCAATTTTTAAAATTATTACATCGGATTGCTTGGAACATGGTTCTTTCATTTTATTAATTAATTATTTATTTTTGAGGCAAGGTCCCATTCTGTTGCTCAGAGTGGGGTACAATGTTGCAATCCTAGGTCATTGCAGCCTTGAACTCCTAGGCTCAAGTGATCTTCCCACCTCAGCCTCTCAAATAACTGGGACTACAGGCTCATGCCACTGCACCCAGCCTTATTTCATTTTATTTTTTTATACTCGGGTTTAAGATGCCCTCTCCCAGAAAGGATTTGCATTGGTTTTTCAAGTCATCTAGGATCAACATTAAACTAATGACCCATAATGGCTTTCACTGTAGAGACATGTATTTTCTATTTCTTCTCTGCAGAGAGTTAAAATATAACAAATAAATAACTTCACTGTCTTCTTTTGTATTTTCCCGTTTTTGTGTTTTATGTTGTGTGGTTTCCATTGGAGGTATATTGATTTTATACAAGAGTCTCTGATCTGAACTCTCAAGTTACAACAAGATTTTGTCTTTTCTCCTTTTTGGGCAAAGTATGTTTGAGTCCAGTCTGTGCACTGCCAGGTATCAGCAGGTGCTAGGAGGAGAATAGCAGCTCCAGCCAATCCTTTTCTCTCCAGATTTGGGTGCCCTCATTCTATCTGAACTTCTGGAATTACTCTTACTTTTATGCCAACTCAGCCATGCAGTTGAAAATATTTTTAAAGTTTTTTTATCCAGAAATTTTAGCTGTTGATACCAGAAATGCTGTCCAGACACCTTATATTATAATTGCCGAATAATGTGTGTGTGTGTGTAATTAAATCCATGTATTAGTAAAATATTTCCTCCCTTCATAAAATATTTATTGAGAAGCCACTATGTGACAAATACTTTAATGGGCCCGGGACATATAAAGCTGATAGAGGCTCTCATGGATCTTACTGTGTAGTGTGTGATATAGATAAGTAAACAGTAATAACAATTCAGTGTGAGAAATAGTATGGCATAGGAAATACAGGAGGTTCCAGGAGTGCCTAAGAAGAACATTGCCTCAGACCTTGAGGATTAGTTAGGAAAGGCTTCCAGAAGAAAATGACATCTAACATTATTTGGAAAAAATGCATTCCCTTTAAAGCTTTTTTCCCTCCATCTTTTAGCTTCCTTTCACTACTATCCTAACAAAATGCCTGTTTTCACTTCTCTGTGCTCCCCTTTTGGGATCTTATGTTGTGGTTTTTCCTTTGAGAGTGAAAGGAAAGGAAAGAAAATTAGAAATACGTTCAGCCATTACTCTGTTGTTATTTAATAGCATTTGATTTTATCTGTTCTATTTTCTGGAAAGTCCTGCTCTGTTCATGTCCACTGACATGATCATACTGCCTTCTGGAGGGATAATTTAGCAATGATTTTAAAAATATGTACAAAATTTTGAAACATTTAAAAAGAAACAAATTCGTTTAAAATGTAACTGAAGTTTGGAAGGAAAGAAAGGGAGCGTAATTGTACATAATTGCACTAGCTCAAAATTCATAACCTTATTAGTTATCCGAAAATGGACTTTAGAGAAGTACGACTTACTCTTTTTCATATTGAAGAAAAGCTATTTAATTTTTACTTCATTTTATTTTAGCTTTGAATCTTCATATATCTCAAAGAAAAAGTTAGCATTTGGAGGTATAAGACTGCATAAAAAGGTAAATTTTTGACAAATCCAAATATAGGACTTTTCTAAAAAATTAAAACAAATTCAAGTCTTTTTATTTCTCCTTTTATAAGCTTCTTTTAGAGTGAAGATTAGAAGAGCACGGTGAAAAAATTCTTTTTTATTTTTAAGATCGTACATTTTGTTATTTTATGCTGAAGCTAAGTTATATTGACAGTGTTTATATAATACTTAATAAATATTAATTCTTTATTTTGTTGGACAAATCAAAAATTGTGGTAATCTGTTTACACCTAAGAAATTTTTCTCATTTTAAAATAAAGAATTTTTTTTTTTTTTTTTTTTGAGACAGAGTCTGGCTCTATTGCCCAGGCTGGAGTGCAGTGGTATGATCTCAGCTCACTGCAACCTCCACCTCCCAAGTTCAAGTGATTCTCCTGCCTCAGCCTCCTGAGTAGCTGGGATTACAGGCGTGTGCCACCACACCCAGCTAATTTTTGTGTTTTAGTAGAGACGGGGTTTTGCCATGTTGGCCAGGCTGGTCTTGAACTCCTGACCTCAAGCGATCCACCCACCTCGGCCTCCTAAAGTGCTGGGATTACAGGCATGAGCCACTGCGCCTGGCCGAAATAAAAACTTTTGAAATAAAAAGAGTTGGCCTAAAAATATGTATTTACATGCTTTCAGCAAATAACTAGTAATTGAAGATGGCTAAGTTTATCTGAATTCTAGACTATATTCATTTTATTAGATACAAACAGTTTAGTTGCCAAAATGAAAACAGCATAGACGTAAACAAAATCCATCGATGGTTTGATTGAAGTGTAGTAAAGACATCAGAGTAATTTCTGTCGAGTGCATTGAAGAGTCAGAGGCTCTTTTAGGTCTGTCCAAATCATGAATTTTATCTTATGCACGGGTGTTCATTATATTGAGTTTTGTCCTCATTTAATTACTACAGGAACAAATTATGTTCTACTGGGACTTTGAGACGGACAGTTGATGACCCTATAGCATTGGGGATTAGAGATAAGATGAAATGGAGTAGGATTTTCACATAAATGATCATATACCCTACCGATATCTCCAGACTCCTGATTCAAGTGTCTCTAAGAGGCTTAACCAGTTATTAAACACATGACCAAAATGACAAGTGATAAACTATAAAAGATATCCTTTAAAATGAAGGTGTAAGTAAAGAAAGTCAATAGGTAAATATAAAGTGGTGTATTCTTGGGATCAGAGGATTTGTGGTTTTGGTTGTCATCTCTTTCTCTCAATGGATGAAGATCACCAAATAAAGATCACCAAATTAAAGTAGATAACTAATATAAATAGTTAAAATGCCCCCAAGCTTTTAAGACAAAAATAATCATTCAAGCCACTTCATTGCAACAACGATGGCCAAATCTATTTAAATAACTCTATCTACTTTGTGCTGCCACTCCATCTTGTGGCCAAATTCCAGCCAATACTTGAAAAGAATTTTAAATGAAAACAGAACACGAACTCTTAGTGAAGAGACGTCGTGGGTAAACTAACATCAAGTTTGAACCAGTTCTATGTGCTTCAGCATTTTTAACAAGGTAACCACATTTTAAAAAGATGATTGACAAGCTAATGTACTGCCAGAGGATGAAAGCCATTATGGCAAGATATTAACAAACCATGCTTTATTAGGAAACAGCCAAATGATGCAAGGGACATTCATTTATTTAACAAATATTTGTTGAAAACGTATGTATCAGGCACTGTTTTAGGATTGGACTTTATTGCCATGAATGAAACATAAGCATTTCTGTCTCATGGAGTGTATATTTTACAAGGGAAAACAGATAACAAATGATCTAAATATCTAGGGTACAAGATAGGCATAAAAAGTTGAGTCTTCTCCTCTCAGTATGACTCTCATAAGAAAAGTTTGCAAGCTTTGGGGGCCATTTTTAAAGTGTAGATAATAATAAAAATTTAGCCAATATCAATATATTGCACATGGGCTCAAAACACAATTTAAACCAAATGATAGAATTCTGAAATGATGACACAAGAAAGTTTAAAACAAATATTGTGATGTGTTTTTCACATTGGGGCAACTAATGAATTACCAGAAATTTCGTTTCCTTATTAAAAGGAATCTTAATTTCCCACAGATGATTAGTTTTAATGTTCAAATATGTATGAAATGATAGGTATAATGCTCAACAGATTTAGCCTCCTCATAGGGAAACAGAAGGCCTTTGGTGCAAGAATTTCTCCCTGTCTGAAATGTCACAGTACCCCAAATTTGGATGTGGAGAGGAGACTTGAGTTAAGTGAAATATACAATGGATGAAAAGACGAAGGGAGTAGAGATAAGCTGGTGGGCAACTAGATGGGAACCTCAATTGTGTGGACACGGGGGTAGGCAGCAAGATGGAAGGTATGTTAGGAACAAGTGTAGAATGGCCAACTAATCTAACTAGTTTTTTCCTAGAGCTGATGCTGGGCACAGAAGGGCATACTGAAAGATAGTGGAGCTTTGTCATATTCATGTTCAACTTGGAAGCAATTCAACATTATAAAAATTTAGATAGGTTGGGTGTGGTGGCTCATGCCTCTAATCCCAACACTTTGGGAGGTTGAGGCGGGCAGATCCCCTGAGGTCAGGAGTTCGAGACCAGCCTGGCCAACATGGTGAAACCCCGTCTCTACTAAAAATACAAAAATTAGCCAGGTGTGGTGGCAGGCACCTGTAATCCCAGCTATTCAGGAGGCTAAGGCAAGATAATTGCTTGAACCGGGGAGGCAGAAGTGGCTTGAGCCGAGATTGCGCCATTGCACTCCAGCCTGGGCAACAAGAGCGAGACTTCATCTATGTATATGTATATATATATATATATATATATATATATATATATATATATATATATATATATATAAAGTTAGATGGTAGTTGTGGAAAGGGTATGGGCCTTGAACTCATACCAAAGAGGCCAGAACTGGTGGCTCACACCTGTAATCCCAGCACTTTGGGTGTTCATGGCGGGCAAATTGCTTGAGCCCAGGAGTTCAAAACTAGCCTGGACAACGTGGCAAAACCCCATCTCTACAAAAAATAATAAAATAAAATAAAACCAGCTGGGCCAGGTGGCTCACACCTGTGGTCCCAGCTACTTGGGAGACTGAGGTAGGAGAAATAGCTTGAATCTAGGAGGTCGAGGGTGCAGTGAGCTGAGATTGTGCCACTGCACTCCAGCTTGGGCAACAGAGCAAGACCCTATCTATAAAGAAAAGAAAAGAAAAAAAAAAAAGAAAAAAGAAAATCATACAAAAGAGTTTAAATCCTTACTTTTGTCATTTACCCACTGGGTGGCTTTGGAAAAGCCATTCAAAATCATTTGAATGATAGTTTAATCATTTATAAAAAGATGACTGTAATATCTCAGAAGATCATTGAGGCCATTAATGGAAAATATATGCAAAACAACTGAGGATCTGACATGTAATCAATAAATTGCCTGCATAATATTAAATTGGAGTCTGAATGTAATTGCCATCAGCATCTCACACACATCTCAAGACAAAATTGTTGTTTTTTGTACTGTGTACAAGTACTCATTGAGTGGGGCCAATTTTTGGATTTAGAACTTTTCTGACGAAAGCACTGATTGAGTCCTTCAACATTTTCTTAGTTTTTTCTTTTTTTTTTTTTTTTAACACATCTGATTGTCTCCTGGTGATGTAGATTCTATGTTCATAAAATGCTCACTGACTCAATGATACAATTCCCTCTTTAGTTGTTTACTATTAAAAAACATATTTCAAGAGAACACAACTCCAACCACAAAAGCATTTTGAGGAAAGTGAAAATCAACAAAGGAGCAGGACCTGCACTGTGGAATGTATTTCTAGGCATTGACAAGCCAACATATTTGATTCTGTTTAAGAACCTTCTGTAAATTTTGGAGTCCTCATTAAGTACAGAAACAAAAATGAGGAAAAAACTGCCAAGCGGGGTTTGGATTTGTATTTTCATATGTTATCTCATGTATTAGTCTATTTTCACACTGCTATAAAGAAGTACCCAAGAATGGGTAATTTATAAAGGAAAGAGGTTAATTGACCTCTTCCACATGGCTAGAGGAGGCCTCAGGAAACCTATAAACATGGCAGAAGGTGAAGGGAAAGCAAACACCTTTTCACATGGTGGCAGGAGAGAGAAGATTGAGTAGCGAAGGGGGAAGATCCCCTTATAAAACCATCAGATGTCGTGAGAACGAACTCACTATCATGAGAACAGCATGGGGGAAACTGCTCCCATGATCCAATCACCTTCCACTGGGTCTTTCCCTAAACACATGAGGATTATGAGGATTACAATTCAAGATGAGATTTGGGTGGGGACACAGCCAAACCGTGTCATATCAATAGACCTGCTCTTGGTTTCAATTGGATAAACTTAGACTTAGATATTGTAAGTATGCATTTCCAGAGCAGCATTACAAATATTTGAAATGGTACATTTGGATCAAGTAAAAAGAACTAGCTTCTTATACACTTTTATTAAGAAGTTATTTATCATCTACCTTTGATCGTATCCTCTTAGGAAAAAACATATTTACATTTTTGTTCATTGGGCAAATATTTATCTCATTTACTTGTGTATTTCTTATAAGCCACCGATTTGCAATATGCTACATTTACATTTTCTCATTTGTTGCATCAGTTATAAAGGAGGAGGAAAGGAATAATAGGATTTGTTTGGTAATTTGTACTCTTACAGCTTTCTCTGAGTAGTTGTCCCAAAGCATTAAAAAATGCTTCAGAGTCTTGCATAAATTGTAACTGCACTGATATGCTTTCTTTCTTTTCTCACAAGGAGAAAGGTTATTAAAAACAGAGAAAGATCAGACTCTTCAACGCATTCTGAAGAGTGTCTCACACAGGGAATAAACTCAATAAGCAGTTGGTTAATATAAAAATGAATAGATGAATGAATCAGAATGTTTAAATATGTTATTTAAGAATCTATGATCTTTTCCTAAAAATATTATTTCTATAGTTCAGAAAACATTAAAAATTCAGTATCATGAGAAAAATGAAGTGTTTCATTAAGCATTCAATCAAAAAAAAATGAAGCTGACCACTTATAACCCTAAGCATGTTGAAAATGGTATTATTTCCAAAATTGATTATACACTATTCAAGCTGAGGGGGTCACCATTCTCAGTGTAAATGACTGTATTGTAATTTTATACAACGAGGCTCCCAGGGCTAATCCAACAGGTAGGACTTAGTCATGGAATATTGGATATTCAGGTTTCCTTTTTTGTTATTTTGCTTTTTGGAGACAAGGTCTTGCTCTTTTGCCAAGACTAAAGTGCAATGGCACAATCATGGCTAATAACAACCTAGACATCCTGGGCTCAACAGATCCTTCCATCTCAGCATCCCAAGTAGCAGGGACCACAGGCATACACCAACATGCCCAGCTAAGGTTTTAAATTTTTTGTAGAGGCTGGGTCTTGCTACGTTGTCCAGTCTAAAATTTCTTACCACCAATTTTTAGATTTTATTTTTGTCTTCCCCATCACACTTAGGCTGAAAGCACTTACTGTTTGTTGCAAAAGGTATCTGTCTTTAGAAGCATTCATTTGTCCTCTTATTATTGCTGGCCTTTCATGTTTTTTGAGTTTCTAAACTAGATCATTCAACACTTCAGATCACATGTAAAATGTCATGGGCATTCCTATGAATTAAGTGCATGAATTTTATGATATCTTTTTGTAATGTCCAGATTATTTTGCTCATTTTTTGAGTACTTGGCCAATCTAAGCCACTGAGTTCACCGGACTGGCCAGAATAATTTAAGTATTGCCATCATCACATCGTACAGGTGCTGCTAACTAGCAAGCTGTTCTTAATCATTGACATCTCTCTTTTTTTCTAGGCCAGATCCTTCTGTATAAATTAACAATAATTCGGCTGGGCATGGTGGCTCACACCTGTAATCCTAGCACTTAGGTAGGCCAAGGCAGGTGGATCACTTGAGGTCAGGAGATCAAGACCAGCCTGGCCAACATGGCAAAACCCCATCTCTACTAAAAATACAAAAATTAGCCAGGTATAGAGGTGCACACCTGTAATCCCAGCTACTCGGGAGGCTGGCACATGAGAATTGTTTGAACCTGGGAGGCAGAAGCTGCGGTGAGCCAAGGTCGCACCAGCCTTGGTCACACTGCACTCCAGCCTTGGCAACATAGTGAGACTCTGTCTTTAAAAAATAAAATAAATTAGATTAAATTAATTCACAATAATTCCTCTCTTCTAAGCCTATCCAAATTAGATCTATCTGACCCCACACAAAAAGTCCCAAGCGCAGTGACTTCTCAAACAGGTTGTAGAAATATGAGTTTGGGGCTCCTGGGTTAATACACAGTACTCGGTATGACATACATATGTGAAAAAAGACACAAACTACTATAGTAACAGCTCCTTGAGTTATTAGCATTTGCAACCACTCTGAAAAGTGGATTTCCTTCTTGACATTTTAAAAATAAGGAAGTTGATGAGCATTTTTTCATGTGTCTGTTGGCTGCATAAATGTCTTCTTTTCAGAAGTATCTATTCATATCCTTCACCCACTTTTTGATGGGGTTGTTTGTTTTTTTCTTGCAAATTTGTTTGAGTTCTTTGTAGATTCTGGATATTAGCCCTTTGTCAGATGAGTAGATTGCAAAAATTTTCTCCCATTCTGTAGGTTGCCTCTTCACTCTGATGGTAGTTTCTTTTGCTGTGCAGAAGCTCTTTAGTTTAATTAGATCCCATTTGTCAATTTTGGCTTTTGTTGCCATTGCTTTTGGTGTTTTAGACATGAAGTCCTTGCCCATGCGTATGTCCTGAATGGTATTGTCTAGGTTTTCTTCTAGGGTTTTTATGGTTTTAGGTCTAACATTTAAGTCTTTAATCCATCTTGAATTAATTTTTGTATAAGGTGTAAGGAAGGGTTCCAGTTTCAGCTTTCTACATATGGCTAGCCAGTTTTCCCAGCACCATTTGTTAAATAGGGAATCCTTTCCCTATTTCTTGTTTTTGTCAGGTTCATCAAAGATCAGATAGTTGTAGATGTGTGGTATTATTTCTGAGGTCTCTGTTCTGTTCCATTGGTCTATATCTCTCTATTTTGGTAGCAGTATCATCCTGTTTTGGTTACTGTAGCCTTGTAGTATAGTTTGAGGTCAGGTAGCATGATGCCTCCAGCTTTTGATGAGTTCATGTCCTTTGTAGGGACATGGATGAAGCTGGAAACCATCATTCTCAGCAAACTGTCGCAAGGACAAAAAACCAAACACCGCATGTTCTCACTCATAGGTGGGAATTGAACAATGAGAACACTTGGACACAGGAAGGGGAACATCACACACAGGGGTCTGTTGTGGGGTTGGGGGAGGGGGGAGGGGGGAGGGATAGCATTAGGAGATATACCTAATGTAAATGACGAGATAATGGGTGCAGCACACCAACATGGCACATGTATACATATGTAACAAACCTGTGCGTTGTGCACATGTACCCTAGAACTTAAAGTGTAATAAAAATATATATATATAAAAAAAAATAAGGAAGTTGAGGGTCAGAGAAGCTAAGTATATTGCCAAAAGTCAGAGTTACAAAGCCATGAAGTCAGGATAAAAATTTCAGTTTGTCCGTTTTCAGAGACTGTGCATTTTCCTGGGCTCCACATGGTCTCTACATTTGAATTCAAAATTTATAAATAACTTTATGTGTAATTCTATATGTTGTTGCCTACAGTGACAGAACTTTTTGACTAATTTATGAATTTTCTATTTTGAAGTTATTTATAATGTGTCACCCTGAGGGTTGTTATGAAGATGTATATGAAAAAAATATGCTTGAAGAAATTGTGCATAGTATAAAGCCCTGTACTACTTTTATTTATTATCATTGTATGGTTTTGCCCAGAGACGTTTCAACAGAGGAACATAATTTAAAGGTTTTAAAGTAGAAGCAGCCCGAGTGGCCACATAGGCAGAAACAATTTAAAGGTGACGACCCTATCTAGTGAATTAGGCCAAAGCTGAATTGGCATTTCCTTAAGCTCAAGAATGATGGGCCTTGAGTAGTCAATTCCACAATATCTGAGAAAATGAGATACCTAATCTGGGGCATATACATTCTGCTAGACCTACACCTTAAGCAATTGTCACTATGAACAAGAAACAGAACTAAGGATGTCCCTTTCTTTAGCACTGAAGTGTCTAAAACCCAAAAAGTAGGATCATTCCTAGAAAATCTTGATATCTCTCTGTGACAGTATTATTGTGCCTCTCAGGACAGGTAAAGACTAAGAATCAAGATGTTGCAATAGCAACATCTGCTGGTATTTTTGTAAAATTACACAAACCAACTGAAAAAGATTTTTTCCTAGTGACAGTTTTCTTTAAATGAGTTGCTGGACTTTGATTTATGGGCTACAGTACACACAGTAATGGAGCATGAGTATTGTGGGGGTGCAAATAGGGAGAATCAGTGGGCTGTTGGACGAATAAAAGGTGGTGTTTCAGAACAGAGACACACTTTATTTACACTGACATAAAAAAAACAGATCAACGAAGAGTAGAACCCAAAAACCTAAAGCTAAATTAAAAAATGAATGAATGAAAAAATTAGGCTTCTATATGACAGTGATTAAAACAAATACACACAGAACATTCTAATGATCAGAATGAGCATACAGTGGTTCTCGGGTTACCTGCAACCTGTACCCTGCAGTTTCCAGTAACCCACTCATCCACTCACTCTTCCAACAATTATTTATTGAGCACCTACTCTGTGTTATAATTTTTCTGAGTGCTGGAAATACAATAATGAACAAAGCAAGACCTTTCCTTAATGGAGCTTACTTTCTAGATTGGGGTGGGCTGGGAACGGGGAAAATAAATGAGTAAATTTACATCATCTGGCACTAAGTGATATAGGGATAAAGAAGCAGACAGGGGACAGAGTCATGAGGAGAGGCACTCCTTCATATAGGTAAGCAGGGAAATCCTCCCTTATAAGAGACATTTGAGTGGAGATGTGAAGTACATGTAGGGGTACAAGTGAGCCATGCAGTAGGGGAAGAGTGTTCTGGATAGACAGAACAGCAAGTGCAAAGCCCTGAAACAGGCAAAATTTGAGTACCATCAAGGTTTTGACTGATTTGAGGACCATCAAGGAAGACTATGGAACTGAATTAAAGTAGAAACAGTGGAACATGACAGTGGACTGGCAGTAAGGGGACAGACTCTGGGGTCTTTAGGTCAGAGTAAGAAATTGGCCTTTCCTCTGCATGAGAAAATAAGTCATCAGAAGGATTTGGGACAAAGAAGGAACACAGGGAGGAGAAGGGAAGCTATTGGTTACAATGAATAGAAATGTTTGACATGCGGGAATATATTCAGGTATTATCATTGATAAGTAGAGGAACATCTCATACTACCACCCTCAAGCTGTTGTAATCCTGAAGCCACTATCCCATCCCAGCCTTTTTTCCTGAATATTCTTCCCCTTGTTAGGCTTGGCTAGAAGATGAATGGGCATAATTTTTCAGCTGTTCTATTATAGTTCATCTACAGATATTAATAAAGTTAATGAGATCATTGCTGACTCAGAATTCTGGCATACAAGTACTATGCATTATTACCTGGCTGAGTATTTTGCTTTTCATTAAAATATACACTGAATATTTGAATGCTTTTGACATATTAAAGCAAAGAACAATGCAACATGAACCAATGTGGGATATAAACTAGCATGATGGTAGAAGATTAAAGATCAACAAGAAATAAAAGATGATAGTTCAAATTATACCAGACTTTTCTATTAAATCCCTGCATGCACACACCTCACAGGCCTCTTATGCTTCATTTACCCCAAAGATGAGTTCATGATCTTCACTCCTAGTATTCAAATCTGCTCTTTTTATTGTGATCCCTATTTTGGTAAATGGTACCACCTCTTATCCAATTTCATGTGTCTGAAAATTCTTCTCTACATTTTCCTTTACATCTTCCTCTCTAATACACTATACCCCTAATCAATCACCAAATGCTATTGTTTATCAAATTATTTTTATTATCAAATTATTTTTATCTACGTTAACCCAGACCCCTTTTTACCATATATGTCCAAGCCACTATTATTGCTCACTTAGAGCATTATAATTGATCTATGTTTGACTTCTGTTTTGTTCACTCTGTCCACACCTCTTCTATGTCATTCTCTACCCAGTATATTATGATGTCTCCACTCTGCCTAAAATCCTTATTGGCTTCCAATTATCCTTAGGAAAAAGTTAAAAATCCTTAATATTGTTCCTTCAGAATTACACATCCAAAACTGACAGTTTCCTCTGTGTTGCAGGCTCTTAGCCCCGTGAAAGGTGTATTAAACTCCTTCTTACAGGCTATAAAACCTCATAGTCCACTTAATCCACAATATCGTATCCTAATAAATCCATTTATTTATCTTGATTTGCAAATTTTCTCAAACATCTTTTATTTTAAAAATTCTGAAAATATCAACAAGCATCAATGAAAAATTATTTTGAACATAACACTGATAAGTAAAATACCTACCTGCCTAACCGTTTTCTTTATTAATGTTACCTTTCTAAGATTATGGACCCCAAACTTACAGCAGTATACTTTTTTTAACTTTTATTTTAAGTTCAGGAGTACATGTGAATGTTTCTAACATGGGTAAACTTGTGTCAAGGGAGTTTATTGTACAGATTATTTCATTGCCCAGGTATTCAGCCTAGTACCCATTAATTATTTCTCCTGATCCTCTCCCTCCTCCCACCTCTACCCTCCCAGAGGCTCCCATGTTTCTTGTTCCCCTCTGTATGACCATGGGTTCTCATCATTTAGCTGCCACTTATAAGTGAGAACATGTTGGCACTTGGTTTTCTGTTCCTGTGTTAGTTTGCTAAAGATAATGGCCTCCAGCTCCAAACATGTCTCTGCAAAGTACATGATCTCATTGTTTGTTATGGCTGCATAGTATTCCATGGTGTATATGTACCACATTTTCTTTATCCAGCCTGTCACTGATGAACATTTAGGTTGATTCCATGTCTTTGCTATCATGAATAGTGTTGCAGTGAACATGTGCATGAATGTGTCTTTGTAATAGAATTATTTATATTCCTTTGGGTATATACCCAGTAATGGGATGCAGTGTGCTTTTTCAAGTGCAATTCAAGTATAACTAAATTTGAGATGAGAGAGAGGGCCAGTCCTCACTTGTTTCTCCCTGGCTTTCATGACAACACCACACTGATTAATAATAAATAATAACAGCATATTTTGGCCATCCAGGTAATTAGTTTGCCATTTAATTGTCAACAAAAGTGACAAAGAGGAATTAATATTACAGTTGAAATGGAAAAAAGGGCTTGTTGTCTAGTATAAATAAATCTCCAACATAATGCAACTGATGAAAACAGACCTAGGTTAGAACCTTGTGTAAACTAATTATTATGTTACTTTAGGCAAATTATTTAATCTCTATGAAATTTTCTATTTCTTCATTTAAAGACAGGATATTTGAAAAGAGAAAAACTCTCTTTATGGGATGAAAATAATAAATGAACGAGTACATATAAAACAAATGATAATTAGCCAATAGTAAGCAAATGTCAAACCTCCTACACCAAATCACATATGAATCACATATATATGACTTAAAACCTCATAGATTTTGTAGATTAATGACTTTAAAAAGAATAGTAGTATAAATTAAATAAAATACTTTTACCCTTGTAATATGAAATGCCACTGGCTTCAGAATAATTGTATTAGAAACTGGTCAAAAAGAAAACCCAGTGATCAACTGTAAATATCAATCTGTTCTTGATTAGCTGAACACCCATTGCTGCTACTTCCCTGGTTGGAGCTAATCACAGGTGTTCTCATACACTGAAGGGGCTGCTTACCTATGTAGGGCTCACAGGGTAATAATATAAGAGAATTATGTGTCATGTGTTCTAAGTGCACTGTAGCACCAGCTGTTCTTTCCTGTCATTTGTATTCACTAAAGCTGGTATGTCTGTTTTTTATTCCCTTTTAAATATAGACATGATGATGCAATCAGATAAAATATCCTATTGCTTTCATCATTATTTTCAATGATTTTTTACTAAAATCTGCAATTTTTAAATTTCTCCACTTTATTTCACATGGAGGTGAAATGACCATTAATTTAAGTGAAAATTATACAGCAGGATTTTTAGGCATTATTGTATGAAAAGACCATGTTTTGCTAACATGGTTCTCCTCTTCTCTGAAATGTAGTGTCTGATAAAGTAAAAATAAAAATGCATTGCAGTTAGGCCCAAAGGTAGTGAATTATCTCAATTGATTGTTCACAGTCAGTTATACATTGAACTCCTTGTTCTACTTTTTCCCTGCTTCTCACTACTGCACTCAACTAGTCTTAAAATAAACACATTGAAGTAGAAATTGACTACAAATAGATAATTCAAATCTGTGTCAAAATTTGTGGGATACACACAGAGCAGTGCTTGGATGGAAACAGAATTTTATGTACTTATATTGGAAAAGAAGAAAGATCTAAATTCAACGACTTAAGGTTGCACTTCACAAAGCTAGAAAAAAAAAGCAAAAATAAACTTAAAGTAAGTAGGTAGGAGGAAATAATAAAGGGCAGAAATCAAGAAAGTAGAAAACATAGAGACAATGGAAAAAATTAAGAAAGCCAAAAGCTAACTCCTTGAAAAAGTAAGCAAAATTCACAAGCTTCTAGGTAGACTTAAGTAAAAAAGAGAGGAAATAAAAATCATCAATAGCAGGAAAGAAAAAGCTTTCCTGTAACATAATATGATAGAATCTGCACCACAGATCCTACAGATATTAAAAGGATAATAAATAAAGAGTGTGAGCAAATTTAGGTCAGCACATTTGACATCTTAGATAAAAGAGACCATTTTTTGTCTTTCATACTGTTCTTGCTACCATTGCTGCATAACAAACCACCTCAAAACTCAGTGGTATCACATTCAACAGTTCTCTGGGTCAGGACTCCAGAAAGGGCACAACAGGGATAGTTTTTTTTTTCTGTTCCAAGATGCCTGGAGCCTCAGCAGGAAAGACTAAAAAACTGAGGGCAAATTTAAAGCTGGAGCTGGGAATCTTCTGCAAGTATTTTCACTCACATGTTTGGAAGATGAGCCTGGCTGCTGGCTGGCCCCTGAGAAGTGGGCTGTTAACTGGGAACCCACATGTGACATCTCCATGTGCCGTGGGCTTCCTCACAGCATGGCAACTTCAGAGTAATTGCATTTCATACATGGAAGCTCTGGTCTCCAAAGGTACCGTTCTACCCACAAGGAAGAAGCTGTATCACTTTCTGAAGTACACTCAAAGTCAGTCAGCTTCACTTCTGCTATATTCATTTCAGATTCCAGAAAATTTGACAACTTAGATAAAAGGGGTCATTTTTGTTTTTCTTACTGTTCTTGCTACCATTGCTGCATAACAAACCACCCCAAAACTCAGGGGTTTCAAGCAATCATTTTTTCACGTTCACCAATTCTCTGGGTCAGGACTCTAGACAGAGTGCCACAGGGATAGGTTATTTTGTTTTGTTTTGCTTCTGCTTTTTGTTTTTTTTCTGTTCCAAGATGTCTGGGGCCTCAGAAGGAAAGACTAAGAAACTGGAATCACCTGCAAGTATAGGATATCCACCTTTGATATGATTTTTGGCTTAAGGCTCTTTCTTTGAGAATAGTTTGCTGCTGAAACTATCCTGTAAAGTGTACAGGATAGTTTCCTGTACCTTCCTCCAAATTTTACTCAAAAACTCTTTCGTCTCTCATTCTATTACAGGTGGCTCAAAGAGGTCAGGAGGCACCTTCAACACTTTTATTGGAGATCTCCTTGTCTAGATCATCAGGTTTGTCAGGTGTATATTTTCTATTTTTATGTTGTCACATGGAACAATTTTGCTAAATTTTGTAATACTTTAAAAAAAATCTTTTTTACCCCAGCTTCCAATAACACTTATCTCCCTGTCCTTCCAGCTTGCATAATTGTCTCCCTCGGTATCATCTGGCCTTTACTGACAGCCTTCCCAAGGCTCTTCTGGCTCCCATCTAATCCAGTTTCAGAGCCAATGCCATGTTTTTGTCATGTTAGCTTCCTACTTCCAGCTCCCAAATTTCTGTCCCACTTATTATTACTAAATAACGATGACCCCAAGTTTACTGGTCTAGTTATTGTACTGGCTTAAACCAACTGCTTTATGATTTTCACAAATTTGTGGAACAGAGATTCAAACAAAGCACAGTAAGGATACAGAAATGACTTTCTCTTGCTCAATGATGTCTAGGGTCTCTTCTGGGAAGACTAAAAAATTGTTGGCTTTTAATGAGTGAGCGCTAGAATCCTCTGGAGGAGTATTTATTCACTTGTCCAGTAGTTGTTACTGACTGTTGTCTGAGTCCTCTGGGGGTGCTGTCAGGCAAACCATCCATGTTTGGATCATGCAGTAGATATATTTCTATCAGTAAGGCATCTGTACTACTATTCTCCAAAGTAATTACACCATTTTATGATCCCACCAAAAATGAATAAGAGTAATGATTATTCCATATTCTCACCAACATTTGATATTATTAATGTTTTACTTTACCCATTCTTGTGGTCATGAAATAGTATCTCATGCTATAGATAGTGTATTAATCCATTTTCACATTGCTGATAAAGACATACCTGAGACTGGGAAGAAAAAGAGGTTTAATTGGACTTATAGTTCCACATGGCTGGGGAGGCCTCAGAATCATGGTGGGAGGTGAAAGGCACTTCTTACATGACAGCAACAAGAGAAAAAATGAGAGAGAAGCAAAAATGGAAACCTGTGATAAATCCATCAGATCTCATAAGACTTATTCACTATCACAAGAATAGCATGGGAAAGGCTGGCCCCCATGATTGAATTACTTCCCACTGGTTCCTTCCCACAACATGTGGGAATTCTGGGAGGTACAATTCAAGTTGAGATTTGGGTGGGGACACAATCAAACCATATCAGATAGTATGAAAATTAAAGTAATGATATTATTTTAATTTCCCTGATGACCAATAATGCCAAACAATTTTTCATGTATGTTTTTTGCAATTGCATATATTCTTTTCTGAGGCATTGGTTCAAGTCCTTTCTTTTTTTCAAAAATTGGGTTGTCTTTATTATTGATCTATAGAAGATATAATTATGTTAGATATAAATATTAGAAATATTTTTTCCAGTCTATGGCTTGCTTATCATTTTTAATCTATATTTTTGATGTACAGAATACTTAATTTTTGATGTTCAATTTTATCAATTTTTTCTTTTGTGTGCTTTTTGTATTCTGACTAATTTTGTGAGGTTTCTTGTCCTGTATTTGCAGCCAAGTTTTTCTATTTTGTTGTTGTTGTTGATTATAAAGTGCTTGTGCTCAGAAGTTTCTTTATTTTACTTTTCTATTTATTACTGAACTGTGACATTTTATTTTAACCTCCTTTATTTACACATTCTACATTTCTCCTTCGAGGTATTTTCTTAAAAAATCATAGAGTCATTTATCTCTTATTATTAAAAAATATTTTCCCAAACACTTTCTCATGTATTTCTTAGTGTGATCTCAGTTCTTTATACATTATTAGTCTAATTTTTACTGATAATTATTTCCCTTTAACTTTTGCTGCAGTTTTGTTTGTTTGTTTGTTTTGGTAATAGCCAAATGTAACTTCGATGTTAGTTTATTAGTCAGGGTTCTCTACAGGGACAGAACTAATGGAATATATATATGGGAATTTATTAAGTTATTAACTCACATGATCACAACTTCCCACAATAGGCTATCTGCAGGCTGAGGAGCAAGGAGAGCCAATCTGAGTTCCAAAGCTGAAGAATTTGAAGTCCAATATTTGAGGGCAGGAAGCATCCAGCACGGGAGAAAGATGTAGGCTGGGTGGCTAGGCCAGTCTCTCTTTTCACATTTTTCTACCTGCTTATATTCTAGCTGCACTGGCAGTTGATTAGATTTTGCCTACCCAGATTAAGGGTGGATCTGCCTTTCCCAATCCACTGACTCAAATGTTAATCTCCTTTGGCAACATCCTGGCAGACACACCCGGGATCAATACTTTGTATCCTTCAATCCAATCAAGTTGACACTCAGTATTAACAATCACAGCTAGCTTCTATTTAGATTTTCCCAATCTTGATTGGGAGATCTTACGGAATTTCTGAAGAAGTCTGTATGGCATGGAATAAAAGAGAATTAGCTGCTGCATTTGGACCCAAAATGGTATGTTTTTAAAACATCAATTATCTTCTCCCCATGTTATTGTTTTCCACTTTGGAGTAATGTTTCTCTCAATTTTGTTGTTGTGAAAGCTATTGGGCTTCACAGTGAAGGCTCAGGATTAAATGCCTATGCCTCTCTCTGTAGAAATAGTCTGGCTGCTTTCTCCTTCTCCTTCATTTCTATCTCACTTTGGGGCATCTTCCTGGGCAAAAAGTTTAAGGAATATAAAGTAACAAGAGCATGCATGTGTGGTTCTTTCCCTGTCAGGTCCAATTATCCTATAGATCTGATATGTGGGTCCGGGGCCTTAGGGAATATCCTTTGTTTTTGCTGTAGCCCGTCCAAACTTGTGAATTCATCACTTGAAGTCAAGAATTGTTAGATGAGTTTTTAAAACTGTCTCACATACACTATATTCACTGAGCACTGAAAGTTGAGGGTTAACTCTCAGAGCTATTTCGTCCAAATTTACCACCTGTAACAGGTTTTCTTTACATTTCTGTTTTGAAGTCACAGATATTTTCTTGATTCATTTAATAGTTTTTGTTTTTATTACTTTTTATTTACATTATTTATTTTAGATTCAAGGGGTACATGTGCAGGTTTGTTACAAGGGTGCATTGCATAATTCTGGGGTTTGGGCTTCTATTGAACCCATCACTCAGGTAGTGAGCGTAGTACCCAATAGTTTTTCAACCATTGACCCTCTCTCTCCCTCCCCACTCTAGCAGTACCCAGTGTCTATTGTTCCCATGTTTATGTCCATGTGTACCCATTGTTTAGCTCCCAGGTATAACAGAGAACATGGGGTATTTGCTTTTCTGTTTCTCCATTAGATCACTTAGGATAATGGCCTCCAGTTGCATCTATGTTGCTGCAAAGGACAGAATTCCATTCTTTATTACGGCTGTGTAATATTTGATGGGGTATATGTACCACATTTTCTTGATCCAATTCACCATTGATAGGCACTTAGGTTGATTCCATGACTTTGCTATTGCGAATAGTGCTGAGATAAACATGTTGAGAAAAAGCAGGTGTCTTTTTGTTAGAAGGATTTCTTTTTCTTTGGGCAATTACTGGTAGTGGGATTTCTAGATCAAATGGTAATTCTGTTTTTAGGTCTTTGAGAAATCTGCATACTGTTTTCCATAGGGGTTGAACTAATTTACATCCCACCAACAGTGTATTAGTGCTCCCTTTTCTCCATATCCTCACCAACATTTGTTATTTTTCTACTGTTTAGTAATAGTCATTCTGACTGGTGTAAGATGGTATCTCATTGTGGTTTTAATTTGCATTTCTCTGATGAAAAGTGATGTTGAGTATTTTTTCATATGTTTGTTGACTGCTTATATGACTTCCTTTGGGAATTATCTGTTCATGTCCTTTGCCCACTTTTTAATGGGCTTATCAGTGTTTTTTTCTTATTAATTTGTTTAAGTTTCTTATAGATTCTTGATATTAGTCCTTTGTTGGATGTGTACTTTGCAAATATTTTCTGCCATTCTGTAGGTTGTCTGTTTATTCTGTTGATTGTTTATTTTGCTGTGCAGATGCTCTTTAGTTAAGTCCCAACTGTCAATTTTTTGTTTTGTTACATTTGCTTTTGAGGTCTTAGTCATAAATTTATTGCCTAGGCCAATGTTGAGAAAGTTTTTCCTGGATTTACCTCTAGGATTTTTATGGTTTGAGGAATTATATTGAAATCTTTAATCCATCTTGACTTAATTTTTGCATGGTGAGAGGTAGGTGCCCAGTTTCTTTTTTCTGCATATGGCTAGCCAGTTTTCCCAGCACCATTTATTGAATAAGGTGTCCTTTGCCCGTGATTTATTTGGGTCAACTTTGTCAAACCTGAGTTGGTTGTAGGTGTGTCACTTTATGTCTGGGTTATCTATTCTGTTCCATTGATGTATTTCTCTATTTGGTTGTACAAATACCATGCTGTTTTGGTTACTATAACCTTGCAGAATAGTTTGAAGTCAAGTAATGTGATGCCTCCAGTTCTGTTCTTTTTATTTAGGATTGCTTTGGCTATTTAAGCTATTCTTTGGTTTCATATAAATTTTAGAATTGTTTTTCCTGACTGTGAAAAGTGGCATTGGTGATTTGATAGAAATTGTCTTGAATCTGTAGATTGTTGAATCTGTAGATTGCTTTGGGGAGTATGGTCATTTTAGTGATATTGATTCTTCCAATCCACACATGAAATGTTTTCCATTTCTTTGTGTCATCTGTGATTTCTTTAAGCAGTGTTTTGTAGTTCTTCTTGTAGAGATATTTTACCTCCTTGGTTAAAGGTATTCCTAGATATTTTATTTTTTGTGGCTATTGTAAATGGGATTGCATTATTTATTTGTTTCTCAGCTTAGACATTATTGATGTATCAAAATGCTACTGATTTTTGTACATTGATTTTGTACCCTGAAACTTCACTGAAGTCATTGATTAGATCTATGAGTCTTTTGGAGGAATCTTTAGGGTATCCTACATATGAAATCATACCACTAGCAAAGAGAAAATTTGACTTTCTCTCCCTATTTGGATGCCTTTCGTTTCTTTTACTTGTCTGATTGCTCTGGCTAGAACATCCAGTACTATGTTGAATATGAGTGGTGAGAATGGATATCCTTGTTTTGCTCTGGTTCTGCTTCCAACTTTGCCCACTCAGTATGATGTTGGCCGTAGGTTTGTCATAGATGGCTCTTATTATTTTGAGGTATATTCCTTCTATATCTAGTGTTGAGGGTTCCATTCTTGAAGAGATGTCAGATTTTATCAAATCCTTTTTGTGTCTGTTGAGATGATTATATAGGTTTTGTTTTTAATTTTGTTTATGTGTTGAAGCACATTTATTGATTTGTATACATTGAATTATCCTTACATTACAGGAATAAACTTACCACCTGGTAGTGGTAAGTTACTTTTTTTGATGTGATGCTGGATTTAGATTGCTAGTATTTTGTTGAGGACTTTTGCATCTAGGTCCATCAGGGATATTGGCTTGTAGTTTTCTTTTTGTTTTGTCCTTGCTGGATTTTTGTATTAGAATGATACTAGTTTCATAGAATGAGTGAGAAAGGAGTCCCTCCTCCTTGATTTTTTTTTTTTTTTGGAATAGTTTAATTAAGATTGATACCACTTCTTTGTATGTTTGGTAGAATTAGGCCATGAATCCATTTGGTCCAGGGCTTTTTCTGGTTGGTAGATTTTTTTATTTACTGATTCAGTCTCATAATCTTTTTTTATTACTGATTCAATCTCATAATTTGTTATTAGTCTATTCAGGATTCCAGTTTCTTCCTGGTTCAGTCTTGGGACATTGTGTGTTTTTGGGAAATTATCCATTTCATCTAGGTTTTCTAGTCTCTGTGCATAGAGATGTTCATAGTAGTCTCTGAGGATCTTTGGTATTTCTGTGGTAACCTTTATGTAACTGTCCAACGTGTACATCTTGCCCATTCCCCAGACAGAGCTGACTGATCAAAACATGGGAATTGCAATGAAGAAAATAATTCACACAGAGCCAGCTGTGTGAGAGACCAGAGTTTTATTATTACTCCAATCAAATATTCGAGTATTTGGGGATCAGAGTTTTTAAGGATAATTTAGTGAGTGGATGAAGGACAGTGAGTCGAGAGTGCTGATTGGTTGGATTGGAGATGAAATCATAGGGAGTTGATCCTCTTGCACTGAGTCAGTTCCTGGGTGGGGGCCAAAAGATCAGAAGAGCCAGTTTATTGATCTGGGTGGTGCCAGCTAATCCATCAAGTGCAGGATCTGCAAAATATCTCAAGCACTGATCTTAGGAGCAGTTTTGAGAGGGTCAGAATCTTGTAGACTCCAGCTGCATGACTCCTAAGCCATTATTTCCAATCTTCTGGTTAATCTGTTAGTCCTACAAAGGCAATCTAGTCCCCAGGCAAGAAGGAGGTTTGTTTTGGTTAATGGCTATTATTGTCTTTGTTTTAAACTATAAGTTATAAATTAAGTTCCTGTGAAAGTTAGTTCAGCTGGCTCCCAGGAATGAATGAGAACAGCATGGAGATTAGAAGCAAGATAGAGATGGTTAGGTCAGATCTCTTCTACTGTCTCAGTTATAATTTTGCAATGGTAGTTTCATTTCTAATGTCAACTTTGTCATTTCTCATTATATTTGTTTGGATCTTTTCTCTCTTTTTTTTTTCTTGGTTAATGTAACCAGCAATCTATCAACCTTGTTTATTACTTCAAAGAACCAACTTTTCATTTTGTTGATCCTTTGTATGTTTTTCTTGGTCTCAGTTCCATTTAGTTTTTTTTTTTCTTGTGCTAACTTTAAGTTTAGTTTGTTCTTGTTTTTCTAGTTCCTTTAGGCGCCAGGTTAGATTGTTAATTTGATCTTTCTATCTTTTTAATGTAGGCATTTAGCACTAAAAACATTCTTCTCAACACTGCTTTAGCTGCATCCCAGAGGCTTTCGTATGTTGTGTCTCTGTTTTGTTTTGAAATATGTTGTGATTTCTGCCTTAATTTTGTTGTTTATCCAAAGGTCATTCAGCAGCAAGTTGTTTGGTTTCCAGGTATTTGTGTGGTTTAAAGTGTTCCTCTTGGTATTAATTTCTAATTTTATTCCACTGTGATCCAATAAGAGGCTTGATATGATTTTTATTTTTATTTATTTTTTTATTGAGGTTTGCTTTATGACTGAGCATGTGGTCAATCTTAGAGAATGTTTCAAGGGCAGATGAGAAGAAGAAATACTCTGTGGTTGTTGAGTGGACTATTCTGTAGATATCTTTTAGGTGTGTTTGGTCCAGAGTCCAATTTAAGTCCAGAATCTCTTTGTAATTTTTCTGCTTCATACTGTCTAATGCTCTAAGTGAGGTGTTAAAGACCCCCACTATTACTGTATGGCTGTCTGTTTCTTTCCTTAGATCTAGTAGTATTTATTTTATAAATCGAGTGCTCTGATGTTGGGTGCATATATATTTAGGATGGTTAGATTTTCTTGTTAACGTGAACACCTTATCATTATATAACACCCATCTTTGTCTTTTTTTTTTTTCTTTCACTGTTGTTGGTTTAAAGTCTCTTTCATCTGACACAAAGATTGTAAACTCTGGGCTTTTTTGTTTACCATTTGCTTAAATATCTTTAGACTTCCCTCTACTTTGAGCCTATGGGTAGCATTATATGGAAGATGTTACTCTTCAAGGCAGCAGATAGGTTCTTGTTGTTGTCGTCGTTGTTGTTTTCATTCGATTTGCCACTCTTTCTTTTGAGTAGAGCATTTATACTGTTCGTGTTCATGGTTAATATTGATATGCATGGTTTTGTTCCTGTCTTATTGCTATTAGTTAGTTGCTTTGTAGTCTTCATTGTGTGATGACTTTATAGGGTCTGAGGCTTCGTATTTATGTGTGCTTTTATAATAGCAAGTATTGTTCTTTTGTTTCCATGTTTAAAACTTCCTTAAGCATTCCTTGTAGGGCCAATTTTGATGTGATTAATTCCCTTGGTGTTTGTTTTTCTGGGAAAGACTTTATTTCACTTTCATTATGAAGCTTCATTTGCCAGGAATATAAAATTTGTATGTATTAGTCTGTTCTCATGTCTAATAAAGACATATCTGAGACTGGGTAATTTAAAAAGGAAAGACATTTAATAGACTCACAGTTCTGCAGGGAGGAGAAGGCCTCAGGCAACTTACAATAATGGGTAGAAGGGGAAGCATACAAGTCGTTCTTCACATGGTGACAGCAAGGAGAAGTGCCAAGCAAAAGGGGGAAAAGCTCCTTGTAAAACTACCAGAACTTGTGAGAACTCACTATCACAAGAACAGCAGAATGGGAGTAATTGTCCCCATGATTCAATTACCTCACAGTGGGTTCTTCCCACGATATGTGGGGATTATGGGAACTACAATTCAAGATGAGATTTGGGTGGGAACACAGCCAAGCCTTATAATTCTTCCCCTGGCACCAATTCTCATATCCTCCCAACAGTCCCCCAAAGTTTTAACTCATTCCAGCATTAACACAAAACTCCAAAGTCTCATCTGAGACAAAGCAAATCCCTTTCACCTATGAGCCTGTAAAATCAAAAGCAAGTTAGTTACTTCCCATATACAGTGATGGTACAGGCATTGGGTAAATACACTTATTCCAAATGGGAGAAATTGACTCAAATGAAGGGGATACAGGCCCCATGCAAGTCCAAAATATAGCAGGGCAGTCAAATATTAAAGCTCCAAAATGATCTCCTTTGACTCCATGTCTCACATCCAGATCATGCTGATGCAGGAGGTGGGATCCCACAGCCTTGAGCAGCTCTGCCCCTGTGGCTTTGCAAGGTACAGCCCCCTCCTGGCTTTTTTCATGGGGTGGCATTGAGTGTCTACAGCTTTTACAAGTACACAGTGCAAGTTGTCAGTGGATCTACCATTCTGGGGTCTGAAGGATGGCAGCCCTCTTCTCATAGCTCCACTAGGCAGTTCCTCAGTGGGGACTCTATGTGGGGCTCCAATCCCCTATTTCTTTTGTGCACTGCCCTCGCAGATGTTCTCCATGAGGGCTCCACCTCTGTAGCAAGCTTTTTCCTGGATATCCAGGCATTTCCATACATTCTTTGAAATCTAGCTGGAGGTTCCCCAACCTTAATTCTTGACTTCTGTGCACCTGTAGGCCCACCACCACATGGAAGCCTCCAAGGCTTGGGGCTTGCCCCCTCTGAAGCAATGGCCTGAGTTGCACTTTGGCCCTATTTAGCCCCAGCTGGAGCAGCTGGGACACAGGACAGCAAGTCTCAAGGCTGCACACAGCAGGGTGGCCCTGGACCTGGTCCAGGAAACCATTTTTCCCTCCTAGGCCTCTGGGCCTGTGATAGGAGGGGTTGCTGTGAAAGTCTCTGACATATCCTGGAGACATTTTCCCCAATATCTTGGTGGTTAACATTTGGCTTCTTGTTACTTATGCAAATGTTTGCAGCCAGCTTGAATTTCTTCCCAGAAAATGGGGTTTTCTTTTCTATTGCATCATCAGGCTGCAAATTTTCCAAACTTTTATGCTCTTTTCCCTGTCTAATGCTTTGCTGCTTAGAAATTTCTTCTCCCAGATACTCATCTCTCTCAAGTTCAAAATTCCACAGATCTCTGGACCAGGGGCAAAATGCCTCCAGTTTCTTTGCATAGCAAGAGTGACCTTTACTCCAGTTCCCAATAAGTTCCTCATCTCCATTTGAGACCACCTCAGCCTGGACCTTATTGTCCATATCACTATTAGCATTTTGGTCAAAGCCATTCAACAAATATCTAGGAAGTTCCAAATTTTCCCACATTTTCCTATCTTCTTCTGAGTCTTCTAAACTGTTCCAATCTCTGCCTGTTACCCAGTTTCAAAGTTGCGTCCACATTTTCAGGTATCTTTACAGCAGCACCCCATTCCAGGTACCAACTTACCGTATTAGTTCATTCTCACTCTGCTAATAAAGACATACCTGAGACTGGGTAATGTATAAAGGAAAGAGGTTTAATTGACTCACAATTCTGCAGGGCTGGGAAGGCCTCAGGAAACTTAAAATCATGGTAGAAGGGGAAGCAAACATGTACTTCTTCACGTGGCAGCAGCAAGGAGAAGTGCCGAGCAAAACAGGGAAAAGCCCCTTACAGAACCATCACATCTTGAGAGAATTCACTTACTACCATGAGAACAGCAGCACTGGTGTAACCACCCCCATGATTCCATTACCTGCCACCAGGTCCCTCCCATGACACATGGGGATTATGAGAACTACAATTCAAGATGAGATTTTGGTGGGGACACAGTCAAAGCATATCATCTTGGTTGGCTTTTTTTTTAAAGAAGGCTAAAAATAGGCCCCCAATTTTTTCTGGCTTGTAAGGTTTGTTCTGAGAAGTACACTGTAAGTCTGATGAGAATTCCTTTATATGTAATTTGGCCCTTTTCTCTAGCTAACTTTAAATTTTTTGTCTTTTGCTTGGACCTTGGATAGTGTGATGACTATATGCCTTGGGGATTGTTGTATAACACAGTATCTCATAGGCATTATCTGGATTTCTTCTATCTGAATATTGACTCTCTAGCAAGATTAGGGAAGTTTTCCTGAATTATTTCCTTAGATATATTTTCCAAGTTGCTTACTTTTTATCCTACTCTCTCAGAAATGACAAAAAGTCATAGGTTTTGTCACTTTACATAATCCTATATTTCTCGAAGGCTTTGTTTATTCTTTTAATTTTTTTTCTTTATTTTTGTCTGACTGAGTTAATTTGAAAGATTAGTCCTCAAGTTCTGAAATTCTTTATTCTGCTTGGTCTAGTCTAGAGTTAAAGCTTTCAACTGAATTTTGAAACTGCTCTAGTGAATTTTTCAGTTCCAGAAGTTCTTTTGGTTGATTTTTCTTAATATAGCTATGCCATCTTTCATAACCTGAATTGTTTTCCTGCTTTCTTTGTGTTAGATTCCAACTTTCTCTTGGATCTAATTGAGTTTCTTTGCCATTCATATTTGAATTCTTTATCTATCACTTCAGATATTTCAATTGGGTTAGGATCTGTTATTGCTACAGAGCTAGTGTGATCCTTTGGTGGTGTCACAACACTCTGCCTTTTTGTACTGCCAGCGTTCTTTTGCTGATTCCTTTTCATCTCAGAGAGCTGTTACTTCTTTTTTTAAATTTGATATTGTTTGGATTATTTTTAAAAATTCTTTTTTTCTTGAGTGTATAAATGTGTTTTATGTTGTGTATGGTTTTTTGGCTTAATTTCTATGCATTTTCAGTGGGTCAAGGCTCTGTATGGGTTCCTTGGTTGCAGGTAGCTTCTGTGCAGTGGCTTTCTCATATGCTGTTTGTTATAATGGTGTTTTGGATATAAGGGCCAACCCTGTGAGGCTAAGGGTGTGGAAGTCTCAGGAGGCTTATCTCATGGACTATCACTAAGCCCTCTGGTAGCAGGATTTTTGTTTGGTGGTGCAATGTAGGCTGCAGTCCAGTATATGGTGCTTTAAGAGTGAGAGCTTGCAGGTAGACTGGTGCTGAGTGTACTTGCCCACCCTGATGGGGGTTGTGGGAAGAGATTTTAATGGGGGGGCGTACACTGAGGTCTTGGGATAAGGGATAGGGTAGGGTACAACAGCTCCTCATCCTGAGCTGGCAGAAACATAATCCACTTCTCTATCACACCTCTCTCATTGGGCTCATGACCTTCTATTTATAAAGGCTTTTCCTTTTGTTCATTCACCTGCACCCTGCCTGAGTGTAGCTGCTGCAGGCCATGGTTACCCGTGTCAGCTACCATTAAAATGGGGCTTGGGACAGAGCCCAACTCCAAATGGGGCTTGGGCAGGCAACTCCATGGTATGTCCTCCATTGCCAAGGTGCTACCACTCTGTGTAAGGAGGGTGAGAAGGGCCCCACCCTTCTCGAAAGTCCAAGTGTGCACAGGCTCACATTCAGAGGGATGGAGCCACCATGAAAAGTATGAAAAGCACTTTCTTTGATTACGTAGCAGCCCCTGGTAGGAAGAACTGTGGCTACATCGGGAACATTCCACAATAGTGTTTTAGGGTAGGGGGAGAAGACACCCTCTCCTTTGTCCCCAGGCATCAGTGCTAACTTTCAATGGTCAGCCCTCCTCCTGTGTTTCCTTATCCCAAGGGGATCTTTGGCAGGCTGTGTTTCCCTTCCCTTAAAGGTGGTCCATACCAAGTGGTAGATCTCCTGAGGAAAGTGATTTAAAAAATAGTGGAATTTTGAGTGCGATCTAGGAAATTTATTGTGTATTCAGTGTATATGTGCCCTGACAATGAATAGAGAAAGAACTTTTTGTATAACTATTTTATAGGTTAAGAAACCAAGATTCAGTGAGACCAAGTTTTTTGGTCATCTTCTCATATGACAGAGCTGGGAAGAATCCCCTGAGTTTCCTAGTTCATGTTATTTGTACTTTGACTGGTCTTCATTATCTTTTCCAAGTTCTTTCCCAAAAAATATTTATCACCTGATGAAAAATGCAAAGCATTTAGCAACACAATCAGGGTAACATATATGAAAACGTTATGCTTTTCAGAATTTTCTCACTTTGAACACTTAAACCTGATTATTTAGGAAAGTCCACAAAAGCCTCCCAAACTCAATATAGCTTCCTTAGCTTCTTAGTATGATTATATTCAATAGTATTATATTTCCTCTAAGATGGTACAGACTGGTAATAAGGACAGATTTTACAGAAAATTAGCTCTTCTAATCCTGAGACCTAAGTTATGGACAAAAAAGAAGATAAGTGGAAACTGAGTTGCTTTTAGTACATTCACTTGATTTTATTAAATTTTTATTAATCACTAATTCATTTACTCAATAGATGTTTTTGAAATACCTACCTTTAAGTATATGTGAAACCAGGGATAAAAGCTACCATTTATTGAATGACTATTGTGTGCTAATATTGGGTGAGATATTCTACATACATATTTACGCTGTTAATCAAGTTAGGCCTCCAGAGTCTGACCATAAACAATAATCCTGTTAATTAAGACAGCATGAGTGAAAATGTCCATGTCCATTCCCATGTTCATCACAATCTTTGAGTATTTGCTTCCATTCTGCACTCCCTCTAACTGGTAGAAATAAGGTGCTCATGAATTTTTCCAGGTGAGTTTGCGTACAAACATTGGTAAAACAAGGTTCCAATCAGATTTTTCTTTTTGCCTCAGAATTAATGTCGGGACACTGATGGAGTCTGCTGATAGTATTAAAGTTCTTAAAAAGTATAAGAAATTCTTGCTTAAGGATTGGTATCAATCTTCCTAATAATTTAATTGCTTTTTTTAACTTATACTAGTTTGAGTACATTTTTGTTCTTTTAAAACAAGTGTTTCCTAAGATAATATATAAACAGAGAAGTAGGCCCATGTGGGAGGGAATTCATCAAGTAGATGAACATCTTTGTAGTAACAATGAGACCAGAGAAAGACATCTACAAATGTGATATTTTAAAAATAATGTTAACAATTAATGTTTATATAAAGCTTTAAATTTGCAATGCATATTTACATAAATAATCTTACTTGATCTTCTCAATTACCTAGTGAAATAATCATCCAATTTCATATGTGAAAATCATCCACAATAAGTTATTTGCCAAAAGTTACAACTAATAAGTGGTTGGTCCAGGGTTATATGCCAGATTCTCTCATTATAAACCTTTAGTTCTTTCCATAGTATCGAGGCTTCTATGTTATCACTTGTTCTTTATAAAATGCTTGACTAAATGGAGGTTCCTACATCTTATGATCTTATGATCATCAGTTCCTAAAGGACAGAATTTCAACAAATTGAGATAGTCACATTATGTCAATTATCTGCCACTCTAAAAATAATATCTACACTGCAGTTCTTAAAAGAATAATAGGAAAAAATAGACTTAAGAAACACGTATGTTAAGAGGAATATCAGAAAAAGGGATACAGGAAGTAATTATTCCAATTACCAAGTATTTGTTCATGTATAGAATGATTCACTGCCGGCTCCATTAAATAATATTCATTAGATGAACTTTAATTTATACAAATTAAATTTCCGTAAAACGTCATAGAGATATAGGTCATTACAGAGTTAAAAAAAATGCAAAGTCATCTAATCTAACTAAAACTATTTCGTAAAGTGGAACAAATGTGATTTTATTATCCAACTATTTGCTGTTTGTTATCTTCCAAGGAAACTGTGATTTAATTGATTTCTATAAATGCTTATTGGGTATGCAGGGCATGTACCTAGAAACTGGAAGCATATCATTACAATAACCCATGGGCCCCTGATTTCCAGTGAAAACAATACACAAATGCTTGTATGACAAGGTGGATTTTGGCAAGCACTACACTAACAGTATAACATGTAATAGAGGAACTGGGAAAGAAAATATTTAATTCAAACTTAAGTGCTCTGGAAACCCTCCAATGAGGAAATATAAGGGAACATGAAGTATTAAAGTCTTAAAGGGTGATCAACACCCATATTTCAATTTAAAGAGATTTTTATTTCTATTTAACTGTTTTTAAGATCCTGATTGGTTAAGCTCAATTTTGTAAATCCAAGCTCTCAGTGATAATTATATTTAACTCTCTATGTATTGACTGTTAATGGAGCATGCATGTAAATTATGACCAATATGTTAGGATCTACAAGACAATAAACTGCATCCATCTTTTCCAATAAACAAATAGGTAAATATAAAGACAAGTCCAAACTAACATCTATACAATTGATATAGGCCAGTTTAGAAGGTGATGGATTAACGTGGGATCCAAATGCACTACTTTTATGTTATGCAAGCCCCAGAATAAGAAGATTGACTCATCAGTCACAGCAGCATTGGTCTTCTACCAACCTTTACCTCCCTTCCTGTGAGCAGAGCAGGGAGAAGATGGAAATGGTGGCGAAGGAGGTTGGAGCTCAGCTAAGCAAAGGAGGTAACCCTTCACGAGTTTACTTTGCAAACAACTCACTTCCACTCCCCCGGGGAAAGGAAAATAAAGAACAGAGAGGTGCAAGGAATGTGAGAATGTGCCTCTTCATGGAAACCAGGAGTGAGGAAATTATATTCCATTGCTAATATCCCATGAGATGATTCTGATTATTAGGGAAGATATATATCTTTTGGGATTATTTGCAGTCTTTTTCCTATAAATTGCCAAGCTTATACTTTTTTAAGAATGGTCAATTTTTTTTAGAAAGGTGTTTAATTATCTTTTTTTATATTTGTAAGATCTAAATAAATAGTATGACAGTAGATATAAGAATAAGTGACATAGTCAGTAACTGTTGTCTCACATATATAACCTCTAAATTTCTTTTTTTTTTTTTCACTTTGTATAATCCACCTCTCCTCTTTGGTGGGGATTGGCCTGAGTTTCAGGAGTGAGGTATCTTTTACTCAGTGGTAGATATAACTGAAACAAAAAAAGGTAAAAAGAAGAGGAAGAAAACCGATGAAATAGGGAAAAGTAATGAAAGAAAAAAATTGACTTGGAGGAATTCTAGAAACACATTTTGACTTTTACCTTCTAAACCAGTGGATGGTTGAGCAGATATGCAGGCATCTAAAGAAGCCAGAGGAGTGGTAATTATTCCTGGATTCTCTGCAGACAATTCAGTCCATGAATATCAATAACTTTTTTAAAAACTTTAGCTGATATGGCTTGGCTGTGTCTCCACCCAAAATCTCCTCTTGAATTTTAATTCCCATAACCCCCACATGTCAAGGGCAGGATGAGGTGGAAGTAATCAGATCATGGGGGTGGTTTCCCCCATGCTGTTCTCATGATAGTGAGTAAGTCTCATGGGATCTGATGGTTTTGTAAGCATCTGGCATTTCCCCTACTTGCACTCACTCCATCCTGCCACCCTGTGAAGAGGTGCCTGTTTCTCTTTTGCCTTCTGTCATGATTGTAAGTTTGTGGAGGCCTCCCCAGCAATGCAGAACCGTGAGTCAATTAAACCTCTTTCATTTATAAATTACCCAATCTTGGGTATTTCTTCATAGCAGTGTGAGAACGAACTAATACATGGGCATTTATATATTTCTGTACTATTCATCTATATTGACCACTACTTTTGGTTCTTTTAGACAATACTGTTTCTATGGAGGCATGCATCCTCACCACCTGTATGTGAAACTGCACTTTAAGAATTGTCTGTTTTGCTCTTTGAATTATCCTTATTACAGTCTAATATTTGGGAGCAGATAAGTCATGACCAAGATGGGCTTATAATCTAAAGCTTGCATGTCTGTGAGTTTTATTCATCAAGTAGAACATTCTCTGTATTGCAGAGAATTATGGTAAGGCAGAAAGTGGAGGAAACAATATATTTTAGAACATTTAATTGTTTAACATGATTACCTAAGTATAGACACTGAAACCCCTAAGTGCATTTTTGCTTCATTTTAGCTTTGATTTGTAACTTTCTTAAAACTAAACCTTGCTCACTTGTCAGACCACAGATATACTTTACTTCAGAGTGAAGGCTCAAAACCTTCATGTATTCCCTTTTATATAGAAGCAAATGTGTTCACTTTTATATGGAAGTCACTTCCAATAAGGAAAATACACATCATAGTTATTTTTCACCAGAGGAAATGTTTCTGGAAATAAGAACAGTGATTTTCACAGTGGTGCATTATGATCATCCTCTGGTTTTCCAAGTCGAGGTTCTGTTTTAAGTGAGGATTTTCATATTTCATTAGTTATTATCACTATTTCTAACTTACCAATATGGGAAGAGTTCTGGCAGGAAAAATTACCTTGCTGGCCTTGAAAATTTTGAAGTTGCAGTTAGTGGAGGATAAGGACCAGTTGTGCCACCTGGAAAATGTTTAAAATTCCTTCCTAGTGAGATGAATATTATTTACCTACAATCATCCTTTCCAGGGTTCCCAATCAACTCACACTATTTTTAGATCCATTCAAATTGGCTAATAATGAGGATTTACATGAATTGTGCCTGGTAATGCCGTTGTCCAAGTGGCCTTTCAGTTCTGGAATTATCATCTTAGGATTCTACAATAGCTGTGTAAATGAAGGGTAGAAATGCACCCCGCACTGCATAAAATTGTTGAAAAGACATGTCTAATCTTAAAACCAGATCTTGATTAGTAATGCTTTATTTGAGGAGGAAAGTGAGAAGGGATTAGGATGTGTCATGAATGGAACCCCTACACAGTGCTTTCTGAAAATCTCAGGGTTCAGAAGATAATATTTTCATAGAGGTAAAAAATAGGCTACCAACAATAAATTAAGGAAAGTGGCTCAGATTTGATGGAATTTTGTTAGTAATTCTAGAACTCAATGTAAGATAAATATTATTAAAGCCAATTAAGAGGATTGCTAAGTTACACTGCAAACAAAAGCACTAAAATAGTATGGAGTACATAGAGTCTTGATAAGGAATAACAAAAATCACATGGGACAACTCAATGTGTCTACAAGAATGAGGCATTTCCTAAGAGGACACTTTGCTCTTTTAATGAGTAAAGTATTCTTATGATTGGACCATCTCCCAGGGTTTTCAGAGAGCCTGTGATCAGCCTGCTAATCCCTTCTCTATGAACTCTGAGCACTGCTAAAGACCAGAAGAGATACCAAATGTTTGGCAAAGAGAGTTTTAATTTCTCAGGGGTGCAGGGAGTAAATTCCATAGACTTGTCAGCTTGAACTTGACCTTGGGCATCATACTGGAATAGATTACTAAAGGGATGATTTGTGATCTTCTACAAAAGGAATATTTGAAGGGTTGCTATGCAGCCTTCCTAAGAACCACTAAAAGTGGGAGGGGCTACTCCAGAAGGCATTAACTTTTCATGATTAGACACATTCCTGCTAAGGCTAAATAATCATATGGCAGTGATGTGCTCAGAGTGACCATTAAGATTGCCACAATAAAAACAGGTTCCATGATTCTCTGTATCCAGTCAGGAGAAAGAAGTCACACCATTTATTTAAACAGAGAATTTAATTTTAAAAATTGTTAACTAGGTATATTTGTTTTCTGGGGCTGGCATAACATAGTTTGATAAACTAGGTGCCTCAAACAACAGAAATCAATTGGTTATAAATAAATTTCTTTTTGAAAAAATATTTGTTAAAAAAATAAGTAAAGCAAAATCTATTCACAATAAATCAATAATAGTTCTGGAAGCTAGAAGTTTGAGATCAAGGAGTATTTCTTGCAGTATTTCAGCAGTATTTCTTCCTTCTGAGGGTTGGGAGGGAGAATCTGCTTCATGCATCTTTCCTAGCTTTTGGTGGTTTGATGCAGTCTTTGGCACTCCTTGGCTTGTAGTATGTCACCCTGATCTCTGCCTTCATTCTTCACATGGCATTCCCCCTGTGTGCATGTCTGTCCCAGTTTCTCCTTTTTATAAGTACACAATCTTATTGGATTAGAGTCCACCTAATTATCTCATCTGCAAAGACCCTATTCCAAATAAGGTCACATTTACAGGTACTGAGGAGTTAGAACATGGAGATTTTGTGGGGCTGACATGGTTTAGGCTCAGTGTCTCCACCCAAATCTCATCTTGAACTGTAATCCCCACATGTCAAGGGAGGGACCTAGTGGAGGGGATTAGATCATGGGGGCAGTTTTCCTCATGCTGTTCTCATGATAATGAGTGAGTTCCCGTGAGATCTGATGGTTTTATAAGTGGAGGTTTCCCCTGCTTGCTCTCTTTTTCTTACTGCCTTGTGAAGAAGATATTTGCTTCTCTTTTGTCTTCCGCCATGACTGTAAGTTTCCTGAGGCCTCCCCAGTCATGTAGAACCGTGAGTCAACAACTATGAGTAAACCTCTTTCCTTTATAAATTACCCAGTCTCAGGTATTTACAGTAGTGTGAAAGCAGACTAATACAGGTGTCCACAATTCAACCCATAATTTTAGGTAACCTAAAAAGCAAAATGTTTTCACAGAGGTAGTAACTGTAGAAAGAGCTACCACCTCCAGCGCTGCAGGAGCAAAGGGATGTGGCTAAAATGATCAAATCATAGAAACTTGGAAAAACGGCTTCAAGGAGCTGAAACCCAGACACCTGGGACAGGGGCATTTATGCTCAGGTGGTCCTAGTGTCTCTGACGGAGGGCTCAACGAGGCTACTTCTGCAAGCGTGCAAAAAACTGCAAACATTGAGCAAACTACAAACGGTGCCCAGGTGCTGCTACAAGAAGCAACTGCCCCTGCTAGAGTGACATCTTATAGGAGTAATTATCATAGGAGCGGCAAACCCACAGAATCTGCAAGTCCTTCAGCCTCCTTCAGCCTCTGGCACCCCCTATTGGTAGAGCCTTGTAGAAGCAGCTGGTAAAGCAAAAATTGGTTTCTGCAGTGCCAGCCCTAGCTAGCATCACAAAATAAAGTAGAAAAAAGTGTTTGGAGGACCACAGCCTTGGACAGCTTTCTCTGTTTTTCTCTGGGTCATTTGCTGATCTTGACTCATTCAAATTAGAGTAAAAAGTGTGCCAATTACTAATTTATTCTTTCTCAGCTACAAACCCACATTTTTTGACCCAATAGGTGTCACACAATTCCTAGATTTGTGGAGTTACTGATGTATAAATTATTGCCTTTATTTCTTTATCTATAAAATGGGTATGCAAATAATAAGTACCTCACAGAGTTGTTGTGAGGACACATGAAAAGTACTTAGAACAGTAGGTCACATGGACTAAGTTGTTAGTTATATTAGTTATTATTTTATTACTATTTTGTTTTATTGGATAATTAAAAGTTCAAGAATTAACAACATGTTTCAGGGCCTATCTATTCCTATTCAGGAAATTAATGAAACTTAGGAAAAAATTCAGGTGTTTGCTCAGTGCCAATATAACACCTACAAATAAATATGAATTATTCTACGTCTTCATTAACTAAAATCAAGTATCTCAACCTCCTGTTAACACTTAACATTCTATAGCTGATTATTATTTCTAGAACCTCCTAAATACTTTCAGAAAAGAGAGCTTCTGCTTAAGCGACATGACTACAAAAGCCAGGATAGCGAATATCTGCATGACTGTCTACTACTGATTGGTGGTGGCTGCCTGGAAAGCTGAGTTGAGGAGTCTGAGGCTCCCTGTGGGTCCAGAAGCAAAAAGTTGAGGATCATTTAGCAATCTCAGCATCAGGCATGGGAGAGTGCATTTGTGGCACTCCTGTCTTCCTCTTGATTTTATCAACATTAGAAGAAAGAGTACGGTTTCCAGGGTCAAAACAGAATTAAATGTCTGGTTTCTATACAAAGCTGAGATTGGAAGTAATAATACCTCAAATGGTTATTGTGAGGATTAAATTAAAGAAATGAAACATTCTTACTGTCTCTGCGGAAGCCAGTAAATGTTAATTGTTCCTTTTCCTCTAAATTAGTTTCACTACAGTGTATAAGCCTATAATTGTGTTCATCTTTGTCATATTTCATAATGTTGTCATGGTTTGATCAATTATATAAAAGTTAACCATTGTGAAACAGATTTCTTTAGGAAAGGTAAACACATTCCAAATGCATTCATGCTATAGCAGAAAATCTATAGTCATGTTATTTATCCCCACCTAAATGTAAATGAACCTATTTTTGGTGAATGAATGAATATGGATGACGTTTGACTTTTCCACACATATAATTACTTCAGCATCTACAGATAACACAGATTAAATGCAATTTATTTGATTTATCCATGTTTTGTTGAATAGGGAAAAATTTTCTTTTACCTTTAATCAATGTGAAAAGTAATGAAATGCAATTGTTTTTCATTGCCTGCAAAACAAAAGAAACAATTTCATGGATAAAAATAAGTAGCTCTCATGCACTGAGATTTTATTAGACTAGGCCATTTTATTCTTTTGTGAAAAGGTTACTACCTATGTTTAAATTTCACCATTAGATAAATTTCATGAATTTCATGTAGTTCTGTAAAGTAGCTGTTCCAGAGAGTGCATTTTCCTCCCCTGGACTTTCTAATGTATTTTTTGAAAGGCCTGCCTCACAGAAATTAAACTCAATTTATACATTCAAAAAATCTGGTGAATATATAAATATGCTTTGAACATGTATTCTTAGATCATTTTTCTCTACTTCATTGTTTAAATAGGCAGCACCACCTGGTGGCTAAATAAAACAACTGAAATTTTTTACATCCTGAATATGGAAAAATGTAGATTCAGCAGAGGAAAAATATTTAATTATTTTTTACATTAAATTTGGGTTGCTCATCATAAGTTTCTTCTTTAAATAACGTCTAGTTTTTAAAATGCATACATCTAAACCATGAAGTTTTATCCATTGCTAATTATACTTATTTTCTATACTAGCTGTTAATATAATTGAAAAAATCACTTGTATAATTTTAATAATGTGATATTTAAAGTAAAGTTTAAACAACTTTTGAGAAAATCATCCTCAGGAGGCACTTTAATTCACTCATTAAAATTATCTTCTTGCAGTTTTCTTTGAAAGTAGTCTCATTTCTAACAAACCACAGTCACAGGAACTTACTATAAAACTTTACTCATAAAACACCAACAGAATTAATAAGAACTATTCAGAAAAAGACATGTAATTGTTACACTGTAATTATAGTTTTAGACCCAATATTGAGCTTCAGAAGAGGCATTTAATTCAAAATGTAATGCTACTGCCCTCTTGTGGTTTAAAATGCATATTTCCCTCTGGAAATAAAGATACAGTATCCAAATAAATAATAATTTTGATATTTAATGAGAAAACGGAGTATGAACTACTTTCACATTTGTCCACAGACATACAGTAAATAATCCATTAACTACCATAGATGAAGATTAGAATGTCTAGTAATTTTAGTATCATGATTAATAGAAAGTTAGTGATTAACTTATTTTACCCTCGTTTGGTGAGTGCAATTAACCACAAAAATCCCTTCTCACCTAACTTTTAGCATCTTTCACCAGTTCCATAATATAGATTTTGCAAATTCTATAGGAAACTAACACCCTCCAATTAATACTGGTATAATTAATTTACTTTCCTTATGTTAGGTGAAGAATAAACGGCTTCAAACCACTTAAAAACAAACAAAAAAAAATCCTTCCTCATTTTGCTTCTGTTTTCACCTGGGATGAGTTCAGAAGCCTTTTCCAAGGTCCAGAGCATGCATTTACCTTGCTGAAACACTTTTTGGCCCCTTGCAATTGTGGCACTGAATGGAAAACAAGCTTTAGACACACATTCCAAATGCAGCAGCCAAGCTTTTCCTTGTCACGCTGGCTCTGCTGCTAGAAAAGAATGATGCCTTTCAGATTTCTCCATATGAACAGAACTAATTCTCCAAGAGCGTGCTCTGGCTCTGCGTTTACATCTCTCACCTTGGATTGGGAGTGTTATCATGGATTAAAGGACAACAAGGAGGAAACAAAGAGGGATGATTCTGCCTTTGCTAAAACTCCAGGCACTGTAGGGCAAGAGTTTATTTTCCAACTGTCTGAAATTTCCTTTGGCTACTCCCTTCTCTGCGAAAGCTTGTGATGCACTTCCATTTAGAAAATAGGATTTTGTTATTATTGAGAAGAGGGAAAAACTAAAGCGATCACTTATATTCTGCTTTCATTTATTTAGCTACAGAGAAAACAAGCAGAGTCAACAGCAAAAGGGGGTGGTTGGTGCAAGGTACCACTCTGGCACCTGGCCTGGCATTCCTATGCCTCCCATGATCTTGGTATGCTGCTGTCCCCACCGGGGCCTTTTAACACAGGCCTTCACCCAAGTGGTTTTCTTTGATGAGGTAGCATTTCCTTTGTTTTTTATTTTTTCCTGGGTACATGTCTAGGATTTATCTAGCATGCCATTAACAGTCTTGTCTTCAGGAAGAAGCAAGAAATGACAGCAAGGGACTAAGGGGTCATGCAACTCAACATGTCCAAGGTTGTTTTTCAAAGATCTCCATGCCAATTCCTTTAGGTTTAACTTGAAAGCAGTATCTGCAAGAGGAGAGAGAAGGGCTCACATTACCTGGCTCAGAGTCTTATCCGTACTTGGCATGTCTTGGCCATCCGCTGAAGAAGCTGTTCTTGGTCCTCTATACTTTGCTACATGAAGACACTCATTTTGCTGCACAGTTGTCTTCTGTTCTGGCCTCCTCTTGACAATGAGTGATACAACATGGTAAAAATGTAGCAGCAAAAACTGAGCAGCTCACACCTTGAATACATTTCGATTGCACAGCTACTTCCTGACCTGTATGTAATTCTGCCACATGCCTGAGCTCTAGTGAGTCCTACACTTCCCAGAATTCACTCGGGTCCCTTCTCAGAAGGGGCTCTTACAGACCTCAGGTGAGATGAAGCAAGACCAGGTACTTTTCTGCCTCTCTTCCCCTGGGAGTCTTCATTTACAGTGCCAAGATTGCTCTTTCCTTACAAAGCTAGGTTGTTGCTGATACTGATTTTGAAAGTCAATAATACATTGTTTAGGGATAAGAAATAGTCGGTGCATAGGGTAGCAGGAGTTACCTAAGAAGGGAGAGACAAGATTTCAGTGAAAGGGCTCACAGGGTATTTCTAAGATCCTGTTAAAAATTTGTTTTGTAACTTCTCTGGGGGAACACAGAGTTTTACTTTATAATTACTTTTGTTTTTCTTTTTTTCTTTAAGACAGTGTCTTGCCCTGTCACCCAGGCTGGAGTACAGGGCTCACTGCAACCTTGAACTCCTGGGCTCAAGTGATCCTCCTTCTTCAGCCACCCGAGTAGCTAGGCTCCTCCTTTCTCAGCCTCCCAAGTACCTAGGACTATGATATGGTTTGGCTCTAGGTCCCCACCCAAATCTCATCTCAAATTGTAATTGTCGTGTGTTGAAGAAGAGGCCTGGTGAGATATGATTCCATTATGGGGGAAAATTTCGTCCTTGCTGTTCTCATGATAGAGTGATATCTCACAAGATCTGATCATTTAAATGTGTGTGGCACCTCCTGCTTCTCTCTGTCTGTCCTTCTTTGCCATGGTAAGATGTGCTTGCTTCCTTCTCACCTTCTGCCATGATTGTATGTTTCCTAAGGCCTCTCAGCCATGCTTCCTGTACAGCCTGTGGAACTGTGAGTCAATTAAACCTCATTCATTGATAAATTACCCACTTTATAGCAGTGTGAGAATGAACTTATATAGAAAATTGGTACTGGGAGAGTGGGGCATTGCCATAAAGACACCTGAAAATATGGAAGCAGGTTTAGAACTGGGTAACAGGTGGAGTTTGGAACAGTAGGGGGCTCAGAAGAAAATAGGAAGATGTGGGAAAGTTTGGAACTTCCTAGCAACTTATTGAATGGTTTTGACCAAAATGCTGATAGTGATATGAACAGTGAAGTCCAGGCTGAAGAGGTCTCAGATGGAGATGAGGAACTTATCGGGAGCCGGAGTAAATGTCGCTCTTGCTATGCTTTAGCAAACAGACTGGCAGCATTGTGCCCCTGACCTAGAGATCTGTGGAACTTTGAACTTGAGAGAGATGATTTGGGGTATCTGGTAGAAGAGGTTTCTAATCAGCAAAGCATTCAAAAATTGATCTGGTTGTTTCTAAAGTGTACAGTAATATGCATGAAGAAAGAGATGGTCTGAAGTTGGAACTTATATCTAGAAAAGGAAAACTCATTTTCTGGGGAGAAATTAAAGCTGGTTGCAGAAATTGGCATCAGTGATGAGGAGCCAAATGTTAATAGCTGAGAAAATGGGGAAAAAGTCTCCAGGGCATATCAGAGATCTTCACCACAGCCTGTCCCATCACAGACCTGGAAGCGTAGGAGAAACAAATGGTTTCATGGGCCAAGACCAGGACCGTGCCACTTTCTGCAGCCTCGAGACATTCCCAGCCACTCCAGCTTCAGCCTTGGCTAAAAGCGGCCAAGATATAAATTGGGCCATTGCTTCAGAGGATGCAAGTCCCAAGCCTTGGTAGCTTCCACTTGGTGTTGGGCCTGCAGATGTGCAGAAATTAAGAGTTGAGGCTTGGAAGCCTCCACCTAGATATCAGAGGATGTATGGAAAGGCCTGGATATCCATGCAAAAGTCTGCTGCTGGGGCGGAGCCCTCATGGAGAACCTCTACTAGGGCAGTGTGGAGGGGATATGTGGGGTTGGAGCCCCCACACAGCATCCCTACTGGGGCACTATGTTCTGAAAAGGCTGCAGACACTCAATGCCAGCCTATGAAAACAGCCGTGGTGGCTGTATCCTGCAGAGCCACAGGAGCAAAGGTGCCCAAATCCTTGTGAGCTCACCCCTTGCATCAGCATGCCCTGGATGTGAGACATAGAGTCAAAAGAGATTATTTTGGAGCTTTAACATTTAATGACTGCCTTGCTGGGTTTTGGACTTGCATGGGGCCTGTACACCCTTTGTTTTGGCCAATTTCTCCCTTTTGGAATGGGAGCATTTACCCAATGCTGTACCCCCATTGTACCTTGGAACTAACTAAATTGTTTTTTATTTTACAGGCTTATAGGTGGAAAGGTCTTGCCTTGTTTCACATGGGGCTTTGGACTAGAACTTTTGAGTTAATACTGGAATGAGTTAAGACTTTTGGATCTGTTTAGAAGGCATGATTAGTTTTGAAATGTGAGAAGGACATGAGATTTGGGAGGGGCTGGGGCAGAATGATATGGTTTGGTTCTGTGTCCCCACCCAAATCTCATCTCAAATTGTAATCACCATATGTCTGAGGAGGGGCCTGGTGAGAGGTGATTGGATCATGGGAGCAGATTTCCTTCTTGCTATTCTGGTGATAGTGAGCTAATTCTCAGGAGACCTGATCATTTAAAAGTGTGTGGAAACTCCCCCTTCTCTCTCTCTCTCTGTCTTGCTTTACCATGGTAAGACATGCTTGCTTTCCCTTTGCCTTCCACCATTATTGTAAGTTTCCTAAGGCCTCTCAGCCATGCTTCCTGTACAGCCTGTGGAACTGTGAGTTAATTAAGCCTCTTTCTTTTATAAATTACCCAGTCTCAGGTAATTCTTTATAGCAGTATGACAAAGGACTAATAAAGACTATAAGCACACACCACCACACCCTGCTAATTTTTAAAAAAGATTTTTATAGAGACAAGGTCTTGCCACATTTCCCAGGTTGGTCTGGAACTCTCTCTCTCAGGCTCAAGTGATCCTCTAGCCTCAGCTTCCCAAAGGGCTGGGAATACAGGTATAAACCACCAGGCCTGGTCTATAATTTCACTTTAAAGTTACATATAAGACTGGGTGTGCTGGCCATGTCTATAATCCCCGCACTTTGGGAGGCCAAGGCAAGTGGATCCCTTTAACCCAGGAGTTCCATAGCAGCCTGGGCAACATGGTTCAAACCCAGATATTCTACAAAGCAACTGCCCAGGATTCTTTCAAAGTGTCAAGGTCGTGGAAAACAAGGAGAAATTAAGGAAAGATGATCATAGATTGGAGGAGACTAGGGGCATGTGAATACCAAATGCAATGTGGGTTGGAACTTGGAACAGTAAAAGGACATTAGTGAAATTACTGGTGACATCTTCCTTTTGCTCCAGTTGCAAGGGGGAGGCATTGGCTAAAGCAAATCATAGTCTCTGTGGGTACACCTGGGAGGCAATGAAACACAATAGCTGAATGCCCCCATCCCCACAGTGATATTACCCTGTGAAACTGAGTAAATGGTAAGAGCTATATCATAAATAGCTCTTACTATTTTGAGATACATTCCATCAATACCTAGTTTATTGAGAGTTTTTAGCATGAAGGAGTGTTGAATTTTATTGAAGGCCTTTTTTGCATCTATTGACATAATCATGTGGTTTTTGTCATTGGTTCTGCTTATGTGATGGATTACGTTTATTGATTTGCATATGTTGAACCAGCCTTGCATCCCAGGGATGAAGCCGACTTGATCACAGTGGATAAGCTTTTTGATGTGTTGCTGGATTCGGTTTGCCAGTGTTTTATTGAGGATTTTTGCATTGATGTTCATCAGGCATATTGGCCTGAAATTCTCTTTTTTTGGTTGTGTCTCTACCAGGTTTTGGTATCAGGATGATGCTGGCCTCATAAATGAGTTAGGGAGAAGTCCCTCTTTTACTATTGCTTGGAACAGTTTCAGAAGGAATGGTACCAGCTCTTCTTTGTACCTCTGGTAGAATTTGGCTGTCAATCCATCTTGTCCTGGGCTTTTTTTGGTTGATAGGCTATTAATTACTGCCTCAATTTTAGAACTTGTTATTGGCCTATTCAGGGATTAGAATTCTTCCTGGTTTAGTCTTGGGAGGGTGTATGTGTCCAGGAATTTATCCATTTCTTCTAGATTTCCTAGTTTATTTGTATAGAGCTGTTTATAGTATTCTCTGATGGTAGTTTGTATTTCTTTGGGTTCAGTGGTGATTTCCCCTTCATTAGTTTTTATTGTGTCTGTTTGATTCTTCTCTCTTTTCATCTTTATTAGTCTGGCTAGCAGTCTATCTATTTTGTTAATCTTTTTCAAAAAACCAGCTCCTGAATTCATTGTTATTTTGAAGGGTTTTTCATGTCTCTATCTCCTTCAGTTTTGCTCTGACCTTAGTTATTTCTTGTCTTCTGCTAGCTTTTGAATTTGTTTGCTCTTGCTTCTCTAGTTCCTTTAATAGTGATGTTAGGGTGTCGGTTTTAGATCTTTCCTGCTTTCTCCTGTGGGCGTTTAGTACTATAAATTTCCCTCTAAACTATGCTTTATATGTGTCCCAGAGATTCTGGTACATTGTGTCTTTGTTCTCTTTGGTTTCAAAAAACTTAATTATTTCTGCCTTAATATCATTATTTACCCAGTAGTCATTCAGAAGCAAGTTGTTCAGTTTCCATGTAGGTGTGCGGTTTTGAGTGAGTTTCTTAATCTTGAGTTCTAATTTGATTGCACTGTGGTCTGAGAGACTGTTTGTTATGATTTTCATTCTTTTGCATTTGCTGAGGAGTGTTTACTTCCAATTATGTGGTCAATTTTAGAATAAGTGCCATGTCGTGCTGAAAAGAATGTATATTCTGTTGATTTGGGGTGGAGAGTTCTGTAGATGCCTATTAGGTCCACTTGGTCCAGAGCTGAGTTCAAGTCCTGAATATCCTTGTTTTCTGTCTTGTTGATCTGTCTAATATTGACAGTGGGGTTTTAAAGTCTCCCACTATTATGTGTGGTAGTCTAAGTCTCTTTGTAGGTCTCTAAGAGCGTGCTTTATGAATCTAGGTGCTCCCGTGTTGGGCGCATGTATATTTAGGATAGTTAGCTCTTCTTTTTGCATTGATCCCTTTACCATTATGTAATGCCCTTCTTTGTCTTTTTTTATCTGTGTTAGTTTTCTGTTTTATCAGAGACTTTTCTGTTTTATCAGAGACTAGGATTGCAATCCCTGCTTTTTATTTTTTTCTTTCCATTTGCATGGTAAATCTTCCTCCATCCCTCTATTTTGAGCCTATGTTTGTCTTTGCACATGAGATTGGTCTCCTGAATACAGCACACCAATGGGTCTAATTTGCCAGTCTGGTTGGGGTGTTTAGCCCATTTACATTTAAGGTTAATATTGTTATGTGTGAATTTTTTGATCCTGTCATTATGATGCTAGCTGGTTATTTTGCCCGTTAGTTGATGCAGTTTCTTCATAGTGTCAATGGTCTTTACAATTTGGTATGTTTTTGCAGTGGCTGGTACCAGATTTTCCTTTCCATATTTAGTGCTTCCTTCAGGAGTTCTTGTAAGGCAGGCCTGGTGGTGACAGACTATCTTAGCATTAGCTTGTCTGTAAATGATTTTATTTCTCCTTCACTTATGAAGCTTAGTTTGGCTGGACATGAAAATCTGGGTTGAAAATTTTTTTCTTTAAGAATGTTGAATATTGGCCCCCACTCTCTTCTGGTTTGTAGGGTTTCTCCCGAGAGATCTGCTGTTAGTCTGATGGGCTTCGCTTTATGGGTAACCTGGCCTTTCTCTCTGACTGTTCTTAACATTTTTTCCTTCATTTCAACCTTGGTGAATCTGACAATTATGTGTCTTGGGGTAGCTCTTCTCGAGGAGTAAATTTGTTGTGTTCTCAGTATTTCCTGAATTTGAATGTTGGCCAGTCTTGCTAGGTTGGGGAAGTTCTCCTGGATAATATCCTGAAGAGTGATTTCCAACTTGGTTCCATTCTCCCCATCACTTTCAGGTATGCCAATCAAACATAGGTTTGGTCTTTTCACATAGTCCCATGTTTCTTGGAGGCTTTGTTCATTCCTTTTTATTCTTTTTTCTCTAATCTTGTCTTCATGCTTTATTTCATTAAGTTGATCTTTAAACTCTGATATCCTTTCTTTCACTTGATCAATTCGGCTTCACGAATACTTGTGTATGCTTCACGAAATATTCATGAATACTTGTGTATGCCACACTTGATACTTGTGTATGCTTCACGAAGTTCTCACGTGTTTTTCAGCTCCATCAGGTCATTTATATTCTTCTCTAAACTGGTTATTCTAGTTAGCAATTTCTCTAACCTTTTTTTCAAGGTTCTTAGCTTCCTTGCATTGGGTTAGAACATGCTCTTTTAGCTTGGAGGTGTTTGTTATTACCCACCTTCTGAGGCCTACTTCTGTCAATTCGTCAAGCTCATTCTCAGTTCAGTTTTGTTCCCTTGCTGGTGAGGAGTTGTGATCCTTTGGAGGAGAAGAGGCATTCTGCATTTTGGAATTTTCAGCCTTTTTGCACTGGTTTTTCCTCATCTTCGTGGATTTATCTACCTTTTGTCTTTGATGTTAGTCACCTTCGGATGGGGTTTTTGTGTGGACGTCCTTTTTGTTGGTATTGATGCTATTCCTTTCTGTTTGTTAGTTTTCCTTCTAACAGTCAGGCCCCTCTGCTGCAGGTCTGCTGGAGTTTGCTGGATGTCCACTCCAGACACTGTTTGCCTGGGTATCACCAGCAGAGGCTGCAAAATAGCAAAGATTGCTGCCTGTTCCTTCCTCTGGAAACTTCATCCCAGAGGGGCATCCGCCAGATGCCAGCCGGAGCTCTCCTGCATGAGGTGTCTGTCGACCCCTGCTGGGAAGTATCTCCCAGTCAGGAGACACGGGGGTCAGGGAACCACTTGAGGAGGCAGTCTGTCCCTTAGCAGAGCTTGAGCACTGTGCTGGGAGATCTGCTGCTCTCTTAAGAACTGACAGGCAGGAATGTTTAAGTCAGCTGAAGCTGTGCCCACAGCCGCCCCTTCCCCCAGGTGCTCTGTCCCAGGGAGATGGGAGTTTTATCTATAAGCCCCTGACTGGGGTTCCTGCCTTTCTTTCAGAGATGCCCTTCTCAGAGAGGAGGAATGTAGAAAGGCTGTCTGGCTACAGTGGCTTTGATAAGCTGCCGTGGACTCTGCCCAGTTTGAACTTCTCAGTGGCTTTGTTTACACTGTGAGGGGAAAATCGCCTACTCAAGCCTCAGCAATGGTGGATTCCCCTCCCCCCACCAAATGAATGTCCCAGGTCGACTTCAGACCGCTGTGATGGCAGTGAGAATTTCAAGCCAGTGGATCTTAGCTTGCTGGGCTCCCTGGGGTTGCTATCCATTGAGGTAGACAATTTGGCTCCCTGGCTTCTGCCCCCTTTCCAGGGGAGTGAATGGTTCTGTCTTGCTGGCATTCCAGGTGCCACTGGGGTATGAAAAAAAACTCCTGCAGCTAGCTTGGTGTCTGCCCAAACAGCCACCCAGTTTTGTGCTTGAAACGCGGGGCCCTGGTGGTGTAGGCACCCAAATGAATCTCCTGTTCTTTGGTTTGTGAAGACCATGGGAAAAGCATAGTGTCTAGGCTGGGATGCTCTGTTCCTCATGGCACAGTCCCTCACGGCTTCTCTTGGCTAGGGGAGGGAGTTCATTGACCCCTTGCACTTCCTGGGTGAGGCGATGCCTCACCCTGCTTTGGCTTGCTCTCCATGGGCTGCACCCACTGTCTAGCCAGTCCCAGTGAGATGAACCGGGTACCTCTGTTGGAAATGCAGAAATCACCTGCATTCTGCGTTGATCTTACTGGGAGCTGCATACCGGAGCTGTTCCTATTCGGCCATCTTGCCAGCCACCCATCTAGTTTTGTTTTTTCTCTTTTTTAAATTTTTTTAGATGTAGTCTTGCTCTGTTGCCAAGGCTGGAGTTCAGTGGCGTGATTTTGGCTTACTGCAACCTCTGCCTCCCAGGTTCAAGCAATTCTCCTGCCTCAGCCTCCTGAGTAGCTGGGATTACAGGCATCTGCCACCACGCCTGGCTAATTTTTGTGTTTTTATTAGAGATGGGGTTTCATCATGTTGGCCAGTCTGGTCTTGAACTCCTGATCTCAGGTGATTCACTTGCCTCAACCCCCCAAAGTGCTGGAATTACAGGTGTGAGCCATCACGCCTGGCTGTTTTTCATTTTGTAAAAGATGGTTAAAAATTCATGACGGGGCTCCTGAAATAAGGCATCAAGCAGTAAGCTCTAAGCATAGATGTTTGAGAAACAGCAGCAGTCAGGCGTGCATTCATGATGGGGGAAGCACCTCTGAGCAAAGGTACGGGTGGTCAGGACTCCACGGGGCAGAGAGATAGGAAGCAGCAGGCTCTTTGGTCACATATTTTCAGGTAATGCATCTGAGAACTCCCATGCATTAATACAGAAACTTGGCTTAGAGGGACGAGGGCCAAGAATGAGCATAAAGATTCTTTATGCTTCCTAAAATAAGACCCTGAAAATAGCACAATACACTAAAAGCCTATTAATATAATTTTTCATATGTATGTTACAATTAATTCTATTTACTACCTCTTACTAGCTTTTAAAGGTTTTTTATTGTTGTTAGAGATAAGATGCATAAGAAAAAAGACACTTTTTAATATTTAGGGCTGGTCCTCTAGACACAATCCTGATGCCATTCTGGTCTTACACCTGGGAATGGGGCTGCAAAATGGAAATCTCCCAGAGAAGGAAAGAGAGTTTGCAATGAGCTATCCTGGGAAGGAGCCCTCCAGCAGGGCTTGTTTCCTGCCAGGAGCAAGTTCATATCAGCTGAAAGAGGCTAGAGATGAACTGTCAGATGTGGCCACTGAGGGTAGTAGCCATAAATAGTTATATCCACGCATGCCAAAAGAAACGAGATCCCCAGCAAGGGGAATTTTTTTTTTTTTTTTTGGCAGAAAAGTAATTGAGAAAAAGGAAATGGCATTTGGATGTCATCTGCCACAGCCCGGTGTTATTAAGGCGATACTACAACCATACCTCTCAAGTAAATACTTTTCAGAGTCTTACGTTTTCTCCTTTCCTCTTCTAACTCTGGAGAAACCAAAGGCTTCATACTGGATTGGGAAAGAAGGGACAAGAGGTTTTAAATTACATGAAATTGAAGTTTTCATATTGGATCAGAGTTTTTTAAATATTGAAATAATTTTAGACTTACAGAAAAGTTATGAAAATAGTACAATTTCCATGTAACTTTCACCCAGGTTGCCCTCATGTTAACATCTTATGTAACTGCTGTACAACTACAAAAATTAAGAAATTACATTTGTAAAATACTATTGCCCAGACTAAAGAATGCAACTGGATGTCACCAGTAATTTCACTAATGTCCTTTTACTGTTCCAAGTTCCAACCCACATTGCATTTGGTATTCACATGCCCCTAGTCTCCTCCAATCTATGATCATCTTTCCTTAATTTCTCCTTGTTTTTCACGACCTTGACACTTTGAAAGAGTCCTGGGCAGTTACTTTGTAGAATATCTCAGTTTCAGTTTGCTGAAGTTTTCTCAAGATTGGATTGGGGGCTTGTATTTTGGCAAGAATACAAGAGAACTGATGTACTTTTCTCATTGCAGAATATCAAGAGGTTTATAACCCTGATGTCTTATTACTGGTGATGTTAACAATAAAAACTTGGTTAAAGTGATGCCTTCAGGGCTAATTCATTATAAGGTTACTACTTTTCCCTTGTAATTAATAAATAGCTTGAGGGAGACCCCTTGAGGCCATGCAAATATCCTTTTTTTTTCTTCAAACTTTTATCCGCTAATGTTGGCATCCTGCCTTCACCAATTATTACTATAATGTAGTACTGATGATTTTCCACTTCCCACATTTCTTCTACATTTATTAATTGGTGTTCTTTTGTAATGAAGAGATGTCCCTTCTACATTTATTTATTCAATTATTTATATCAGTAAGAACTCATGAATATTTATTAAATTCTACAAGTTGTAATCCAATACTATCAAAAATTGTTTTAGCTTTTGACCATTGGAAACGCTTTCAGGTGCGCTTCTCTTTTGCAACATTTAAATGTCGCCATTTTTGGGGGTTCTTTGCATTTATTTTACTCTTTGTACCACAAGATGTTTCAAGTTAATCTTGTTTTTTTCCTGCCCCAAAATAGAAATTGGCCACTTCAAGGAGCATGTTTTTCTGTTCAGAATCCAATCCAGTATCCGACATCTCATTGAATCTTCATGTCTAAAACTAGTTTGGTTCCCTTATTTTTCTAGAATGATATATAATAACCGAAATCTGGGTGCTAGATGTGTTTATTGCTACTGGAGTGAATGGTGACTCCAGGTATTCTCAGTGACAGAGCTTGGAAATACATGTAATATGTGTGTAAATAGCAACCCATTCATACACACATACAAATACCTGTTTTCTTATCTGTACATATACACACAAACACTACACACTCATGCATGCATGAATGGATATATGATGATTGTAAGTTCATATTGATACTTCTGATTACAATCAAATATCTCTTGGTTCATTCTAGCCTACTCTTTCCTGGGTCTTATTTGTAAATCTTAAAGTTGAAAAACCTGGCTCTTGTTATACACAATTTACATATTTATGAGATCTAGTATAAAAATAAAGTAGTTTCAAAATTAGTACATCATATCCCTGTGAGATACAAGTGTCCTAACAAGGTATGTCTTTATATTTGAGTATGTTGTTTTCTGTCTTTAGCCTGATGGTATCCAGTTAAAATACTCTTTTCCAAAATAATTTAGGCTAATTATTTTCTCCCTATTCCATTTAGTATGGTTGTTATTCATTTTTAATACATTAGATTCAGTTATTACAAGTCATATTCATCGTGGTTTCCCCCACATATTGTTGTTGATTTTTAAAAAATTTGCACATATTAAAATTTACTTTTTGTGATGGATAGTTCTATGGGATTTGATATATGCAATGAATTGTATATTTATCACAGAAGTCATGTAGTTAACAAACCTTTTCACACCAAACTCCTGTCAACCATTGATCTATTTTTCCTCCCAATAGCTTTGCCTTCTCTAGAATGACATACAAGCAATGCCATACAATGTGCAGTCTTTTGACTATAACTTCTTAAATTTTGCAAAATGCATTTTATTATTTTATCCATTTTTTAACTGCTAAATAGTATTTTGCATTACATTATGTGGATGTGACACAGTTTGTTTATGCATTAACCAACTGAATAATATTCAAGTTCTTTCAAAATTTTGGCAAATATGAATAAATCTACTATAATCATTTGTATACGGATTTTTGTATAAGGTTTTATTTCACTTGCTTAAATACCTACAAGGGGAATTGCTGACGTGGTAAGTATATTTGTAACTTCATAGAAAAAACAATCTATAAAAAATAGTAAATAAAATAAAATAAAATAATAAAAAATAAAAAAATAGTATTCTACACTATTGTACCATTTTGCACTCTGACCAATATAGGCAAGTTCCAGTTGCTCTGCATCCTCACCAGCACTTAAAATTTAATTTTTTAAGCCATTGCAAAAGATTTGCAAAGGGTATCTCATTATGGTTTTAAATTATTTTCCCGTAAAAGTGACTAATATTTCCCCAGTGATGTTGAGTATCTTTTCACATACCTCTTTGGATTTCTATAGCTTCTTTGATGATGTATCTGTTCTCATCATCCATCTTTTTCAGTTGAGTTTTTTCCTTTTTTAAATTTTTGTATTATTCTTAACTATTAGGTTGGTGCAAAAGTAATTGCGTTTTTTGCCATGACATTTAATGGCTAAAACTTCAATTACCAATAACACATAATAATTGACGTGTTTGTACAATTTCATTTTAATGAACACGTAATAATTATACATATGCAGGAGCGTGAAATGTTTGAATATATATATGGTGTAATAATCAAATCAGGGTACTTAGCATTTCCATCCTCTTAAACATTCATCGTTTTGAATGTGAGAACATTCAATATCCTCTATTCTCGCTATTTTTAAATATGCCATACAACATCATTAACTATAATCAGTCTTCTCCATAATAGCACACCAGAACTTTTTCCTTGTATCAAACTGGGACCTTGTACCCATTAACCAATCTTTTCTCAACCCCTTCTTCCTCCCTTCCCCAGCCTCTGGTAACCACTCTCCTACTCTATTTCTATGAGATCACCCTTTTTAGATTCAGCACATGAGTGATATCATGTGGTATTTGTCTTTCTGTGCCTGGCTCACTTCAGGTAACATAATGTTCTCCAGGTTCAGTCATGTTGCCACAAATGCCAAAATTTCATTCTTTGTATGGTTGAATAGTATTCCAATGTGTATAGATAACCAACTTTTCTTTATCCATTTATTAGTTGATGGACTCTTGGTTTGATTCCATAGCTTGGCTATTGTGGACAGTGCTGCAGTAAACATGAGGGTGCAGATATCTCTTCAACAATCCAATTTTATTTCTTTTGGATTGGATATATACCCACTAGTGGTATTGCTGGATCACATGGTAGTTCTATTTGTAATGTTATGAGGAACCCCCATACTGTTTTTCGTAGTAGCTGTACTGATTTTCATTCCCACCAACAGCATATGAGTTTCCCTCCCTCTTTCTTCATATCTTCACCAATATTTATCTTTTGTTGTTTTGATAATCAACATTCTAAATGGGGTGAGGTAATATATAATTATGGTTTTGATTTACATCTTTCTAATGATTAATGATGTTAACTGCCTCTTTTTATTTATTTATTCATTTATTTTGAGACAGGGTCTCACTCTGTAGCCCAGGCTGGAGTGCAGTGGTGTGATCATGGCTCACCGCATCCTCGACTTCCCAGGCTCAAGCCATCGTCCCACTTTAGCCTCCAAGAAGCTGGGACTAATGGTGGATGCCACCACACCTGGCTACTTTTTGTATTTTTTGAAGACAGGATTTTGTCATGTTGCCCAGGCTGGTGTTGAACTCCTGGGCTCAAGAGATCCACCCACTTTGGCTTCCCAATGTTAACCATCTTTTTATGTATCTATCGGCCGTTTGTATGGCTTATTTTGAGAGATGTCTATTTAGATCTTTTGCTCATTTTAAAAATCAGATTGTTTGCCTTTTCCTTGAGTTATTCGAGTTCCTTACATATTCTGCATATTAATCCTTGTGCTATTAATCAGATGTGTAGTTTGCAAATATTTTCTTCCATTCTGTGGGTTTTTGTCTTTACTTTATTGATTGTTTTCTTCACTATGCAGAAGCTTTTTAGTTTAATGAAATCCCATCTATCTTTTTTTGCTTTTGAGTTCTTGTCTAAAAACTCTTGTCCAGACAATATCATGGAGCATTTTCCCTATACTTTCGTCTAGCAGTTTTATAGTTTCTGGTTTTACATTTAAGTCTTTAATCCATTTTGACTTGATATTTGTATATGGTGAGAAATAGGGGTGTAGTCTCATTCTTCTATACGTGGATATCCAGTTTTCCGAACACCTTTAGTTGAAAGGACTGTCTTTTCCCCAATGTGCGTTCTTAGTGCTTTTGCCAAAAATCAGTCAGCTGTAAGTATGAGGGTTTATTTCTAAGTTCTTTATGTGTTTATTTTTATGCCAATATTGTGCTGTTTTACTTACTATAGCTTTGTAGTATATTTTGAAGTGAGGTAGTATGATACTTCAACATTTTTTCTTTTCCTTCAAGATCATTTTGGCTATTAAGGGTATTTTGTGGCTCCATACAAATTTTAGGACTTTTTAATGTTTTAATGAAGTATGTCATTAGTATATTATTTGTTTACTTATTGCTACATTTCAATAATTTTTTTTGGAGTGGGGACAGGGTCTCCATTTGTCACCTGGACTGGAGTGCCATGGTGTGATTATGGCTCACTGCAGCCTTGACTTCCTGGGCTCTAGCAACCCTCCAGCCTCAGCTTCCTGAGTGGCTGGGACAACAGACATGTGCCACCACACCCAGCTAATTTTTTGTGTGTATTTTTTGTAGAGACCAGGTTTCGCTATGTTGCCCTGGCTAGTCTCAAATTTGTGGGCTCAAACAATCCTCCTGCCTGGGCCTCCCAAAAGTGCTGAGATGACAGGCATGAGCCACCATGTTGGCCTAAGAATTCTTGATATGTTTTCTGGTTAAAAGTTCTCCGCAAAAATGTGATTTGCAAATACTTTCTTCCAATATATAGCTTGTCTTTCCATTCTCTTAAAAGGGTCTCTTGTATAATAAATATTTTAACTTATACTAAAGTCCGATTTATCTTTTTTTTCCTCTCATACATCATGCTTCAGGTGTTATATTTAAAACTCTTTGCCTAGTCAAAGTCATAAGTATTTTATCCTCTAATTTTTAACAGAAGGTTTCTGGTGTTAGGTTTTATATTTAGATCTTTAATTCATTTTAAGTATATTTTTATATATTAATGTCATGCAAGGTATGGATCCAAGTTTTCTGTTTTTTGTTTTTCTACATATGGATGTCCAATTGTTCAGTAGTATTTATTGAAAAGACTACACTTTCTCTATTGATTACCCATGCACTGTTATAAAAAATCAGTTGAATATCCTTATGGGGGTATTTTTCTAGGCCTATTCTGTTTCATTGATCGGTGTCTATATTTTCACCAATACCAAGCTGTCTTGATTACAGTAGCTTTATAGTAATGCTCAAAGTTATTGATCACCAGGGAAATGCAAATAAAGACCATAATGAGGTACCATTCATTCACCATAATGGCTAAGACTGAAAAAACTGAATGCCACATGCAAGAAAGTGTGTAGAGCAGTCAGAACTCTCACACGTTATTGTTGGTTTCATAAAAGGTGCTGTCACATTGGAAAACAATCTGGCAGTTTCTTCTCAGACTAATCACATACATTTTCTATCCCAGTAATTCCAGTTCTAGGTATTTAGTCAATGGAAATGAAAGTATACATCTACAAAAATCTTGCAAAAGACTGTTTATTGCCACTTTTTCCCATAATAAGCCCACACTGAACACAGCTTGAGGTTTCTCAATAGATAGTCAAATGGGAGAATTAACTCTAATATTTCATTTCTTAAAAGGATATATACTTACATTAAATGTCTAATTAAAGTAGATATATAAAATTTGATTTAGAAATATATAATTAAGTCATGTTAATTTGTTAAAAATACAAAAAATTTAAAAAGACAAAATTAAAAATTACTGATCATCTTTGTCTAATATTGCATTGAATGGCCCAGTGATCAAGTATGTGAGCTGCAGAGTCATATTGGGTTTGAATTCTGGTCTTTCCACCTACTGGTTTTGTGATTTCAGACACATTTTGTTTCACTTCTCCAAGTCTCAGGTTTCCACATCTAAAGTGAAGTTAGTCCTACCTGCCCAGTAGAGTTGCTGTGCAGATTCGATGAACAACCATGTGGAGTGCTGAGTACACTGCCTAGAGCACAGTAAATTTGTTTGGCATCAATATACATAGTTGAATCATAGGATATTAATCTTATACGAGTCTTTTAAGGTTGTATGTTGCTTGCAAGTTTGCTTAGATGATGATCTCATTTTTAGAAAGCTAATTCTACAATGTAAAATAATGTAATCAATTTATACTCTCTTTGAGGTAATTTTTGTTTAATAAATTCACCTGGGACAATTTTCACCACAAAAAGGAATTTCATAGGTGAGCTGAATTCATTTCGTAAAATCCTTTTACTTTTCAAACTGTTAAACAAAAATATCCTGTGTCTCTGGAGTTTTGTAGGAATCAGTAGTGGGATAGTTGTCCTGCATCCATTAATGCTCTTCCACCTTGGCCTGAGCGATAGACGAAGGACAACCTACCCTAGAGGAGTCAAGCACAGAATCAAGCACATTCCTCATGGTGCTCCCCATTGTGGTTGCCTCCCCTAAAGGTACTATTTTATGCTTTTGGTAAAAGAAGCCAGCTCTTTCAAGGGAGGAAAAAAGATTTGGCAAAACTCAAAAGATCTCAAAAAACTATACTTGGGAGTTGTGTCACCATAAGGTCCCAAAGCCCAGCAGTGGGGCTGCATTTGGGAAGAGGGTGGCTGGTGCTTCCAGTCTATGCAATCACTTACCCTCCTCTAAGTAAATCCACAAAGTTTTACAGCATTGTTATCACTTTGGGAATTCTGTATGAAACCCTTGTAGGATAATTTTATGGATTACTGGAAAATGTAACAATGGGCAAACATTACTTTCACAATCAGAAAATAAAGCAAATGTATCTTTATCATGGGAAAAAAACAATTTTTCTTTAAAAGCCATTTGGAGGCTGATCCATTGTTTTATTTCAGTATTTTGAAATTTATTTTTCATGGTCTCCCTTTTCCCTGTTAATTATTAAATTGTCTATTGGAATATTAACCCTTCTAAGCTTCATCTATAATGTCTTCATCTATAATATCTATAAAATGAGGAAAATAAGGTCACTTTAAGGTCAACAAAAAGTACTTCAAGAGTTCTCAGAAAAGGGCAACAGTAGCCATTTCCCACTGCGTATCTAGTGAGTCTACTATGTTCATACTTAGACATAGAAGTGACATTTTATATCTGACAGGAGAAATAAGATGAGATCATTTTTATAGTCTACCTAGAATGATGAAACAATATTTGACATCTTTTATTTTACTGATAAATATATTATTCATGGAAAGAACTTAAAAAATGTAGGCCAAATGCTTACATATTTTATTTTCTGCTTCCAAAGATATTTTATTTCTTTTTCTTGAGGAAACAATCTTTAGGAATTTTTCTTTGATGTTACCTGGTACAGTGTTGCATTTCCTGGGAAAGCATTGGGGTAGTAAAACCTGGGGTATCTAGAAGGTTTGCCTGGAATAAGCAGCACTGATACACACAGAATACGGACACTTTGTTGGTGGTGACTGCTAGCTCTGTTCTGTTTGTTTGTGTTGATATTGACCAGGTTAGTAACCATTTCAATCACTTTATTCCTTGTAGAGTTTGGAACTAGAGGGGCTTCCACCTTGGCATGGTATGCTAGTGATCCTCTCTTGCTATTTTGCTCCAGTAGCCTGTTAAAGGGAATTGCTGCGAGGTCTGTGCGCTTGGCTTCCTCCCATGGCTCTTTTTCTGTGATTAGATTCTGTACCATTTCCCATTGTTCATGGAAGCCTGTGTGAAAGAAAGGAATCCCAGGTCACCTAGTCAAACTGTGCAAAGTAAAGCAAGGGCCACTCTTTGTTTTGGTGTTCAGTTTTCTCAGTTTTTGCAAATGAGTAGTGCTATCTCATGGTGGCTTTAATTTGTGTTTACCTGGTGACTAGGGAACATTGTTTTGTTTTCATAGTCCTAATCCACCAGTGCATATCCATGAATTCATGTTGATAAGAAGAACAACATATTACTTTTTGACTCTTTCCTCTATTTGTTTATGTCACAGGATATTTGGGGATGTCACTTCATCAGCTAGAAATCTCTGTGGCCAGTGACGCCTTTGCCTGAGTTTTTACTTGGGCCTGCCGGGCTCGTTCTGCCCACTCAGCCTGGCAGGCTGTGCTCTGCTCGTGGTACCAGCCCGAATCTCACGCCTGCCAAGGACGAGCCAGGCACGGAGCATTGAGGGGTGTGTGAGCGAACAAATGTGGGGTCCGGCCACTGCGCACAGCCAGGCACACCAGCTGTGGCAGGGTGGGCAGCTCCAGCCGCTGATATGGGCTCTGGCTCCCTGTGAGGCTGCGGCTGGACCACTTGTACCGCAAGCAGCTTCCATGGCTGGCACTCCATGGAGCATGCAACCCCGGCCGCACCTCCCACTGCAGCCAGCATCATGGCAGCAGCTGCTCCAGACGGGCTGCGGCTGCCATCATTTATGCCATACTTCAAAGCCCTGAAAAGCTCCTTTTGCCCAAGTTTTAGCATGCATATCCATTAGAGAATTGTCTACATCACTTTAGATCAGCTCCCTTGCAGAGACGGTACCACTGCTGCAGCCTCCAGCGGACATTGTTGCCTCTGTGCAACTGCCATGCATCTTGAGCTCTGCTCTTGTTCCGGCTGGGTATTGCTGCATCTTCTTGGAAGCACAGATCCTTTTTCTGGATACTGTTTCACCAGATGGACGCCAGCTCTGTCACCTTCTAATAACAATTACTGAAGTCTCCGATTGGGCACGTCACTGATGCACTGAGCCCTCGAGGTGCAAAACTGAAAGACTGCCTGAAAACAAGGGAGGGGAAAGCCACTTTCCCCTTTTCTCTTACAGTTTTTGATGGGAGTCCCAAGGCAGAGTTGTATGTGCATGTGTTGTACATTGCCTTCAAGTTTACTAGCATTTTAATTCTGTTCTTGCTTCCTGTTCACTTAGAGTTCCATCCCCTTTACAAAGAGATCTTTTGCTACCCTATCCCATGAATTTTCTGGACATCCTCTGGCATGTGTTAAGAATAGTTAGGTCCAGATTATGCCATCTGCTCCAAAAATATACTTTCAAATTGGTAGCGATTACCTGAGATATACTTTATTATATGCAAATGAGTCTGCTTTTATAAAAAGATTCATTCTTAAGGTGTAGTGGAGATGGGAAGGTCAAGGGATAGAAGGTTGCAGAGTGAGAAAAGAAATCAGAAATAAGCAGCTGTTTTCCTCTGACACCCACACAATGATGAATGTGTATCATGATGTCTCCTTTGCTTCTTCAGTGACTCACCCCTGCCTGGTATGGGATTCAGAAAGGCCCACAAGAGCTAGCTGCCTGGCTTACACAGTAAGTTAGGTATATACTTTATAACTCTGATTATTTCTCCTGCAGTAGCTCAAGGGCTCAGAGATCAGAGTAAACCTTCTTCAGTTGATACCAGCTCTACACTGGTTCAACCCAGCTAAGTTGCTTTTAAATTTCGTATTTCTCACATTGTCACAGAACTGCAAATCCTCCACAGGGGCCAGGTGTGGGTGAGCTGACCTAAGCTATACCTTGAGCGATTCACCGAAGCAGTCCGCTGAGGTCACCCTTAACCTTGGTTTCCCGCACAATCATTCAGAGCGCTCCCAGAGAGCTAAAGAAAAGCTATAGTTAGATTTTTTCATTTAAAATTTGGCACTGCCTGAAGTCATTCCCATTCCTTCCAAGGACTGTTGCCATTATATTAAAAAGAGTAAATTTGCTGCTGCATTACTTACTGCCCAGAAAATCCAGCTGAAACCTGCTACTGCCAAATCTGCAGTTTCAGTGCAAGGCCAGAGAGTTTAAATAGCTCCTGCTAGTGAGGATTTTCTGCTCTCTAGAAAAAAAAAAGTTGATAAAGCCTCAGTTTGAAGGATTGGACATGGACTATTAGAAACAGAAAATGGTTGTCCCATCTCTCTCAATTTCTGACTGTCCTATTTGCATAATTCTTAAACGTAAAATCTCCTAAGAGATGTGGTGCTCCGTGTCTTTGATCAGTCAGGGAATTTAACTTTACTTACATTTTACGATAGTCCCTCAAGTTCTTCTTTACAGGCCCATTCTCCACACCTAAATGTTTATGTTTCTAGGATCCTAAGTATACAAAGCTATTTAAAAATTAACACGAAAGACAGAGGAAAGAGCAGTAAAAGAATGAAAGTTTTTTTCTCAGAAGGTCTCCACATAGGGTCATGATCTCCTTCTGGGATTTAATTAAATTTTATTTTCTTATTTCATAGCCCTGCAAACAAAAAAGCAGGAAGATATGGACGTGCTTTTTTTTTGTTTTGTTTTCATTCTTTTAGCTCCAAATTACCTTGGACATAAACTTTTCCAGAAGATGGCTATGTAATGTGAGGAGTTGCAGGGAAAATAAAAAATTAATAAGAAAAACCTTATTTTCATACAAGTGCAATTTTTTGGAAAGAAGTTTAAAATTTTGTAGTTAGTAGGATATTACCATCTTCTTAAAATATATTCAGAGAATCAAATACGACAACTGATTGTCTAGTCTGATCACAAATTAGGAGCTACATTTGGAGCTATGGAAATCACATCTTAATTCTCTACTATTTTGGTTGGATGATCCCAAACACCTAAGAATTATGGACTCCCACATCCTGACATAGGCTATCACATTTATAAGGAACTCTGTTAAAATGTTCAGGGCAACTCCATCCTTCCTGATGTTCCTTCTACCCAGAAGTTTTATTTAATTTCTGGAGGCCATACAGAACACATTTAACCCTTTTCCACAAGAGATTACTTAAAGACTATGTTCATTCCTTCCTGAGAATATTGTGGCATCTTAGATAAATATTGTATAGCTCAATGAGTCATATGCCATAGCTTGCGTATTTCTTTTTTAGGTGTGCTTTGCCTGGTCTGTTTTTTTTAGGACTGTCATTGGCCTCCTGGAGACTCTTTAGCAGGGAAGCAGACAGCTAGCATGCCTGGAAATTTATTCCCCAAGGCCAGGAACTTTGAGCCAAGAGTACTAATGGGGAAGTTTGAAAACCTGATTCCCTTGCCTCTGTTCTGGACAACTTTGAGGTGTATCTTCCATTTGAGAGGTTTCCTGTAGAATCAGGTTGACACAGAATTATGCCCTGCTTGGCTTTTTCTCCTCCCCTGCCCTGCTTCAGGGCAATCTTTCTCCAACTACTTCCTTAAAAAACCACTTTTATATAAGTCCTCATTTCTGAGTCTGTTTCTTGGTACTTAAGACAATGTATCTTCCTCTTAGTGTTTTGCAGTCAAAGCAAACATTATTTCATGAATGGTCTTATCAGTATACAGTAAAATAGAAACAACTTCTAGTTTATTCTAGGCACTGTATTCCTACTGGCATAGCCTATGTTTGAATTCTACGTTTAGTCAACCATACCATACCATGGATTGCTATTACTGCCAATCAAACCCCTAACAGGATTTTCTGCATGGGCTATTAAAAAAGTAGAACCCCTTCAGTAGGCCTGAAGTTATAAAGAATATAGTACTTATATTTTGTTTTTGCTTTCGTAACTCTTAACAATTATTGAGTTTACTAATATGGAAATATGCAATTATATTAGTCATAGTCAGACTTCCAGTTCTGAACATATTGTAGATTTAATAAGTCAAAAACTCTTCCACAACACATAGATTTGCTAGACAAAATGCTGCAAACAAAATCTTTTTTTTGCTTTTTAGTATTTTATTTTTCAAGAGGTAATATATTTGCATGGTATAACCATAAGATGCAAAAAAGTATTTATGATGAACTCTTTCCCCAATCTCGGTGTGCAGTGGCTCTGCTTTCTTACACAGAAATCATAAAAATCACCAGCTCATCATGTAAGTTGCTGAAGCTATGAGATATATATCATATATGTGATATATATAAATTATAGGATATTTAAGTATAATAAATATTTTTATGTATAATATATAAAAGAAATATATATTTCATATATATTTATATATGATATATATCATATATCACATATATTTATATATTATATATCATATATGATATATATCATATATCACATATGTTTATATATGATATATCATGTATGATATATATCTTATATCACATATGTTTATATATGATATGTATCTTATATCATATATATTTGTATACTATATATCATGTAAGATATATTTTATATGATTGTATATCACATATATGATCATATATTTATATATGATTATATATACCATTTTACATTATATATAAGGAAAATATATATTATGCTTATATAAAGAATATATAATATACATGCTATAATTTATTTTGCTATTTAATTTAATATATTTTAGAGATAGTTTTACTTCTAAACATGAGAGCTTCATTTTTTCCTCTAAACTGTGTTGTTTGACTATAAAATACGTTGTATTTTAGCCCTAATGATGGCTTTTAAGTTGTTTCAAAAGTTTGCCATTACAAATTATACTGCAATTAATATTCTTTGTGCATTTGTTACTTTAAATATGTATAATTGTAAACTAAATTCCTCTATGAGGAATTTTGGGGTCGTAAGGCATGTATGTACCTTTGGAAGGTTAATAGAATCTGCAAATTTCTTCCAAAGAGTTATACAATTGACACTTCCACAAGCTATTCATGAGAGTCCCTCTTACGCCACACCCTGACCAACCCAATGTAATAAATATTCTTTTAAATGTATAGTTCAGCTCAAAGGCCAATAAGGGAAATAACCAGGAGCCAGAAATGAGAAGGAAACAAAATCAGGGCAAGAGCTATGTAATGAAATTGTGACTATCGTGGAAGGGCAATTCAAACTCATTAATCTAGGAATTTAAATTTCGACCCTCATGAAATAATTAAGAAAAAGACCCCTCTTAATGAAGGGTTTATATATTCAGTGAAAGGCTGGCAATCTAGAAACAATTTACCAGTTAACACAGGGAGAGGACAAGGTAGTATCCTCTTTTAGTCTAGAGTAGAAGACAATTTCAATGATTTCCAGGTTGAGATTTGTGTTTATACTATCTGGATGGTCCAGTTACTCCCAAGGGGAAAAACACACACACACATAAAACATGTGTTCCTAGAGACTCCTGCTTCTGGCCGTGATAAAGTAGCTTGTAATGGACCAACCAAAAACAACTGTAAAACCGAACAAAATATACAAAATAACTATTTTCAGATATTGGAAAACTGGCAGTGCAGGTCTGTGATTTCTGAGAATAAGTTCAAGCGAGGTGAGCCCCAGATGATGTGATTCTTCTCTCTGGGAGCACTGTCAGTGGCTGCACAGGTGGGGAATCACAAACACAGCACTATGGTTCTGCTGAAGTCAGAAGGTAGAGATGAAGTGAGACACTATTGGGGTAGCTAGGATTTGTGAAACACGATAACAGAGAGAACAGAGCTTGCAGAAAAACAGCTGCCAAAACTTGTGTAAGTGACCCCTTGAGTTTTGTTCTAAAATATCAGCTGTGCATGCATAAGGCAAACCTCCTCCATGAAGTCAGTCAGTGAATATCTATCTATAAGAAAAAGAACAAGTAAGAGGAGTTTCGAGCTAAACAGCTATTAGAGACCACACAGGGCTGGAGACCTTCGAGATATCAGACAATATGGAGAAACCTCAATGAACCCACAAGGAACTTAGTAGAGCAGAGTAATTCCCACTCAATCCACAGTACCCTTCAATCACGGAATTTAAATGAGAACAAGAGAAGACACCCAAGTGTGGACCTAGTTTGCTTTCTAAAAATAGATACCATAAATGAGAATTTTATGCATTTATGACCAGTCTTTCCATGTCACATATATTTAGTCATAATTATTCTCAGCAGTCTGACAACCACGAATATTGGTAGAAGTTCTTCCTTTTAGTCACATCTCATTGGATTTTCTGATAATACAAAGTTAAGCTATGACCGCTGGGCATGAGAGTACCACGTTTTTCACACAACTTCAAGTGAGGTGATCACTTAAGACATAAACCTTTTGTGGCCAGGCGCGGTGGCTCACGCCTGTAATCCCAGCACTTTGGGAGGCCGAGGCGGGCTGATCACGAGGTCAGGAGATCGAGACCATCCTGGCTAACATGGTGAAACTTCGTCTCTACTAAAAATACAAAAAATTAGCCAGGTATGGTGGCGGGCGCCTGTAGTCCCAGCTACTCAGGAGGCTGAGGCAGGAGACTGGCGTGAACCCGGGAGGCGGAGCTTGCAGTGAGCCGAGATTGCCCCACTGCATTCCAGACTGGGTGACAGAGTGAGACTCGGTCGAAAAAAAAAAAAAAGACGTAAACCTTTTGCAACACAAGAGGCAATAGCAACTGTTAATTTCTTCCACATTCACTTTTGATGCGCCAAATCCCATTGCCATTGTCAGACATAAGCTTAAAATAAGAACAAAAGAATGCAGGTAAATAGAACATATAAAGATACCCTTGTAAAACTATCACAAAGAGCTATATATATTTCAGGGGAGGCCTTTTTAATGCATATCATATATTGTCTGTAGTTTCAAATACCAAGTTTTTTCCTTTAGTGTTTTGTCAATGCTTAATTTAGCTTTAAACTTTTTAAACTTTTCAATGGATGCCTGAATTTAGCTTTAAGAGAACAATGTATCAGTATAATAGGTGTTCACTGTGTATAATATTAGGAGCTTAATATATTTATGTTTATGAATAAGTTCCTTAGCATAACATGGAGTCTCCAATCACAGCATGTAACTGGATCTTCCTTTACTAGAAATTTAAAAATAATTTAAAAGTCTTGTAAGGAGAGATTTGACATAGTCAAAGGGAAGAGAGGAAATACTGTATTGTGTGTAGTCAGCTGATCATCATATCATCATCAACCTCATTGTTTCATGTTTATATTTAAATATATATTGAAGCTCTGACCTAGACTCCCATATCCTAAATTCTTTATCTACATATAATATGTGTGTGTGTATATATATGTGTATATCTCCAAATATCACCTGTGCATGTATAAGGCAAACCATATATATATATCTCCAACCAGCTGCCTTCTTATCAGATCAAGGAAACATAATAGCATATATGGTTAAGATTTGATAAAATGTAATTAACCTTTATATTTATTTTCCATGATTCTTACAAAAACATTTTATGCTATCAATTAACATGGCTTCCTGCATATCTTGAAGCTTTGAAGAAATCAAACCAGCTAAATGATCAATTCTAGCATTACTCAATGATCTAACTTCAGTATAAAGCTAATTTATGTATGCAGCATATTGAGAGAGATTTTTATTGCTGTTTACATCAGTCAGTGTTCTCCACAGAACAAAATCAAAATCAGATTTTTTAAATATATATGTGAATATATATGTAAATACATATATGTGTGAATATATATGTAAATACATATATGTGTGAATATATATGTAAATACATATATATGTGTGAATATATATGTAAATACATATATATGTGTGAATATATATGTAAATACATATATATGTGTGAATATATATGTAAATACATATATATGTGTGAATATATATGTAAATACATATATATGTGTGAATATATATGTAAATACATATATATGTGTGAATATATATGTAAATACATATATATGTGTGAATATATATGTAAATACATATATATGTGTGAATATATATGTAAATACATATATATGTGTGAATATATATGTAAATACATATATGTGTGAATATATATGTAAATACATATATGTGTGAATATATATGTAAATACATATATGTGTGAATATATATGTAAATACATATATATATATATACATATAAAGATATTTTAGGTTTTAAATAGCTCGTGTGATTGTGGGGCAGCACATCTGAAATCTGTAGGACAGATCAGCAGGCAAGAGTTGATGCTGCAATCTTTGGACAGGACTTCTCTATCTGTAGACCTGTAAAACTAGAAGATAAGTTATCTGCTTCCAAAATACAATAGTTGAACAGGATAGGATAGGGTAGGATAGGATAGGATAGGATAGGACAGGACAGGACAGGACAGGACAGGACAGGACAGGACAGACATTTTTTTTTTTTTAATTGAGATGGAGTCTTGCTCTGTCGCCCAGGCTGGAGTGCAGTGGCGTGATCTCGGCTCACTGCAAACTCCGACTCCTGGGTTCACGCTATTCTCCTGCCTCAGCCTCCTGAGTAGCTGGGACTACAGGCGCCCGCCACCACGCCTGGCTAGCTAATTTTTTATATTTTTAGTAGAGACAGGGTTTCACCATGTTAGCCAGGATGGTCTTGATCTCCTGACCCTATGATCCACCCGCCTTGGCCTCCCAAAGTCCTGGGATTACAGGCATGAGCCACTGCACCCGGCCAAGATAGACATTTTTATTCCATTATTCAGTACGTTAGATGCCTCTTCCAGATAATTTAGCCTTTTTCTGTATTAAGTGCCTTAAAATTCTTCTAGACTCTACCCATTAACCTTCCATATTTTAAAGTATTTATAAGAGCAACATCCCATTTTTCTGTACAAAGCCTGTATTAGGGTCTTAGAGCTACCATAACTAAGTACTGAAAACTAGGAAACAATGGAGGCAGAGATTGGAGAGACGCATCTACAAGACAAGGAGCATTAGGAATTGCCAGCAACAATCAGAAGCTAAAAGTGAGGAAAGATTCTTCCATAAGCCCTTTGGAGGCAGCATGACCCTGATAACACCTTGATTTTTTACTTCTAGCCTCGAAAACTGTGAAAGAATAAATGTCTAATGTTAAAGCACAACTTCGGTACTTTGTTACAACCATCACAGGAAACAGAGATACTGTTAAGTCTTGCTTTTTTTCTTTTATTCTCTCCTATATTCAAAATCTCCTGTTTTTCAGCTACTCCTCTTTTCTTCTCTTGAACCTTAGGAAAAGCGTAAAATTGATGATGATATTTTCTGCTCTTTCTTTTTCCATTTGCTAATTGACAGTGTATAGTAATGTATTCCCAGCTTGGCATTTGCACCAGCTCTTTTCCTAATTCCTATTCATATGTAAACTACAGGGTGACTTCAAAAAGTTCATGGAAAGTATAATAAATTATATTATATAATATATAATATATAATAAATTGTATTATATAATATATAATATATAGTAAATTATATTATATAATATATAATATATAGTAAATTATATTATATAATATATAATATATAGTAAATTATATAATATATAATATATAGTAAATTATATTATATAATATATAATATATAGTAAATTATATAATATATAATATATAGTAAATTATATAATATATAATATATAGTAAATTATATAATATATAATATATAGTAAATTATATTATATAATATATAGTAAATTATATTATATAATATATAGTAAATTATATTATATAATATATAGTAAATTATATAATATATAGTAAATTATATTATATAATATATAGTAAATTATATTATATAAAATATATAATAAATTATGTTATATAATATATAATATATAATAAATTATAATATATATTATATATGTATTATATGATATATAATAAATATATAATATGTAATATATAATATTCTATAATTATATTATATATAATATATAATTATATAATAATATGTAATATTATAATATATGTAATATAATATGTAATATATAATATACAATAAATATATAATATGTAATATATAATATATAATATGTAATATATAATATATAATAAATATATATTATATAATATATAATGTATAATATATATTATATATATTTATTAAATACATATAATATATATTTAATAAATACATATTATATATATTTAATAAATACATATAATATATATTTAATAATATATATTATATATATTAATAATATATTATATATATTTAATAATATATGTTATATACATTTAATAATATATATTATATATATTTAATAATATATATTATATATATTTAATAATATATAATGTATATTATAGAGTATATATTTTATATTATATTTATATATTTTTTATATTTTTTATATTTATATATTTATTATATATATTATATTTATATATATTATAATATATATAACTATATATTATATATTTTATATTATATTTATATATTTATTTATTATATATATTAAATTTATAAATATATTATATATTTATATATTTATTATATATAAATATATAATAAATACATATAATACATACATATACTGGCCAGGTTCAGTGGCTCACACATGTAATCCCAGCCCTTTGGGAGGCTGAGGCAGGCAGATCACCTGAAGTCAGGAGTTCAAGATCAGCCTGGCCAGCATTGTGAAACCCCGTCTCTACTAAAATACAAAAATTAGCTGGGTGTGGTGGTGGGTACCTGTAATCCCAGCTACTCGGGAGGCTGAGGCAGGAGAATTGCTTGAACCCTGGAGGTGGAGGTTGCAGTGAGCCGAGTTTGTGTCACTGCACTCCAGCCTGGGTGACAGAGCAAGACTCCATCTCAAAACAAACAAACAACAACAACAAAAAACTATGCATAAATCTCAAAAGTTTTTTGCACCAACATAAACTTATATTAACTAGGTATAACAAGTGTGAGCAGGATCTACTTTGGAATACTAAGAAGAAGAATAAGACATCAGTTTGAAAAGAGCCCCTATCATAGCAACATGGATTCTGCTGAGGAAACATCAAATTTTTCTGATGAAACTTGGATGGAAAAATAGTGAAATCATTGATGCTTTACAAGGAGTCTATGGTAACAAAGTCACTAGTTTGTAAGTAGATAACTCATTTTAAGAAGGGACAAGACAATGTTGAAATGAAACCTGCAGCCACTAATCATCCATATCAGTTTTCATGGAAAAAATTCATCTTGTCCATGACTTAATTGAAGAGGACAAATTATTAACAGCACAAATAATAGCCAACACCACAGACATCTCAACTGGCTCAACTTACACAATTCTGACTGAAAAATTTAAAGTTGAGCAAACTTTCTATTCAATGGGTGCCAAAACCGTTGCAGCCAAGTCAGCTGCAGATGAAAGCAGAGCTTTCAATGGAAATTTTAAACAAGTGGGATCAAGATCCTGAAGCATTTCTTCGAGGAATTATAATAGGAAATGAAAAATGGCTTTACCAGTATGATCCTGAAGACAAAACACAATCAAAGCAATGGCTACCAAGAAGTAGAAGGGGTCCAATCAAAAAGCAAAAGCCAACTAGTCAAGAGCAAAGGTCATGGCAACAGTTTTTGGGGATGCTCGAGGCATTTTGTTTGTTGACTTTTTGGAGGGCCAAAGAATGATAACATCTACTTATTGTGAGAGGGTTTTGAGAAAGTTAGCCAAAGTTTGAGCAGGAACATGCCTGGAACACTTCACCAGAGTCCTTCTCCACCATGGCAGTGCTGCTGCTCATTCCTCTTATCAAACAAATGCAATTTTATGAGAGTTTCAGTGGGAAATCATTAGGCATCCACCTCACAGTTCTGATTTGGCTCCTACTTTTTTTGTTTCTTAGTCTTAAAAAAAATTATTTAGGCTCGGCATGGTGGCTCACGCCTGTAATCCCAGCACTTTGGGAGGCCGAGGCGGGCGGTTCACGAGGTCAGGAGATCGAGACCATCCTAGCTAACACGGTGAAACCCCATCTCTACTAAAAATACAAAAAATTAGCCAGGTGTGGTGGCGGGTGCCTGTAGTCCCAGCTACTCAGGAGGCTGAGGCAGGAGAATGGCGTGAACCCGGGAGGCGGAGCTTGCAGTGAGCCAAGATGGTGCCACTGCACTCCAGCCCAGGCAACAGGGTGAGACTCCATCTCAAAAAAAAAAAAAAAAAATTATTTAAAACACATCCATTTTTATTCAGTTAACAATGTAAAAAAGGCTGAATTGACATGATTAAATTCCTAGAACCCTCAGTTCCTTAGGGATGGACTAAATAGCTGTTATCATTGCTTCCAAGGTGTCCTGACCTTGGTGAAGCTTAGGCTGGAAAATAAAGTTTTTATTTTTATTTTTATCTTTTAATTCCATTTCCATGAAGTTTTTGAAGTCTCGTCATGTATCTTCCTAAAAGCAAAACTCTATTCTACTATTGGCTCAACAAGGCCAAAGACAGACATGGCTCTCATGAAGACCAGTTTCAGCAATATAGGCTCTACCAGGAGGTAAGTCTGTGTCATTGGAAATATCCAAGTTGATTTACTCATTAAACATTTATTTTGTCCCTACCATGTTCCAGATACTATGCTAATCACTACACAACATGATTTAAAATGTTTAATAAATATTTTATTGCACAAAAGATGACCCAAACTATATCCATGTTAATCATGTTAATAACCTCCTCCCCGCACAGTGATTGTCATACCTTGCCAAGAGCCAATCTTCTCACAACTAGTAGCTGTGTTGATGGCTTTTCAGTTAGTGCTTCCCTCTCTTTATTACTAGTCTGTGTCACTGAGACCCTAGCATGTCCCACAGCTCATTTGCTGCATTCCAACTCAACCCATCATCCACTACCAGTGTTACTACAGACAGTTTGCTTTGAATTCCCTGTTTTGCATTTGGAACAGCTTGAAAAGTCTATGATAATACATTCTACCTCTACAGTTGTTGTGAGGACTCAAGTATGATAGCTTATCTTGAGAAAACACTAAATGAACAACTGTTAATTATTATTACTGCTGCCCTTAAGGACCTTGCAGTCTAATGAAGAAGGGATGTTGAGCAATTATTTCTGGATCTATAGGAGATATGTATACTTGTAACCAGCTGGAGTGGTACTTTTCCTACCACCTTGGTAATTGTCTAACTTTTGTACTTCTTTAAGAAATTACAAATACAACTTACGCTGACCATATCCAGCATTTCTAGAGTTTAAATGAAACAGAGGGGAAAGTGCTGTAGGGCAAATAAAGGCAAGGTCCTCCTGAGAGCATAAGGAAACATCATGTTCTACTTCCAGATACATGAGTCATAAGCTAGTTTCTCACAGTGGTACCAGATTGCTCCCTTTGCTTCTCATTTATTAATCAGGGACAGTTGTGGATTTGGCCTCTGTTTTTGGCTGGAAACAATAAAGAAAAACTCAGCATCTAGCCTGGCTTTGTCACTACTTGTGGCTGGAGGTCGTAAAATCAGTTGACAGGTTAGATATGTCTTTACAGCCTTACTTGCAGTTGATAACCTCGCAATCTTACCCCAACTTTATTGTGGTAAGTCAGTGACATACTCAGATGTTGGTTTGGATTCCATCTCTATAACTTAATAGCTATAAGTTTTGAAGGTTTGTATTTTCTTAATTAATTTATTTGTGTGTGTGTGTGTGTGTGTGTGTGTGTGTGTACGTGTGTTTTGCCAAATTAGATAATGTCTCTGAGGCTCAGTTTCCACATGCATAAATTAAGAAAAATCAGAATTAGATTAAGTAATCAGATGACGAGTTAGTACATGATATGACTGACAAAATGATAGCTCTTATTCTTTTTATTCTTATGTTTATTTATCATGGCATTTTCACATAAAACCCAGCATACTTAAATAGAATTTGGGAGCAAAACACAAGGACCATTGAACTCTGAGCAGGAAATAAAGTATGGTGACAGCTGGATGACCTAATATGCTTGCTTCTTGTTCGCAACATGCCTAGCATTTGCTTGTTCGTGGCATTGAACTCAGACCCCATTTCCAGACACTTCCTCTCCAGTCAGTCCTTCCTGCAACTGTCTTTCTTTCTCTTTTCTTGTAGGTGGAATGTTCTTCCTTTTTTCCAAATGTGCCTTACCAAATATATAAGTAAAGCAATTATTCACTTTCCCGGTTGAAAAGAGCAGTGTGACACTATGCAAAGAAGACTGTAACATTGTTGAAATAAAAAATACGTATATCTGGATTCAAATTTTATTTCTGCTACTTACTAATTTTGTGACCTTGACCATGTTACTTATTTGCCTGAACTTTAGTTTCTTCACTTAAAAATGGCTATAATTTTATCTATCTGAACTGGTTTTTGAAGGGATGAAATATAATGCACAGGAAACACCTGCAACATCTTCTAGCCTAAAACTGGTAGGCACAATGTGAACAGTTACAGAAAGTACTACGAATACTATAAAGATATACATTATTTTAAGGAGAGTTTTTAAGACAAAATATTCCTAATGTTCTTCTTCTATAATAATAAATGGATGAGAAAAAAAACTAATGTTATATTGCAAATAATACAGTGGTGAAGATTGCCATACTAGATATTAAAATACATTTTATAGCTGATCTAAACAGGGGTATTCACTAATGATTATATATATATATATATATATATATATATATATGTATCAGCTAAATAGACTAAAACAAATTTTAGTATAGACATAAGAACTCACTCTATGGTAAAGGAAGGACTACAGTCTAGTTAGAAAGGAATACATTGTTAAATAGATGATTATAGGAAATATAGCTATATATTAATAAAAACGCAGCTAGATCTTTAAATTCCAGGCTGAAAATATGCATCAATGATAAAATATTGGAGAGGTTCAGTAGCTTGTCCAAGATCCCACAGTTAATGACTAGTATAGCTGGATATTAAATTTATATATTCTAACCACTATACTATATAACACAAAACTGTAAGAAAGAATGTTATCAATTTTATAAAGGTTATTAAATCTACATACATTATGCATATTACATAAAGGTGTGTACATATATACAATTCATATTTAATTATTCATACACATTTTTAAAGATTGGACACTGCTATAGCAAAATGCTATGGTAATGAAGAACAATAATTTTCTATGGTGCTTGAAATTATATTTTCACTTTAAAATAATTTTCTGCATTTTCTATAAAAGACATTTGATACTTCCACAAACAGAAAAAAATAAACACCCATAAAAATGAATATGCTCCTTTTTAAAGGGTGATTTAAAAATATTCACTTCTGTATACATATAGCCCTGTGTTTTCCTGAGATCAGAGGTACTCAAAGATCAGATGAAAGTTATCCATTATTTCATGGGAATGCTTGCTACAATATAATTAGCTGCCTTGGGGGAATATCACCTTTGCTTGCTTTAACATTATGTTAGAGCATGTTTGAGACTTGTTTCTCCCTGTCTTCATCTTTTCCCCCATTAAATAAAACGTCTTGCCTTGAGCACGCACATTTATCTCAATTTTCCAATCTTCTTCTTTTCTGCTTAAAATCTTCTGGAGATATTATTACTTGAGGATGTTGATGACTTTACAGAAGTCTGAGTACCCTTACTCCCCAAAATTAGGAGAACTGAGGCTAGTGTGCTTTAAAGACCATTTCACATCACATTCAAGTTTGGAGGTGATGTCTTAGATGCTATCTATGAATTAATTTTCGAATGCTGTTAATCCTATAACTTAACCTAAGAATAGACAGGAAGCTTCTGGTTCCTACCATGATAGTGAACTAGCATAAGTTACTGGATCGAAATCAAATCTGGAGGATATACAGAAGTCAGAGAGAATCAATAAACCGTGAAAAACTTCAGGCCAGATTGAAATCTATATTGAACTTGTGTGTGTGTGTGTGTGTGTGTGTGTGTCTGTGTGTGTGTGTGTGTGTGGTGTTTGCATATGTGAGCAGCTGGATTCCAGGACAGATGGGAGCTGGAGACAGCAGGGAAATGTTTGATTGAAAGAATGCTTTCTTCTGGCCTTACCTTGGGAGAATAGTTGCCTGCCCTTTTACTGATAATATCGGTAGCCTTGATGGTCTTGGTCACTGAAGCCTGCATCCACTGGTAACATCTGAGCAGCACAAAAGCCCTACTGGGCTGAAAAATAACAAAAACAGATGAAGCCTGAGAAGAAATTCTTGGAAATTCACACTAGACTTCTCCAAATTCTTAGGACCAAAGGATTCTACATTTTTATATATAAAATAGAAAACTTTTACAAATGTGGGTAATTATTAGGCCATAACAGAAACCTCTGTGTGTTGCAAAGGATCAATATCACACTGACTATGTTCTGTGACCATAGGAAACAAAATTATAAAATAAAAACATAAAGCTTAAAAAACCCCCGTATATTTAGAAATTAAATAACATATTACCAAATAACACTTAAATTAAAAGGAAATTGTAAGGAAAATTAGGAAATATTTACAATGGAATTATAATAAAAATGGTAGTCAAAATGTGTAGTGTGTGGCTGAAACAGAACTTAGAAGTAAATGTGTAGTTTAAATAACTTTATCAGGTTATAAAAATGATTTTTTTAAAAAAACTGTCCATTAACAATATCTAGAGACAATGACCAATTCTGTAGTGTTCAGCTTCAGGGTTTCCAAATGCCATTTTCCTTTAAATGGAAACACAGTTCCTGGAGGAAATGCCTGATTACAGATATGGGGACGATATATACAAGGTAAATCTAGAATATTTTCTCAAGACATAGTTGTCTTGAGAGCTTCTTTGCAGAAAACAGAAATAAATTAAAAAGTGAACAAAAATTCTATCAGAGACTACTAAGATCATACAAATTAGACTCAAAAACTAACTTGAAAGGCTCCCACTGGCCACAGATGGGATAATTTGAGCATCAATACGAATAATAATAGAAATATAAGTTTAAATGTATCATATGTTTAAATCCATGAGTTCATAAGGACACAAAATCTTGATTACTCATCTTTGAGGAATAGTGGAGGAATCAACTTATTATTTTGAAAGCTATCATGTAAATAAAAAGAGAAAACAAAACAAAGCACCCATCGTTTCTTTCCAAACTGAATTATGTTCAATCTAACCAAATAGCTAGTAGTGGAAGTTTCTTTTTGTAAAAGCATTTGAGCTACCAAAAGAAGAAAAAATTAAGAAGTTAGAATCTCATCACTTTAAAAACTCCAAAGCATTAGTGAATCTAGGCAGTGATTATTGGTGGCCGCCAATATCACAAAAAAGAAAGACAGCTAGACATTATGAGCCTCTCAATGGAAACATACAATATTAAAAATGCAATAGTCTTGCCAGAAAAGCAACTCGAAGTCTGATTTGACTTCAACTACAAAAAGCAAGCAGCACAGGTGATGAAAGAACATGTTAGCTGACAGCACAGGAATGCAGATAGCAAATTCTAGGCTGTAGGACATGCTACAGGACAAATAAACTGATTTCCTCAACAAATAAATTGCAAGAAACAAAAAAAAAGAGAGGAAAGAATTTATAAATTGAAGGAGATTTAAAAGACATATTAGCCAACCAAGTACAGTGTATGGATTCAGACTAATGGGAGATAATCATTGAAATTTGAATATGGACTGAATATTTATTTAATAATACTAAGGTGTTACTTCTTTATTTTCAAAGATATAATAATGGCAGTTTGATTAAGTGTTTAAAATCTTATCTTTCACATCTGACACTAAAATATTTATGAATGATATACTGTCTAGGATTTCCCTCCAAATAGTAAAGGGAAGAGAAATGGAGATACAGAAGAAATAAGATAGGCCATGACTTGAGCATAGTTGAACTTGGTTGATGAGCACATTAAGGCACATTGTACTATTCTCTCTATTTATATGTGTGATGGTTTATACTGAGTGTCAACTTGATTGAATAGAATTATACAAAGTGTTGATCCTGGGTGTGTCTGTGAGAGTGTTGCCAAAAAAGATTAACATTTCAATCAGTGGACTGGGGACGGCAGATCCACCCTTAATTTGGTGGGCACAATCTAATCAGCTGCCAGCAAATATAAAGCAGGCAGAAAAATGTGAAAAGGAGAGAGACTGGCCTAACCTCCCAGCCTACATCTTTCTCTCGTGCTGGATGATTCCTGCCCTCAAACACTGGACTCCAAGTTCTTCAGTTTTGAGACTTGGACTGGCACTCCTTGCTCCTCAAGCTTGCAGACAGCCTACTGTGGGATCTTGTGACGGTATAAGTTAATAATTATTGAACTCCCCTATATATATACATATATCTATAGCTATCTATATCTATCTATCTGTATATATATATCATATATATGAGAGTTCAATAAGTATTAACTTACACAATCACAAGATCTATAAATACAGATATAGAGAGATATATGGAGATATAAATATATATAGATACAGATATATTTATCTATCCTATTAGTTCTGTCCCTCTAGGGAACCCTGACTAATACACTGTGTTTTAAATTTAAATGTGTTTAATTTTTTCATAATTAAATTTAATATGTGCTAAGTATTCAACACAGGAAGTTGGAAAACAGTCACAAAACAAACCCAAAGAAACAAGAAAAGGAAATAATTAATAAGTGCAGAAATCAAAGAAACAACTAAAAATTAATAGAGAAAATTAACTGGTGCTTTGGATTAGAAAGATAGGCTTCTGGAAAGACTAAGAAAAAACAAAGAGAAAATGCAATGAAACAATATAAAACATTAAAAAGGAGAAATAACTATAGATGAAACAAATATTTTTAAACATATATTTTGTGTTTTTGTTTTGTTTTGTTTTACCACATTGTCCCGATAAGCCAATTGCTAATTTATCTTTCTGTTTTGCTTCAGCACTAGGAAAGGATGCGACCTGGATGGCAGATAGCAGACATCTAGTCACTGAAAAGGAGATCCTTCACTCTAGGAAATTGTTATGCATGCTCACAGATTAGTCTCTTACGACTTTGTTTACTGGACAGTCAATCTCTCTGAGTCCAATTAAGATTATATTTCTTGTGTACAAAAGAGACCCTAGATTTGAGTAAATTCATCAAATATGAATGTACTACCATCAAATTTTTGTGCTACCTCTGGGAAGCCAACTAATCACCTTTCTTTGTAGTTATATATAACTTTTATATCTGCCTCTCAATTATTAGCTCTTTGAGGTCAGGAACTGGGTTTTATCTATCTGTGTTTTCCAATATTCCAAAACAAAGGCTTAAGAAAATTACACCAATAAGTTAAAACATTAGGCAAAATGGATAAATATGTAAAACAAACAAAGAAAAAACCAAATTGACACACACACACACAACCAAGAAGTTTAAATGGTCAATAAGCATTAAAGAAATTAGAATGGTAGTCAGGTATCTTGTCCCTCAAATATCAGTGTCTTTATAGTTTTAAGGATGAGCTCTAACAGACTTTCAAGGAACAATGAGTTTCTATTGCTTTCCATGTTGTTGCAGAAAATGTAAAATGAGCCTAGCATGATCATGATTCCAAAACCAGATAGGAAAAGGAGTCTATGGACCCATGTTAATTGTGAATCCCAAGTAAAGGACGTCTACTTCAGCTTAAGATTGAGAAACTTGCAAGAATATGCCACTCTCATCCTAATAATAAGAACAATCTGAGAAATCATGTTGTTTTTAAACCCAATTGATAGCTGAAAAAGAAAACAACAACAAACAAACAAACAAACTAATGAACAGAAATCCAGAAAGTGATGAGCCCTTCATAGGAAAGATGAGATCCACAAACTGCTCTCATCCTTGGCATGTAGCAGGAAGAGGAAGAATCTGCCTGAGACACAGGGAAAAAGAAATCTGTTGAAATGTTAACAGATGTTAAAGCCCAAGTGTGAGCTGGTATTATATGATGATTTAGTATCTCTAGGATCCTCAGACACAGAGAGGCTCTCTGTGCCCCTCTGTTTTCACAGTCCTTTATGGAATCTCAGGAGAAAGATTGAGGTGAGGGAGCAGGTGAGTTGAGAGAGACCTCAGGACTCCTGCTGGCACAAGCATGAGAGATCTTGCTAGTCAACTACAGTCTAAGTGGATTCAGACCCCATACTAGTAGCCTAACAGAAGGAGCATTTCTTTTTTTGCATATAAATGTGATTTACTTCATTCTCTACTGTTCTTTTACACACAGTGCCTAGTAGTCAATCCAAAATTATGGGGCATGAAAAGAAATAAGAAAATTTGACCCATTTCTTAATAAAATGTGGAAGAAAAGAACAGGATAAAGAAAAGAGAAGCTAGCCTACGAGATATTAAGATGTTATAAGTCTTAATGCTATGATAGATCCTAGGTAACAATGAAAACAGCGTCATGTTGAACTAAGAATAGACATATTGATCAGTGAACAGAACAGATCTTACCCAGAATGATAGTGTTTTTCTGCGCAGCTGATGATTGTTACATGACACGTGGGGACACAACCAATGTATAAACAGTAATACGACATTAGAGCAGTCCACAGAGAAATTTAATGCCTTTCATTTTTCCTAAACCACACTCTGTGACCCATTTTCTGACCTAGAATATGTTGTGTCTCAATAAAGGGCAAGGAGACCAACGTCACTGTTAACTAGTCTTTGAATAATTAACAGGGCTGACAGTTCAGATCTCAGTAAATAGTCTCCAGTACTTTTATGTGAAATGTTAATTACAGCATTTCAGGCCTCACTAGTTAATTGAATTGTTAGCCAGAGAATTTAACATTTACTTTCTATTGACCACATGCTGTGTTAGAGGAATGAGAATCTGCTCTCTGGGGATGGTTGTACTAAAGCAGCATTCTTTTTTCTTAGTAGCAATGCGCAGGAAGCATCATAAAAACACAACAGTAGCCTGGTAGAGCTTGAGAACTGAGCAATTAACCATGGCCTCTTCATGGTAGTTATTCTGCTGTAACTTAAAGCTCTGCCAGATATTTGCCACTATCATCTTTGGATCGAATGATGGAAAATGCATATGTCAACATTTTCTGCAGTGGGAAGGGAGGCTTTTCAAGTACTTTGTGTAGTAAGTGTGCTGACCTAGTTATTTTTCTAAAATTGGCAGATGCTCATATGTCTCCTTGAGAAACTCAGTATCTTCTTAGGCTATAGAAGGATAACACAGATTTCTGCATAGACTATGAGAGAACTTTTGATTTTGCAATAACTACCCATTTTTCAAATACCTTCTTTGTGCACATATACCTGCCATTGTGCTCATAGTAATATCTAATATTACTAAATCTTTACTAAGTTTTAAGGCTTTTATGTGCAATCCCCCTAACAACCTGGTGAGATAGGGTCTGTTATTATTCTCATTTTTAAGATGAAGAAACAGTGGTATTAAAAGGCAAATAAATGGTAGATCTGCCATTAGAATCCAGGCTAATATCTTTGTTCATGCTCCTAAACTACATGCAAAAAGGAGAATGGCATTTCAGAAATGGAATAGCAGGTTAAAAAAAAAAACCCTAATCTGGGGAAAAAAATGGTGAGTTCTAGAACCTAAATGGAGAAAAATGTCTAGAGTGCAAGACACACTGGTCTCCATTTAATTCCTAGAACAAGGGTAAAGTGCGTATGCCGGTAAGATTGGAATGGAAACTGGGATCAAATAATTCGGGGCTTTAAAGATTATGATAAGGAATTTAGATGTTGCTCTCAGAAAAATAGGAAACCACCATTTCTCAATTTTAAAAGATGACTCATGCAGTTATGTGGAAAATGGGCTGTCTGCTTCTTTTTGTAAATAGATTTTATAGAAACACAGGCACATCTGTTTGTTTACATATTGTCCATGGCTGCTTTCATGCTATCATGGCAGAGGTGAGTAGTAGAAATAGAGACAGGATGGCCCAGAAAGCCTAAACTATTGGCTATCTGGAACTTTGTAGGAAAATTTGTGGACCTCAGAGGGTAGAGGATAAAGTCGAGAGAGACCATTTAAGAAGCTATTTAAATGCACACAGTGAAGAGATAATAGGGGGATGGCTGCGGAGGTGAAGAGAGGACTTATTTAAGATATGGTTTTTTTCTTTTCTTTCTTTTTGTTTTTTTTGAGATGGAGTCTTGCTCTTGTCACCCTTGTCACCAAGGCTGAAGTGCAATGGCATTATCGGCACACTGCAACTTCCGCCTCCCAGGTTCAAGCAATTCTCCTGCCTCAGCCTCCCCAGTAGCTGGGATTACAGGCACCCACCACCATGCCCGGCTAATTTTTGTAGTTTTAGTAAAGATGGGGTTTCACCATATTGGCCAGGGTGGTCTTGAACTCCTGACCTCATGATCTGCCCACCTTGGCCTCCCAAAGTGTTGGGATTACAGGCATGAGCCACCATGCCCAGCCAAGATATGTTTTTAAGCTATGATTGTCATCAGTGGTTCTTAAACTTGGTGTGAGTCAACAGGGAATGTGCCCCAAAAGGAGATGCTTGACCACTACAAACAGAGATTTTATTAAGTAGTTTGAGGGGAGGTAGGTTGGAGAGGAAGACCTTGGCATCTTCATTTTTGTTTTCTGAGATGGATTCTCTTTCTTTCGCCCAGACTGGAGTGCAGTGGCACGATTTCGGCTCACTGCAACCTCCGCCTCTGGAGTTCAAGAGATTCTCCTGCCTAAGCCCCCCGCCACCACGCCCGGCTAACTTTTTGTATTTTTTTGTAGAGACCGGGTTTTGTATGTTGGCTAGGCTAGTCTCAAACTCCTGACCTCAGGTGATTCGCCTGCTCGGCCTCCCAGAGGTTTGGGATTACAGGCGTGAGCCACTGCGCCAGGCCGGCATCTTCATTTTTAAAGAGCTGCCCAGCACAGGAGTTCTCAGACCCCACCCACTTGTCTAGATGGGGGCTGGAAGTGGGGAGCAAGGGTTGGAGAGAAGGGTAGGGTCAGGAGAAACCTTGAGGAATTAGACACATGGTAATGCCATTTAATGCAACAGGGAAGACACAGGAAGAAAGAGATTCAAAGAGAAAATAAATCAAGACTTCAATTTGGGACATACTGAGCTTCTTGAAACACATTTAAGTGAAGATGAGTTGGTAATTGGATAAATGAGATTGGAGCATAGGGAGGAGGTTAGAGTCAGCGACATAAATACCACTAGATGGTATTTAAAATTAGGAGAATGAAAGACTAACTGGGAGTAAGTGTAGAGAAAGAATATAAGGTTATTTCATATGGCTTCTTGAGGAATCCCAGCCTTTGAAAGGTGGGATGTGTAAGCCAGCTGCAGTAGTGTGCATCTGTAGTCCAGTTACTCAGGAGGCTGAGGTGGGAGGATCATTTAGCCCAAGGAGTTTGAGCCTGGCCTGGACAACACAGAGGGATTACATCTCTGAAAAAAATATTTAAATTACATTTAAAACAAATAGGATTGACTGTGAGAGGAAGACCAGGCAAATAAAAACAGAAATTAGCAACCAGTGAAATGGGAGGGAAAAATGTCCTGATGTAGACATCTACCGTCGTTCCTTTGGAAAAGATTATTGTATACCCTCTTAGATGGTCTCAAATCCTCCAAACTATTCCTCACATTGTAACTAGAAAGATATTTTAAAAATAAAATGTGATTTGGTCACGCCTTTGCATAAAGTAATATTACAGTCAACACCCTTCATAATTTGACTCCTTGAGCTACATTAATGATATAACTGAGTTGGAAAATCCTTTCTGGGAATTTCAGCAGACATATCACAGAAGGCAGACAGCTTGGTTAGAAGAACACAAAGAGAATTACTATTTACTCCATTGCAGATCAGTGACCTTTTTACAGGATACAACCATATGTGGTTGTCCTGGCATAGGACTTGGTATTTATTCCTATCACTTGCTAAGCCCACTGCAATGCACAGTTTTAGGAGGTACTAATTTCATAGTACACAATAAATGGCTCTCCAGTTGTTGCAAAACTGATACTATTTTATACTGTAGTTTAATTGCCTATTTACTTGTTTGATGCTTATCAATAAACTCCACTCTTCTTGAGGACAGGATCTTTCTTATCCATCACTGTATTCCTAGCAAAAGGCATACCTGCATATATATGACCAAAAATATTGTTGAATGTACAAGCGCTACTGCTAATAACTCTATTTTTTGTTTATTCCTCAAGAATGTATTGAGTGTGTGTGTGTTGTACTAAAATTGTGCTAGATCCTGGGAATAATGGAATGAATCAAAGATGCAAGATCCCTCATCATATGAACAAGGGTGTATCTTTTTTAGTATAGCCAATTTCATTCAATGCATTTCAATGCAACCCAACTCAGTTCAACTCATTGACTGCAACCCAAGCCAACTCAACTAATTCCCAATTCAACTCAACTTAGTCCAATCCCATTAAATGCAAAATAATGCAATTCAATTCAGTACATACAATTATATTCAATTAAACAGACTTTAATTGAGCATGTCATATATATCAAAAACTGGCCTAAGAGAGGAAACATGCAATGTATCTCAAGATTTTAATAAAACCACTTGGAAAATATGCATCTTTAGTGAAACAATGATTAGGACATTATAGAGCATGCTGACTTTTAAGAATCTTAAAAGTCATCTCAAGTTTTGGTGATTAGGAAAAAAATGCTGCTATTATTGACATAGAAACACCATATTAAAAATAAAAATGCCTTAAATTATATATTAATTTTTCTACATATACAAAAAAGTTTGATTTTTCAGAATTAAAAAATTTTTAAATGAATTTTAAAAAATCAAAGTTTGAAAAATTGTGGTCCAAGTGCAAAGTTCCAGACATATGTGGTTCAATCATTAGTTGATCTTTGGGATGTTGATTATTTATTTGGTCTTTTATGTTTTGAATCTAGTGACAATAGAAGATGTTAAAGTTAGCCCTTTAACTGCTAAGCTTTGATACGTCATAGTTTTGTGTCCAAAAACCTGATCAGTTTTGCCAGGCTCTGACATGACTGTGTTGTTCTGTAGCATTTCCACCAGAGCATACCACACTGTCAGGGAGCAGTTTCACATTGTACTACTTGTCTAGTTTGGATCATCACCTAACAATGGGCTTCCAAGTTTCTGAAAAACTGGGACACTGGTTGTTATACTCGGGTTCTCTATATCTCTGCCCAGTCCCACCACCTCCTCTCCCCAGCAAAATTTATCCTACTCAGTTATAATGAATGGAAAGTTACAGCTAGTTTACTATCCCCTTGAAATTTAAAATTTGAGCTTTGTCAGTCCAATGATGCAAATAAACTTAATTTTATTTTTACCATAACGCCAAAGGAGGATTTTATTTCTGGCTTGTTTTTCTTCTGCTCTTCAGTATCCAAAGCAACCTTGGAATTCATTGAAAAGTCATATTTAACATTTTTTGTAAAATAAAATAAACATGGCCGGGTGCGGTGGCTCACGCCTGTAATCCCAGCACTTTGGGAGGCTGAGGCCGGCAGATCACGAGGTCAGGAGATCGAGCCATCCTGGCTAACACTGTGAAACCCCGTCTCTACCAAAAATACAAAAAATTAACCAGGCATGGTGGCAGGCGCCTGTGGTCCCAGCTACTCGGGAGGCTGAGGCAGGAGAATGGTGCGAACCCAGGAGGCGGAGCTTGCAGTGAGCGGAGATCAAGCCACTGCACTCCAGCCTGGGTGACAGAGCGAGACTCCGTCTCAAAAAAATAAAATAAAATAAAATAAACATACACAACTCCTCTTATTCTTCAACTTTCATATTTTTTTCTCCATCCTTCCAGACTAAAGTAGGGATCCCTACAATGTGTTCCTTCAGCCCTAGGTATGCTCCTATCACTGTATAATATAAAGTGCTTCTCTAAGCGTTTACTTACTACCTGGACTAAGAGGTTGGTGGCAGAGGGCAGGGGTGCATTTATATCATTCTCATCCTCAAGCACTTTTAGAGCTTGGCACGTATTGGGCACCCAACAAATGTCCTTTGCATGAGTGTCAGTGAAGCCTGCAACATGTTTATTAGTATAGCTTTGGTTCCTTGAGGAGGAGCTATTTGGGAAGAATTTCTTGGAATAGTAATTGAGAACTCTATTGAGTTTTCTTGCATTGCATCCAATAGTTTGGCAGCACTTCAGAACCACATTCTGCAATCTAAATTTGAAGCTAAATATGTATCTGTTTTAGGGGAAAAATGTACAGTAGACTATATGCTGAAACAGTATTAAGCATGAAGGGATCCTACCATTGGTTATGCCAATCAGCTGGTATCCTCCTCTCTGATTTTTGTACATGAGACTTATCAAAACTTAATCATCAACACTCCAAATCTTTTAAGACAAAACACTGTCCATGCACAGGGAATTTGAAAGATTGAACACATGCTTTAAGGCTTAAATAGACATCATACTAAGTAAAATAGAAAACTTTTCCTAAAACTGGGTTACATTTGCTACTTAAACATTAAAACAGAGTTTTGTGGTGACTCCTAGGATGTTTTTTCTATGCAGAAAAGTCAATTCATGTTTTTACTTTGTTTTAAAATTCTTATTCCATTATAGTTACAAATATAAGAAAGAACTTGTCTTCTCTTTCAAGAAGCTTTTGTTTGAGTTACATTCCATATAATTCTATTTAAAATTCTAGCAAATTTTACCAACCACCTAATTGCCTTTGGAAAATATTTGATTTAATTTACAATTTCATTAAATTTATACTTTCTTTCCAAGTACTTGGGTTGTCTGAATTAATAAACAAACTATTTCCAAGCACTTAAATGGCTTGTATATATCTGATAATTTGAATATATATGGTGAAACTTGAGTTCTCTTAAGTGCTTCAAAACTCCATATAAATCACAAGTGTAATTCAATATGAAACATACAGCTAATCTATTATTCTAATATGCCAAAACTACTACAATATTAATGGCATATAAGATCACAAATATACACAGACTGCTTAACCAACCTACATAAATGCTAAGAATTTTATTATCTTAAACACTTACACATTTAATCCTAAATATTCCCAGATTTAAAAGATGCTCACCCACCAGGAAACTATTATATAATTTCATACTATTAGGAGGATATTGTTCCATGCAATTTCAAGGTTATTTTATTATAATGTTTAAAGCAATCATTTTAAGGACAAAACATTTTGTTTTCAAAAGGCTGATATGGTCCTGGGGGATTCACTGAACACTATGTCATGGATGACATAACATCAAGATGGAAGTGTTCTAACGGGACCCATACAATTCTTTATCCCCATATCACTCCGTTGGATTGTGCATTTCTGTGTTTTTTAGTAAATGGAAATGCCTTACCATCTAATTCTAAAGATTTTTAAGCTTGATGGAATCCTTTTCGCTTTCACATTATTAGATCCCCACAACATGGAAACATACTTTTTCTTATCCAACTGATTTCTTAGCTATGGAGCCATAACCCCAATGTCACTGTTTCAGAGGTACTTTTCCAGTGGACATTTTTCACTGGTTTAAAGGAAATGTGACATTCTCTGCTCAGATACTCACATGCATATATAAAAAGAAGTTGTGTAACTTACATTATTTTATGACTTCAACAACCTTGAGCAAGTGTGAAAAGAGATTCTGTGGGTAGCCCCAAAATGGCTCTGTCCACCTTCCCAATTTCTGGTTAAGTAATCCCTACCACGAACTTCTAACATGTAACTGTTGCTCAGTAAGATCTGGAGGAGCTGGGGCATTGAATGGAAGCAGTAAGTTCTCTGTGAGTAAATTCTTTTTTAGGCATCACATGTGATTTTCAGTGGGATGAACATGCAAAATACACATGTCTTCCCCATGCATCCTGAGAAGCCATCCTACTATGGTTCTTCCAAACACAGTCAAATTTCTCATGCTTACTCAATGATGTATTTGCACATTCAGCCCTTACCATTTTGGAGGTCATTTCTCATCTATTTAAACCATTTTTGTTATTGAATAGAAGCTCAAGGCAAGCCTCCTAATGCAGATGACTAAAATGGTATACTCTTCTTTGATACAGTCTCAAAAAATACTCAGAAACATTAGAGACAATGCAAGAACTGGGTTTCAAATAGCCTGAAAATATTAGGTTATAAACAATGAGGAGATTTTTATTCTGAGCTTTGCTAACATCAGAATGCTTCTGAGGGGTGATAACCTCTTTGATTTTTCTGTGATTCTTTAAAAAATGGAGTTTTAAAAATTATGTTATAGCCATTACTCTCAAATTATTGCCAGACAAAATAGCTGAAGATGACTTTAGGCTTAAACTAGCTTTTGGCTAACAGCCAGATAAAATCATTTCCTACCTGTAAACAAAAACACTTGTGGCAATACAGAAAAAAAAAGACTAAAAAATCACAACTGAAAATGAAATCTTCTAGATAGCTCATATCACATATCTGGAGGAGAAACTCAAGGCAAATGAAGATAGATTAAGGGAAGCAAAACCAGGAAATGACAGTGGTACCCTGGGATCCTCATTTTTATTACTGTTATAGCCAGGATCTGAAACAGAAAGAACTCTGGAAAAAAAATATATTCTAGGATTATAATTATGATGGATTCCATCAGATGAGAAGAAGTAGGGAGTTTGAGGTAAAGATACTGATATGTTTTGGCTGTATCCCCACCCAAATCTCATCTTGAATTATAGTTCCCATAATCCCCATGTGTCATGGGAGGGACCCAGTGGGAAGTGATTGGATCATGAGGGTGGTTTCCTCCATGCTGTTCTCATAATAGTGAGTGAGCTCTCATGATGGCTTTATAAGTGTCTGGCATTTCCCCTGCTGACACTTCTCTCTCCTGCTGCCATGTGAATAAGAACATGTTTGCTTCCCCTTCTGTCATGATTTTAAGTTTCCTGAGGCCTCCCAAGCCATGCAGAAGTGTGAGCCAATTAAACCTCTTTCCTTTACAAAGTATCCAGTCTCAGGCAGTTCTTTATAGCAACATGAGAACAAACTAATACAGATACCTCCTGGTTAGTGAAAAACTGAATTACAGAAATATTAGCCAAAACCAGGAAACTAGACTAAAAAGTTACAACTGTTAATCCATATTATTGTAGAAATGCCACTTAGGCTATACCTACTGAAAAGCAATTCTCAATCTTCCAGGGCACATAAATAGGAAGAGAAAAAAAAGTACACATATGAAACAAGAAAATCTCTAAGGATAGCATGTTTTTATGATTCTGATAATTGAACAGGTAGGGATTACTTTTTAAAAATTAATAACAATAGCAGAACTCATACATGAGTAGGACAAATGCTTCTTTTCTTATTTAAAGACTAATCTCAGATGGGGTAAAAAAATAAATTGTTAAGATTTGTTTCATTACCCAACCTGTCAGCTATTCTCGAGACTGTCCCATGGGCCCTAGAGAAGACTGTATACTCTCCTGATGTAGGGTAGAAAATTCTGTATATATCTATTAGGGCCATTTGTACTATAGTTTTGTACAAGTCTCCATTTTCTTTATTAATTTTCTGTCTAGATAGTCTATTCATTATTGAAGGTTAACTATTGAAGTCTCCTACTATTATTATATTTCTATCAATTTCCCCATTCAATTTTCTCAATTTAAAATCATATTCTCAGGTGCTTGGACATTGGGTGCATATATATTTATTGTTGCTATATCTTCCTGCTGAAATGAGCCTTTCATCATTATGTAATAAAATTTTTTGTCTCTAGAGACAATTTTTGACTTAAATTTTACCATACAGACACTCTGGCTTCCTTTTAGTTGTCAATTGCACAAAATATCTTCTTTCATCCCTTCACTTTCTGCCTATGTGTGTCCTTGGATAAAAAGTGAGTTTCTTATAGATGGTATACAGCTGCATCCTGTTTTTCTAAAATTCACTCATCTACTCTGTATCTTTATAGTGGGGAGTTTAGTCCATTTATATTTAAAGCAATTTTTGATAGGGAAGGATTTACTATTGCCATTTTGTTAACTGTTTTCTGTTTGTCTTATAGTTCTTTTGTCCCTCTTTTTTTCCCTTCCTGTTTTATTCTGTTGGCTAGGCTGGAGTGCAGTGGGACAATCAATAGTGCACTGCAGCCTTGACCTCCCAGGCTCAAGCAGTCTTCCCACCTCAGCCTCCCAAGTACCAAGAAGCTAGGACTACAAGCACCATACCTAGCTAAGGTTTGGGTTTTTGTTTGTTTGTTTGTTTTGTTTTTAAGTACAGATGAGGTCTCACTATATTGCCCAAGGTGGTCTCAAACTTCTGAGCCCACGCCATTTTTTTGCCTTCACCTCTCAAAGTGCTGGGATTAGTCAGCCACCACGCTCAACTGTTTCTTTATTAATAGGCTTTGATTCTTTTTTTTTTCTATTACATAACTTCTATAGGTATTTTGTGTGTGTGGTTACCCAGAGGCTTACAGAAAGTATCTTATAGTTATAACATTTTATTTTAAACTGATAGCAACTTCATTTGTAGTAAAAAAAAAAAAAACACTCTCAGGTTTTACCTTTCTTCTCCTCATATTATATGCTACTGATGTCCCAATTTACATCTATTTATATTATGTATCCATTAACAGAATTCAATTATAGCTGTTTCAACACTTTTGTCTTTTAACTTTTATAGTAGAATAAAAAGCAATTACCTACCACTTTTATAGTAATACTGTCTTTATATTTACCTTTACCAATGAATTTCCTACTTTTTATGCTCTCTTTTTTGTTGTTTAGCATCATTTTCTTTCAGCTTGAAGCACTCCCGTTAGCATTTCTTGTAAGGCATAGTGGTGCTATTTCTAGTGACGATAAATTCCCTCAGCTTTTGTTTATAGAGAAAGATTTTATCTTCCGTTCATTTTTGAAGGACAAATTTTGCTGGGTGTAGTATTCTTGACTTTTTTTTCTTCCAGCACTTTAAATATATCATTCCACTTCCTTCTGGCCTGTTAGGTTTCTGCTGAAAAATCCAGTAATAATCTTAAGGCAGTTCTCTTTCATTTAATAAGTCAATTGTCTCTTGCTACTTTCAAAATTATCTTTTTGTCTTTAACTTTTGACTATTTCATTATAATTTGTCTTGGTGTGAATCTTTGTGTATTTATCTTATTTTTGTCCTTTGGGCTTACTGACTTAGGAAGTTTATTCCCTTCCACAGGTTTGAGAAGCTTTCAGCCATTATTTTTATGAATGAGATTTCCATTTCTTTCTCTCCATCTTCTCTTGCTGAGAGTCCCATAATGTATAATTTGTCCTTTTGATGGTGTTTCATAAATCCTTTAATCTACCTTCACTTTTAATTTTTTAATTTTTTAATTTAATTTCTTTCTATGAGTTACTGGGGTACAGGTGGTATTTGGTTACATGAGTAAGTTCTTCAGTGGTGATTTGTGAGATGTTGGCGCACCCATCAACCAAGCCGTATACACTGCACCATATTTGTAGTCTTTCATCCCTTGCCCCCCTCCCACTCTTCCCCCCAAGTTTCCAAAGTCCATTGTATCATTCTTATGCTTTTGCATCTTCACGGCTTAGCTCCCATATATCAGTAAGAACATACGATGTTGGGTTTTCCATTCCTGAGTTACTTCACTTAGAATAACAGTCTCCAATCTCATCCAGGTCACTGCCAATGCTGTTAATTTATTCCTTTTTATGGCTGCATAGTATTCCATCATATATATATACCACAGTTTCTTTATCCACTTATTGATTGATTGGCATTTGGGTTAGTTCCACGATTTCACAATTGTGAATTGTGCTGCTATAAACCTGCGTGTGCAAGTATCTTTTTCAAATAATGACTCATTTTCCTCTGGGTAGATACCCAGTAGTGGGATTGCTGGATCAAATGGTAGTTCTACTTTTAATTCTTTAAGGAATCTCCACACTGTTTTCCACAGTGATTGTACTAGTTTACATTCCCACCAGCAGTGTAGAAGTGTTCCCTGTTCACTGCACCCACACCACCTACTGTTTTTTAATTTTTTTATTCCGACCATTCTTGCAGGAGTAAGTTTGTATTGCATTGTGGTTTTGATTTGTATTTCCCTGATTATTAGTGATGCTGAGCATTTTTTCATATGTGTGTTGGCCTTTTGTATATCTTCTTTTGAGAATTGTCTATTCATGTCCTTAGTCCACATTTTGATGGGATTTTATTTTTTTTTCTGATTTGAGTTCGCTGTAGATTCTGGATAATAGTCTTTTGTCAGAAGTATAAATTGTGAAGATTTTCTCTTACTCTGTGGGTTGTCTGTTTACTCTGCTGACTATTCCTTTCACTGTGCAAAAGCTCTTTAGTTTGGCCTGATATGGTGGCTCATGCCTGTAATTCTAGCACTTTGGGAGGCCAAGGCAGGTGGATCATCTGAGGTCAGGAGTTTGAGACCAGCCTGGCCAACACGGTGAAACCCCATCTCTATTAAAAATAAAAATTAGCTGGGCATGGTGGTGCATGACTGTAATCCCAGCTACTAGGGAGGCTGAGGCAGGAGAATTGCTTGAACCTGGGAGATGGAGGTTGCAGTGAACTGAGATTACATCATTGCATTCCAGCCTGGGTGACAGAGCAAGACTCTATCTCAAAAAAAAAAAAAAAAGTTCTTTAGTTTAATTAGGTCCCAGCTATTTATCTTTGTTTTTATTGCATTTGCTTTTGGGTTCTTGGTCATGAAATCTTTGCCTAAGCCAATGTCTAGAAGGGTTTTTCCAATGTTATCTTCTAGAATTTTTATAGTTTCAGGTCTTAGGTTTTAGTCCTTAATCCACCATGAGCTCATTTTAGTATAAGGTGAGAGAGGAGGATCCAGTTTCATTCTCCTACACGTGGCTAGCCAATTATCCCAGCATCATTTGTTGAAGAGGGTGTTGTTTCCCTACTTTAGGTTTTTGTTTGCTTTGTTGTAGATCAGTTAGCTGTAAGTATTTGGGTTTATTTCTGGATTCTCTATTCTGTTCCATTGGTCTATGTACTTATTTTTATACCAGTACCATGCTGTTTTGGTGACTATGGCCTTATAATTTGAAATCAGTTGGTGTGATGCCTCCAGATTTGTTCTTATTGTTTAGCCTTGCTTTGGCTATGTGGGCTCTTTTTTGGTTCCATATGAATTTTAGAATTTTTTTTTCTAACTCTGTGAAGCATAATGGTGGTATTTTGATGGCGATTGCATTAATTTGTAGGTTGCTTTTGGCAGTATGGTCATTTTCACAATATTGATTCTACCCATCCATGGGTGTGGAATGTGTTTCCATTTGTTTGTGTCATCTATGATTCTTTTCAGTAGTGTTTTGCAGTTTTCCTTGCAGAGGTCTTTCGACTACTTAGTTAGGTATATTCCTAAGTTTTTTTTTGTTTTTTTGTTTTTTTGTTTTTTGTTTTTTGTTTTTTTTGCAGCTATTGTAAAAGGGGTTGAGTTCTTGATTTGATTCTTTGCTTGGTTGCTATTGGTGTATAGAAGAGCTACTGACTTGTGTACTTTTTTTTTTTTTTGAGACAGAGTCTCACTCTGTCACCCAGGCTGGAGTGCAGTGGTGTGATCTCGGCTCACTGCAACCTCTGCCTCCTGGATTCAAGGAATTCTCCTGCCTCAGCCTCCCAAATAGCAGGTATTACAGGCGCCCACCACCATACCCAGCTACTTTTTGTATTATTTTGTAGAGACAGGGTTTTGCCATGTTGGCCAGGCTGGCCATGAACTCCTGACCTCAGGTGATCCACCTGCCTCGGCCTCCCAAAGTGCTGGGATTCCAGGAATGAGCCACCGTGCCTGGCCTTGTGTACATTAATCTTGTATCTGGAAACTTTTCTGAATTTTTGCATCAGTTCTAGGAGCTTTCTAGAGGAATCCTTAGGGTTTTCAAGGTAAACAATCACTGTCAGCAAACAGTGACTTCTTCTTTACTGATTTGGATGCTCTTTATTTCTTTCTCTTGTCTGATTGCTCTGGCTAGGACTTCCAGTACTACGTTGAAGAGGAGTGGTGAGAGTGGGCATCCTTGTCTTGTTCCCATTCTCAGAGGAATGCTTTCAACTTTTCCCCATTCAGTATTATGTTGGCTGTGGGTTAGTCATAGAAGGCTTTTATTACATTAAGGTATGTCCCTTGTATGCTGATTTTGCTGGGAGTTTTAATCATAAAGGGATGCCGCATGTTGTCAGATGCTTTTTCTGCATCTATTGAGATGATCATGTGATTTTTGTTTTTAATTCTGTTTATGTGATATATCACATTTATTGACTTGTGTATGTTAAACCATCCCTGCATCCCTGATATGAAACCCACTTGATCATGGTGGATTATCTTTGTGATATGTTGTTGGATTCAGTTAGCTATTATTTTGTTAAGGATTTTAGCATCTATGTTCATCAAGGAAATTGGTCTGTAGTTTTCTTTTTTGGTTATGTCCTTTCCTGGTTTTGGTATTAGGGTGATGCTGGCTTCATAGAATGAATTAGAGAGGGTTCCTTCTTTGTCTATCTTGTGGAATAGTGTCAAAAGGATTGATAACAATTCTTCTTTGAATGTCTGGTAGAATTTTGCTGTTAATCTGTCTTGTCTCGGAATTTTTGTTGGTGATTTTTTAATTACCATTTCAATCTTGCTGCTTGTTATTGTTCTGTTCAGGGTATCTAATTCTTCCTGATTTAAGCTAAGAGGGTTGCATTTTTCCAGGAATGTATCTATCTCTTCTAGGTTTTCCAGTTTAGGTGTGTAAAGGTATTCATAGTAGACTTGAATGATCTTTTGTATTTCAGTGGTGTCAGTTGTAGTATCTCCTGTTTCATTTCTTAGTGAAGTTATTTGGATTTTCTCTCTTCTTTTCTTGGTTATTCTTGCTAATGGTCTATCCATTTTATTTATCTTTTCAAAGAACTAACATTTTGTTTCATTTATGTTTTGTATTGTTATTTTTTTTTGTTTTAATTTCATTTAGTTCTGCTCTAATCTTGGTTTTTTCCTTTCTTCTGCTGGGTTTGAATTTGGTTCACTCTTGTTTCTTCATTTCCTTGAGATGTGACCTTGGATTGTCATTTTGTGCTTTTTCAGTCTTTTTGATGTAGGCATTTAGGGCTATGAACTTTCCTCTTAGCACCACCTTTGCTGTATCCCAGAGGTTTTGATAGGTTGTGTCATTATTGTCATTCAGTTCAAATAATTTTTAAATTTCCATCTTGATTTGGCTTTTGACCCATGCTCATTCAGGAGCAGGTTATTTAATTTCCATGTATTTGCATGGTTTTGAAGGTTCCTTTTGGAGTTGATTTCCAGTTTTATGCAGCTGTGGTCAGAGAGAGAGTGCTTGATATAATTTCAATTTTCTTAAATTTTTTTGAGGCTTGTTTTATGGCCTATCATATGATCTATCTTCGAGGAAGTTCCATGTGCTTTTGAATAGAATGTGTATTCTGTTGGATGAAATGTTGGATGGTTGTTGGATGAAATGTTCTATATATATCCGCTAAGTCCATTTTTTCCAAGGTATAGTTTAAATCCATTGTTTCTTTGTTGACTTTCTGTCTTGATGACCTGTCTAGTGCTGTCAGTGGAGTATTGAAGTCCCCAACCATTATGGTGTTGCTGTCTATCTCACTTCTTAGGTCTATTAGTGATTGTTTTATAAGTTTGGGAACTCCAGTGTTAGGTGCATATATGTTTAGGATTGTGATATTTTCCTGTTGGACAAGGCCTTTTACAATTATGTAATGTCCCTCTTTGTCTCTTTTAACTGCTGTTGCTTTAAAGTTTGTTATGTCTGATATAAGAATAGATATCCCGGCCTGCTTTTAGTGTTCCTTCACATGAAATGCTTTTTTCCATCCCTTTACTTTAAGTTTATGTGAGTTCTTATGGGTTATGTGAGTCTCCTGAAGGCAGCAGATGGTTGGTTGGTGAGTTCTTATCCATTCTACAGTACTGTATCTTCCAAGTGGAGCATTTAGGCCATTTACATTGAATGCTAGTATTGAATTGTGAGGTACTCTTGCATTCATTGTGCTCTTTGTTTCCTAGGTACTTTTGTTTCTTGTTTTTGCTTTTTAACTTGTATTTTTATTTTTTGGGTCCTGTGTGATTTATGCTTCAAAGCTCTGTTTTGATGTGTTTCCAGGATTTGTTTCAAGATTTAGAGCTCCTTTTAGCAGTTCTTGTAGTGGTGGCTTGGTAATGGTGAATTCTCTCAACATCTGTTTGTCTGAAAGCGACTGTATCTTTCCTTCATATATGATGATTGATTTCACTGCATACAAAATTCTTAGCTAATAATTGTTTTGTTTGAGGAAGCTGAAGATAGGGCCCCAATCCCTTCTAGCTTGTAGGGTTTCTGCTGAGAAATCTGCTGTTAATCTGATAGGTTTTCCTTTATAGGTTACCTGGTGCTTCTGTCTCACAGCTCTTTAGATTCTTTCCTTCATCTTAACTTTGAATAACCTGATGGCAATGTGCCTAGGTGAAGATATTTTTATAATGAATTTCCCAGACATTGTTTGTGCTTCTTGTATTCGGATGTCTAAGTCTCTAGCAAGGCTGAAGAAGTTTTCCTCAATTATTCCCCCAAATGTGTTTCTCAAGCTTTTAGAATTAGCTTCTTCCTCAGGAACACTGATTATTCTTAAGTTTGGTCATTTAACATAATCCCAGAATTCTTGGGGGCTTTGTTCATATTTTCTTATTCTTTTTTCTTTGTCTTTGTTGGATTGGGTTAATTCAAAGACTTTGTCTTTGAGCTCTGAATTTCTTTCTTCTACCTGTTCAATTCTATTGCTCAGACTTTCCAGAGCATTTCGCATTTCTAAAAGTGTGTCCAAAGTTTCCTGAATTTTTAATTGTTTTTTCTTTAAGCTATCTATTTCCTTGAATATTTCTCCCTTCGCTTCTTGTATAATTGTTTTTTTGTTTTGTTTTGTTTTTGTTTTTGTTTTTGTTTATTTCCTTGCATTGGGCTTTGCCTTTCTCTGTTCCCTCCCTGATTAATAACCAATCTCCTGAATTCTTTTTCAGGTAAATCAGGGATTTCTTCTGCGTTTGGATCCATTGCTGGTGAACTAGTGTGATTTTGGGGGATGTTGAAGAGCGTTGTTTGGTCATATTACCGGGGTTGGTTTTCTGGTTCCTTTTCATTTTGGTAGGCTCTGTCAGAGGGAAGGTCTAGGACTCAAAGCTGTTGTTCAGATTCTTTTGTCCCACAGGGTGTTCCCTTGATATAGCACTCTCCCTCTTTTCCTATGGATGTGGCTTCCTGTGAGCTGAACTACAGTGATTGTTGTCTTTCCTCTGGGTCTAGCCACACAGCAAGTCTACCTGGCTCCAGGCTGGTACTGGGGGTTGTCTGCACAGTCCTGTGATGTGAACCATCTATGGGTCTCTCAGCTGTGGATACCAGTGCCTGTTCCAGTGGAGGTGGTGGAGGATGCAATGGACTCCATTAAGCTTCTTAGCTTTGGTGGTTTAATGCTCTATTTTTGTGCTGGTTGGCCTCCTGCCAGGAGGTGGTGCTTTCCAGAAAGCATCAGCTGTAGTGTAGTATGGAGAGGGATTGGCAGTGGGTGGGGCCCTAGAACTCCCAAGATTATATGCCCTTTGTCTTCCGCTACCAGTGTGGATAGGGAACCACCATCAGGTGGGGGTGGGGCTAGGCGTGTCTGAGCTCAGACTCTCCTTGGTCGGGTCTTGCTGCTGCTGCTATGGGGGTTGGGGGTGAGATTCCCAGGTCACTGGAGTTGTGTACCTAGGAGGCTTATGGCTGCTTCTGCTGAGTCATGTAGGTTGTCAGGAAAGTGGGGAAAGCCAGCAGTCACAGGCCTCACCCTGTTCCCACACAAACCAAAGAGTTGGTCTCACTCCCACTGTGCTTCCCCAAACAGCCCCAAGTCTGTTTCTAGGCATAGGGCGAGACAGGCTTGAAAACTTGCCCCAGGCTACCCACCTGCCAACTGTGAAAGAAAAGGGTTTGGTTCTTCCCCTGTCAGTAGAGTCGGCACACCAGATTTGCAGCTTCCCCCAAGTTCTAGCCAGCAAGTCTTCTTGACCGTTCAAATTGTTACACAGTTCAGCTAAAGATTTCCTTCTCCCTGTGGAGTTTTACCCTCTGCTCCTCTGGACACCCTCCCAATGGATCCCTGTGGTGCCAGGCAGGAATGGCCTACTAGGGGACCCAGCGAGCTCCCAGGGCCTTTCTGCTGCTGTCTCTACCCTTGTATTTCACTGGGCTATCCAAATTGACTCAGCTCCACGTAAAGTCAGAAACTTCTCCCGCAATCAGAACTTCAGCTTCTCCAGTGGGGGTGTGTGTTTTGGGGAGGAGGGTCTCCCTTTCTCACTTCTGCAGTTGGGGCGCTCACAGTATTTGGGGTGTCTCCTGGGTTCTGCAGGAGCAATCCATTTCCTTCAAAGGGTCTGTGGATCCTCTCAGGATTGCTGGTTTGTTCTTGCAGTTGATCTGGAGCTAAAATTCACAATGCAAGCCTCCAAATGCTGATCTGTCCAGAGCTGCAGTCTAGTCCTGCCTCCCGTCCACCACGATGATCTAAATCAAGACTACTATCCTCACTTTTCAAATTTCTTTTTCTTTTTGCCTGTCTTATTGGATGATTTCCAATGTCCTTTCTTTGAATTTTCTGGTCCCTTCTTCCTTTTTATTTATTGTTGAATTTTCTAGTTCAATTATTATATTCTTTAGCTTAATAATTTCTGTTTGGTACTTTTAAATATTTTCTATCCCTTTGTTAAAATTATCTTTGTCCATGCATTGCTTTCCTGACCTCAGTGAATATGCTTATGACTGATAATTTGAACTTTCTATTGGCTAAATTAATTACTTATATTTCATTAGGGTCAGTTATTAAGGGTTTATCTGGTTCTTTTGTTTGGAGCATATTTCTCTGTCTCTTTATTTTTCTTGATTCTCTATGCATTAGAGAAAACAGCCACCTTTTTCAGCCTTGTCAGACTGGCCCTGTATAAGAGCTGAACATCACGATCAAGCCCAGCCATGCACCCTGAGTGCTGCTTAATCCTTTGTGCTTGTCCAAACCACTGCCTTTGTTTTTGGTAGCTCTCCAGGAGAGTAGGCTGTGCCAAGTCCCATCAGTGCCCTAAGGCAGGTAAGATAGAAGCCAGTACCACAAGATGAAGCTATAGAAGTTGAGGTGTTAGGTGTGTGGCCGAGTTCCTTCTCTCTTTGGGGATAAGCCAGGAGCTGGAGTTTATCTACCACTTACTCTGCACTAAGCTGGACAAATAATCTGTGGCTAATGTTCCCTGAACCCATTGCTTTGCTCTTTGTTATCCCAAGGGGCCTAGTGAAGGCTGAGTCCCATCAGCTCTTAGAGACAAGCAGGTTAGCTGAAGGCTAGATTCTGTTTCTGGGGTGAGCCAGGGGGAGGAGCTGTAGAAAGTACACACATGACCATTCAGGTTCCCAAAGGACTACTAAGGGCCTGCCCTATTAACACCTGGATGCAGCCTGATTAAAAGTCTGACCCATGGGCAGCAGGTGGGAAAGTTGAGATATTAGGTGTGTGGTCAAATCCCTTCCTGTCAGGAACTGTGAACTGGGTATTTTTGCCTGCTTGCTCTGTCCTGAGCTAGGGAAAATAGCTGCTGATAGTGTTCCTATGCCCATTAATAAATGCCTGTCTATTCTCTGCGATCCTGAGGTCTTGCAAATGCTGAAGTCTGTCTGCACCCAGAGCTAGGTGGGTTAGGAGACAGCCCCTCAAGTGGAAGCTATAAAAGTTGAGACACTCAGTGCGTGGACCAACTCTTCCCAGGAGAGGCTAGAGACTTGGTTTTATTGCTGAATCAACCTGGGAGTGGGGCATAAGAAGTGCCTACATATTTGTTCATTCAGGCTCCTCAAGGTCTCAATAATTCTTTGCCTTGGTGGCTGCCAGATGCAAGCTAGTTACAGGCCTGATTCTCAGACAGCAGCTGGGAAGGTGTGCAGTCAACCCTATTTCAGGGAGAAACTAGGAGGTTCTTTGTCTGTTCATTCTGCTCTGAGCCTGGGGGCATTGCAGGAAGGAGCACTCCCACACCCATTTAAAACCACCTCTTTGCTCTCTTTGGTCCTGAGGGACCTTGGAATGCTGAGCACTCTCCTCTCTCAGAGATAGGTGATTTATGAGCCAGTCTCTTAGATAAGAGCTGGAAAAGTTGGGGCACTATATGTCTGATACAAACCCTCCACTTCTCAGTGAAAAGCAGGGAGTAGGGGTTCCCTCTGAAATGTAAGATACTGTGCCTGGGGTGGGTTTTGTGGTGCGAGTGTGTCTTAGCTTTCCCTACTTGTTTTGATGCAGGTATTTTCTTAGATATTTAGCTTCTACAAAATTGACTTAGATAACTTTTTTCCCTTTAGATTGCAGCATTGGTTATTCCCTGTTATGACTTTTTTCAATGAATGGATACAACTTCTACAAATACATGTGAGTGATAGGCTTTTATAAAGCACACTTGCATCCTCAAACAATAATACAGTTATGCTGCCCCCTCAGGCAGCATTCCCACCTGGCTTTTTCCGCCTCCATCACACACACACACACACACACACACACACACACACACACACACACACAAACAGACACACACACACATACGAGGTATTCAGATATTTTTCCAACCTGTATTCTCTGTTTAAATGCCTATCTCCTTTTCTCACCTTGGCAAAATGTTGCACATCTTTCAAGATTTAGCTAAAATGTCACATTTGATAAAAATCTTTCTGAATTTCTCCAGGTTGAGTTTTTCAGGATTTGGTGTCTGTTGGTATAGGTTAGGTTATACAGTAACAAATGATGCTGAAATCTCAGTGGCCCATCACAAGAAAGCTTTACTTATTGCTCACGCCACATGTTCATGAGCCCCTGAGATTTCTCTTCCATGCCATCATTCTTCACAGTCACTATCTAGGACAGAGTTTGTCAAACTTTGTGGTGAAATATAGCCTGCCACATGCTTTTGTATGGCCAATAAGCTAAGGATTGCTTTTTAATGGTTAGGGTTTAAAAAGACAAATAACCAGTAGAAACTATATGTTACCTACAAAGTCTAAAATGTCTACTATTTGCTTATTTACAGACGGAGGATAAAAGAGTATGGCAAGATTTGGGCAGGTCTCTTAAAGCTTTTAACTGAAAGTAATATCCCTTATTGTTCAAATGTTATCATCTAATTGAAGTCACATGAATCTGACATAAATGGTCGAGGAGAGTTTAATCCTTCTGGTAGAGAGACCAGAAATGAGTGAATAAAAGTACAGTCTGCTCAACTTCTGCAGACTTAAATGTCCCTGTCTGACAGCTCTGAAGAGAGCAGTGGTTCTCCCAGCACAGTGTTCGAGCTCTGAGAATGGACAGACTGCCTCTTCAAGTGGGTCCCTGACCCCTGTGTAGCCTGACTGGGAGACATCTCCCAGTAGGGGCTGACAGACACTTCACACAGGTGGGTGCCCCTCTGGGACTAAGCTTCCAGAGGAAGGATCAGGCAACAATATTTGCTGTTCTGCAGCCTCTGCTGGTGATACCCAGGCAAAAAGGGTCTGGAGTAGACCTCCAGCAAACTCCAACAGACCTGCAACTGAGGAGCCTGACTGTTAGAAGGAAAACTAACAAACAAAAATAAATAGCATCACATCAACAAAAAGGAAATCCACACCAAAACCTCATCTTTAGGTCACCAACATCAAAGACCGAAGGTAGATAAAACCACAAAATGGGGAGAAACCAGAGCAGAAAAGCTGAAAATTCCAAAAACCAGAGTGCCTCTTCTCCCCCAAAGGGTCGCAGCTCCTCGCCAGCAGCGGAACAAAACCGGACGGCGAATTAGTTTGATGACTTGACAAAAGTAGGCTTCAGAAGGTCGGTAGTAACAAACTTCTCTGATCTAAAGGAGCATGTCTAACCCATTTCAAAGAAGCTAAAAACCTTGAAAAAAGTTAGGCAAATGGCTAACTGGAATAAACAACATAGAGAAGACCTTAAATGACCTGATGGATTTGAAAACCACAGCATGAGAACTTTGTGACATATGCACAAGCTTCAATAGCCGATTCGATCAAGTGGAAGAAAGGATATCAGTGATTGAAGATCAAATTAATGAAATGAAGCCAGAACACAAGATTAGAGAAAAAGGAGTAAAAGAAATGAACAAAGCCTCCAAGAAATATGGGACTATGTGAAAAGACCAAATCTACGTCTGATTGGTGTACCTGAAAGTGACAGGGAGAATGAAATCAAGTTAGAAAACACTCTTCAGGGTTTTATCCAGGAGAACTTCCTCAGCCTAGCAAGGCAGGCCAACATTCAAATTCAGGAAATGCAGAGAATACCACAGATACTCCTTGAGAAAGCAACACCAAGACATATAATTGTCAGATTCACCAAGGTTGAAATGAAGGAAAAAATGTGAAGGGCAGCCAGAAAGGTTGGGTTACCCACAAAGGGAAGCCCATCAGACTAATAGCAGGTCTCTCGGCAGAAATCCTACAAGCCAGAAGAGAGTGGGGGCCAATATTCAACATTCTTAAAGAAAAGAATTTTCAACCCAGAATTTCATATCCAACCAAACTAAGCTTCATAAGTGAAGGGGAAATAAAATGCTTTACAGACAAGCAAATGCTGAGAGATTTTGTCACCACCAGGCCTGCCTTATAAGACCTCCTGAAGGAAGCACTAAACATGGAAAGGAACAACCAGTACCAGCCACTGCAAAAACATGCCAAATTGTAAAGACCATCGATGCTATGAAGAAACTGCATCAATTCATGGGCAAAATAACCAGCTAACATCATAATGACAGGATCAAATTCACACATAACAATACTAACCATAACTGTAAATGGGCTAAATGCCCCAATTAAAAGACACAGACTGGCAAATTGGATAAAGCGTCAAGACCCATCAGTGTGCTGTATTCAGGAGACATATCTCACGTGCAGAGACACACATAGGCTCAAAATAAAGGGATGGAGGATGACCTACCAAGCAAATGGAAAGCAAAAAAAGGCAGGAGTTGCAATCCTACTGTCTGATAAAACAGACTTTAAACCAAAAAAGAGCAAGAGAGACAAAGAAGGCCATTACATAATGGTAAAGGGACCAATTGAAGAAGAAGAGCTAACTATCCTAAATATATATGCACCCAATACAGGAGCACCCAGATTCATAAAGTAAGTCCTTAGAGACCTACAAAGAGACTTAGACTCTCTCACAATAATAATGGGAGACTAACACCCCACTGTCAATATTAGACAGATCAACAAGACAGAAGATTAACAAGGATATCTAGGATTTGAACTCAGCTCTGCACCAAGTGGACCTAATAGACATCTACAGAACTCTCCACCCCAAATCAACAGAATGTACATTCTTCTCAGCACCACATAACCCTTATTCTAAAATTGACCACATAATTGGAAGTAAAGCACCCTCAGCAAATGTTAAAGAATAGAAATCACAACAAACTGTCTCTCAGACCACAGTGCAATCAAATTAGAACTCAGGATTAAGAAACTCACTCAAAACCACTCAACTACATGGAAACTGAACAACCTGCTCCTGAATGACTACTGGTTAAATAACGAAAAGAAGGCAGAAATAAAGATGTTCTTCAAAACCAATGAGAGCACAGACATAATGTACCAGAATCTCTGGGACACATTTAAGCAGTGTGTAGAGGGAAATTGATAGCACTAAATGCTCACAAGAGAAAGCAAGAAAGATCTAAAATCATCACCCTAACATCACAATTAAAACAACTAGAGAAGCAAGAGCAAACACATTCAAGAGCTAGCAGAAGGCAAGAAATAACTAAGATCAGGGCAGAACTGCAGAAGATAGAGACACAAAAACCCTTCAAAAAAGCAATGAATCCAGGAGCTGGTTTATTTAAAAGATCAACAAAATAGACTACTAGCAAGACTAATAAAAACGAAAAGAGAGAAGAATCAAATAGATGCAATAAAAAATGATAAAGGGGATATCACCACTGATCCCACAAAAATGCTACCATCAGAGAATACTATAAACACCTCTACGCAAATAAACTAGAAAATCTAGAAGAAATGGATAAATTCCTCAACACATACACCCTCCCAAGACTAAAGCAGGAAGAAGTTGAATCTCTGAATAGACCAATAACAGGTTCTGAAATTGAGGCAATAAGTAATAGCCTACCAACCAAAAAAAGTCCAGGACCAGATGGATTCACAGCTGAATTCTACCAGAGGTACAAAGAGGAGATGGTACTATTCCTTCTGAAACTATTCCAATCAATAGAAAAAGAGGGAATCCTCCCTAACTCATTTTATGAGGCCACCATCATCTTGATACCAAAGCCTGGCCTCCCCAGCAAGGCAGAACTGTGAGTCAATTAAACTCCTTCCTTTATAAATTGCCCAGTCTTGAGGATTTCTTTAGAGCAGTGTGAAAATGGACTAATACACCTCCATATGTGTACATACACACATTCATATTTAAACACTTGATCATAGAGAAAGTTTGCCTTCAAGCAGTTAAACTGAAAAATCAATACGTAGTGTATTGGAACAAAAAAAAGCAGCACAATATTAAATAAAAAATCAGTATTTATGGTACAACCTGATTCAGTGTAAGATTTCTAAAGAGAGCTATGCCAATCATAAATGCAGGTTGATTAGCAATAAAAGAGACATAGACAAAGAAAAATTGCTTGGGCAATCAATGGCTATGTTCCAAGTAGAATCTAGAAAGAAGGTACCCAGCAAAGTCTATGGTTTTCTAGACTTGTGCTAATCAAATGCAGCAGATTTCTAAGGTGTTTGTTACCAGTATGGATGTGTTAAGAAGTTTGCACATGAATATAAGTGCTCCCTTCATTGAGAAAGTCTTTCTTTAAAAAAAGACTTTGCTCAGATAAGGAATGTGCTTATTGATGTTGCTGATTTACATCTGGCACAAGACCCTTATGTTATCCTGAACCAGTAACAAACCATGGATGGGCAGCTGTCCACAGACTACACTTGACACAGTTCTAGAGCTTGAGTGAAAAGGCTAAGTCTTTTCATCAATAGTGGCAGTGTGGCCACTATTTACCCAGGTTATATAAAATTTCCCTAATTGTTTCCTTAATTGTTCTATTCTGTTCTCTACTTTGTCCAGAAGTAAGTTTCTTCCTTCAGATTCTCATCCACATAAAGCAGTCTGTCTCCACTTCTCTACTTCCACCTTTAAATCCTGTAGGTTTTACAGGTTGCAGAGTTTAGAACAGCTTGGCACTAAATCCTTTCCAGGTTCTTCATGATCTTTCAGAGAGAAGGTCCTTTATCCTCTTTCCACTTTCAGGTCTCCACTCCCTTCATTCCTTTTTCCCAAGCAAAGAAACAACTTTTTTCTTCATCTTTTCTCCAGCTCCAGTTTTATTCAGTCTTTGGGAAGAAAAATCTACCTCTGAAAATTTGCATTTAATCTATTACTCACTTATGCTAATGACACCTTCAAATTTTTGTTTCTATTGCTATGTGGGCTTAGGTAGGGGGAAATGGCTTTAGGGAGATCAGCAAGTCAACATAGAGAAGCAGGGAAAAACAGAAAACACACCATGCAGTAGTTGATGATGTAACCTGTATTTTTAAGATTTGAAATATGGTTAATAGTATAAACTTGTTAATTAATGACTAAATCAATTAATGCTACAGGATGTTGTATTTCCAAAGGAATAAAAGTAGTTGAAAGATGAGTAGTTCAGTTGATTTTCTATTCAACCTATATACACATTTATTAAGTGCCTATTATGTTTTAGGCGCTGTGTTAAAAGCTGTAGATAAAATGACAAGCAGAATCAGTTATGCAATTTGCAGGACCCAGTGAAAAATAGAAATGTGGCACTCTTTGCTCAAAATGTATCAATGATTTTAATGCAGGGACAGCAGATAATTAAAACGAAGGCAGGAGTCTTCTGAGTGTAGAGTTCTGTGTTACTGCACAGTTTGCATGCCCAAGAAGCCAGCCCTGATGGCAAGCAAGAAAGAGACTGCTCTTTTCCTGGGGAAGATTATTAAACAATGTAGAATTTGACACATGCAATGACATAGGATGGCAGAAACACTTACCTTGGTTTAGTGGATCAGAGATTTCTTAGAAGTGACACTTAAACTGAGATCTAAAGAATGCTTTTTTGGCAAAGGGATTATCAATGAGTTTGAAGAACCAAAAGATGTTTCATATTATTGGAGGGCATAGTGCAAAGGAGAAGGGGAATGAAGGAGGATATTTTGGAAGATTTTATCTTTATTCTAAAAACGAGGTGAAGCACTCAAAAACGTTTAAGTAGGGATGTTTTAATCAGATTTCCATCTTTAAAAGTGATTTAGATTGCAGAGTAGAGGAGAATGGATTGGCGGGTTCAGGGGTGACACTGAATAAATGGAATGTTATTGCAAAAAGCCTAGGGAAGTTTGCACTAGTATGATGGCCGCTGAGAGGGAGAGAAAGTACATGTTGTGAGATATTTAAGAACTAAAGTTAAAAAGAACAATGGGGGTAAGAAAGAAAGGATGTATCAAATCTGCATTATTAAACTTATTGTGTTACATCAAATTTTGGGATTACAGTTTTATCTTCTTCTAACCCTACTGCTGCTGAACTTTCACTCTTCCAGGAGACACACACACAAAATAAATTTTGTATTTTCCACGTTAGCATAGCGCCTAGCATATAGGTTCTCAAGAAATAGTTTTAGTAAAATAGTTAATAGCTGAAATTTATTATCTTTCCCTTGCCCTCCATTCCCAAATAATTTGAAAACAAAATATTTGTTGAGGAAAATATTACTCATTGGTATATATAAACTCTGATATTTGAAACTGCCAACCACAAATAGCCAGAAGCAAATAATTATTCACATTAGCTAAGAAGAGGCATTGTCAAATGCTAGTAATGCAAGGACTATGACAATAGTCATTAAAATATCTTGTATTTCTAGAATGCTTTGCAGCTTCCAGAACAGTTTTTAATCTGTGGTCTCATTTGAAGGATACATGACACCTTTCCTCAAAGGCATCACAATCTAGGAGAGCAATTAAGTCTTGTACACTGATAATTATGGTGCAAGGGAGATCAACCACGTTCTACAGTAAGTACAACTGGGTGTCAAGGTGCAGAGAGTGGCTTCTTTTGATGTTAACACCTAGTCAATAGTTTCTTGGGTTTAGATAGTCTTGGTGTAGGGGGAAGTTGTGGTAGATGGAAAAAATAAGGCCACACAGTATTTTGTAGCTCCTTCCATAAAGTGATAGAGTCTGCCTTTCCATGCCTAAAATCTGGGCTGGCCTTGTGACTTTAGCAGAAATGATGTTAGTTTTATACTTTATGCCTCAAGTGAACTTGCAGCATTCCTTCCTCTTCTTGGAAGATGACTTTGAAACTGCTATTGATAGTCCAGCCTAATGAAGGTTGAGAGGCTTCATGGAGGAGAACTAGGATGCTTTTGAATTTGTAAAACAGGCCTTCTAAGATGAGCCTGCCCAGCCAAGCCTCTAGCCGAATGCTGCAGCATGACCCAGCCTAGGCAACATCAGTACAGAAACCACCCAGACAACCCACAGAGTAGTAAGAAGTAATAAATTGTTGCAGCTTTAAGAAAGGGGGTTTGCAAACTATGGATTACGGTCAAATCTGGCTTGCAGACTGTTTTTGTACAGCCAGCAAGCTAAGCATGGTTTTATTTCTTTAAATGGTTGGGGAAACAAATCAAAGAAAAGCATTTATATCGAGTGATTTGTAATATGTTCCACACTGTTCTAAAACTTTGCATTTATTAGCGCATTTAATCTTTACAACAACTCTATGATACTGTTACTCATTTTATGGTGGAAAAAATGATGTTACTAAATAGGTTCAGTGAGTAGTCAAAGATCACACATTTAATGAGTAGTGCAGCTAGAATTCAAACCCAAGCAGGCTTACCCCGGTCTGTTCTTTTAACCTACTTATCCATTTGATAAATTGTCCAGCAGATTGAGAGGAGTGCATAGGTGCCAAATGCAGAGATTCAGGCAACACATTCTGGTAATTTCCAAAAAGGACACTATGTTTCAGAGAAGCAAGTGAAAGCTTTGCTGAAGAATGAGGCCATGTTTCTACTATAATGATAGGCAATTTCAACCTTGATCCCCATTAATCAAAAAAGACAAAACTGTTTCATTCTTCTCATTTATAGAACCATATTCCAAAAAAACTATATTATCTTAGTCTAGTCAGGCTGCTATGACAAAATACCATAAACAACGGAAATTTATTTGTCACAGTTCTGGAGGCTGAGAAGTCCAAGGTCAAGGTACTAGCAGATTCAGTGTCTGGTGTGAAGGCCTTTTCCTTCATAGACAGATGTCTTCTCATTGTAACCTGACTTAGTGGAAGGGGCAAGACAGCTCTCTGGGGCTCTTTTATAAGGGCACTAATCTCAGTCATGATGGCTCTGCCCTTATGACCTAATCACCTCCCAAATGGTCCCATTTCCTAATATCATCACTGTGGAGGTTAGGATTTTGACATATGAATTTTGGGAACACACAAACATTCAGACCATAGCAGATGTATTCAGCTATTATTGTTATTGTCAGGCCTCTGAGCCCAAGCTAAGCCATCGTATCCTCTGTGACCTGCATGTATATGTCCAGATGGCCTGAAGCAAGTGAAGAATCACAGAAGTGAAAATGGCCGGTCCCTGCCTTAACTGATGACATTACCTTGTGAAATTCCTTCTCCTTGCTCATCTTGGCTCAAAAGCTCCCCCACTGAGCACGTTGTGACCACCCACCTCTGCCAGTCAGAGAACAACCCCCTTTGACTGTAATTTTGCACTACCTACCCAAATCTTATAAAACGGCCCCACCCCTATCTCCCTTTGCTGACTCTCTTTTCAGACTCAGCCCACCTGCACCCAGGTGATTAAAAAGCTTTATTGCTCACACAAAGCCTGTTTGGTGGTCTCTTCACACAGACGTGAGTGCAAGTTATATTTCCTAATTTTGTTAACAAAATTTTGTGGAAATATGTTTTTTCTATTGTTATATAAGTATGTAAGTATTTAATTTTAATTTTGCCTCTCTTGCGGTTTCCAAAGCCTAATAATATTTATTATCTGGCCCTTTACAGAAGTTTGCTGGCCCCAGCTTTATGCTATTAAGTTTTGGAATCATTTATTATGTAACAGTAAATCACTAACATAGAAGTATAAAAGGAAAATTATGCAAACAAAATAAAGGAGGGTTGATATAGATAAATTTTTCCTAACCGTTCAGTGTCTGTGCTGACTGCAACATTTTCGTTGCACACCATTCAGCTGACAAGTGAACCCAGAGCACAGCAGTAGATGGAAATATGTTACAGAAAATTAATCTGCTCCATTGCAAAGTGATCTCTGGTTGACTTTGTGATTGTTAATTACATGATTGTTAATGGGGTCCAGAAAATGAAGAAATGAAAGATACTGAAGACAATCTTGGTTTGCCTTAGATTTCAGAAACTTTGTAGCCCATTTATTTAAAGTGGCTTCTGAAAGTGAAGCATTGATTCTGTGGAATTTAGGACATATTAACTTGAAATTTAGAACTCATAAGTATCTGCTTCAACATCTTTCTCTTTTCTTATTGTTGTGAAAGCTGATTTACTAAGTAAATTTACAGTACCAGCAAGATTTCTAAGACTCTTTCAATTTGAAAGAAGACAAAAACTTTGTTTTTATCCCTTTAGAAGCAGGCAATTTACACATAAAAATATTTATTTGCTAATATGTGTAACTTTTGCTAGTGTAAGTGACTTGTGATTGACTTACAATTCAATCACATTCAGGAATATAGAGTTTCCTGGAAACTCTGGTGTGTTAATTTATTAAAAACAAGAAGAAAACCAGCTCATCCAAATAATAGAGGCATATTCCTCAAGTGCCTTTACCAGTTGTCTTTTAGATTCACTGTTATCTTATGCCTGAAACTACTACTTTAAAATGCAAATTGAGCTTAATGAATTTAATCAAAAAGCTCTTATTTTAATGTGCATAAATTCATTAAATGAGTGGGATAAAATTATAGTCACTGTGTCAGAAATAGTACCTAAGCAGAATCATTCCCATTACTAAATGGGTATATAAAGTCTGAGCTAGAACTTTCAATTTGCTATTTTTGGATTTTAGCAGACAACTTTTGAAATTCTCATCTATTTCTATCTAGGAAACTATCTTACAATCTTATCACACTGAATTTTGATGAGGGTATTTCTAGGAATGCATTGCATATTTTAAATGGTGACTTGAAGACTATTTATCAAAGAAGCAAAAACCTGTGTGGCAATTCATACAGGACAGAAAAGGACTGAAACTCTGAAAGGTCACCATGTCATTTTCTTTCTTTCATTCACGGAAGTTACTGTAGAAGAGAATGATTCCATGATTCATTTCAATGGGTGTTTGTTGATATTAGTTGCCTCTCTTGGAAGGCTGACCTGAATTTTTATGGTTGATTTAAAAACTAGGTAATCCTCTAGAAAATGGCTTTTATGTTTGATCATTTTTAGTACCCATGGGTAATAGGTATTCACATCACCAACCGCCTCCTTGCCAATGTTAAAGGAAGTTGAAAATTTTCCTGTTGCTTTGAGGATACTCCATCTCACAACAGAATGTTTTCAGTAGGTAATGAGCCAAATCCGTTATTCTTATCAGAGACTACATCACGTCTCTCCTGAAGCTGACAGTTGGGAGCATCTCCAAAATGGGCTTGAACTCTACAGTTTCCTGTCACCTCCAAGCTTGGCAGTTTGTCTTTTGAAGGACACCAAGAGTCCCCAGACAAATTTTTGTTTTCCTACCTTCATAAAATGCTGAAAAAAGGAAAATATTTCCTTGTGTCTTTTTGCCTAATTACTCTGTCAGAAGTAGTAATTTACCAGGGTTATGGCCATTATATTCCTTTAAGTGAACTTCACTTGGTATAATGGAAATGCTTCTGACTCAGCTCTGCATCTCGCTTTGAGAAAGAAACCATGTAAATTATGCTAAGCATATTTATTTCTTGGTATTGATAGGTATGTTTGCAAAAAAGATCACAATTAAATGGCAAATGGTTACTATGAACTTACTTGTTCATCACTTTCCACTAAAACAATTTTCTAGTAGTAGGGACAAGAAAACGCTTTATTCGTTGTTTTAGTATTTCTTTTTTTATTATGGTAGATATACTCTTTAAAGGTCAAAATTTATAAGTAAGTAAAGGGGCTTTGTGCTAAACTTAGCTGATGCTATTGGGTATGCAACATGAAAAAACAAGTGATTTAATTTTTTTATTATCTATACTTTTATATATCAATATAATATACATATATGGTATATGCCTATATACTATCATGAATATAGGGGTCTCAAGATTCCTAAATATTAACAGGTCCAGACAGTGAGGAAGGGCATTGACACACTTTCTCTCTTTTGCTGCTTCTTTTTAGGTAGAAACTTATAAAGTTGTCTTAAAAAGTCTCAAAGGAATTTTCGTGTTTGGATCTACCTGGATCTACTAATTCAGGTTTTAAGGCTATGATGTAGTTTGGCTCTGTGTCCCCACCCAAGTCTCATGTCAAATTGTAATTCCCAGTGTTGGAGGAGGGGCCTGGTGGGAGGCAATTGAATCATGGAAGCAGACTTCCCCCTTTCTGTTCTCTTGATAGAGTTCTCATGAGAACTGGTTGTTTGAAAGTGTATAGCAACTCCTCCTTCTCTCTTTCTCTCTCTCCTGCTGGCCATGTGAAGATATTCCAGCTTCCCTTTCACCTTCTGCCATGATTGTAAGTTTCCTGAAGTCTCCCAGAAGCAGAAGACTGTACAGCCCACACAACCATCAGTTGATTAAACTGCTTTTCTTTATAAATTTTCTGATCTCTAGTATGTCTTTATAGCAGTGTGAGAGTGGACTTATTCAGACTAGCACAAGGTTTTTACTGTGAGTGTTGATTACTGATAGTGAAGAATGGGAACCACACCTTGTACTAGCCCATTCTCACATTGCTACAAAGAACTACCCGAGACTGGGTAATTTATGAAGAAAAGAGGCTTAATTGACTCAGACTTCCATGGGATGTACAGGAAGCATGGTTGGGGAGGCCTCAGGAACTTACAATCATGGCCAAAGGGGAAGCAAACATTTTCTTCACATGGCAGAGTGGGAGACAGAGAGAGAGAGAGTGAAGAGGGAAGTGCCACACACTTTTAAACCATCAGATCTCATGAGAACTCATTCACTACTATGAGAACAGCAAGGGGGATATCTGTCCCCATGATCCAGATCTCCCCCACATCTCCCACCAGGTACCCCTGGCAACATTGGAAATTACAATTAAACATGAGATTTGGGTGGAGACACAGAGCCACACCATATCATACTCATAATGGTACTGTGTAGATGCAATATCAAAACCAGTCCACTATTGGGGAGGTGAGGATGGAAATTTATTGTCTCTGGAATCCAAGGTAAATGGAGCTGCTATCTTTGGTCAGGGATTACTCAATCCAAACACCTCTTCTGTGATACAGGATCAGACGATGTCATGGAAAGGGTTTCTGCTCTTAGTAAGAAAGAAAGGCAACTATGTATACTATATCTGATGGACATTTTTATCTTGAACTACCAAGCCCAAAGTTCTCTAAGCAGTACTTTGTCTTCTGCTTCCTTCAGGAAAAAATATTCTGAAGACTTTAACAAAACGTAATGGAGCTTCTTGGGCATGATTTATTGGATAACTAATAATCACTTTATTCCTCATTACAGAGATATCAAAATCATTTACTTGCTCATCTTCCTATCAAAAACTACTTTGGATCCCACCAGAGGCACCTACCTTGGGCTAATATAAATTGGCTTGGGTTAAAGAAACATTTTCTGTCAAAAATTTTAACTTAAAATAAAGAAAACATACATGGAGAGAAATATACGGAGAGGATTTTCTTGGCAGTTAGATTAAATTTGACCTGCATGTTTTTAACTGTGAAAAGCAAATTATGTGGGCCAGTAGGATGTAATGACAGCTACAGGGAACATTTCCAAATACTATTACCCCTTCTCCCTGAGAGTCTCAAGTGTGTTATTAGTTGTTATGCAGTTAAAATAGTAGAAAAGCTGGGTTTTCATCCTAGATCAAATACTGCAAGCTGTCTCACAACCTTGGTTTATGTTCTAGATCTCTACGGATTTATCACAGGGTTTCTGAATCCTCTAATTGCTTGCAATCATGTGATTGTATACATGTCCACATTTCTGAAGAAATTTTATTCAGTTTATCAAAGAATTATATTACTCAAAAATCAATAAGAACCACTGGCACAATAGCAAACATTCCTATCATATCACTAGGCAATTCCAGAGTATGAAAAAAAAATCAGATTGCACTCTGATTAGAGAAGAGCTAGAGAGCTAGACACTGTAGAGTATTTTTATGGAATTTATTAATTTGATGATACATGTCAGTGTAATAGATTTGGGGAGTTATTATCAGTTTGCCAATCTTCACTCCTTTGGACCTTAGTGCCCTGAATCTTGCGAGGCACTTCAGAGATTTTCAAGTTCAGGGTGCCCCCATGCAGAAATCTCCAGGGTGATCAGCAATGGGAGTCTCACTTTTAAAACAATGTGATCACTCATTGTTGGGCATCTCCAACTGCTAGGAAGTTTTCCCTCATGTGACACTGTTCTTCCTTATCTGGTTCCTATAAAATCACGACAAGAACAGAAGTTATCCTTCACATGGAATCGTCCCCAATTTCCCAAAGTTCAGATTTTCTTAACGGTGACATTTGTTAGTGAAATGAAAGTTGTAGACTGCATATCTGGCAACCATCTGTGATTAGTTAATTGAATTGTTCCAAGGCACTTGATGCCACCTTGAGAAAGATTTTCAACTTGAATAACCGTGTCTCCCTTCAAGCTAGTCTTGACCTATAGTCATTCCTATTAATTTTGAAGAAAAAAATACATGAGTAATTTGTCCATCCAATTTGGCAGTTACCCTTCTAAACTAAACCTTCTTATTAAGAAGATACACTAAAAGTCACATTTGTTTAGTTATTGAAATATTATTTATTGTCCTTGGTTTTAGTTTAGTTATTGAAATATTGTTTATCGTCCTTGGAGGCTTAAAGTATGAAAGCTTTAGGAAAAATTGAAGCTCCCAGAAAGGTAGATATTGTCAGAAGCCAAAAGTAAAGTTATCAATATTTTCTCTAAATCTTTTTCTTCTCCTGCCTCTTCCTTTCTTTCCACAGAGGGTGAGAGCTCTCTTAGCAATCAAACAGCACATCTTTGGCTCTGCCTGTAAAACAACAAATCCAGATACTGAAAAGTTATTAAAATTGTCTTTTATTTTGTGTAATGAATTAATAGCTTTTTCCTCTGAATTAACAGGACATTTCTGATCATTTAGTCTAGACACAGTTTTCAATGTTCCCTCCATCTCACCAGGACATTCTTATCCTCTTCCTTCCAATTCCTCTTATGTCAGTTTTCTTAATGCCAACTGTCCCTCTTTTTGACTCTAACCTTTGTCAATGCTTAAAGTAGGACTCACTTTGTCTATTGAAACTGTGCATTACCTCATTTTTTTTCCTTTGCACTTGTCACCTTTTGGTCAGCTAAAACAGTGTTTTCCAAACTGCAGAATCCAGCCCATAAATGGATCATAGAATCAATTTAGTGGATTATGAATAGCACTTTATAAATGAAATAGAATTGCCTGGAATATAATAGAAAATATCAGAGTGCATCTAACAATAAGGGTACCAACTATACTATAAAACTATTTTTTTTAGATATGAGAGAGAGGTCTCAAGGTAAAATATTTTTCTTACCATTGGTCATGGGTAAAAACATTTGAAAAACACTGAGTTGAAATTCAGGGACTAGGGTATCACCTCTGCTGCATTCCACAAAAGGGGTTTTAAGTTTCTCAAATCTTCTAACAGATAGTATCAATGGATTTTGAACTTTCATACACAGACCTCTTTTCAAATCTTGTAAAATTATGTCTCTTTCCTCCAGAAACATGTATGGGATCACAGGCTCAAAATAAATATTAGAGTATTCTTTATATAAGGATTAAGGATGCTGCCTAATTGTAACGATTGTATAATAGTTTGGAACTTGTTTTCAAATTATTGAAAGTTTCATTTTACTCCACACCTGCCATTTTAGATCATACATTCTGACATGTAACCATTTAATATGATATATTGTTTCTGTCTCCCATGCCTTCTCTCCTTCTTATCTTAACCACGTCCTTGCTATTCCAAGAATAAGAAAATTTTCAGATTCAAGTCATCTGGCTGGAGCGCTGTAGAATTTCCCCCTCGGATATTCTTAAAAAGTCTGTCTCTTAGGGGTTGCTGACATCAAAATTGAAAGATTTGAAATTGACCTCTTATTCATTTGCCTTTCTTTTCTTTGACCTGAATGTAGGTATGTGTCAATTTAGAATGGAACCTGATGGGTAATAAGCAGCTTTGCGTGCATGTACCAGACATGTTCTATAAATATGGCTCCTATAAATGGTAGTTATTTATTCTGAGAAACCAGCCATCCAATAATGTAGATGTGCATTATTTCTGAGCTGACATGCTGAATTTCCCTGGAGTTTGACAAAATGAAAACAGGTTACATTTGCTCCTCAAATCCTAGCAATGGTTAAAAACTGCATTTTCATGCAAACATAAATTACAAATGGAATTTTGATAACTGATTACCCCCCAAAATGCACACAAACCCTTTGTAATCCTGCCCTGGAGTGCAGTATAGTTGGCTCATTGCATATGCTGACAGTGTTTGTCAGGCTGTTCAATCACTGCTACTTCCCATGGCAAACTGTACAGGGGCGTTTAGAAAACCAGTATGTCTCTATTTCCCTAAATCTACTATTAGGGAGTAGAATCGTCAGTGCAGAGCACTGCTGCTTCACAATAGGTATAATCCTGAGTGTGTATCTTCTTTTTATTCAGCTTCAATTTCTGTTTGACAGAATTTCATGCTGCTGGAAGATGTTACATTGACAGTCGAGAGATAATTTTCATTTTTAATCCAGAGAACAAGAGCCACTTGGGAAGTGACTATAAATGTCTTCTGGGTGTCCCAGAGATATGCCTCATCCCTGTGCTAGAAGGAACAGACCTCTGGGAAGAAAACAACTTTGATCAGTAATTCTCTTTGGAAAATATTAAGAGAAATAGATTTCAGTGATTCTTCCATGAGTCATGGGGCCTGAGATAAGTAAGCCCTTCCATTTCCAAATCAGCTTTCAAGTGGTGGCAACTCTGTCATTACTCACATTTCTCAGTGAGGTACTGAGAAGAGAGTGATGTTCTCAGACAAGCCTCTCTCATTCTCTTTTATTATAGTCATAACAATTTTGTGCAAAATAAGGCCTTTCTTGTAATAAAGGTGTTGTAAGCCTTCTTATTTCCAGCGCAGTTGCCTCTGGCTGTGTTGGTAGATATTCTATTACAGATGTTAGCCAAGCTTGCTGTAGTTTAGGTCTTTAGAGCTATAGAGTTCTCCTTGGGTCAGTCCTCCTGACTTTTCTGATCTACTTAAAGACAGAAACTTTATTGTAAAATTCAAACATGTTCCCAGGGTCATGAGGCTATGGGATATGTTTCATTGACAACACAGAGAGCATTTCCCTTCTTTTCTTGACCATTGGGAAACAGCTTTCTTTCTTTATGAGGCGGCTCATAGGCCTCTCATCCTCTCTCCAGTTAATTACTGGCCCATGATTTGTTCTACTACAGTGTGTGTGTATATATATATATACACACATATATATACACTTATATACACACACGTATATATACACACTGTAGTAGAACAAATATACATATATACACACACATAAAGATACAGATATGCATAAATATATTAATGCAGATACATATACTGTGTACATATATGTCACATATATACTAAATACATGTACATATATACACAAATATAGAGCTAAACTAAACTGTAGGTCCTAAGGGCCAGGATCCCTTCATATTCATTATCTTTGAATATATGTGTATGTGTGTATAATATTTGTCACATATAGTAAATATATATCAAATATATATACTAATATATATTATATATACACATATGTGCCAGATATACAGAATATATATTATAAACATACACACACACATATATACAGTGAGTCCTACATCTCCATGGATTACGTGTCTGTGGATTCCACCAAATGTGGGTCAAAAATATTTGGAAAAATAAAAACCAATAAAAAATAACAATGTAACTATTAAAATAATACAAATTTTAAAAACAATACAGTATGACAACTATTTACATAACATTTACATTGTATTATGAATTATAAGTAACATAGAGATGATTCAAAGTATACAGGAGGATGTGCTTAGATTATACACCAATACTATGCCATTTTATATCAATGACTTGGAACAAATCCTCGACAGACAAGGGCCAACTGTATATTTGTTGTATAAATATGTGTGTTTATGACAAGAAGTCTTTCAAGGCCAGGATTCCTTCACTCTTTTGTCTCAGGATATAAATTCTATAAGTAGATTCAATGAATTCACTGTCCGGTGAACTGAACAAAGATGAACTCTCAACAATCACTTCTCCTCATTTCCGCTAGCAGATTTTTACTTGTAGAGACATAGGTCTAACTGTCTTAAAACACTCTTGGGTCTCCTGCCTGATGACTTTGGTGTTCTTTGGTCAACTCACAACACACAAGATCCCTTGAACAATATTTCTCTATCATACTGATTGTGTGATAATGTCAATACTTGGCACAGTAACTACACAGGCTCATTTGGGACCAGTTTCCTTTTCTTGTTCCAAAAACAACTTTCATTACTTCTTTCAATTCCTTTAAAGAGTCAAACTCCCTCTGGTTCCAAGCCTATTAATATGTGTTTTCTCTTCCTGGAACATTCTTACCTACCTTCTTCATCTGTCAAAAACCTACTCATACCTTCCTTAGGAGTGAGGATTCCCACGTGCTTCACTGTTGAAATTATTATTGTTTCTATACTATCTTACCTCTTGGAATTTATGTTCCCAGCTCAGACCCTGAAATTAAGTATGTACTGGAGATTCACTTCTTGAATAAATGTGTTACCGATAAGAGCAAAATGAAAAAGAAGTAGCAAATAGCAAATAGGTGGCATTAAGTATCAGGGTCATGGAAGAGACAGATTGGCTGATCATGGCCAGAAAGCAGAGGCTCAAATATAGGAAAAGAGTTATGGTCAAAATGTAGTCAAGTATGGATTCCAACTCTCCATCTCCCCAGCAAAGATACCCAATTGGGAATCCATCCACCATCTTAAAGGTCCTTTCATTGAGATCCTTCCTTAGAGTAACCAGAAGAGTGAAGATGAGTGAGAGTGGGTGCCAGTGGGAGATGAGAAAGGAAGCAAAATTCAGGTGTCTTCCCAGTCTCATTCATATATATTTACGAATGTGTACTTGGCAATGTGAAACTGCAGAACTTTAAAAAGATAAAAATACATTAGGTTTGTTGATAAGATGTAAAAGTTGCTGAATGTTTATCTAAGTTTTAAATAAAACCAATATTGCAATGTCCCTTAGAAGTGATAAATAAATTTGTTAGGTATAGAAATAGAATAATATGACTCATATTCTCTTCAGCAGGATTCTATCCAAGCCACAGTTGAATACTTCCCTCAAGCCTCATTGTCTCTCTCTCCCTTCGGCTCCAAACAGTACTACAGGAGGAGGGAGCAGCATGGAGCAATCAGAAGATGGGCTTTAGAATCCCATGTGCTGGGTTTGAATCCTAGCTCTGCCTCTCCCAAGCTGTATGATTGGGCATTTTATTTAACCTGTTGCTCATGATAAAAGAAGGGTAAAAACATTGCCTACCTCACAGTAGGAGGTTGGATTAAATGAGTCAATTCACCTAAAGCCCTTTGTGTTAAATGTGAATTCCTTTCTGTACAATGTTCTCAAGAACATTTTTATACACAGAGAAGATAGTTATGAAGTTACTTAGGGTTTAAAGTTGTAAATTTTAAAAATTAGTTTTTCTAAAGCTTTTAAGTTTAATTTATGACTCATTATATTTATTTATGTAACAAATTTATTAATCACTTCTAAGGGACATTGAAATATTGGTTTCATTTACAACTTAGATAAACATTCAGAAACTTTTACATTTCACCAACAAACCTAATGTATTTACATATTTTTAAAGTTTTTAGTTTCACATTGACAAACACTCCTAAATATGTATATAAGTTTGATAAATCTAATAAATTAAACATATAAAATATGACAAACCTGAAGTTCTTGTAATATTTTGACACTGTTCACAAACATAGTACAAATTCAACTTAAAGTCAGAAATCTAAATTTAAAAGTCAAATATATATTTTAAGCCAAAGTCACACACTTCACATATCAATTCTAAACCTTTATGTCATCCTAAACAATATTGGGGCATTACTTTTTCAAGGATTGTTTAGAACCAACTCCTCAGCTTGTTGAGATCTCTTAGGAATCAGAGGAATATGGGCTAGGATGCAACTCTGATTGACAGGCTTGGCTTTTTCATACTGATGTTGTGGCAAAGCCTTCTAAAGGGGTTTGGTACGTTGGTCTCAATTTACACATTACTTATAGTTCAAGTTATTACTTGTGTCAGTTAGTAATTCCTAGTCAAGTGGTTGTACTGCTTGTCTCAATTATATCACTCTATTTACTATTTATTTACTACTTTATTATCTTCTGAATTCTCATGACATTCTTCCCATATGTTACTACTATGCTTATAGTTAAGCCACATGTAATTGGATTATTCGAGTCACAAGACCATTTTAGTGTCACAACTCCTAAGGTCAACTCCTTGACATCAGTACTTCAGGAATAGCAGCTGTTATTATTAGATTATCAGTGTTGCCATTTTCTTTCTTTCTTTCTTCCTTTCTTTGTTTTTCTTTTTTTTTTGAAACTTCTTTCAGATTTATCTACACTCCTAGTGGTTCTCAAACTGTAATATGGATCAGAATTACTTGGAGGTCTTGGTAAAAGACAGATTTCTGGGCTCTAAACCTCATAGATTCTAATTCAGAATTGTCTGGGGCAGGGCCTGGGAATATGCATTTCTAAAAAGATCCCAAGGGATTCTGATGTTGCTGGGCCTGTGACCACGCTTTGAGAACTACTGTGATAGGTTATTTTCAGGATAATGACTTATTATTTTTTTATAATGACTTCTACATTTATCTCACTTCAAGTCCTGCATGCCAGCCATTATTGAAAAATGCCAATCAATTCAGTCCATAAGTATGTATTACCCATTATGGTCTTGTGCTAAGTTCCAAGGATATAAGAATTAACCAGGCATTAATTCATGCATTTTCATAAGTATACATACATAGAAATCATGAATTGCTTCTAGAAGTTATGGAAAAAACTCTTAACCAGATTTACGGAGGTCTTTGAGAACATAATATTAAAAGTAATTTTTAGCTAAGATCTAAAAGACAACTAAGATTTACCAAATGCCAGGTTGCTAGAGAACAGGCAGGGAAGGGGGAAAGACAGGCACAGGAGGGAAGGTTTCCACAGTGACTAGCGTACTAGTAACTCTGTTTTAGTCTTAACACCATAAGCACCTAAAAGCAGAATTATTTTTAAAAGATATTTAGATTTATTATCTGCCTATACATTTATGATAATTGAAGAAAAACTCACTAGAGTGTGAGGTGCAAAGTGATGATGTAACCTCCCAGGCTATGGATGGCCAGTGGTCCTCTCAGTCACATAGGAACAGGTGGTATAGATCACATCAGATGACAGTGAACCCACTGCAGTCATGGGTGGGTCATAACCATTTTCATTCATTTGTATATTTTTGTGAGTGTGGTAAACACCAGCTATTAGTTCCTTGAACTCTCTTCCTTCTGTCTCTGGGCTCAGATCTATTCTATACTTCCCCCAAGTCCCCTTCACTTGGGCAACACTATGTGAAAGAATTCTAGTCAATGGAATGTGGTCAGAAGGGATATATGTTGTTTCCAGGTCTGGTCTTTTGAAACCTACCTTCAAGTCCTCCTCTCTTTCCCTGATTGTCAACAAGATGTCAGTGTTGAGGGAACTTAGAAATCCTGAACTAATAAGGAAAGAACTTCCAACAGCTTGAATACCTGAACAATTGCTTTGTTTCTCTTGCTTAAGGAACATATTGAGGGTTAGAAATAAGTTCCACTGTCTTAAACTACTGAAATTTCACGCTTCATCTGATACAGTAGCTAGCATTAGTGTAACTAATAGAGTGGCAATGTCTTTTATTAAAATAATAATCTTCTTTAAAAATGAATATCTGGAAAAATTTCTACTCCAAAATAGGTGAAGCCCCCCCAAAATGCCAAATACTATGTTTAGAATGTCTAGGGTACTCGCATCATAAAAGTGATGATGGAAAAGTGTTCTTACAACAGTTGCTAATAACTTGATGATTTGTTTAAAAGTCTCCTTTGACGGAATATAAGCGAGACTGTTTATCTTATTCATCATTTTATTTAGAGTGCCTTGTATAGTGACTGTCATATCTAGGTGACCAAAAAATATACTGTACATGAAATGTGTTAAGTATTGGATCAGCAAGGTGGAGAGGTAGGCAGGAGCCCAGTGACTTAAGGCCTTGTTAATCATGTTAAGGAATTTGTACTTGATCCTGAAGGCAATGAGGAGCCACTGGAGGATTTAAGAATGGAGCGACAGGAGTTGTGTTTTATCTTTGGAAAGATCACTATAGTGAAAATAAAAGTTTTTCAACCTGAAAGATGTTTGAAGCTGGAACTAAGAATATCATTTTGGAGACTCTTGTAGTAATCTAGGTAAGCGATAATTGTCCATAATGTCGGACAATGTAATATTTCAGCGGCCTCATGAATGGAGACTAGAAAATGCATTTAAGATGTAGCTAGAAGGAAGAACTGACAGGACTGAGTGATTGTCTAGTGTGAAACAGCAGAATGAGTGAGTGGGAGAAGGCAAGGATTACTCCTAATTTGTGGACAGTGTAACCAAGTGGGTGGTGCTGACATCACTAAAATGGGGAGTCCGGGAGAAGGAAAAATTGGGAGAAGTTGTATTCTCAACATTTGGGTTTTGCATATTGTAATCTCTTTTCTTAGAGTGTTCTAAAAATACCACATTTCCACCTGCTGCCTCCTCTTTGCCTTTTGTCCTTGCTTTTCTTTACCTGAATTACTCCTATTCATATTACACCTCAAATTAGAGCCTGTTGCCTGTAGGAAACTTCCAGGATCCCCAAGACTAGATAAGGTGCTTGCTTATGTGCCTCCAGTACTCTGAGCCACAATGTAGCATTTATCATAATGTTTTGTATTCACCTGTGTGCTTTTCATTCCACACTTCTCTACCTAAAGCCAATCAAAGACAGAGACTGTCTCTTAATATGTGGTCCCCAGTGCCCATCATAAGTCTATGTCAGAGTAAGAATTCAGAACTATAGTGCAATCATGATGGATGAGTAAATGAATGAATGGATGTAACACAAATAATTTTGAAGAGCACAAAATTAAAAACAACTAATAATATTTGCTGATATCCTGTCTATTTCTGTTTGAGATATGCAGCATGCAGTTAGCACAGATGGCCACCAGACTGCAATACTCTTTTTATATTTATTCTATTCCTTCCCCACTCTCACCTTCTCTCCCCACACTCCCACCCTACCCCCTACCAGGAATGGTCATAAATCATAGAATGGCTCCACTATTCCCTTAAGCATTTGTCTCTGATCACAGTGTGAACCCACCAATTTTGTAATAGACTCCACAAGTGTTTTCGTTGGGTTAAAAAAATCAAAATAAATAGAAAATTGAAAATGAGAAAGTTCACAGTGAGGTAGCTATTGTGTATAAGTGAGACCTGAATATAGTCTGGCAAATAATATGTTATAAGGTCTGCTCTATTCACCAAACTACTAAAGAATGAAAAGAGGTGGAAAAGGACATTTTCCCATTCCCACTTGTCAAATACAGCTAGTCTAATTTACTAACTGATGTAAACTTACCTTGTGTGTATGATAGACAAAGCCTCTAAACTGAAATAGGTGTAGAAATGTAAAAAAGAGCTACAGATTTGAATGGAACTTTAAAGGTTACTGAGTTCAGTAGAAATGGGTTTTGAAATGAGGCATTTGGACTCTGGAATAAAGGAAGGAACCAGCACTATAGGATTGAGGACACAGAACAACTGCATAGAAAGCTCACACAATGGGCCGGGCACGGTGGCTCATGCCTGTAATCCCAGCACTTTGGGAGGCCAAGGCGGGTAGATCATGAGGTCACGAGATCGAGACCAGCCTGACCAATATGGTGAAACCCCATCTCTAGTAAAAATAGAAAAATTAGCTGGGCGTGGTGGCATGCGCCTGTAATCCCAGCTACTCGGGGGCTGAGGCAGGAGAATTGCTTGAACCTGGGAAGTGGAGGTTGCAGTGAGCTGAGATCATGCCACTGCACTCCAGCCTGCTGACAGAGCAAGACTCCATCTCAAAAAAAAAAAAAAAAAAAAAGAGCTCACACAATGACAACTATGTAGTCTTCAGTCTTACCACTCAAAGTGTGGTCTGTGCATCTGCAGCATTGGTATCACCTGGGAGCCGCATAAAAATGCAGACTCTCAGGCCCCTCCCCACTCCTACTGAATCAGTCTGCAGTTTAACAGCATCCTCAGATGATTTGTAGCAACATTAAGGCTTGAGAGGCTATGATCTAAATAACAGTATTCAAAGAGCGTACTGAGCTCAGATTAACTCATTTGGGGTTACTATGTAGTTTATTATCCAGATTAAGACATTTAAGGGTGAAAGGAATGGTATAATAATTATAATTGCATGTTTTTGAAAGATGTAGTTATTAAGAAATAAATCAGTTCTCAAATAAGTAGATTAAAAATAGTTCTAATCATAAACTATCTTTAAAAATACAATTGTTTATAGAAATAGAAATAAAACATCAATGTATATTAAAGAAAATATTATTTATATTGATCTGAACATTAAATTTAAAATAAGTGCTAGAATAATATGAATACATGTTAATTTTAAATGTAGATTGATACATACAAAAATAATTATAGAAATATATGCATACATTGGTTGTCATATATACATACATCTTAACTCTTTCTGTTGAGATGGCCTAGAATCAATGACATCCAGTGGCAACATACATACCTCATGTCAATATCTTGGGTTCTAAATACCATTCTCCAATAGAAAGAATTGAGGTCTTTGAATAAATGAATGATTCTGAAACAGGAGCTAGAAAGAAATTATTTAGGCAGTTAGTAAGGGTAAGAGAGCCCTCAGCAAGGTTTCCCTTTTAATAAAAAGTAGCCCCCAAATAATTTTTCTTTTCTAACAAAGAATAGCCTGAAAAATCAAGATGCAGACATAGAAAAGCAAGCTAGAAGCTTGCACAGGTGAACGCCGGCAGCTGTGCCAATAGGAAAAAGCTACCTGGGGCCAGACATGTTCAATATGGAGGCTCCATCTTACCTTTTCTTTGTCAACCATGTGTACAATAAAGGAACAGGAAACATGGCACCAGCCAGGTAGAGAACCCATCTGCATAATAAAAGATTAGGATGGGGTGGCCAGCTTCTTCATGTGCTACGTAAATGGCAAACCTGGTCTGACCAATCTTTTGGGCCCTGTGTAAATCAGACACTGCCTCCTCAAGCTCGTGTATAAAAACCCTGTGCATTTCACCACAAAACCAGAAGACCCACTTGGGAGCCCCCCTCTCTCTGCAGGAGAGACAGCTTTTCTCTTTCTCTCGCCTATTAAACCTCTGCTCTTAAACTTACACCTTGTGTGCCTGCATCCTTGATATCCTTGGCGTAGGCAACGAACCTTGGGTATTGCCCCAGATGAACGATGCCGCTTTAATTTTAGCAGTGGGTTAAAGAAATTACAAGATGAGTTCAGTAAGAATGGATTGTGAAAATGAGGCATTATGGAGCTTGAAATATATTGTAGAGCCACAAAGACAGAATATTCTGAGGAAAAAAAATAGAGATGTCAAAAAACATAGGAGCCAAACTGAAAGATCTTCTAAGGGCCAAAGTGGGAATAATTTGCGAAACCAAATAATGATAGTATTGGATTATAACATGGGCAATAAAGTAAATATCCATGAGTCCATACTGATAAAAATAAATGACTGAATAAATAAATTGAGAATAAAGGACAAATTTTCCTTAAAGTAGAATGTCAATAACAAATACAGAAGGAAGGAATGAAGAAAGCAAATTATTTAAAGTATAAACAACAGTAACTCTTGCTTTGGGCAGGATCTATTACTGAGTGCTAAAACCAGTAGGTAAAACTTTTAAGAGAAACAGAACATTTGCATAGCCTTAAAATATCTCCCCACAAGCTAATTGACCTCAAGGATGAGTCACAAGCCAGGAAGTATTCACCACGAGCTGACTTAAGAGTCCTTGGGCCTTAAGGGATTATCAGCAGTAATCTAGCAATACTCCTCATGGACTGGGGTGGCAGTGGCTAAGGAGTGAGGCTCCTCTGAATTTGGAAAGGGGAGGGAAGAGTGGTTTGAGAGCCAGGTAGACTTCCAAAGTTTTTGACTCTAGATCTTGACACCCAGACGGCACCTTTGGACCCACCTGGGGCCTGGAGGACCTCACCCTGCTGAAGGAAAGAACACAGGCCTGGCTGGCTTTGCCATCAGCTGATTGTAGAGCCCAGGGCCTTGAGAAAACACAGACAGTAGCCAGGGGGTGGTTACAGCAGGACTTGTGTGTATAAGTGGTTACAGCTGTGCTGGCTTTAGGTCTGACCCAGTGTAGTCATCGTGGTGGTGGCCACAGGGGTGCTTGTGTCATTCTACCCCCATCTTTAGGTGGCTCAGAATAAAGAGAGAGACTTACTTTGTTTGGGAGGAAGTAGATGAGAGAACAAGAGTCTCTGCCTGGTAGTCCAGAGAATTCTCTCAGATCTTGTCCAAGACCATCAAGGCAGTACCTCTACAGGTCTGCAAGAACTACAGCATTACTGGGCTTGGGGTACCCCTTAAAGCAGATATAGATTAGATCACAACACACAAGTCCTTTCAAATATCTGGAAAGTCTTCCCAAGAAGGACAAGTACAAAGAAGCACATATAGCGAAGATGATGATAAATAACTCTTCAAACCCCAGACACAGAAGAACACCTATTAGCATAAACACCATCCAGGAAAACATAACCTCACCGAGTGAACTAAATAAGGCACCAGGGACCAATTCTGGAAACAGAGATATGTGAACTTTCAGACAGAGAATTCAAAATAACTGTGTTGAGGAAACTCAAAGAAATTCAAGATAACACAGAGAAAGAATTCAGAATTCTATCAGATTAACTTAATAGAGATTGAAATTAAAAAAAAATTACACCAAAATTCCAGAGCTGAAAATGCAATTGGCATACTGAAGAATGTGTCAGAGTCTTTTAGTAGCAGAATTGATCAAGGAAATGAAAAAAAAAGGACTTAAAACAATGCAGCACTCCTATACGACGTACAAAATAGCCTCAAAAGACCAGATCTAAGAGTTCTTGGCCTTAAAGAGGAGTTAGAGAAAGAGATAAGGGTAGAAATTTATTCAAAGGGATAATAACAGAGAACTTCCCAATCCTAGAGGAAGATATCAATATTTAAATACAGGAATGTTATAGAACACCAAGAAGATTTGATCCAAAGAAGACTACCTCACAGCATTTAATAATTAAACTCCTAAAGGTCAACAATAAAGAAAGAATCCTAAAAGCAACAATAGGAAAGAAACAACATACAATGGTACTCCAATACCTCTGGCAGCAGACTCTTCCATGGAAACCTTAGATGCCAGGAGAGAGTGACATGACATATTTAAAGTGCTGAAGGAAAAAATGTATACCCCAGAATGGTACATCTGGTGAAAATATCCTTCAAACATGAAGGAGAAATAAAGACTTTCCCAAACAAACAAAATTGACTGATTTTATTAACATCAGACCTGTCCTACAAGAAACACTAAAGGGAGTACTTCAGTCAGAAGGAAAAGGACATTAATGAGCAAAAAGTAATCACCTGAGTGTACAAAACTCGCTGGTAATATTAAATACACAGGAAAACTATTATTATATAATTATATATTTTATATATTATTAAACTATTATAACACTGTAACTGTTGTGTGTAAACTACTCTTATCCTAACTAGAATGACTATACAATGAACCAATCAAAAATATCAATCAACAACTTTTTAAGATATAGTACAAAAAGATATAAACAGAAACAACAAAAAGTTAAAAAGTAGGAGATGAAGTTAAGGTGTAGATTTTTTTAATAGTTTTCTTTTTGCTTGTTTGTTCATGCAAATAGTGTTAAGTTGTTATCAGGTTAATATAATGGGTTATAAGATAGTATTTGCAAGCCTCTTAGTAACATCAAACAAAAAATATACCATATGCAAAAAATAAAAAGCAAAAAAAACCTAAATTATATCACCAGAGAAAATTACCTAAAGGAAGACAGGCAGGGAAAAAAACAAGGAAGAGAAGACCACAAAACAACCAGAAAACAAATTTTAAAAATAGCAGGAGTAAGTCCTTACATGTCAATAATAACATTGAAAGTAAATGTACTAAACTTTCCAATCAGAAGACATAAAATGGCTGAATGGATGAAAAAACAAGAACTATTTATCTGTTGCCTACAAGAAACATGCTTTACCTATAAAAACACACGTAGACTGAAAATAAAGCTATGGAAAAAGATATTCCATGACAATGCGAACCAAAAAAAGAGCAGAAGTCACTATACTTGTATAAGACAAAATTTATTTCAAAACAAAAACTATAAGAAGGGACAAAGAAAGTCACTATATAATGATAAAGAGGTCAATTTAGCAAGAGGATGTAACAATTTTAAGAATATATGTACCCCAAAACTGGAGTATCCAGATATATAAAGGAAATATTGTTAGAGCTAAAGAGAAAGTGATGCGCCCCAATAAATAATAGCCGGAGACTTCAACACCCCACTTTCAACATTAGACGGATCTTCAGACAGAAAATCAAAAAATCAGACTTAATCTGCACTGTACATCAAATGGATCTAATAGATACGTACAGACCGTTTCATCCAATGGCTGCAGAATATACTTTATTTTTCTCAGCACATAGATCTTTCTTAAGGTTAGACCATGTGTTAGGTCACAAAATAAGTCTTCAAATATTCAAAAAATAAAAATAATATCAAGCATCTTCTTTGACCACAATGGAATAAAATTAGAAATTAATAACAAGATGAATTTTGGAAAATATACAAATACATAGAAATTAAACAATATGGTCCCAAATAACCAGTGGTCAATGAAGAAATTAAGGAAATCAAAAAAATTTTTGAACACATGATAATAAAAACACAACATACCAAAACCTGTAGGATACAGAAAAAGAAAAACTAAGAGAGAAGTTTTGCTATAAGCACTTACATCAAAAAAGAGGAAAAATTTCAAATAAACAATCTAATAGTGCATCTTAAAGAATTAGAAAAGCAAGAGTAAACCAAATCCAAAATTAGTAGAAGAAAAGAAATAATAAAGATTAGAACAGAAATAAATGAATTTAACATGACAAAAATCACAAAAGATCAATAAAACAAAAAGTTGATTTTTTGAAAATAAACAAAATTGACAAACCTTTGGCCAGAATAACTAAGAAAAAAAGAAAGAAGATACAAAAAAATACAATCAGAACTGAAAAGGGAGACACTACAACTGATACTGCAGAAATTCAAAGAATCATTAATGGCTACTATGAGCAAATATATTCCGATAAACTGGAAATTCTAGAAGAAATGGACAAATTCCTAGAAACATACAACCTACCAAGATTGAACCATGAAGAAATCCGAAAGCCAAATAGACCAATAACAAGTAATGGGATCAAAACCATAATAAAAAGTCTTCCAGGAAAGAAAAGCCCAGGACCCAATGGCTTCACTTCTGAATTCTACTAAACTTTTGAAGAAGAGCTAATACCAATTTATTCAAACTATTCTGAAAAATAGAGGAGGGAATACTTCCAAACTCATTCTATGAGGCCAGTATTACCTTGGTACCAAAACCAGACAAAGACACATTTTAAGAAAGTAAACTACAGGCCAATATCTCTGATGAACATTGATGCAAAAATCCTCAACAAAACACTAGCAAACCAAATTCAACAATGCATTAGAAAGATAATACATCATGACCAAGTGGAATTTATCCCTGGAATGCAAGGATGCTTCAACGTCTGCAAATCAATAAGTTTGATACAGCATATCAACAGAATGAAGGATACAAATCATATGGTCATTTCAATTGGTTCTGAAAAAGCAGTGGATAAAATCCAACATCCTTTCATGATAAAAGTCCTCAGAAAACTGGAGATAGATGGAACATACTTCAACATAATAGAAGCTGTATATGACAGATCCACAGCCAGTATCATACTGAGTGGAGTCAGGGGTTACTGAAAGCCTTTTCTTTAAGATCTGGAACACAAGGATGCCCCTTGTCACCACTGTTATTCATTGTAGTACTGGAAGTCCTAGCTACAGCAATCAAACAAGAGAAAGATAAAGGGCATTCAAATTGCAAAGGAAGAAGTCAAATTATCTTTGTTTGCAGATGATATAATCTTATTTTTGGAAAAACCTAAATGCCTAAACACAAAAAAACCATTAGAACTGATAAATAAATTCAGTAAAATTGCAGGATACAAGATCAACATACAAAAATAAGTAGGATTTTTATCTGCCAACCATGAACACTGTGAAAAAGTAATCCCATTTACAATAACCACAAATAAAATTAAATACCTAAGAATTAACCAAAGAAGTGAAAGATCTCTATAATGAAAGCTATAAAACTCTGATGAGATAAATTGAAGAGGACACTAAATAATGGAAAGATAGTCAATGTTCATGGATTGGAAGAATCAATATTGTTAAAATGTCCATATTACTCAGAGCAATTTACAGATTCAATGCAATCACTGTCAAAATACCAATGGCATTCTTCAGAAAAATAGAAAAAAATGATCCTAAAAGTTATATGGAACCACAAAAGATTCAAAATAGCCAAAGCTATCCTAAGCAAAGAGAACAAAACTGGATGAATCACATTACCTGACTTCAAATTACACTACAGAGCTATCATAACCAAAATAGCATGCAACTGGCATAAAAACAGACACATAGACCAATGGAACAGAATAGATAACCCAGAAACAAATCCATGTATTTATAGCCCACTCGTTTTCAACAAAGGTGCCAAGAAAGTACACTGCGGAGAAGACAATCTCTTCAATAAATGGTGCTTGGATAACGGGATATCTTTATGCAAAAGAATGAAACCTGACCTCTATCTCTTGCCATATACAAAAATTAAAATGGATTGAAGACTTAAATCTAAGACCTCAAACTATGAAACTACTGCAAGAAAACATTGGGGAAACTCTCCAGGACATGTCTTGAGTAATACCCCACAAGCACAGGCAACCAAAGCAAAAATAGACAAATGGGATCGCATCAAGTTAAAAACCTTCTGCACAGCAAATGATGCAATCAACAAAGTGAAGAGACAACCCACAAAATGGGAGAAAATATTTCCAAACTGCCCATCTGACAAGAGATTAATAATCAGAATAGACAAGGAACTTAGACAACTCTATAGGAAAAATGTAATGATCCTATCAAAAAATGGGCAAAAGATTTGAATAAACATTTCTTAAGAAGACATACAAATGGCAAACAGGCATATGAAAAGGTGCTGAACATCGTTGATCACTAGAGAATGTAAATCAAAAACTACAAGGAGATATTGTTTCACCCCTGTTAAAATGGTTTATATCCAAAAGATAGGCAATAACAAATGCTGGTGAGGATTTGGAGAAAAGGGAACCCTTGTACAGTGTTGGTGGGAATGTAAATTAGTACAATCACTATGGAGAAGAGTATGAAGGTTTCTAAAAAACTAAAAGGTAGAGCTACAATACAATCCTACAATCCCATTGAGGGATTGGTGTATAACCCAAAGAAAAGAAATCAGTATATTGAAAAGGTATCTGCTCTCTCATATTTGTTTCAGTACTGTTCACAATAGCCAAGATTTGGAAGCAATCTAAGTGTCCATCAATAGACGAATACCCAATGGAGTACTCTTCAGCCATAAAAAATAATGAGATCCAGTCATTTACAACAACATGTTTGGAACTGGAGATCATTATGTTAAGTGAAATAAGCCAGGCACAGAAAGAAAAATATCTTTGTTCTCATGTATTTGTAGGATCTAAAAATCAAAACAATTCAATTCATAGACATAGAGAGTAGAACGATGGTTGCCAGAGGCTGGGAAAGTTAGTGGGTGGCTGGGGGTGGGGTGGGGATGCTTAATGGGTACAAAAAATAGTTAGAAATAATGAGTAAGACATACTATTTGAGGCTGGGCACAGTGGCTCACTCTTGTAATCCCAGCACTTTTGGGGGGCTGAGGAGGCTATGTTGCTTGAGCCCAGGAGTTCAAGACCCAGCCTGGGCAACATGGTGAAACCTCGTCTCTACAAAAAATACAAAAATTAGCTGGGCATGGTGGTATGCATCTGTAGTCCCAGCTACTCAGAAGGCTGAGGTGGGAGGATTGCTTAAGCCCAGGAGGTTGAGGCTGCAGTGAGTCATGATCACACCGCTGCACTCCAGCTTGGGTGGGAGAGTAAGACACCATCTTAAAAAAAAAAAACACATACTGTTTGATAGCACAACAGGGTGACAATAGTCAATAATAAAATAATAACCTAATTGTACATTTTTAAGTAACTCAAAGTGTGTAATTGGATTGTTTGTAACTCAAATGATAAATGCTTCAGGGGATGGACACCCCGTTCTCCATGGTGTGCTTATTTCACATTTCATGCCTGTATCAAAACATCTTATGTACTCCATAAATGTATACACATACTATTTACCCACTAAAATGTTTTTTAAAGTTAAAAAATCTCCCCACAAATATTTATTAATTACTATAATGGTTTTAAGACATGAAATTTTTGATTCCCTTCCCTCCAGGAAGTGGAACTTAATACCCCATTCCTTGAATGTTGGCCAGATTTAGTGACTTACTTCTAATGAATAGGGTACAGAAAGGAAAAAAAGAGATAATTTTACAGTAGACAACCTGACAGATACCAACTTACCTAAGTGATCAGGGTTAATATCACAAGTGATAAGTTATGTTGTTATCATGTATCTATGCCCTGATAAAATGTAGTGAGAAGCATTTCACCTCTATGCTGTTCTCCCAAGTCTCTAACTGTAGGCCAACCAGAAGAAAAAAAAAAAAACAGACAACCTCACATTGATAGATATTCTACAAAATATCTGACGTTAAGGTCATAAAAAGTAAAGTAGAAACATACCTTGAAGGAGACTAAGGAAGCATTATGGCTAAATGCAACATGGTATCCTGGGTTGGTTACTGAAACAGAAAAAGGTCGATGAAATTGGAATATAGTTTAGCTAATATTATTGTTCCAATGTAAGTTTTTAAAAAATGTACCATGGTTATATGAAATGTTAATATTAAAGGACATTGGGTAAATGTACATGATCACTCTGTACTATTTTTGCAGATCTTCTGCAAATCTATTTCAAAATAAAGTTTAAAAAACAAACTCTGAATATAAGATCCCATTTATAATATGTATACAAATATATAGCATAAGCAGTATAGTTGTTTTTAGTACATAAGTATAATCCCAGAGATAACTTGCTAAATGAGAAATCCTTTCATTTTTCTGTTTTTTTTAAAATTGAAATGTGCAAAAATTTCAGTTCACATATCTTTAGAAAGACTATTTTTTGTTGCTTCACATGTTGAATCACAAGTGGCTTCTTTTGTAAAGTATATATTTTTAAAATTTATCAAATAATTTATCTGTATTACTTGTGTACATAATGTAAGATTATAAACTTTTCTATTTCATTTCATTGCAATAAAAAACTATCAAATTACAAATAGAAACTCCAACAAAAGAGCTTTCCTCCAAATTAATATAAAATGCAATTACAAAATGAAAAAACTAAATCTTAGACACTGTTTTAACTCTCAGTGTTTAATAAACCTAGATTCCCTATGTTAGTGATAAGGAATTTCCTAATTTAGTGATAAATTTTATATTTGTTTGCTTCTTTGAAACCATTTCACATTTTATTTGTTGAATATATTAATTAAATATTTATAAATGATTTTGAATTAAATGTACCCAAAATTCAGAGGACATGGTAAAAAAAAGTTCAATACCCTTATAAGACATGTACATGAGTATTACTAATTCAAATATTTCTAAAATCTGTTGGTGGAAAATGAAGAAAAAGTGAGTATTGCAATGCAATAATTATTTCACCTTCAACTTCAGCTTTATCACAAGCATTTTGTTCAGTAAATCTATGTGTATGTATGTATACATGACACAAATGTCTTAAAATTAAATTCATAACTTAATTAAAAATATAACATATAAAATTCAATTTAAAATATATGCGTATTTAAAATTTCCCAACTATGACTTCTGTTTTAATTGAAAGAATGTTGTAGCTTATTCTGAAAAATTCTGAATTATGTGTGTGCTATATAGCAATTCCAATAGTGAAGTTTATAGAGATTAGTCATTTAATCTAAGTGCATGTCATGCTTTCCAGAGTAATACATGTGCGCCTTCTGCAGCTGCATATATTGAATCATAATCTTCAGGCCCAATTAGCTGAATAATGACTAAATTTGAAGTACATGCCAAATATTCTTGAATGAATTTATGTGACCTGACTTTGTTTGGTTAATTTATCTCTGTAACTTGCTTGGTGAATGATAGGTGTCAATAAAACAATTTAAGTTACACATTCATTATCTAACTTTCTTGAAAAATGTAAGTTTCAGTTCTTAATTTTTTATTAAATGTGACATTGTATGTGACATGGTTAGGCTTTGTATTCCCACCAAAATCTGATCTTGAATTACAATCCCTGTAATCCCCACGTGTCAAGGGAGAGACCAGGTGGAGGTAATTGCATCATGGAGGCAGTTTCCCCCCATGCTGTTCTCATGATAGTAAGTGAGTTCCCATGAGATCTGATGGTTTTATAAGTGTTTGGTAGTTCCTCCTGCATTCATTCTCCTTCCTGCTGCATTGCGAAGAAGGTGCCTTGCTTCCCCTTCACCACCTTCCATGATTGTAAGTTTCCTGAGGCCTCCCCAGCCCTTGCTGAACTGTGAGTCAATTAAACCTCTTTCCTTTATAAATTACCCAGTCTCGGGCAGTTCTTCATAGTAGTGTGAAAATGGACTAATACAGCATGTTAAGCATTTTGCTAAAATGGCATATTGCAACATAAATGTGTTACCAAACAACAAAAGTAGGTAACTGGTTGTATATTTATACCATATACAACCATATACTACCTGATAAAACCAGAGTAACCAGAGCATTAGACTATCTATAACTTCTACAATGAAATAACTACTCTTCTATTTTTAGTATGTGCCATAGTCTAGTCAGTAATTTCTCACTTTTTTTGTAGATTTCATTGCTTAGTGGGGCTTTGTGCATGTTTGTGGTCAACACACAGGTATATCAAATAGTGGGCAAGCACAGCAGCTCCAAAAGCTGCTGAGCAAAAGAAGAGTAGAGTTAAATTGTCCTTAACTGCTTCTGTCCATATGTGCTTTATCATCAAATACCTTATGCATTGTCTTTGAAAAGAAAGTGTTAGTTACAGTGCCTCTGGACAGGGTGAAAACAAAAGATAGGTTACCTCTGGTTGTCTTTCAGCTTTAATCACATGTTAAAGAGCAATCTATTCACTGGACACGCACCTTCTCCACTGGCAGTGTAGAAGATGTTAGAATTTGGAAACAAAACTGGAAGCCTATGGAACCATCCAATTATTTTGATGCAACTCTTGATAAAAATACTTATGAAAAATTTAAGACAAATTCTGAAAAAGGCTAGGACTTTCCCAGGCAGAATGTGACTTACGGTTATCCTAACTCAGAAAATTCCTATGCCACTGAGTATAACAGGCATCAGGCAGAACTGCAACAAGATAATAAGACATCTGGCTTGAGGTAGAGGCAGTGAGAACTAGGGCCCTAGGAGAAAGAGCGGCAAAGGCTTCTAGACAAATAACTGGGTTCAAACACTTGGCTCCACTAGTTCTGCCATTTGGGGAACTCATTCAACTGCTTTAAGGCTCAATTTGCTCATTGAAAAAATAATAATTATAGGACTCATATAGTAGGTATAACACTTACTGCTCAAAACTGTGTATGTGTAATAGCACATTCTTTTGATCTCTAAATTAAATTGAATCTGCTGCAAGTCTACATCCACTAGACAAACAGGAATTTAATCTGAGCAACATTGGAACTCTAGCCACCTCCCAGGATTAGAATCTAGAACCTATAAAGAAAACCCTTTCATTTCTGGTTCACACTTCAATTTGGAGCATTGTTGCTTCTAGTTCAAGTCCTGACATCAATTGATGAAGATACATCTCTTGCTTTTGTGCCAAGAAAGTGAGAGAATAATTGAAGACGCTACATCATCAAATTGGTTAGAGGAATGGGATGCTTACGTAGGATTGGTTTTGACTAAGATCAGGTGCCATTTACATTGTAGCAGGAGGACGGAGCCTGTGTCTTCACACAGGCATGTCTGTGAGTGTTCTGATGTGAACATCTTCCTGTTACTTCCTGTCTTTGTCTTGAATTTTCTGTCTGTTCCTCTTAAGATTTTTTCTTATGATTTCCATGTTTATTGCCTTCATTCTTTGTTCATCTGAACCACTTACTCTTTCTGTCATGAGACTCTTACTTTAAACCAGCTATGATATTGAGTATGTATTTTTTACATTTACTGAATTTTTATAAATTTTTATGCCTCTATTTCTAATTTTAAAAGAAAAGCTATTTTATCAGTGTATATTTTCCTATGAATATAAAAAGATTGTATTTTGCTTGATTAACTGTTTTCCTTGAGGGTCAATGAACCCCAATAGGGGAAAAAAAAGTTCTGTTCTTAGTGAATTTTATACATTTACACCATCTGAAACCAGATTACATCATATGTAGAAAATGGAATGAATGATCAAAGAAGCATTGCCAAGCAAAAAGCTCTGACATCCTTCTTTAATATGTAGATAAAAACTGTTTGAAATTAATATATTATTTGTATGCAAAATGGAGCAGCTAAGGTTCTTGAAAACAGTTTATTTTCTTTCAATCCTGTTTACTCTATTAATATACTGAGCAAACTCCTTTTTCTAGATAGTGCCAAAGTAAACTTTTTCCCAGCCTGCGTCTGATTTTTCATGATTCTCTGAATTAATAAGGTTTATTAAGCTGCAAATAGATACACCACCTGCTGCAGAGCTGTCATCAGACTCAATTATGCTTCATGATTGGGTCATGAGTGATCAGTTGAGACCTGTTGGTTTAGATATTTTTTATGGAATATTATTGATATTTGTTAATAACATTTGTGTCTCAGTCAAGTTCCAAGAGATTCACCAGCTTGGGATTAACTTAATTTCTGCTGTGCTGCCACAGTTTGTAGAACCTGGCTGGGAGCCATAACTTTTGACAAGGGTGATGGCTCCTGTCTTCTCTCTATATGGCTTCTGTCTGTCTCCACTCCTCTACCTCCCTATTGGCCAGAGTATTTCAATACTTCCCTACAGGAGACTGAAAAATGATCCCCAAAGATATCAGGTCCTAATCTCTAGAACCTCTAAATATTGCCTTGTAGGACAAAAAGATCTTTGCAGATGTGATTTACGATCTTGACATGGGGGGATTATTCAAGATTATCCTTGTGGATCCTAAAGGCAATCATTGATGTTCTTATAAGAGAGGCAGGAGGAAATGACAGACAGAACAGGGGATAATGCTACCATGGAGATAGAGACTGGAGTGATGTAGACACAAGACAAGGAATGCTGACAGTCACCAGAAGCTAGAAAAGGCAAGAAAGTACTATCTCCCTGCGACACTGAAGGAAGGACAGCCCTGCCAACATCTTGATGTCAGACTCTTGGCCTCCAGAACTGTGAGAGAATACAGTTTTGTTTTTTCAAGTCACCAAATTTGTGGTAATTTGTTATCACAGCAGTCATGAAGAACTAATATGTTCCTTTCTCCCTATCTACAGAAAATGTTTATGTTAGATTTATATATACTAGAGCGAGTGAAAGTGGCTAGAATTTTAGCTATTGAGTTGAGTTATTCTGTTCCATCTTAGAAGGAAAGATACAAGTAGAAGATGAGAAGTTGTGATAAGAAAACACAGCACCTTTCAAGCTAAGCTCTCAAGGCTAGTCTATGCCAGTTGATTGTCTGTTCCTACTTTGCTCAGGTCACATTTTCCAGACTCCCTTGCAAGGTGATGTCTGGCTTGCTTTTGCCTATGGAAGCCTATTGGTTGGATATTAAAAGACAGGAAGAAAGGAGAAGCTCTTGTTTTCTGCTTTGGATAGCACCTCTGGTGACAGCAGCAGCAACAGTGGACAATAGCAGATTCCTATGAAACTGGTACACTCCAAGAAGTGGAAGCAAATGCCACCCCATCTCCAGCAGTCTCACTGGTACAGCCTTCAGGGGCTCTGGATTTATCAGTGACATAGATGTTAGTTTGGACTCTTGAGATTCTTCACTATCAGCAGGAGTTTGGCCTCCTGGCTTCCTACAAAGCTATAGTGTGGTAGATCCAATAGCAACATGATAATCATTGTTTCTTGGAAATACCATTTTCCCTCTTGCTCCTCCAGTCTTCAGAGTGATGATGGGTTCCTGAGGTTCCCAATCCCTTTCAACTCCCTCAGGCTATCCAACACTTTTGTAACTATTTCCCTATATAGGGTTGTCTGTTTGACATACTTATGCCAGATACTGGCTTTACAAGGAAGGAGATTTTCATATATGCATGTGGTTTTATTTTCCTGCAATGGTAGTGAAATGATGAACATGCATCCCCATATCAAAAAGCAATGGTTTGAAGACTATCTGGCAAATTATCCCTTTTCATTAATTAGTTAATTAGATCAGGTTCTCAACTAGTCATTTACTTCTTCATGCATTATTCACGCATATATTCATATACCAGCTGTTTTGTATCTCCATTATTCATTCATAAATCCATTCAGAAACCCTTATTAAGGGTCACCATAATGAATCTGTACCAGGTACTAGTTACTAAATTTGTGACTTATTTCACTCTTTAATATCCAGTCCTTTGTTTACTACTTTACGATAATCCAGCAGGAGCAGAATACAGAAATGGCTTATATTAGTTCATGAAATTAGAAGTTGGAGTGTTTCAAACCCACTGAAAATTACTAAGCTCAGCTCTATGCACAAGTGAGTATAAAATAATTTCTGAGTCTTAAATGTCAATAATTTAATATTGACACTTTTCAAAATGAAACTTATAAAGGTTTGGTGTTAGAGAATAATGTTGAAGTTAAAGCTGAAATACTTTGGAGATTGCTAATTATTCTTGCATCTGTGAAACTAAAAATATTTCCTACTTGTACATTTCCCTTATTATGTGACAAGGTGACCCAAGTTAAGATCATTTGAATCTTTGATAATTAGAAACTGGGAAAAAAAAATCTTTCAAAAAAACTATAGGGAATTTTGGCTTTTAAGAATAAAGACAATTTGTTGTGGGGAACGACCATCTTTAGTTATGGGAAAACCACCATTTTCAGTCAACTTATATTTATTAACATTACTGGGTGACAGGAACAAATAGACATGTTTCTGAATGAAAATGTTTGAGATATGGCAACTTCAAGAACTTCAACCATTCTATAAATTAATAGAAAAAAGTTGCTTATGAAATGAATAGTTCTTTTTGTTTTTGCTTTGTTTTCACAGTTTTCATTAGAGAAATGTTTCCCTTCTAAGTATGGATTTAAATTACCCTTTGCCTGTCCTTTCAACTTTTTCTCATTGACCTATTTTATATATTTTCTTCTTTAAGCACTTTCTCAAAGAAAATGAGAAGAGGCCTCAAAGGCAGTGAATTCACTCTAAATATATCGGACTGACTACTGATGCCTCTGTTTTTAAGATATGCAGCCCTTGGCCTGAGTGCTCTGATGACTTGTGGAATCTAATGTGGTGTGGCTAGAAGGATAAGATGGGGGCATCTTAAAGGAGTCAGTATTAAGGCAGGAAGTGATTATTCCAGAGGTGAACTTGTGACTAGGAGGAGCGAAAAACTGCTTCCCTTTGGGTCCTACTGTGAAATTGTTTATGACACCTTAGCACAAGAGGTGTGGATCCACTTATGGTGCAGAGAGTTCAGGTGGTCATCTTGTAAGAAAGCTGGGGGTTAGATGTAGGTCACTGGAGTACTTGAGGGGTATCCTGTACATTGCTTTTCTCTTCTATCTTTCCTGAACTTTAAGGAAATACTGATGGACAGTGTTATTAAGAGTGAGGCATGTCTGATGCTGGTGATTATGTGGTAAGGGGAGAGCAGTGTCTCTTCCCTTGAAACCTGAGTGTGAAAGCAGCTGTCCTTACCTGGAGAAGGTGGTGTTGACCCCCCCTCAGCCCATTCAAGAGCAGTCTCATAAGGGCCACCACACTGGGAAAATCTCAATAGCTTATTAGTCCATATTCTGGCATACAAGCTGGTGGGGGCTTAAGTCATTGAAATTTAGGCATTTAAAGGGAAACGTTGCCTTGCTTTCAAGTCACAGATTGGAGACCAAGACATTTGGCTAACATTGATATCATCACATGCCTTAGTTTTTGCCTTCTGTTTTAATGAAGGAAATAACATGATGTCAGCAGGTAATCGGAGGGCAAAACCCAGGTATCTGATTCTCAATTATTAGCTTTATAACTTTGAGCACTTAAAATCTCTGACCCTTAGTTTTGCCTGAAAATGAGGGCGTTCTCACTGGCTAAAAGGTTTTCAAATAGTGCTCACAGATTCCGTAACAACTTGATTTTCCATTTTAATTTCAATATGAAAACACATATGCTGAATTATTTTAAATTATAGTAGTTTTAAACACTCATATGTGTTACATATTAGAAAGAAGCAATTGAAAGACCAATTATATACTAAATTCTGCTGCCAGCTTAATTAATTTTGCACACAACTTCCCACTCTCTCTGTTTAATTCAAAGGTTCTCCATTGTGGTCAAGGGAAACAACACAGAATACCCTAGGATTGCTTTGTTAAAAAACAAACAAACAAACAAAAAAACTTGAAAACTAGGCTATTCCCATTTAGTAGGCTTTAGAATTCTATAGATGATTGAAATACAACAATCTGAAGAACCGATATAAACCATTGTTCTTTTTACTACCTTCAACTAGATTACTCAACTGACGGTAATATTTTGACTTCAATGTTTATTGAACATGGGACATTTTTTAATCAGTGTGGGTTGAAGATATTTGACTTCTTGTTTGATTTCATCTTCACTAACTTGTACCAAGTCTTGTTGGTTACTCATTAATTCATTATGTAATCTTGTACCCACACTTGTGCTTCTCCATTCACCTGGTACAGGCTCTCATTTCCCCCCCTTCATTTGAAAACATCACTATGGCCTTTTAAATAAGCGTCCTCTGTGTAGCATCTAGACCTCATACTTACTCTATTACCATTCCTAAACATAGTTTTCATTTGATGATGTATTTAAGAGGCAAAGTATAAGGCAAGCCCATAAACCTTAGTCTGCCACTCAAGGTCTTGTGATACCAGATCCCTATTTATACTTTTATTTTCTTTTTTAAATTTATTTTTTATTTTTTAGAGATTGGGTATTGCTACATTGCCCGGCATGAGTACAGTGACTATTCACAGGTGTGATCATAAGGGACTGCAGTCTCCAACTCCTGGGCTCGAGCAATCCTCCCACTTCAGCTTCCTTTTCTTTCCAATCTAAACTCTATTCTTTTGAAAAATTTTTACTCATTTTTCACCCTCACATGCCAGTTGCATTCCACTTTTCTACTGTAACATACAGTGATTGCCACATGTAGAAATACCATTTTCTTCCTCTACACTCTCCAGGGTCTAGTTCTGATCCAAACCTCACTACTTCAACCTATGCTATGTCCTTTTTTCTGTGAACAGCTACTAGAACTTACTTTCAACTATACAAACGATACTTGAAATAAACACCCTTTGGATACCCTGTACAAATATCTCAGGGCGACCTAAAGGTAGCCTTCCTTACCATGGTATCCACCTCTCTAGAACCTACCCTATTTGTGCAGCCTGTCCCAACTCTTTCATCCCATATTGGCTTCCTTTTATCTTTTTGTTCTTTTACTAGACTTAGTCTCACTTACCCTTCATATTTTCTTCTAATTTACCTTTCAATATTTCCCAACACTGTTTGCATATTAGAACCACCTGGAGAGGTTTTATAAGGTACAGATTCTCAGAGCTCACAGGCTTGAGTGTTTCTTTAATTGATCTAGGGTAAGGCCCAGTGTACAAAACTATATAAATAACTGGCATTTTTAAATGTTCCTTAGGCAATTTTAATGAGAGAAGTGTTGAGAAGCACTAAATTGAATCAAATTATAAGCTCTTTGAGGAAATAGTCATGTGTTATATTTCTTTGCCTTCATCCCCTAAATAGTGGATACAAGCCACGTAATCAATAAATATATGTCGGTTTGGCTAATTTTTTTTCTTTCTTTCTTTTTGAAGAGGAAAGAGGACGAAAAAGAGATTGGGGAAGAAAGTCCTCTTAAGAATACTCAGCCCTACCAATTCCAACCTGTGCACCACAAAGGTCTTTCTGAACATCTCCATTGATCCCCAAGGATCTCATACTTTGAGAGATTCCTGTTTCACACTATTAAGCACATTAGTCCTGTTCACCTCACTGTTTAATCACTGACTGAAATGGAAGGCATCAGTTAATTCCGTGATTTCAATTCTGAAAATAGTTATTCTCAACAAGCAAGTGGAGACATGTTTTTGACAACATAGTATTTTTTTTTTATGTTTTGTCACAGTATTTGTATGTTATGCTTAAGGCCAACATTTATGCTCGTTATGTTACCAGATTCAATATGGATGAACAATAGTGCATCACAACCTATCTATCTGTAAAGAGTGTATCTTCTTAGCCTCAAGTGGGTAGTTGCCTTTCCAAGTCAGGAGATTTCTAATTTTGCAGGAGACCATCATGCCTGCCAAGTCACTCTCAATGCTTCTGGCTGGTCCATTAGGCCCACATTCTCTGCTCTCCACTCACCCTCAATATGCAAACTCCTGGATTATACAAATGAGATGTACAAAATCAATCTTTTACAAATCCTGAGCATTAGATTTGCACATCTTTACTCATCAGAGTCACTTTACCATACCACGTCACCATTGCTCAAAATGCAAACCTCTCTCTCTGGTAAATTTCATCTGAATCTTGGGTGCATTTGACCAACATTTGTGTTGATTCTTGTGCATATGGCTTGTAAGTTTTGTAGACATGCATGAAATTGCTCTTTATCTGTGCTGCAGCGATGATGGGGAAAGGCAGACAGAGAGATTCTGCTAATTATACATAGTTATAATGAAGAACTTTTCTAGTTTCGTGGCCTGGAGCCTCTAGTTCATTTTAATAGAGCAAGTTATATTAATTAGGTGTATGTAAAGGACAATCTTTCTCTTTACTGATTTGTCATTGTGTTATTACAGCCATTCGGTGCCATTTGGAAACTATTTTCATCACAAAGAATAGATTTAGGGCTTCTCTTCTATTTTGAAGGGAAAAAAAGTGTGCCAAACTTCTCCAACAATCTGGAATTTTATTCCATCCATATACATGCATAGTAACAACATTTGTTGAGAAATTATTTCTATCAGAAGTAGAACATTATCTTTGTGATCACCAGGTGCAGTATTGCTACTCTTATATTTAAATAGATCTTATATATGAATTAAATTCATACTTGCAGCATTGAGTTTAGGGTTTCGATTTAGACTGTGCCTTTCAAAAGATAAAACTGATTAATACTACCTCATTACTTACAATACTGCTTCCAGTAATTTTGTTCATTCTTTATAAAGTATTGCATTTAACAGCAAAGGTTTAAAAATTGAGACAGAGCTGCATCAGCGAAAGAAAATACAAGTACTATACAAGAAAAAAATTGCCATCTTCATTTAACATACAGGTTCAGGATTAAGAAAATGGACGGAAACATACAGCTACATACAAATGCAAAGCCTAGTGACTAAGAGACTGTATCTGCTAAAATATAAAGTGCAAACAGAGCCTGATTATCCAAGAATTGAAATCTTAAGGCGAACTTATAGCATGTGTATTTAGAACATCTTTGCAAGTTATATTTTAGCATATACATATATCTGCAACAGCATATAAGAAAAAATCAAGATACACAAGTGCTTTTGAAGCTATTTCTAAAATGCTTTTCTGTATTGTGACTATTTTCTTTAAAAGCTACTATACAGTGCAAACCATATGTGCTACACAATAACTATACAATAACATTACAAATGACTTTAATATAAAGTTTTTAAATAAAAAATAACATAACCACAGCTATGAATACTGCTGGTAAAATAAATTAATTTTTTTGAAAATGGCACCAATAATACACTTTACTAATGGACTGTAATGAAATTACACCTTAAGTCTTCAACTCAGCCATAATGAATTATCTCCTGATTGCCCAGATGTAATTCAAACAGCTTATTTTTTTTTCTGGACTGGTTAGAACAACATACTAAACACTGATACCAAAGGTGACTGATGTTTAGTTAGTTCATTTGACATGTTCTGCTGCATGTGATGAGCAATAAAACTTCTTGTGAGTTATAAAGTTTGAAAGGTTGTTGAACTGGATATCACATAGCCGGCAATATTTCCCACTGGTTGGAGCCTGGCTGGAACCATTCACACCTTTTGCTATACTAGACAACTGTTCCTCTGCTGAGGGAATTCCTGGTGAGACATTCTCATTGGCAGCTAATGGGTTCTCAGAGATCCACGAGGGAGATTTGTGGTCGTCTTCGTGCTGAGGATTCTGGGAAATGTTCTCTTGCTGTGGGTTGGCAGCAGGTCTCTCATCTTGTTTCAGTCCACCATTCACTATTACCATTCCTCGATTTTTGGGCAACAATGGCAGAGAATCTTTCTTCAGCGCAGCACACCCATTTGAGGAAGCCTGGCCTTTAGGAGATTCATTTTCTGCATTTCTGCTTTGCTCGATGTCAGTGTTATGGATGACAAGAGAACCAGAAATATAATCACTTGGCTTGATTCCATAATATGGAGAAAGCTGGTCGGCTCCTTTTGCTTTCTTTATTGCTCCAGGGTAAAGGCATTGTGGAAGAAACAAATGTCTGTTTTCTTCTTTTGTAGCAATGAGCTGAGCAGCTTCACTAAAGACCTTCAAGCCTTGCAGGGTTGCTAGGTGGGATGAAAATAAGTTTCCATTGGGGGAAGGCTGCTTCAAATTCCCATTTTTCTCACATTTTATTATGCTTCTTTCGTAGCTGACATCAGGGCTGTTTCGTTCGCTTTCTGGATTCGGAAACACTTTGCCGTCCAGTTGACCCAGGTCATTACGCTGATGTGCAGTAACCGGGCAGAAATTCTGCTTGTGGGCCAGATAGTTTTCTACCTTATTGAAACTGATCTTGCACACAGTGCACTCGTGATAGTCCAGCAGCCTTTTGGGAGACGTGGTCGTCCGCTCAGACTGAGATAAACACTTTTTGCTGAGATCTATGGGCACGTCCATCTCTAGGCAGGAAACACTGGAATGAGTAGTATCACATTTGGAAACTGGAACACACTTGTTGATCGTCAGAGAAGTTTCCAAGTGTTTAGAGACAATTCCTGGAAAGATATCACATCTTGGGTGGTAGCACTCTCCTAGCCCTTCTGTGGGTTCTTGAGTGGAGGTACAAGGATTATTGAGGTTGGCTACGTCAAGAAATCTCTGCTGAACCAGTGGAGGCCTTTGTTCCTGCTCAGGTAGGCACATCTCATACATCTTTCTGCGCTTGCGTGTGCGCATGGTTCTCTGCATGGCAGGCACTTTGTTGGAAGCAGACCTCTTCAGTGGAGGGTCGTGGCGTGTAGCACAGTAATACTGTTTGTGGACCATGTATGTTTCGTGCCGGCTGAAGGTAATGTTGCAAGCTTCACAGGTAGTCTTATTTGGGTCACTTTCCCCATCCACTAAGGGGACACTGGGATTTTTCACATCAACAGGTTTTCCATTAATTTTGTCATCATTGTTACTGGAGGTGGAGAGCTTCTTAGTTTGAGTGGAAAAGTCCTTGTCATGGCCCTTCCCATTTGGCCCAATTAAATCTAAGACAGTGGAAGAATTGATGCAAGATGTTTGAAGAAGTGGATTCTCAGGATCAGCAGAATGAGCAGCTGGGTTGAGAAGGTTTATGGAGGTTTGGCCAGTGTTGGGACTCAAAGCTTCAGGCATCTTTTCTGACACACTAGGGAACTCTGGGGACTTAGCCATCTGCTGCCATCGGCTGCTGCAATAATGCTTTTTGTGCACTAGATAATTATCCAAATTATTGAATGTTATGTTACACTCAAAACAAGTAGCCCCCTTGGGCATCAAAGGGCTGTAAATGACGGGAGGGTAGCTACTACTGCCATGCCTCAGTCGCCGATGCACCAGTTCAGACATCTTAGCTAAGATCTCTGAAGCTTGAGGGACCATGGTGATATCTTGGGGGAAAGAAAACTGAGATAGGAAAGGGCCCACAGGGAAAGAAGGCCCAATATTAGGCTGAACTGGAGATGAGGCAAGTCTTGGGCTAGAGGGCTCAGACTTTATTTTTGTGTAAGAAAAGCTTTGTTTATTTGTTGTAGGCTGTATCTCTGGTCTCTGGTTCGTGAGAAAGAGCTGAGTCTTTTTCTCACACTTGTCCAGCTCTGTGTCAGAGCTCGCATCTTTAGTCTGCATGGCCTTTTGGCTCTGGGGAAGTTCGCTTCTGGTCAATAAGTCTGTGGCTGGCTGTAAGCTGTCTTCAGTTGCACTTGGAGAGTGTTCCATGTCACTTTCTCTGGGAAGTTTGCCGCTAGGGACATGGAGCTCCTGGTGCTGCAATAACTCCCTCTGAGTCTGGAAGCCGAAATGGCAGTGATTACATCGGAAGGCAGCTTGAGTGAGATGGGAGAACAGGTGTTGGTGAAAGTTGATCACGGAATCAGCAGTGTAGCTACAGACGGTGCATTTTAGACTAGCACCAGGGGGCAGGAATTCTTCCATTTTCACTCCTAGAGAGACATACAAAATAAGAACAATGAGAAACATGTGTGTTGGTTTTTGAATGACAGGGACCTTTTCTAATGACCTAATGTTTGCAACACAATAGGAATGAAATCTTTCAAAATTTCATTCGTGATATTAACTGTTTTCTTGTGACATCTCTTACTGTGTATGATAATATTAATAGCACTTTATAGTTTTCAAAGTACTTTCATGAATATTATGGCATCAAAGTGGAATAAGTGTCAGTGTCTCCATTTTATAGATGAGGAAACACGCTGAAGGAGGCTAAAGGAATTGATTATGTTAATAAAGCTATTAAGTGATGAAGCCATGCCTAAGCCTTGGATTTTATAATTACTAATCTAATAACCTCACTATAACATTAGCCTCTACATTAGGAATAAGTGAGCATTCATTAGGGTTGCTATTGAAAACAATGCAAATCAAATAACTCTCAGTACACTACATATAGGTTATATTCTAAAGAGGCCAAATAGAAACCATTTTGTAAAGTAATTAATATAATCTTAATTTATATTAATATAAATTTAAAATTTTATGCAGTAGTTTTGCTGAACATAGTTTATCTCTATCCAGGGCTGATATTTAGCTGGTAGACTAATATAGTCTACCAGTACACTAATATAGTCATTTTGCATTGGCATCCATGCTGATTGATCACTGCCTATTTCTAGTCCATGATTAAATATTTTGAATATTACCATTGACTGTGGTGGGTAAGCATCACTAAGATTGACTCTAGCTCCCATTGGTCAGCATATGGTAAAATCAGGCTTGGCTTATCCCCTCTGTACTCTGGACTAGAATAAGACTGCCTTTTATATTCATAAGCTGAAAACATGGCAGAGGTACCTAGTCCTGTAGTCATAAAAGGGGACTACCTATCCTTGTCTCTTTTTCTCCTTAATGAATCTAATACTCATTTTTTTTTCCATTTAGCTTAAAGGACCCCTGTATTCTGTTCTTTTTGTTTTGTACATGACCTTACTCACCATCTGAGACAACCAATATGTTTCTGCTTCCCCTGCTTTATTATCTATATGAAGATAGCTCATTTGTAAGGAGAGGAAAGAGGATGAGCAGAAAGGAAATGACCTACTTTTACAGGTTCAAAGACAAAAGCTTGAACTGTACTAGAGCACTGGAGGTTAGAACAGTAGCTTAAAACTCAACATGTGTTTCCATTTTAAAATTATTTAATCTAGGCAAAGACCACTAAGAAAGTCACCCAGAGGTGTCCTACAAGGTTTGTATTATAGGTGCTGAAAAACTATGATTCTCAGTCCCTAGTTTGTCCCATGTAAGAATGTACCTAAAATTATTTAAAGTTAATAGAATTCTGTACATTTGAATAAATTCATTTTTTAAAAAATATGATAATTAGAATGCTATGAAATGAAACTAAAAATAGCTGGCATACAATTCCAAATTAAATAGAAACAGTTGCCACCTTGCTATTGAGAGGGCCTTAAAAAGCTTATTTGTTTTTCAGCCTATTTTTTTCTTAAGGGATTTTAAAACATAGTACTAAAAGTAGTTTAATGTCATAAAAACCACCTAAGCTGTTATGATGCATCTTTTGGAAGTCAGAAATATTTTACTGATCCATATTTAAAAGTAAACATCCCTGAACTGTAATTTTAATTAGATCTATCAATAGAGTAGCTTTATTTCAATTCAGCACACACTTATATTTATGTACCTATTATTTCTTCCCTACCATATAGGAAACACTATGATCAGTTTCCAAAGATTGCTTGACACTAAAGCAATAAATGGCAATATTCAAAGGGTATTGAGATTTTCTTTTTAAAATAATGTGCTTTTTTAAAACCTCAGTTGAGAACAAATAGAATGATTTGGCCTCTGAATTTGTAAGAAAAGAATTCAGACCCAAGTCCTTTGAGTAACATATGCTGAGTATAAGTGGCATAAGATCACACTGGTTGACCCAGAAAGTTTGATTTTGATGTTATAGATAGCTACAGATAGACAGATATAGACGTATACATGTAATGCATATATATTTATAAAAATAACAGAGTCTTCTGGAGCAACAGAAGAAACAAAAGGGGCATTTACCACTGTGTGAATTCAGGTGCATTTCTAGAGCTCGAGCATTTGAAAAGCTCTTGGTGCACTGTGGGAAGGGGCACAGGCTGGAAATCTGATGGGCACTGTCTTCATTTTCCTCTGACACCGGAGCAGCTTCTCTTTGCCTCCCACTGCAGTAGTACATCAAATGGGCCTGCAGATTCCGCTCACTCCGATACCAGATGCCACAGGACTTGCAAGGGAATATATCCTCTGCAGGTAAAAACACAAGAGACACATTTGCTGCTGTCCATTTGAAACCAACTGTGGGTAAAGCAGCATTTAGTTCAATTTTTCTCAGACTCCGCTCTCAGGTTCTTAATTGGGCAATCAGATGAGTAACAGTCTTTGGTGTTGTTCTACAGCATAGGACTCGACTTTTAAAGAAATGTTGTACTCTGCAATTTAACTTCCCACAGACTCTAGAGAAAGAGGAGACTCCAACATTTAAAACACAAGATATTGATTTTATTTTATTTTATTTTTTGCGACAGATTCTCACTGTGTTACCTAGGCTGCAGTGCAGTGGTGCGATCTCAACTCACTGCAACCTCTACCTCCTGGGTTCAAGCAATTCTCCTGCCTCAGCCTCCCAAGTAGCTGGGATTACAGGTGAGTGCCACCACGCCTGGCTAATTTTTGTATTTTTAGTAGAAACAGGTTTCTCCATGTTGGCTAGGCTGGTCTCAAACTCCTTACCTCAGGTGATCCACCTTGCCTCAGCCTCCCAAAGTGCTGCAGTTACAGGTGTAAGCCACTGCCTGGCCTAAGATATTTATTTTAAATTGTATTTATGGTTAGAAAAAATATTCATTTATAGTGATGTAAATTATCTGATTGATTAAAAGGTAAGGATGTAAGGGCTGAACTAATGTTAGCCCTGATGTCAACCCCTGACACCATTTTTTTTTAACACAGTAAATACGGAGTGGCTACTATGTGCCCAACTCTGTGTTCGGCTGGGTATAAAACAAAATGAAAGATGAAACAGCTGCCCTTAGGAAGCATACAGTCTCCTTGGGTTGATGGACATGTGGTCAGCTAATTACATTACAGCCTAATTACTGTTCTGATGGAGGTATCTGAGGAATGCCCCAGGGCATGGAAAAGAGGCTGATGGCAGGAGTGGAGGGAGGAGATTAGAGATGGGTTTAGAGGGAAGATGATGAGCTCAGCCTGAGCTGAGGTATGAAGGATGAAATTAAGCTGGTTTGGTGGAGAAGAGGGGTTGGATCATCCTGATCAAATGGGCAGCTCAGGGAAAGCCATGAGAGCCTGAGAGAGGAGCTGGGAGGCTGGGAGGCTTTTCTGTACTGTTGAGGCACGGAGCATGATAGGTCTGGGAGAGAAGAGGCTGTAGGAGGCAGGGATAGACTGTGAAAGAATTGCAGACTCTCAACAAGTTTTAGATTTTGTCTTAATGATTACGAAGCATCACTGAATCATTTTAAGCAAGACACTGACATAATCAGATATTATCGCATAATCAGAATCATAGCAGTGGAGTCTAGTTTTGAAGGTAGTGAATTTGGAAGAAAGAGTTTTGACTGGTGGGAGGTAACTGCAGTACTCTAAGGGAAACACAACAGGGTTTGAGCTGTAGCTAATACTGGTACCATATTTATCAGGTCATGCTATGACGTGTCATTTTCATGTGTTCACTCATGGTAAATTTCTTCACGTGTGTTTTTTCCCCCTTCATCCACTTATAGGTGAGGAGACTGGTGTTAAGTAACTCGCCCATCCATGACCGCATCAGTGGTTGAAATGGGATTGGAATCTGGTCTTAATCACTCTTCCATAATGCCTCCATGGCAAGGGTGGCAGAGAGGAAGAATTATGCTGAGGAAGTAGAACTGACTAGAAGTCATGAACAATGCTTGGTGATTAGATTCTAGAATGGACGAATAAGGCTCTGCTTTGCTCCCAAGCTTCTGTGTCAGTAATGGCTTCATTCATCTACACAGGGAACAGAGGATGGAGAGGTGATGTCTTCAGGCTAGGGCATGTACAGGGTGACCAAATCTGACCTTGTATTGTGCAAACTCAGGACTTTCGTAGAGGAAAGGAGTCACCATCCAGAGGGATGCCAGATAAAAATGTACAATGGGACTAAGCCAGGCAAACAGTGGCACATGTTCACGTTAGACATGTGGAATCTGATATTTCTGTAAGAAATACAGAAGAACATGGGAAAAATGGCAACAGAGGCCTAAAACTCTGCAGAAATGGCTGATCTTATAATTTGTGAACTGTTATTTATGGTTGTTGGTGGAGCCCATGGTAGTGAAGGAGATGGCTCAGGGAGACAACATTAAAGGCGATAAGGAGAAAAACTAATGATCAAATTCTAGTGAATGAAAGGGAAGTAAGGATAGTAAGTATAATAATAGAGTTTCAAATTAACATTTAATTTTAAAATTAATTATATGCTACTACTGTTTATTATTTAACCCTTCCCTTCCAAGTTAATTTCATTTACACTATTCATGAGGCTACACAGTTTAGTAAAGGGTCCATTTAAGCAGGATGAATTTAACTCACTAATTTCAGAATGAAAGCAAAAGCTCTCTGCATCTATGCTGAATTATTTGACATAAATAGCTGTCTTGCTACAGAAAGCAAATAGAGTACACTCTCCACTATAATTAGAATTAACATCAGATACTCCTAGAATCTTTCTTTGGCAATAAAATTCTTTTGCCTCAAATTCAGGTTGGGCCATGTTATTTCCAGTTCCTCACTATCAGAATCAAAGTAAAGATACAGGAAAGAAAATAAGTACATTTACCATAAGGAAATCCAATAATACTAGCTTAGATGGGAAGTACTATATCATTGATTGAATGCACAGTAATTTCAGACTCATCTGATAATTTCTTTAATCTAAAGGATGATATTACAGCAAGAATCTAATTACAGTTAAATATTTTATTTTAATATCAAGACATCATTGTGTCTCTGGATTTCTCTTTTGCCTCATTCAGAGTCTCAGAGATTTTAAAGTATATTTTTGATTAGATGCAATTTTTTGCTTACCTACTAACTTCAGAATCTATTCTCCTCTTAAGATGTGTCTGCTACTCATGTGTTTTCATAGAGCTAGATAAAAATCAGATATGGCTAGAACACAGATCTTGGGACTCCAGACGACTGATTTTGTGTCATATGAAGTGTCATTCTGTGACACAAAAATACAAACTAAGTTAAGTTCAATTTCTTTTTTATGAAGTAAAATCACAAAGGTAAATTTGCCAGGGTGTACTTAAAAATTCTCCATATAAAGTGTTCTAAGCTTATCATGCATTTCTTTCTTTTTTTTTTTTTTAACCTTTTTGCATTAGCAGATGTCTTGATTTATCCAGGATACACTTCTTTTTTGTTTGTTAGTATATCTAATCAAACTTTGATTTCGTATTTTGTTTCTTTTTTTCAAGTTTTTAAGTCTACGGCCCTTAAAGAATACCACATTTTTTCTACTATAGAAGCATTAATGAAAGGTGCTCGCCTTCTCACAGCTAAGTAGCCTTGAATATTATTGAACTCATGTAGAACATCAGCTTTGTGTGTGTGTGTGTGTGTGTGACATTCAGGAATCTGACTTGAAATGGTTGCAGTTAAGGGTTCTTTCTACACTCCCAGGACAATTGACCACACACACACACACACACACACACACACACACACACAAAGATAAAATGAGGGGGAGGAGCCAAGATGGCCGAATAGGAACAGCTCCAGTCTACAGCTCCCAGCGTGAGTGACGCAGAAGACGGGTGATTTTTGCATTTCCATCTGAGGTACTGGGTTCATCTCACTAGGGAGTGCCAGACAGTGGGCGCAGGTCAGTGGGTGCAGCGCACCGTGCATGAGCTGAAGCAGGGCGAGGCATTGCCTCACTCGGGAAGCGCAAGGGGTCAAGGAGTTCCCTTTCCTAGTCAAAGAAAGGGGTGACAGACGGCACCTGGAAAATCGGGTCACTCCCACCCGAATACTGCGATTTTCCGACAGGCTTAAAAAATGGCGCACCAGGAGATTATATCCTGCACCGGGCTTGGAGGGTCCTATGCCCACGGACCCTCACTGATTGCTAGCACAGCAGTCTGAGATCAAACTGCAAGGCGGCAGCGAGGCTGGGGGAGGGGCGCCAGCCATTGCCCAGGCTTGCTTAGGTAAACAAAGCAGCCGGGAAGCTCCAACTGGGTGGAGCCCACCACAGCTCCAGGAGGTCTGCCTGCCTCTGTAGGCTCCACCTCTGGGGGCAGGGCACAGACAAACAAAAAGACAGCAGTAACCTCTGCAGACTTAAATGTCCCTGTCTGACAGCTTTGAAGAGAGCAGTGGTTCTCCCAGCATGCAGCTGGAGATCTGAGAACCCGCAGACTGCCTCCTCAAGTGGGTCCCTGACCCCTGACCCCTGAGCAGCCTAACTGGGACGCACCCCCCAGTAGGGGCAGACTGACACCTCACACAGCCAGATACTCCTCTGAGACAAAACTTCCAGAGGAACGATGAGACAGCAGCATTCACGGTTCATGAAAAACCACTGTTCTGCAGACACCGCTGCTGCTACCTAGGCAAACAGCATCTGGAGTGGACCTCTAGCAAACTCCAACAGACCTGCAGCTGAGGGTCCTGTCTGTTTGTTAGAAGGAAAACTAACAAACAGAAAGGACATCCACACCAAAAACCCATCTGTACATCACCATCATCAAAGACCAAAAGTAGATAAAACCACAAAGATGGGGAAAAAACAAAGCAGAAAAACTGGAAACTCTAAAAAGCAGAGCACCTCTCCTCCTCCAAAGGATCACAGTTCCTCACCAGCAATGGAACAAAGCTGGACGGAGAAGGACTTCGACGAGTTGAGAGAAGAAGGCTTCAGACAATCAAACTACGAGCTACAGGAGGAAATTAAAACCAAAGGCAAAGAAGTTAAAATCTTTGAAAAAAATTTAGACGAATGTATAACTAGAATAACCAATACAGAGAAGTGCTTAAAGGAGCTGTTGGAGCTGAAAGCCAAGGCTCGAGAACTACGTGAAGAATGCAGAAGCCTCAGGAGCCGATGTGATCAACTAGAAGAAAGGGTATCAGCGATGGAAGATGAAATGAAGCGAGAAGGGAAGTTTAGAGAAAAAAGAATAAAAAGAAACAAACAAAGCCTCCAAGAAATATGGGACTATGTGAAAAGACCAAATCTACGTCTGATTGGTGTATCTGAAAGTGATGGGGAGAATGGAACCAAGTTGGAAAACACTCTGCAGGATATTATCCAGGAGAACTTCCCCAATCTAGCAAGGCAGGCCAACATTCAGATTCAGGAAATACAGAGAACACCACAAAGATTCTCCTTGAGAAGAGCAACTCCAAGACACATAATTATCAGATTCACCAAAGTTGAAATGAAGGAAAAAATGTTAAGGGCAGCCAGAGAGAAAGGACGGGTTACCCACAAAGGGAAGCCCATCAGACTAACAGCGGATCTCTCGGCAGAAACTCTACAAGCCAGAAGAGAGTGGGAGCCAATATTCAACATTCTTAAAGAAAAGAATTTTCAACCCAGAATTTCATATCCAGCCAAACTAAGCTTCATAAGTGAAAGAGAAATAAAATACTTTACAGACAAGCAAATGCTGAGAGATTTTGTCACCACCAGGCCTGCCCTAAAACAGCTCCTGAAGGAAGCACTAAACATGGAAAGGAACAACTGGTACCAGCTGCTGCAAAATCATGCCAAAACGTAAAGACCATCGAGACTAGGAAGAAACTGCATCAACTAACGAGCAAAATAACCAGCTAACATCATAATGACAGGTTCAAATTCACACAAAACTATATTAACTTTAAATGTCAATGGACTAAATGCTCCAATTAAAAGACACAGACTGGCAAATTGGATAAAGAGTCAAGACTCATCAGTGTGTTGTATTCAGGAAACCCATCTCACATGCAGAGACACACACAGGCTCAAAATAAAAGGATGGAGGAAGATCTACCAAGCAAATGGAAAACAAAAAAAGGCAGGGATTGCAATCCTAGTCTCTGATAAAACAGACTTTAAACCAACAAAGATCAAAAGAGACAAAGAAGGCCATTACATAATGGTAAAGGGATGAATTCAACAAGAAGAGCTAACTATCCTAAATATATATGCACCCAATACAGGAGCACCCAGATTCATAAAGCAAGTCGTGAGTGACCTACAAAGAGACTTAGACTCCCACACGTTAATAATGGGAGACTTTAACACCCCACTGTCAACATTAGACAGATCAACGAGACAGAAAGTCAACAAGGATACCCAGGAATTGAACTCATCTCTGCACCAAGCAGACCTAATAGACATCTACAGAACTCTCCACACCAAATCAACAGAATATACATTTTTTTCAGCACCACACCAATTCCAAAATTGACTACACAGTTGGAAGTAAAGCTCTACTCAGCAAATGTAAAAGAACAGAAATTATAACAAACTATATCTCTGACCACAGTGCAATCAAACTAGAACTCAGGATTAAGAAACTCACTGAAAACCGCTCAACTACATGGAAACTGAACAACCTGCTCCTGAATGACTACTGGGTACGTAACGAAATGAAGGCAGAAATAAAGATGTTCTTTGAAACCAATGAGAACAAAGACACAGCATACCTGAATCTCTGGGACACATTCAAAGCAGTGTGTAGAGGGAAATTTACAGCACTAAATGCCCACAAGAGAAAGCAGGAAAGATCCAAAATTGACACTCTAACATCACAATTAAAAGAACTAGAAAAGCAAGAGCAAACACACTCAAAAACTAGCAGAAGGCAAGAAATAACTAAAATCAGAGCAGAACTGAAGGAAATAGAGACACAAAAAACCCTTCAAAAATTAATGAATCCAGGAACTGGTTTTTTGAAAGGATCAACAAAATTGATAGACCGCTAGCAAGACTAATAAAGAAAAAAAGAGAGAAGAATCAAATAGACGCAATAAAAAATGATAAAGGGGATATCACCAGCGATCCCACAGAAATATAAACTACCATCAGAGAATACTACAAACACCTCTATGCAAATAAACTAGAAAATCTAGAAGAAATGGATAAATTCCTCGACACATACACTCTCCCAAGACTAAACCAGGAAGAAGTTGAATCTCTGAATAGACCAATAACAGGAGCTGAAATTGTGGCAATAATCAATAGCTTACCAATGAAAAAGAGTCCAGGACCAGATGGATTCATAGCCGAATTCTACCAGAGGTACAAGGAGGAACTGGTACCATTCCTTCTGAAACTATTCCAATCAATAGAAAAAGAAAGAATCCTCCCTAACTCATTTTATGAGGCCAGCATCATCCTGATACCAAAGCCGGGCAGAGATACAACCAAAAAAGAGAATTTTAGACCAATATCCTTGATGAACATTGATGCAAAAATCCTCAATAAAATACTGGCAAACTGAATCCAGCAGCACATCAAAAAGCTTATCCACCATGATCAAGTGGGCTTCATCCCTGGGATGCAAGGCTGGTTCAATATACGCAAATCAGTAAATGTAATCCAGCATATAAACAGAACCAAAGACAAAAACCACATGATTATCTCAATAGATGCAGAAAAGGCCTTTGACAAAATTCAACAACCTTCATGCTAAAAACTCTCAATAAATTAGGTATTGATGGGACGTATCTCAAAATAATAAGAGCTATCTATGACAAACCCACAGCCAATATCATACTGAATGGGCAAAAACTGGAAGCATTCCCTTTGAAAACTGGCACAAGACAGGGATGCCCTGTCTCACCACTCCTATTCAACACAGTGTTGGAAGTTCTGGCCAGGGCAATTAGGCAGGAGAAGGAAATAAAGATTATTCAATTAGGAAAAGAGGAAGTCAAATTGTCCCTGTTTGCAGACGACATGATTGTATATCTAGAAAACCCCACTGTCTCAGCCCCAAATCTCCTTAAGCTGATAAGCAACTTCAGCAAAGTCTCAGGACACAAAATCAATGTACAAAAATCACAAGCATTCTTATACACCAATAACAAACAGAGAGCCAAATCATGAGTGAACTCCCATTCACAATTGCTTCAAAGAGAATAAAATACTTAGGAATCCAACTTACAAGGGATGTGAAGGACCTCTTCAAGGAGAACTACAAACCACTGCTCAATGAAATAAAAGAGGATACAAACAAATGGAAGAACACTCCATGCTCATGGGTAGGAAGAATCAATATAGTGAAAATGGCCATACTGCCCAAGGTAATTTATAGATTCAATGCCATCCCCATCAAGCTACCAATGACTTCCTTCACAGAATTGGAAAAAACTACTTTAAAGTTCATATGGAACCAAAAAAGAGCCCGCATCACCAAGTCAATCCTAAGCCAAAAGAACAAAGCTGGAGGCATCACGCTACCTGACTTCAAACTATACTACAAGGCTACAGTAACCAAAACAGCATGGTACTGGTACCAAAATAGAGATAGATATAGATCAATGGAACAGAACAGAGCCCTCAGAAATAATGCCGCATATCTACAACTATCTATCTGATCTTTGACAAACCTCAGAAAAACAAGCAATGGGGAAAGGATTCCCTATTTAATAAATGGTGCTGGGAAAACTGGCTAGCCATATGTAGAAAGCTGAAACTGGATCCCTTCCTTACACCTTATACAAAAATCAATTCAAGATGGATTAAAGACTTAAATGTTAGACCTAAAACCATAAAAACCCTAGAAGAAAACCTAGGCATTACCATTCAGGACATAGGCATGGGCAAGGACTTCATGTCTAAAACACCAAAAGCAATGGCTACAAAAGCCAAAATTGACAAATGGGATCTAATTAAACTAAAGAGCTTCTGCACAGCAAAAGAAACTACCATCAGAGTGAACAGGCAACCTACAAAATGGGAGAAAATTTTCGCAAGCTACTCATCTGACAAAGGGCTAATATCCAGAATCTACAATGAACTCCAACAAATTTACAAGAAAAAAACAAACAACCCCATCAAAAAGTGGGCGAAGGACATGAACAGACACTTCTCAAAAGAAGACATTTATGCAGCCAAAAAACACATGAAAAAATGCTCACCATCACTGGCCATCAGAGAAATGCAAATCAAAACCACAATGAGATATCATCTCACCCCAGTTAGAATGGCAATCATTAAAAAGTCAGGAAACAACAGGTGCTGCAGAGGATGTGGAGAAATAGGAACACTTTTACACTGTTGGGGGGACTGTAAACTAGTTCAACCATTGTGGAAGTCAGTGTGGCGATTCCTCAGGGATCTAGAACTAGAAATACCATTTGACCCAGCCATCCCATTACTGGGTATATACCCAAAGGACTATAAATCATGCTGCTATAAAGACACATGCACACGTATGTTTATTGCAGCACTATTCACAATAGGAAAGACTTGGAACCAACCCAAATGTCCAACAATGATAGACTGGATTAAGAAAATGTGGCACATATACACCATGGAATACTATGTAGCCATAAAAAAGGATGAGTTCATGTCCTTTGTAGGGACATGGATGAAATTGGAAATCATCATTCTCAGTAAACTATCGCAAGAACAAAAACCAAACACCGCATATTCTCACTCATAGGTGGGAATTGAACAATGAGAACACATGGACACAGGAAGGGGAACATCACACTCTGGGGACTGTTGTGGGGTGGGGGGAGCGGGGAAGGATAGCATTGGGAGATATACCCAATGCTAGATGACGAGTTAGTGGGTGCCGCGCACCAGCATGTCACATGTATACATATGTAACTAACCTGCACATTGTGCACATGTATCCTAAAACTTAAAGTATAAAAAAAAAAAGTAACATCATTTTCTCAAATTAAATATTTAAAAAGAAAAAAGATAAAATGAAACCACAACACTGAAGGAAAAAGGTCTGTTCCTGGTTTCTTGTCAGTAGACATTTTTTTCTCCCATAAATTCCCATCACCTCTAAAGCTGGGCTACACAGCACTGAGCACTTACTATTGACAATAGCTGTGGGCAAAATAGAAGCCATGGCAGCTTGCTGAGGAAGCAGCTGAATTGAGTCCAGCAGGCGTGCAGGGTACATCCCTTCTGTGAGAGTCATCTGACTGGCAGCTTGTAGCCTTGAGTCAAAATCCACCACAAAGGCAATTAGCTCTTCACCCTCAGAGATGGCCTTCGTAGTTGTACACCAAAGCTGACCCCCTATTAAGAAGAAAAAAGAAAAAGATAAAATTGACATAGGATGCTTGAGTCTGTTGTAAACTAGATTGATGTCCATAGCACCTTCTCATGTTTTTCACACTGGTTTCTACTGGAGTGGAGTGTTTGATCAAGGCAACAGCTGTGTTCCTCTTGCTTCCTGTGTGGAAAATTGTACTCCTTGCATTAAATGAACGATTTAGTGACCAGAAGTAGGAGGAGACTAAGAATCAAGTACAGTATAAACATAATTTGTAGAGATTTTTGTCAATTGTTTGCTTTCTGGGGCTTGCCTGAATCAGTAACCTTACCAGTAGATTGAGACAGTACCTAAAAACCAGCATAGTAGAGACCCAACTGCTGAAATTTATTTCATATGAGCATTTGGAGTTATTCTTTCTATATTTTATGAAAGTAAAAAGTTATTTATCTCTCTCCTTCTTTTCCCCCCATGAAATACTTCCATCCTATCAATACCAATGCCCAAACTACAGAACAAGTAAACAAAAACTCCTAAAATCTAGAAAATTAAAATGAAATTCAGGTAGTTGTACTCTGCTATGTCTGCTACCATTTTCTGGCTGAATAATCTTTACTTATATAATATTCCGTATAATGTAGCTTCTTCATCTCCATTTACCCTGATTGAACTTCCTGAAATGAAGATATGCCAAAAATCCTTTTCAAAAAGGCTCATTTAAATAAAGATTTGTTTAGATGAAAAGAAATGTCTCTTCAAACACTGAGATATACTCTGGCACTGCATGTCAACGATCACATGTTGTGCATTAAAAAGAAAAATTAACTATGCAAGTACATCTAATGTATTGGAATGTGATAGCGAATGCTCGTTTATTTAACATGTTTAGACAGGCAAAGCACTTATATTTTGTTATCTACACTCTCAGGCCTAGATATGTATCCTATACAGTTATGCCTGAAATAATGCAGCATACTTGATATGTTATAAAGCTCTTTTTTTTTTCATTGTGTATAGATTGGAAGGCTGTGTATTGCACTCATTAAGCAGCCAAAACTTGTACCCACTTTGATAAGTCATATTGCTCTGTTTATCTTTCAACATAACTGTCTTTTCAACTGCACTTCATTTTTTCCACCCTTAGAGCTCATGGTTTTTAAACAACTTGTGGTAAAAATCTGGTGGAAAAGATAACAACAGTATATGATATGGCAGAGTTGCACAGAAGAATCAGAACATTGTTTTAGAGAAACGTTGGGCAATTAATTAAGCCAGCTGATTAAGTTTTAAAGGTAAGGAAACAAAACACCATCTGTGAGAGTATATGATTGTTAAAAAATAAAGTTAAGACTACAGACCCCAAATTTGTGTGAAAGTTTCAAAGTAACAAACAAATACACTAAAATGCTAGAAAAGTAAAACAACTACTTTTCACGAATGTATCTGAAAGCATACAAGTTTACCACAGTTGAATAAAACAGATTCATTTTGCTTTGATTTACTTCTTTTCAAATAATAGAAGCTAAACCATATCATGTCGAAATCAGAGGAGCGATGAAAGTGTGAGTGGTGGTATTTCTGCTGTTCTCCCCCCTGAAGGCTTCTGCGATTAGCTTCTATGCCTTCCTTCCCTTATGGGCATTCAGATCCAAACTACTTGCAACTGTAGACAAGGTAATCATTTAATCATTTGCATCTTATCTTTCCACTGAAATACAGTTTATTGAGGCTGTGTAACGGAGAGCTAGGGGAGACACAACAAGAAACCACAATTCAGGTTTAGTTCATATGGTGTTTCAGAGTCACTAGACTTCAGTCATTAACTTTACATTATTGGTAAGTCCAGCTATGTGTACCTTTCACAAAAGCAAAGAAAGAGTTGGACTCAGGTGCCCAAGAGAAATTGAGGTTTTAGAGAAGATGCCCAGCCAAAAATAATCTTTATCACTGTGGTAAGCTATAAGATAGGACGACTCAAGAGTATTTATGCTCAAATTCTGAACCAAAAGATTTAGTAAATAAGTAAAATTAAATTCAAAAATACTAACTTCAAATAAAAGTGAACAAAAAATCATTTGTGTGCATCATTAAATGACTCAGCAGTTGTAATATATATTTGTTTTCAGATGTACCCAATAATGTTTCACATTTATTATCTTTATCACTTTATCTCATTTGATGGTTTAGTCAGAGCGTATCATTCTAAACGGCTAAATTGGACTGAAAATGTACTGTTGGACTTGAAAAGAAAGTCAGTTATCTTTGGATTTAATCTTTCAAATCATTCGTTAATTGGCTATTCATTGAAATCTCTGCTGCATGCTAGGCTGGGCGCTATGGCTTCACATGCAGCTCTACAATTAGAATACACACATATATGCAAATATATTACAATATCACATTAAGAGTGTCATTCCTTCATGCTAAAGAAAATGTAAGAGGACTGAGTAACTGACACTTCTTGGAGAAGTTAGACAAGCTATCCAAGGTGATGTTTTTATTAGTTCATGAAGAACAAATAGAGGTAAAACAGCAAAAACATGTGTAGGCAGGACCAGGCAGGTACATCATTATTGCCCTATAAATGAGGAGGTGTGAAAGTTAAGAATTATAGAAAAGTCACCCCAGTGAGTAGTTGGGACTACAGGCGTGAACATCACTCTTGGCTAATTTTTTTTTTTTTTTTTTTTTTTTTTTTTGAGACGGAGTCTCCCTCTGTCGCCCAGGCTGGAGTGCAGTGGCGCCATCTCCGCTCACTGCAAGCTCTGCCTCTGGGTTTCATGCCATTCTCCTGACTCAGCCTCCCGAGTAGCTGGGACTACAGGCACCTGCCACCACGCGCAGCTAATTTTTTGTATTTTTAGTAGAGATGGGGTTTCACCGTGTTAGCCAGGATGGTCTCAATCTCCTGACATCGTGATCCACCCGCCTCGGCCTCCCAAAGTGTTCGGATTGCAGGCGTGAGCCACCAAGCCCGGCCAATTTTTTAAAATATTTTTTGTAGAGATGGAGTCTCACTATGTTGCCCAGGCTGGTCTAGAACTCCCGGGCTCAAGCAATCCTCTTGCCTTGGCCTCCCAAAGTGCTGGGATTGCAGGCGTGAGCCATGGTGTCCAGCCAGGAGTTCTTTCTTTGGGCCTGATAAGCTAAGTGGTTTATGTAATTCATCTATTTTAATCCTGTCAATTACTCTGTGAGGTAGGTAATATTTCCCTAACTTTAGACTTGAGAAAACAGAAGCTTAGAGAGGATAACTAAGTTTCCCAAAGGAAACTTAGGGTCAGTGGCAGAACTGTGACTTACACTTTTGTCTGTCCAACTGCAAAGTCCAAACACAGGGTCAGTGGCAGAACTGTGACTTACACTTTTGTCTGTCCAACTGCAAAGTCCAAGTGTGCGTGTGCGTGTGTGTGTGTTGTGTGTCTGTTGTATGTGTGTATATGTGTATGCACAGAAATAATGAATTCTGTTTTGAAAATGTAAAGTTTGGGGTACCTGACAGACTTCTGGTGAATTTATCTAGGAGGAAGATGGAACTTGGAGAAGACATACAGGCTGAAGAAAAAAAAATATTTTGGAAGTGATCAGCACATTCTAATTGACCATGGATGCTCTCTGCATTCATGTGGTAACCCAGGGAGAGTATGGAGTGAAAAGAGGATCACCAAAGAAACTTGGGGTATCTCAACATTTAGGAAGTGTGCAGAGAAGATGAGATCATTAAAATGTACCAAGAGGTTATATTTAAATGTTAGAGGGAAATCAAAAGAATGGCACCACAAAAATCAAGGGTTGGACTTCTTTATAATTGTTTGGCTGAGTTTTTAGATGGTGAACTTAGAACGTACAACTTGAGGGAGTCATTTATAGGAAGTGATAACCCAAATATTGTAACGTAACTTCAATTACTGATGCTAATAAAATTTTCAGAGTGTGATCACTCTTGGCGGATGTTTGGGCAATGGAACCAGGCTGCCTGGGTGCAAGTCACTTATTATGTGACTTAGAACTTGTCACCTAAGCATTCTACCTATCAGTTTCCTCATTCCTGAAAATGCAGAAGATGATAGTGCTGAACTCATGATGTTATTATGAGGATTAAATGAGCTAATATATGTGAAAGCTTAAGAACAGCACCTGACATATAATCATATAATAAATAACATATAATAAATGTTTATATAATTGTTAGCCATTATCGTTTTGGTTTCATCCACTTGGGGCTGTTATTAGTCTCATTTCTCATTTCTTACTGCCCTGCTAAATCCAAGAGGAAAGAAATCTCACCAGAAAGAAAAGGCACACCTATGAATTCAATGAACAAATCTGTCTACACTTCACTGGAGGCAGATAACTCATTTTAGAAAAGAAGAATAAGGTTGCATTTGTTTATGGATCACCAACTATTGTGGACCAGTTAAAAACAGACATAGTTTCTAGCAATCTATGTGGATCTGAAGGGGCAGGAGAGCCAGTTTCCTATTTTAATGCTTCAGAGCTTAGATAAATATGGCCCGCTTTAATTTACAATTGAGTGGAGGGTAGTAGTATTTATGTAAATTAAGAAGCTATCCAAGCACATGAAAATGCTAAGTCATGTTGATATTTAGCTATGTTGGTATCTTGTACCCTTTGACCTTATGTTTAATAGAAACAAACCACAGGATATTACATTTGGCTTTAAAATGAGGGCATCATTATAAAAAAAAGTGTTGTTAAGGATGTAGAGAAACTGGAACCCTTGTGCACTGCTGGAGGGTATGTAAAATTGTACAAAATGATGAGTTATCCAAAAATTAAGACTAGAATTACCTATGATTTTAGCAATTCTACTTTTGGATATATATTCAAAAGAAAGGAAAGCAGAATCTCAAAGAGATATTTGAACAGCCAGGCTCATAGTGGCATGGTTCACAATAGCTAAAACATGGAAACAACCCATGGAAGTATCCATTGATAGAGGAATGGATAAGAAACATGTGATCTACACATACAACTGAATATTATTCCGCCTTGAAAAGAAACTCTGACATATGCTACAACATGGATGAAGCTTGAGGACATTGTACTGAGTGAAATGAGTGTCACAAAAAGACAAACAGTGTATGATTCCACTTACATGAAGTACTTAAGGTATCCCAAATCATACAGACAGAAAGTAGAATGGTGGTTGCCAGGGGCTGGGATACGGGGATGAGGATTTAGGTTTAGCATAAATAGAATTTCAGTTTGGCAAGATAAAGAGCTCTAGAGATGGATGGTGGTAATAGTTGCACAACAATGTGAATGCCACTGAACTATACACTTGAGAATGGTTAAGATACTACATCTTATGTGTATTTTATCAGAATTTTAAAAATTGAGAAAAAATGAGGTTACATTTTTTTTTTCACTACAAAACATCCTCTGTGAACCTAGAACATTGGCATGAAATTTTTAGCCATAACTAAGAATAAGAATATAACTTTTATAAAGTGGCTTCATATGAGATGATTTTAGGAAAACCAAAAAAAAAAAAAAAAAAAAAAAACCATAAAGAAACACAAGGGATAAGATCTTCCTTCTCGACTTTCCTAGCAAAGCTACTTAACAAACCCCATTTGAAATTCAAGTACCTAGTGAAATGAAGTTGCTGCTAAGAAGGAGTTCACTTTATTTGGCCATATTAAGTCTTTTCATTTGAATGAACTCGGGAGACCTGTGTAGATCTGAACATTTTTGAACAATTTAGTTCCTGGTTACTTGATTGATCTGAGTTTCTGCCTGTGTTTCCAGTGCCAGTGGAGTGTTCCTGTTGACTCTCTATAGAGGTGAAATTTAAGGAATCTAAACATGTTTTCTGTGGCTTTCATAAGAAGCAGTATGCTTAATATGCCCCAAATTTAAACGAAGTGCATTTTCAATACACTAATCCATATTAATGGTATATTAATATGAAAACAAATGGAATTCTGTAAAAGTATTGGGTGGACATATGGCAATGTAAATATATGCTCCATATGGTTGGGTTCTGCATCCTTGGATTCAATCAAACTCAGATATAAATATTACCCAAAATTACAATAATGAAGAATAATACAAGTAAAAAACCCATAAAGTTTTATATCAGGTACTTGAGCATCCTCAGATTTTGGTGTTTGAGGAAGATCTTGAAACCAATCCACAATGGATACTGAGGGACAACTATATGCTTCATTGATAAAACTGTTACTACTTTGTTTACACTGCCATTCAAGGGTAAATGTTCTTATTTTAAGGAATTACACACTAATAGTGAAGAACAGGTGGCACCTGAAATCACAGAAAATTTATTTGTCCTCAATGCAAAGATGAACTATGAAGAGCACTTTATTGGTGAGTAAGAAAGTTTAGTTTAGTTTAGTCCTGACTTCGTTATTACTGTGTGAGCTTGGAAAATCACATTACCCACATCACTTCAAATGACAGCCTTAGACTAAATATTTATCATCATCCAGTTGTGAGCATCTTTTTATGCTTCCATCATCATGTGCTAATAATAGTAATAATCACACATTTATTAAGTGGTTACCATGTGCTACACACCTGCACTGTGCTAAAAGCTTTGCATGAATTATCTTATTGATTTCCCCCAAGAAAGCAGTGAGGTGGCTTTTATTGATTCTCATTTTACTGTGGGATCATGATGCTGGAAGTGTAAGTTGTTCAAAGTCACACAGCTAGAGGGGAACTGGAGGAGGAGAAGGAAATATGGGAGATGGCATTTGAATAAGGCAGATTTTATGTGAAAAACTAGGTGTCCCAAGCCATGGCGCCATCTGGTGTTCACTCTGTAACACTCCTACTTTCATTACTAAGTTTGAATAATTGGCACAATTATCTCTCTGAAGGAAGAATACGGTGGTTCAATTTATGAAGCAGCATTAGGCAGGTTACATAGTTAGTTATTAGATAGAGTTTTTAAATGCATAGCTACAATATGGAGAATAAAATTTATGTGTGATGTGGAAGTGACTCCAAGTTATTTTATTATTTTATTTTAAGATAGGGTCTCACTCTGTCACCCAGGCTGGAGTGCAGTGGCAGTCACCGCTCAGCTCACTGCAACCTCTGTCTCCCAGCTCAGGAGATCCCCACTACAGCCTCCCGAGTAGCTGGAATTACAGGCATGTGCTACCACTCCCAGCTAACTTTTGTATTTTTAGTAGAGATGGGGTTTTGCCATGTTGCCCAGGCTGGTATCGAACTCCTGAGCTCAAGGGATCCTCCTGCTTCAGCCTCCCAAAGTGCTGGGATTACAGGTGTGAGCCACCATGCCTGGCTGACTCCAAGTTATCTCATAATGTGACTAACCTCATTAAAATAGCTAACACTTAGAAAGCACTTACTATGTGCCAGGCACTGTTCTAAGCACTTCACATACATTAAGCTCAATTATTAATATAAAATACAAATGCAGCACTTTCCCAATTCCTTAAATTGCAAGTTTAGCTGGACATTAAAAAGGGCATCAAGATTCGACCTAACCATCAAGCACTGACTGGCGATCTTGACTGCACAATACAGTTAGGAGGGGAACTTGGAACCCACACTGATTTTGGACCCTACCCAAGAGCCATCAAATCAGTCTCTGGGACTGAAGTTTGGGCTTCAGTATATTTTAGAAGCTCTCTGGAGGGCTTGGTTTGCTTCCTTAGTTAAGAATAACTGCCATAGGAGTAAACTATCTGCATTTTACATAGTGTAGAAAGAGTTAAGCTCTATGAACAAAAAAGTGTCTTGATGATCAAATGTTTCACAGGAGTGTTCAGACAATTCAGTAGAGAAGACGTCCATTTTGAAACTCAGAAAATGACACTTGAAAATAGCTTTTATTTATTTGAGACGGAGTTTTGCTCTTGTTGCCCAGGCTAGAGTGCAATGGCACGATCTCGGCTTACTGCAACCTCCACCTCCCAGGTTCAAGCGATTCTCCTGCCTCAGCCTCCCAAGTTGCTGGGATTACAGGCTGGGATCACACCTGGCTAATTTTTTGTATTCTTAGTAGGGACGGGGTTTCACCATGTTGGCCAGGCTGGTCTCAAACTCCTGACCTCGGGTGATCCACCCACCTCGGCCTCCCAAAGTGCTGGGATTACAGGCATGAGCCACCGCGCCCGGCGAAACTAGCTTTGAATGTTTCCTTTTCCTGCAGCGTTTGAAGAATATAGGAATGATGAGTGAAATGGTGAAGGAAGTGGATAAACAATGATGTAACGACTGAGCGTCATCTTGCAACTGAATAAGCCAGTGAGGAACTTGGTAAATTTGTTGATTATATTTAGTTTTACAATGTTTAATTCTTTATTATTTTGAAGTGATTTATTTTATTATTAGGAATGATCAATAGTAATGCATCTTCCAAAACTGTGGAAAGATCATATTGCGCAAACTAGAGCAAAAAATCACATTCCTCTTGCATGGGCATGAAATCTTTATCAAATGACATCAGGCACTGAAGCAGCTATCTGATACCTTCCTCGCTTCCACCAAATGGAAAGGTTATTTTAGGATTCTCTCTTTGTCTGTCTCTTATGCTGCAAACATAGTCACTCTCCTCAGTCTTCATACTCACAATACCACTCCCTTCACAAATAAAGGACAAATACTTATTCAAGGTTCTGTGAAAAGGAATAACTACTAAGACCTTGACATTCTTGAAAAAGCATATATTTGCTGTTCTAAGTAATGTTTATGATCAAGGTTCTTGTGCAACCAGATACGGTTTCTAACAGGAAGCTTATAAATTTTTCTTATAATTGCTGTCAAAACCGCAGTGACGTGTACTACAAGTTTTGATAATAAAGAATAAAGTCACAGTTCAAACTCGATTATATTTTGGAAATTCATGCGCCTGTTACTAGAAGCAGTGGCCTTAAATATCTTCCCATCCTGCCAAATTTTTCACTTGCACTTTTTATTATTTATGAAATCAGTCTCTGCACAATGTCATGCAGACCTCTGCTGATAAACTCTAATTAAGATTAAGACAAGCCTTTTGGAAAGGATCCCATCATTAGCAAACATGATAAACACAAAAATACTCCCTACTTGTCAACCAGGAGCAATTCAGTAACCTAACAGTATTATCTGTTGCTAGGTTACAGAGCTGACAAAGCTTCAATTATATTGTTCGACCATACCTATAGAGTTCTGTATAAGCAAAATGTATCCAGAATAAAAGCTTTTAACTTCATCCATGCTATCTGCAATTCATGGCTTCTTACAATGGTAAAAATCAGGTTAATAATTACATAGCACGCTGAAAAATATTTTCCATGTGTTATGTCTATACATGTTTCTTTCTAATTTATCTGTGTGATTGATAGACGCTTGCTTTCTAAAAATAAGGAAATGCAAGGAATGTGAAGCTGTAAACCTCTAGCACAGCTACGGGGGCTCATCAAGATATGGACCTAAGCTTAGCATAAAAATATATAGCAAATTGAACCAATTAAATCACATTTAGATTTTGTATTACTCTGCCTCAATATAAAGTAGGATAAGGAGCCTTAGGCAATAGATAGGAATATCAGTGTGAAACTTTAAGCTAAAAACAAACAAGCAAACAAACCGCATACATCCTCACTAACAATACAAAAGGAAATAGATGGTTTAAAATAACAAGTTATTCTAATGCCTTTTCTAAAGACATTTAAAAGTTAGTTAATGACTTTTACTGCATAGCATCGCCATTAAGTCTCATTTCTCTTTTTTTAGACTAGAAATTCTGGGGGAAGAAAATCAATAAAACATCTTCCAAAATTCAGATATTTAATAGGGAAAAAACAAAGAAAAAAGACGTATGCGTAAAAAAAAAAAAAAAAAGATGACAGTTTCTGTGAATCAGGCTCTCAAGATTATTTTACCATGGGTAATTTTTGTGGTTTTCATAAAAATTTGGAGAAAAAGTAATTATGCATAACGGAACCAGCATTTTTAAATAGCTCTTGCATAAAATATGCTATACCATATACTAAATTGCTACAGCATTTTGCTTCCTTAAGATGTAGACTGATATTTCTGCATTGATCTAAAAAGTCTATCTCCTCCACATACCATGGAAAAAGATGGTCAACTGATGACAAGCACTTAGTTAATGACGATTACACATTGGCCTGTGAAGTAAATCATGATCTCTTGTAGGCACATTCAAGTAAAATTAAAGCCATTCTCTGGGGGAATAGGCCATTTAGCAAACAAACACACACACGCACACACACACACACACACGCATGCACTCAGACACATGCAGACATACACAGAGTATCATGTTTCTGGAGGTGGAGAAAAGCGGAATACTTACTTGTTTGGTCATTAACTTCTTTCATTTTTACTAAATAAATAATTAGAAAAAATCTCACATGATACCTCCCTCTGAAATCTGTTTTTTTCATAACTGAGAAGTGATTGGTCAGAAAAATTCCTTAAAAGCTAAATAACTGTCCCATTTCAACATCGCATGTGGTAATGCCTAGATCTCAGGGTCTAGGCATGAACACAGGACATATATCTATACGTAACCACATTGCTTAATACAAATTTTATAATGAATTCAAATCCAATACTGTTGAAATTCTTGACAGTGGAGTAGTGGAAGGAATAGAACTTATAAATTATGGGTGCCCCTTCTTTGAAAACCGCTTTGGAGGTTTCTTTGTGCCTTGGCAAATACAGTAGGAATATGAGGTATTGTGTGGATCCTCCTGCACAGCACCTGATAAAAGAATAAAGAGCTGTGACATATTCTTAAAACAATAGAGGAATTAAAGGGAAACAATGGGCCAGCTGCTTCATTAATACAATCAAAAGGGAGCCCAGCACAGAGAAGTCCAGATAATTAAGCACTACTCTTTTAGCCTTCCTTTCTATAATAAAATTGCTTATAAATGTATTAACTACTTCATAGTTGTTAGATAGATCTATCCACTTGTTTATTTAGAGTTGATTAATGCCTTTTTTTCGTATGCAGCAACATGCCAACTCATAGTTTACAATAGTTTTTGAATAAAATAGAGTAAAATAATTGATAAAGATCTGCACAATACACAGCAATAAATCAAAGCATTTTGCAAAAGGTCTTTCCTGTTTTTAAATGATCTTTAACTTTTTTCATTTGTACTATATAGGCAATGCAGGGCATTTGGGGGCATTCAACTTTCCCATGCTGGCACTCCTGACAGCTTTTTATAGAACATCCTAGAACTTCTTGGGAGAAGGGAGAAAGTCAGACCTGACCAGCAACTCTGGAGTGTGCCTTTTGCATTTGGACCAAAGGAGAGGACAGATTTTTTTAAAAAATTATTCTTTGCCTTTTCCAATCAAGAGGAATGGACAAATGGTAGAAACTATTTGCCAAATACACTATTTATCCTTCATTAACTTGATTATAGAAAATGAAAACGCAAACTTTTTATGCTCTTTATGTTAAAACACATTTTACAATTTAAGATATCAAGGCTTTTGTTCTTCAGCTCTTCTGTAAGCAGCCTTTCCTCTGATGTCAATAGAACATTTAATTGCTTAAGAACTGGAAAATTGGGACCTAAATACTTGTGCTGAATGCTGGAGTTCGATAAAAACTGCACTCTGGTTTTCTCCCAAATGCTTTTCCATAAGCTTATGTCAACCCAACTTTAAAATTACAAACTTGACTAACCCATGTGGTCAGTTTCTATTCTGATGATTTCAAGACTTTAATTGAGTAACCAAGACAGAATCAGAAAGAGGAAGCAGGGAGATAAATGGATAGAGATGCTCAGCCATACTTCTGGACTAAGAGAAGATTCTGCTTTTACACATATGTTATATATAATTTAAAATGTATCAGCTGAAGTCATATTTCCAAAGAACTTTCTGTATTATGTCAATATTTTATAGGATATGGAATATCTATTTCTGGGTATGAAACCTGGCTTCCAACTTCAGTAGTTAGTTCCCTATTCACTTAGTAAGTTTTCCTTGAATACCAGGAAATAAAAGCATATAAATAGTCAGTAGCTACAAACAAAAATAACTAGTTTAGGAGCTACGGTATATGATTACTTATGTGACTATTTTTGTCTTGACTAGGCTCACAAAAGTTACTTGGTTAGAATGGAAAGTAAAAGTAGATAAATAAGAATTGTTTATAGCCTATGAATAATGAAGAGAACTCTTCAAGTATACATATCTTTGAACACATCAGGTTATAAACCATGTCCTTACACCAATGTAAAAAACTAGTAAATGTTGGCCATGCTATATTGTAAAACTACTAAATTACAGTATCCTCTTTTAGCAAATATGTTGAAAATGAGCTTAAAGTAGAATCTGTGATTTATGTGTCATTTCAAATATTATATCCTTTATTACTTAATGTAAATTCAACAGATAATATATAGGTCTGATCGGAACTTAGAAACAAAGAAACATGAACAGCCTCATTAATCTATATAATTAGCTGTGGCAAACAGGAAGTACTATCATTCCATTTCACAGAAAAGGAAAGCAAAGCCAGACTGGTTAAACCGGTGCATTCCCTAAACTCCCCTCTTCTCAAAGAGGGCATTCTCTGGCCCAAGCTTGTAACAGATCCCCGCTAGAGTTTTGCTTCGTGGCTTGTATTCTTTCCACAGTACTTTTTTTTTTTTTCCTTGTAAGAAAATGTCTCCTATTAAGATAATTTCCTTTCTTTTTTAAGAAGCTCATGATGCCTCTTTCGGGAAAGTAAACAGAGTCATTGTCATCAGGCCCGGATTTCTACTGAAGCATAAGCTCAGAAAGTTTTGTCCCGTGAATATAAAAGCACTCAGAGCTTTCTGGAAAACCTGAATTAATGTGTTGGAGGCCATGGGGCTCAGGTATCCTACCTTGGGTTTAGTCAAACAGAAAAGCTGTTTTTATGGGATTTCAACAGGAAAAGGCCTGTGCATGAAGTCTCATCAGCATTCTGGGGTTTGTGCCCTGAGTGCTTTGCGGAAACTTGCGGTGGGGCACTGAGGTAGCCATCTGACTGTCTGGCTCCCTGACCAACATGATTTTAAATGACCAGCCAAGAGGTGACATACACCCCAAAGGCGAGCTGTCAAAATTTCGCTTGCAGCTGATAAACTGATTACAAAGCTGCTTAAGACTCTGCTTGTAAACAAAAGCATTTATCAACTAATAATTTGCAATAAACTGATGTAACTCCCAGCTGAGCCCCTAACTGTAATTGTCTTTACCATCTGCCTATTAAAATACCATTCTTCATCAGCAATCAGGAGCAGAAGGGAGGAAATCTCCACCAAAATACACAACTTGTAAGCTTATGAATAATCTGATTGCATTCCACACTTTCATTACGACTTGTGTGTTGGGTATGCTTAATTTTCATTCTTGCCTAGCCTGGGAATGCACTGAAATTAGGTGGAGGGAAAAAGAAGAGGGGAGGGGGGGAAATGAAACACTCTGCCTGCTGCTCTGCAGAGGAATAAATTATACAAGTTCATCATAGGAGGCTGTTTCTAATTTCTTTCTTTCTCCTTCCACTTCTCTGTGCAATATCCATTGCGGTATCCTGATGAAAACCCCCCAAGCACCAAGCTGAAAATGAACCTCTCTATTCCTTTGTCAGCTTGTCCATTTCTATTACTCTTGTTTTGCTTTTTTTTTTTTTTTTTTTAATTCCAAGAGGCTCATTAAACTTCTCTAGGGAGTCAGTTTAAAAGTGTTGACTGCTACAGAGGGAGAGTGAAGGGCTGGGTGGATCCAAGGGATGGAAGTGCTAAGTAGCTGGCAGGACCCTGTGTTTGCAGGCCTCAGTTTGCCACCACAGATGGGTGGCTTCCATCTTCGCGTCCCCCTCAAGCACTTAGAGGTTTCTCCTCCCAAAAGCTGGATTTTAGCATCAGTAAGTTCAAACAGCCAGAAATTCTTTTCTTAGAAGAAATTCTGCCCCTTTGCTGCTGACCAGATGCTGCTACAGAAGAAAGAAACTAGGAAAAGGGTTAAATTCTGTGCTTTGTATTTTTCTGGAAACCATCTCTGAACAACCAACATCATTTTATGCCTTCATAAAGGTTTACTAAGTTTTAAGTATATTTATCTGAATTTTTTCTTTACAAAATATCCTACTTATTTTTACAAACCACAATATTAAACACACAAATTTCTCTGACATTGACATTTTAAAACTAAAAATACTATACTTGTTTTCATGTCCCTTTGCTGCCCAGACAATGTTCCTTTTGTCAAGTTATTCCTGTTTTCAGGGAACATGTTATCTCTCCAGCAGAGCTCAGTAATTCCACTGATGGAGACCACGGGATACGTTATTATGATGAACAATGACCAAGACCTGTTATTAAGGTTCAAATTCTGGGGATAACAATAGGTGTCAAGCTTTTTAATTATAACATATAATTATAAATTGATGTTTGTGTTTTTTATTTCATTTTTCTAAGAGATTCTGCATAAGTAATTATTTTTCTTTACAATCTACGGTTAAATATAAGAGAACTAGTAATTGCCTACTGGAGGAACAGTGGGAGTGGCACACAGGCACCATTTTCTTATTGTGCCTGGTCTAGAGAGGAAAGCTAATGGGGAACAATGGGTCTAATTTTCTGCATAGATTATGGAAGGACCTGAAATGCAGGCAAAATCACACGTGACTATGTTCCTTGAATTTCAGAGACATATTAGGACAAAGATTTGCCGTGGATTTTAAACAACATGAAAACTGTCAGACGCTAATTATGTGAAGTCTAATTCTTTCTAGAAACATTTTGTTTCCTTCTCATCCTAGCTTTCCAGGCTTTGAAATTCTTCAGTCATAGAGATTATTTTTAATTAATAAAGAAGATATGGAGTATGAGTGAGTGTGTTTCATTGTGTTGACTTATCATGTCTTTTACAAAAAGTAACCAAAAATCTACAATATGATTTAACTCATAATTTAAGGTTTAAAGATGACTAAGATCAAACTTCCATGTTCAATGGCTGCTTCAAAATATTCACAAAGAAATGGTGGTGGGGGGTTTTGTTTATTTTATTTATTTTATTTTTATTTATCTTTTTTATTTATTTTTATTTTATTTATCTTTTTTCTCTAAATAGATATTTTCATGTCATGATTTAGATAAAACTAGAAAATTTAATAGTGTAGTTAATTAGTTCTATTTCTAAAACTTTTATGATAGTCTATTCTAAAATATGAAAATTCATTCCTTAGCTGAAAGGATTTATTTTATTTTTAAAAACTATTTTTTTACTCCAAATGAATATTTTCATATCATGATTTAGGTAAAACCAGAAAACTTTAATACTGTGCTTATTACTTCTACATCTAAAACTTTCATAATGGTCTATTCTAAAATATGGAAATTCAACCCTTTCCTTATCTGAAAGGTTACTAGATTTCTATCCTAAGGCAAATTTTGAATTATTATATGACAGTTTAAAATAAAACACTGTCATGTGATATAAGGGCTATTTATAGTACATAGATGCCCTTTCCTTCTCTTCATAAAGCTGCCTTTATATGTTGGTATATATACCTAGAGTCAATTTCAAATGACAGTGGTTTGGTAAGAAAATAGTTTTGAAAAAGTAACAACCAGCAGATGGCGCTCAGTGCATTCCTTGAAGTCAGCCAGAAGAAAAGAGAATGTGGGCTTTATTTATTTAATTCTATTCTACCTTAAATGTTAAGTTGCTACACCAAGGTTTATAATCCCCAAAGATTTATGTTAACTGACTAAACAACTTCGTCGTAATTTACAGACTATCCTCCAATGCTCAACTAAATGGCACTGCATTCAACTCACGTGCCCATGTCAAGATAACAAAGCATAAAGATGTAACTTTCCCCTCTGAAACAGGGTAAGAACAGAAGCCTGGGTTCCTGAAGTATAACATAAACTCACCAAGTGACTAGGGCTAAATTTTCTGGTGAAAATAAGGCAGTTTCCATTCCTTTACTTTTTACCACCTTGCTTTATTAAATGAAGGATGCAAAAATCTTATTTTTGAATGGATTCATAACCTGCATCACAGATATTTTAAAGTCTTCTTATAATAAAACTCTTTGAACAGATATTTGCACCAACACACATATACTGCTTCTAAATTTTAAGGGGAATTATGTGTGCTGAGGAGGAAAACAACAACAGGTTTGAATGGTTGAGACTATCATACATAGAAAACTGAGGTAACCCTTTACAAAGTATCTGAAGTTACATTCTTCTGTTTTCCTTCCTCTTTACCCCTGCCTGCTTTCTCCTCCTTCAAGCAGGGAAAGTCTTTGCTCTGAATTTTAAAACTTTATTATTCTTCAGTCATCTCTGGGTGTGTCTATAACTAGCAGTATTTCATTTCCTCTAATGACAAAGAGTGTAAGAAATTTTACCTGAGCATCCTTATAAATCCCTGTATGCTCACCTTCTCCCATCTGTTACTGTGATTTTGTCACGGACTGAGTGCTTTTCCCCACTTGAATTTAACTCTGCCTTGCATATTACAAAGGTAGTCATCATCACACTACATTCTCAACCCTCAACCCTTGCCATTCTTAAGTGGAAGTTCTGGGCCACAGTCCCAATTATATGGCTGCTTAACAGTGGTCTTAACCTTTAAGGTTTCAGTTGTTGAATTTCTAGGCAAAGTTCCATGAAAGCAAATGGAAAGTGATCTTGAAAACCTCCATGGGATTGTGTGTAATAAACATGTTGTATTCCACCATCACTTGTGAGGACCACTTAAAGCATGTATTTGTTGAAGATGCACAATATAGTTACTCCATAATCTTATTACCATTTAAGAACATTAGCATCTCTCACAAATTATATTAGCATTAGTAAAACAAAGGAAGTTAAAAACAAGTGCTCAGTCAACATAATAGCACATCATCTAATTTCAAAGGAAGAAATGGGGCTCCAAGTCATTGTAACTCCACAAACAGAAAAAGGGAGTCCTCGCTCTGCCCTGTGCTTTGAAAATCTGTCTTTCAAGGTCGGCCCTTCACAGTTCAGTTAGGAAGGGCAGCTTGGAAGGCAGGGTGGCTTTCTGCCAACGCTGTTGCAGATGAGTGGGTGATCTTAGGGGAATGAACGGCAAAATCTCAAATTTTTGCTCGTGTGATGATAAAACCAGAGCCAGCTAATTTTTCTAAGACTTGTATGGCCTTCTGTTGCACATCATTGTGCAGTTTGGAAGGATAAATTTTACTATGCATTAATTTGCACAAAAGGGTCAGTGCTATACTTAAGAGCACACCATTGTTTCCAATAGGATTAACAAAGATATATTGTCTTCATCCTGAAATAGATACAAACAGCTATAGAAAAAATGTGCTGTTATCACTACCTTTAAGAATAAAGAGAGAATTCTTTTCACTGTTTCACAGATTCCTGTTATTTGGATGGTGTTGTGATAGGATTTTGTAAAACAGGTCCATGTTTTATATCCCATATCATTAGTTGCCTCTAGGTATGAGTGTTAAGTAAAGGAAAAAGAAGAAGACAGTGGGGATCCTCTTCAGAGGAAGTTCTCTTCAAATACAGCATAACAAGTTGGGCGAAAAAAAATCAGGGTACAGGAAGGAGTGACAGAGAATAATTTTACATTCAGTCATAAAGATTATCAAAAAGTTCACAGGAAACACTGACTTGGACAAAATTATGACTGTTACTTCAACATATTTCTCTTCCTTTATCAACACTCAGGGCCCAGGCCAAAAATATACTTCACACCTGAGCATCTGCATCCTAGGAAGGCCAGGAGTGAGCAGAGCAAGAAGCAGGAAAGTCATCTAGATATAGCTCCCTAGAGGAAAGATAAGGAGATTGGCATTGCTTTATGCCTTTCTTAGTGGGTGATATTCTTTTCAATTCTCCACAGCTACCTAAGTCTATGTCTAAGCTGCACCTTCCTCTCTGTGAGTTGTTTGTTTTGCTATATTTGCTCCTTTGATTGCTTGATGTTTGTTTTGGCAAACAGATGCCTAGAATGCTTTACTATTGCATTTTGGTCTTGAATTACTAAATGAAGCTTTGTGGTTTAATAGCGTAGAGTAGCCAAGGTATTATTCAGCAGAACAGAAGAGTTTACTTACTATCTAAATAACAAAATAATGTGCCCTCTAAGGTTGAGTTATAAATGGGAAGAACTGAAATTATAAATTATTGTGCAATATTGTTTAAACACTTACTGTGAGGTCTTATTTTATTCACGATAATGTGGGGGTTGGGGGCGGAATCCTTGGTCATGAGCTGCCATATTAACAAAATTTAGAAACAGAAGAGAAATAAATTTTTGAGCATAAACTCACATGACTTTGTTTTCAGTTAACTTTCGTGAGATAAAAACCTTCTTCTTCTTTTATAAAAGCATTTGTAAGTTCAAAGACCCACACTCTGGGTGTTACAATAGTGCATCATTGCCATAGCTCATCTCTCTGGCTGTCTTCCAGAGTGTTGTGTTACATAGTCAACTCCACATCATAGGAGAACTAGTACAGGGTACTTGTGAGGGGAACACTGTTACTGACACCTAGGATAAGCTAAGGGCAATATGTTAGAATTGTGCAAATCTCTGCTGCAATTTTTTTCCAGTATTCTCATGATTCACTTTTAGCTCTAAGCTCACTAGATCAAGGAGAGTAAAAAGATCAGTCTGCTATCTCTTCTGCCTATAGCCTGAGAAAATTAAAATATAAATAAATAAAAAAGGAAACAAAAAATGAAGGTGGAATTATGAAGGGAAAAAGAGAATGTTTTTAACACATATAAGAAAAGTACAACAGATGATCTTTCTTTAAATCACATTAAAATGGAGGTGAAACAAGGCAACGTCTTGCTGAGGTTATGGTATTTTTTTCCCTTCGTACATAAAGGGTCCACCAGAATGATCTAGTTGATGCCTTCGGTTATAGCCAAGAAATTAGGGAGTGGAAGATTGCTGAAGAAGAAACTGAAAAAGTCAAGACAGGATATAATTAAGGCTTGAAAAGGATTTCAACAGAGGTAGGGTCAGGCTAAGGACAAATTGTGGTTATGTTTTATAAGCAGTGATAAGAGGAAAGACAGACAAAGGAGATACAGCATAAAAAACACAAGTTCATGATCAAGGCTCATTATATGATTGTGGTCTTGGAGAACCAACTAAGCTCTGACATAAAGAAAATGATAGTAAAGTGAGAAACCTAAGCCCCCCTCCCAAGCCCTCTCCCATCTTTCCAAAATAAAAAGTCAGAGAAGAGTGGGAAGTCTAGGAGAGGTGAAAAAGACACGATTCTTATGCTAGAGAAGAACATTTATCAGAATCTTTGAAGTATCCCATAGTAGGAAGTTGGCCATGGCCCAGAAATGTCCCAGTAAAGCCTCGAAGGGACCTGCAAGGATCACAGAGTCAATCAAAGGAAAACGGTGGATAAAATACAATCATAGATCCTGATTTTTATCTTGAGTAGCTTGAGTAGCTAAGTCTAGCTCAGCAGAAATGCAAGAGGTCTACTTTTATTTTCATATAAATGTAAGATAATGGGTGTTTCATAAATGATCGTGTTTCCTTTGTAGGTGAATATGTGTTTTGGAGGATAGACAGTAAACAAAAGTATGAAAATCCACCCAAAACATGAACATCCTGATAGACAGCAAACTATCCTTGCAGAAAGAAACCTGAGCTAAAACGTTTTCTTCAAACTTCCAAATAAAAGCTTTTGAAATAAGACAGGACTTGCAAATCTCTAGGTACATTTTTATCTTACTCCATTCAATGTTTCTCATGAGATTGTAAGTATTTATGCCTGATAGGAACCATGGGGGGGTTTCTGGATCTGTTAGAGATGAAGAAAATCAAGCTCCAAGGAGTTGGGTGATGTGCCAAAGGTTATATAGTATGTGTGTATGTATGTGTGCGTGCGTGTGTGTGTGTGTGTATGTATTTGTTTTCACATGGCAGTAACTTTTCATTGCTTTGTAGTTCATGACTTCAACTGTGGATATCTAACTTTTTCCCAAACAATTTTACAAGGTAGGTATTTTTATTATATCCATTGTAATAAAGAGTTCAAGGGATAAATCATCCACATATATAGAGATTCTAAATTGTGTGAATGGAACCCAAGTCTGCCCACTCCAAAGTTCTCAGTTATGCAACCTCTCAATTAGCTGAATATAACAGAATCAAGTCAGCAGTCTAACAAGCCCAGAAGACTCTCATAACTGTAAACTTCAAGAAAGGATCTTTATCCATTTGGGAGAGAGCTTTGATGATGGAGTGTAATTCACATGTGAAGTGTGGCTATAATATCCCCCTAAAACTTGTAGGTTCCTGAGATATTATAATGAGGCAACAAGGCAGTTCTAGTGAATTAATAAAGAGATGATTCTGTGCTTCTAGAGATATTTATACATTTCTCAGCTTAAAACAGTGGAAAATCTATTTTGCTTTTAACAGATGCTTCTACATTCCCAGGACTTAGTTTTATTAATAGTGTTATATCTAGGAGGTCATTTTATTTTTTGGATAATACATGTGAATTTAACTGCAGCTTCTACAAATGGTAATGAAGGACAAATGCACAAATCAATAAATACAGTACAAATTAATGTCACCCAAAAGTAAAGAGAGACGGAGAGAGAGAGAGAGAAAGAGAGAGAGAGAGAGAGAGAGGAATATGTGTTTGTTCCCTCATTAAGGTAAATTTTCTCTTAGCATGTGAACATATGCAATTGCACATTTAACTGGAGATGCCTGCTATAAGATCAATCAAAATTATTTTCATCCTTTCATTGGAGGACATGCTAAAGCAATAAATAACAGCCTCCTTCACTCCCTGTCCCAGTTCTGTGTACATTTCTGAAGGAAAAAATAGGGTTTTTTCAAACATCTAAATTTTGGAAAGAAATGGAAACCCTTGAATGATTTTGGAAATTAAATCATTTAGTAAAATAGCAACGGAAGCTTAGCTGTTCCAAGTTTAAGATATCAAAAAGCATTTGAACTGCTAGCCTCTCTTAGTCTCTCATCTGGCAGCCAAAAATTTTTTTTATATTCCCTGATTGTCTATTTTTCCCCAGTGAAAGTTATTACATTCCTTTACCCATTTTCTAATCAAAATCATTTCCAACTTACTTCAGTCTGTCACAATAATATTTTCATATGGAGTGTTGTAACCTAATTCCTTCATTTGAATAATACATTCATTTTTAATTACTGCAACTTGATCTCAGATTATTCAAATAACTGTTTCATTTTTTATGCTTACCCTGACCCCAGTGTATTTATAGGCTTTTATCCTTACCTGATACCAGTGTAATGTAATTATAGATTGTATTTTAATCATCTACTATATTCTAGTGAGTTTGTTTAAATCGCTCCAATCCTGAGCCTTTTATTTCTGTGCCTTTTAAAATTCTACAATGGCATTCTCTTTGCATAAAAGCAATATTTTTGTAGTTTACAACAATGAAATGAATATTTTGCGTGCATTGCTGGCTACAGTTCTCATTTAATAATTTTTAAAGTCACTATACAGGATGGTATGTAAAATCAAACCATGCTTTGTAAAGCACATCATTTGAAATCTTTACACCTGTTTGTCTTCCAGACTGCACCCCTAACCCCTCCATCTCCACTGTTTTAAAACCACAATATTTATTGTGATCATGAGATTGTATCTTTGACTGGCATTCAAATTCCTGTAGATAGTTACTCTGTTGTAGCAATAGACGCCAAGTCTCACTGATGGCAGAATAAGCTTATCTGATATAAATTATTTTCACCATCAATCATTTCATAATTTGCTTGACTATTTCTTAAACTATAACCCCCATCAGGAAAATCCAATATCATTGACCTCCTTTAGTGTGGTATCTAAGCGTTCAGCAGGATGGCTGATTTTAGTAACAAATTTAACAAAGAGCCAGGAATTTGGTCTGAGAAGATGGCTGGCAATATTGCCAACCTATAAAGGTCTAGCAATCATCTTCTGATCAGATTTATAGGTCTGAGAAATGGATTTTCCTGAATGAGTCTGATTATCTTCTCAAAATCCTGGAATCATATTAGATTCCTCATTGTCTTCACTCTTCATAGCCAATCAATCACTAAAGCCCTGCCAATTCTACATCCAAAACATCTTTCAAATCTCCTTTCCTTCACCTCTAGTGACCTTAAGTTCGGACCCCATCAACTCTACCTCTCAATGCCTAATCCCCTTACTTCCTGCCTTGTATTTTTCCAACCAGAGCTGCGCACTTATGCAAGAATGTGTGGCTGAAACACAAGTCTGATCCTGTTCCCCACTCAAGTAAGATCTTTGAGTGGCTCTCCATTGCCTATAGGATGGAACTCAAGCTACTTAAGATGACATCCCAGATGTAAATTGTCATCCTAGCTATCACTTTTGATTATGAGGAATCAAACTGATCTAAACAGATAACATGTAATTATAGGTACAAGCAAACGCTTTGAGAGGGAACACAGATGAGTGAGAGGTTGGAAAGCTTCGATTTCTCACATTCATAGTTAACGAAAAACAGGACTTTTCATAAATATTGCTGGTTATGACTATAGACCAAATCTTCCAAATTTCTATCTACAGCTTAGACTTCCTCATTCTCCCTCCATGCTCTGCACTTTAATCCCTTCTTTTACTCAAAATAGATAAAACTATGAAGATAAAGGCCATAAAGATAAATACAACACTCAAACCACATAACAGAGTATAGTTTTAAATCACTGACTGTTTTCACATTCAGTTTAACCAGCGAGATTTTAGCTAAATTTTTACTTATTGTTGAGTAAACTACATGAGGCCCCTTGAAAAACAATTTCCAGAAATGCCAGTGACAAATTATTAAAGTACAAATTAGAGGACAAAAATATTTGCCAAAAATTTCAGAAACAAGAGGCCACTTGGCATACCATTTTCTTTTCCTATTGTAAAACCTATCTATCTGCTGTATAAAGAGCATATTAACTTATTGAACCGATTGCTAGAAGTAAGTCAGAGAACCTTGAAAATATGTTACTATTACAAAATGCCTTAAAATGCTAAACAAAATAATGGCATGAAATAGGGATTTGGGGACGAGCTGCCTGATAACTCTCAAAAACGAATTATGCTGCATTTTCCAACCTCCATAGAGAAGGGCATGCTTCTCTTCGGATTTCTTCTACCATTTGGTGCAACACTCACTTTGGCTATATTCATACAAGCTTCATTAGAGAAGTAAAATGCAATTGTCTCCAGAGATCAAAGGACAATCTATTAAATAAAGCGACTGGAACTCTAGAATGAAATAATATGAAAAGTTAGAATTTTACGGTGAATCAAAATGTAAATTGTACTGGCATACTGTGGCTAAATGCAGAACTGAAGATCAGCTTTATTAAGGGGAAATTGACAGTGGCTTGAATGATATGAAAAAATATGAAAAGAAATATGGATTCTAAACAACCCATTTTACGTACTAGATTAAAACTAGTATTTGTGCTATTTTACAAAATTTAAAAGCACTGGTAGTTAACTAGGATTTTACTAAGAAATATAGAACCCCCAAATGATAAGTACTGTGATTTTTACAGCAAAATTCATATTAAATGATTCAGGACCTCTAAAGGATAGTTTATGCTAAAATAAAAACAAAATAAAGCCTGTTATCAACTATGTTCAGTGGGGGAAATAAAGTGACATATTGTACACTGACCACGTGGTCCTGAAATCTAAGAATTTTGCTCTTAAATGAAACAGAGGACTTAGTACTAACTGTTTTAAATCAAAGGTCATTATGAATTCTGAAAGCTAGAGCCCATGTTTGCCTGAAGGAAAGGAAGAGAGGTGGAGACAGGTAAATCAAACTTCTCTGCACACTAGGGGTTCTGAATTGGACTTCTTTTCAAATGCTTATCAAATACTTGGTGTTTTTTCTTCTAAATGAAAATGACAGATTCTAAAACACCTTACTGTGTATTTCAGTACATTACATCACTTAAGTCATTTACAAAATTGTATAAAATTACCCTGAAATCGCATCAAGTATAGCAATGAACCATGAAACTAAAAGAAAAAAAAATCATGAAAAAACACATTTCACTTTGCAAGGGAAATATAATCGAGTCAAGGTCTAAGAATGAAACAGTTACTCCTTTCACATTCTTGAATACAATCAAACTTATTACAACATTTTTTGAATCCATGGAAGATTTTTTTTTCTAAAAAGAAAACACTGACTAAATAAAAGTATTGATTCAGTGAATTATTGAAAAACGGAAGTAAAAAAGTCATAATAAGGATAATAGAAAATATCTATTAACATTCTACTGAAAATAGAAGAAAATTTTCTATAAAAATCCTGAGTGTATTCAGCAAACATTGCTTCTGCAAATTAATTTTTGGAATAATTTGATTTTGAGTATTTCCAAATATGTGTGTGTGTGTGTGTGTGTGTGTGTGTGTGTGTGTGTCAGAGAGAGAGAGAGAGAAAGAGAGAGAGAGTTTTAAACCTTGATCTAGCTTTACCACCAAAATCCTACAATTTTAAAGTTTGGTTCATGTATCACAAGGCAATTAATTGCACTTCTATCTATTCCCTGGGTTTCATGATTATAGTTCTAAAGGATCAAAGAGAGTCCTGGATACTTACCAATTAATCTTTAAATGACTGGAAAAACACAACAGGCTGAAAATGTGGTCAATAAAATAAATATCCTACTCAAGTTGTAGTATGCTCCCATTTCCAGATCCTGAAAGTAATTAGTTTACTATTCAGTTTCTGGGAAGAGCAGATTTTCTGCATTAATAAAAGCTTCTCTGCTATGCTAATTGGCTGCTGGGTAGGTAGGCTCTACATGTTCTTAGGACCATGATGTTTATGATCCCATCTTTTTTTAGATATGAAAAACAGCTTCCAAACCCTTAGTAAATCACCAAGCCCACTTATGATCTTACTCCATTTGCCAGGCTACTAAAGATAATCATCCCCATATAATGCAAAGAAGTGGCCTTTTAAAAATCAGACAGATCTGGGTAAGGAACTCAACTATAAATATTTAGCATCTATGTGACCTTGGACAATCTACTTAATCCTTCTGAGACACAGTTTCCTCATCTGGAAAATGGGGATTATCCTGTGTATTGGAAGATGATTGTTGTATAAGATCACTTTACATGAAGGACATAGCACAAGGTTGAACACAGAATAGTCACTTCAAAAATGTTAGTTCTACTCTCTTCTCATAATTATTTACTTGGAATGGCAAGAACTCTTTCCTGGAAGCTTTAACTAGGGCAGATTGTAAAAAATCACCTGCTTGAGGTATTGTCCCAGAAGGTATTGGCCCTAGAAAACACATTTCGTTTGCTACTCTGTTCTTGGCCCTGGTCTCCTTCTGGGGAGTGATTTATATCATTGATTTCAGACTGTTATTCTGGAAGGAGATTGGTCCTGTATAGCTTTCAGACCTCTATTGTCCGCTGCAATTTTGGAATAAATATGCACTTGCTAATATTCTGTATGCTAGAAATCTAGAAAATAGTTATGGGCTTCAAAACACCAAAACTCTTGAGACTTACATAATTTTGAAATTTCACAGAGTCCCAAATTATTAGAATTGTGTTTTGTTTTGTTTGTCAGATCACAGATTGAGTTTTAAAAGCTGGATAGATTAGGGGAAACTAAAAAAAAAAAAAAAGAAAGAAATAAAGTCATCATGATTGATATGTTATTTTTATTTTTTCTCTATATATTCTATAAATATGTCTATTTCTTACATATAATTCTCATCTATTTAGACAAATTTGACGAGGAATTTTAAAAAATCTCTTTCAATACATAAATTAACATGACAAATACTAGTTTTACCAATAAAGATCTACTCAACTTTAACAAGGTAGCTAGATGGGAAACATTATCATAAGGTTAAAGATTATATCATGTGTTATCAGTACTGTGCCATTGAGTCTGGATTTGTTTATATCCAAAATCTGGCTAAGTGGTTAATTATAAAATTGTAAAGCAATTGTGAAATGATGTGTGTGTTTGTGTGTGTGTGTGGTATAGCATTGTTTGGGGCATTAATTTTAAAAATAAAAACTATAAATGTGCAAAAATATTTATATGAACGACACTCCTGAATAGAAACTCCATTTCTAATAGTCAAACTTGATGCACATACTGGTCTCTTGGCATCCCCAGCTCAGAGCCATCTGTTACACTGGCATTGTGCCCACTCACAAGGAGTTATGCCAGCTTAACATGATATAGGTGACACCAAAATGAAGGTTTGAGAGGACAGATAGCGGAGTGAGCTATGAACCCTCCTGTAATCAGGACCCTTGGTGGCTGTCTTTATTGGAGTGGAGGATTTGTGTTAACTCTATGGACTCTGTGTTACCAAAAACTTCATTCCCCACCAAAAAATTCAGTGTGCTGTCACTCAGAATATTAAAAATGTTACCAAAGTGAGGAAAATCAAATACTGTAGTCTAAAACCTTGCACCATCTTGGAACTAATACTATCAGTACATATATTCTTGAGTAGGTCAAGAGCATCGTAAGCATTGATCATTGATTTTCAAAGGGACTATGAATTAACATATATAATACATATGCTTTATGGGAAGGAGCAGTACAAAAAGAATCCGAAACTTAAATTATTTGTCAAAAAGTTTCTTAAATGCTTTTCCTATAGCTATGAATTATGAATTAACTTATGCTATGAATTAACATATATAATACATATATGTTTTATGGGAAAGAGCAGTACAAAAAGAATCTGCAACTTTTATTGATCAAAAAGTTTCTTAAATGCTTTTCCTAAAGCATATCCATCAATTTCATTGTATTTATGTGCTTCAGTCCTTATGCTAATATATTGAGTTTCTACTCTATTGCTGGGGAATAAAAAAATTTTTATTTTTGAGACTATTGTTTTATCAAACTCGCATAACTTTTTACAAAATGTTATACTGTTAAAATATGTAAAGCAGCCTTCTTTCCATTGTCCTGCAGTTTTCTGAGTTAAATGTATTTTTTTCAGGAGGGAAGCAATACACAAAAGTCTGTAAGGGAACTCAAAGAAATATCTTGAGACAAGCCCGTGCGTCAAATCATCTTGTGTCTAAAGAGACGTTAGAAGGACAAAAGTAGAAATACCCATCCTGATATTCTTGGGGCATCATGAAATTATCCTTAGTTCCTTCCCAGATAAATACATAGTCTATGTACTTAAAAAAAGAGAAATAAGAAGACAAAGAAAGCTTTCAGAAAATAGTCTAAAATTGATTTTATCTAGTCTTGACTTTGTAATTCATGGGTTAGCATTGCCTGGTTAGATTAGGTAGCACAAAACATAAGGTGGCAAATAAGAGATAATTTTCATCATTAATTCATTTAGTTACTCAACCTGTATTCATAGAACACACAGTGGTCAAGGAAATGTGGAGCACAGAGGGTGAAAGAATACATAGAGCATTCCCTCAAAGTGCTTACTCTGTGCTCTTAAAAGAAAGGTGTAGATTTCTCCTCTACTGTCCTGCGACACTGGTCCCTTAGTAGGCCTTACATTCCATTGGATCTGTGTACTGAGATGTCAGCGGATCTCTGCAGATGAAATATTCATGATGCCCATAGAAATATATCCCCAAAGACTGAGATAACATGACTCAGCTTAGTACATTTTTAAGTTGTCAAGATGATATACCTTTGTTGTGTGTTCTATTATAACTTGGTCCTTTTTAGGCTATGTGATTTTGCATAATTGCTTATTCTCTCTGAAACTCCATGGATTTCTCTGTAAGATGACACAATATCTCATACTTCCTATGGTTGTTCCAAGGATTGTATATAAATATACAATCTGTGCATATAAAATATCTAGCACAGAAAAGGGACTCAACAATATTAGTTCAATCATTCATCAAGGTAGTGTGATTCAGACATAAATAATATACCCCATTACTTGTTTTCGTTTTAGTTGAAGTCTATCACCTATTTGAAAATGTCATCTGAAGTAGGCTACAACCTTTCAAAACTGGGCTTATTCCTTTTTCAAATATATCTTCTTATAATTCTATCCCTAAAGATGTCACAGTTGCTTGCTTAAGAAAAAAGGACAAATGTCAAAACCATATCATGATTTAAATCCACACATCCTTGCCTTGGTCTAAACACTATAATCTCCCTCATATCATTTCCTGCATAATTTTTTTGAACCCAAAGTCTTTAGACAGGAAGTACATTTAAGTTTATGTTTGCTTTGATTTTACACATAAATCACTGTTAATTAAATATTATGAAACTTACAAAAGTTAGACTTTGGATATGTCCATAATGACTGAAAATGTTTTAAGTGCAGAGTTGGTTAAGGGAAGTCTTAGTGCTACTGAAACACCATGCAGCTTTGCATTCTTTTAAATTTCTTTTAAATATGTATATTGCATGTGACCTACCTGGCCAAGGCTCTAAAAGATACAACCCCCTAACTAACTCATCAGCCACTTGCCCCTACATGTGATTTTTCCTCTTTAATTATGCTCCAGGCACATTGGTAAAGCTCTTTTTGGTCCAGGGCCTTAACCCCTGCTGTTCCCTCTGTCTGGCCAATACTCTCCCCTACTCCAAGTCATTCATATCCACCAAGAAGTCTTCCCTGAGCAATTACCACAGGCCAAATTCCATTGTTCAACACTCTTACTCTCTTTGGATAAGCCCCTGAACTCTCTCAGGATAATATCCACTCATCGGCTGACCTCTGAATTAACCTAATCTACTGTCTTACCTTCTAGAGCTGTAGAAAAGTAAGTTCTGTCTGTTTCGTTCACTAGCATAGCCTTTAAATATCAGAATGGCCAACACATGTAGGCAAACAATAAATATTTGTTAAATGTAGGGATATCATTATCCCTGGCAATGGTCAGGAACATTAAGGAGGCCTCCTCTTTGCATGCACCAGTAAGCAAGATATAAAGGTAGAGAGGGTCATGGTGAATGAAAAGAATTCATGGCTGAATTCATTCATGCATAATTGCATCCATCATTTCACCATGCCTACTAGATTGCAGTTCAAGATAATAATAAAGTCAAGTTCCTTAACCCTAGCAAGTTATTATCCATTTGAATAATGAATACACACATGTGCATACACACACACACACACACACACACACACACAAGGATTATCAAGAGACAGTCCATGCATCAACCGGAATCACATGACATCACTTGCTGTAAGAGTTTTAGGGGAGTAGAAAAATCATTATGCCAACAATAATTGGGAGCCTTAGAAAAAGAGATGGGATTTGAGCTGGCTCAGGAAGAATGTCTGTGAAGCGGATATTGTGGAAAGGCATCTTGCCCTAATAAAGGAACCCAGGTCTGCTAGTATTCTGTTTACCTTTGGCCATAATGGCAAAGTCAAGAAAACATGATTCTTTTCCAGCATATGGCATGCAATACTGTGAATGTGGAAAATCCATTTAATTTCCCTGGGCCCCATTTTGTTCATCTTTAAAATTAAAAGGCTAGTACACTGGTTTCTTTCAAATCATTCAAAGCCTGAACTTGGCGAATGAGATAAAGTAATAATGTCATGCCAACAGATAACTGCCACGATTAGGCAAGTCCAGGTGAGGTTTTAGAGCCTGCAAATAAAATGGTATTCTATGAGCCTAAGCTTACTCATTGTTATATGTGATATGGAGTTATATAAAGGTAAGGATTCAGCAAATACTTTATAACTCCACCTACCTAAACTCCAACTAGCCCCTATCAAATGGCATATTAAAATGTCTTTGGAAGGGAGTGTCATGATCTAAATAGATGCTTGTTAACACAGGCCAGGAAGCACTTTACCATCAGGCATGAGTTTCCTATAATGACTCTGGGTCCTGCTGTGGATGTCTTCCTAAATGAATAATCCATTCATATCATAACATGCCAACTACCTGAGGCATGATTTCTGTATGAGCGTTCAGAGTTAACAGGGCCCTAGCTTTCTATAACACTCTTATATTTGGTGGATTGGAATAACTCAGTAATGCATGTGGAAGCTGGACTAATTATTAAAGATCTATTTAAGGTTTTCAATCAATTGATTACTAAAATTTCCCAATAAGACTCCTAAAAATGAAGCAATAAGTTTTCTGTTAAAAAAAATCAAATGACTGAAATAAAAAGTCCAAAAGCATACAGTCCATTGAAGTATCCAGAACATTATTGCTACATTACTTCTAGTAATTATAAATATTCATTGTAGAGCCTTGGGTTCATGTATAGAATGTTTTTCTAATTAAATTTGGATTAACTTGAGATATGGCACAACTATAGATGATAGGTATAACTTAGCCAAGCTATTATATAAAAATACCTACTATTGTGTGTGGAATAAAGAGAGGGAGAGATTTTCAACTGTCAAGTATTCTCTTGGATAGGCAAGATTCTCCAAATTTTCAGAACTGCAGTGACATCATGATCTTGTCCTCCTTCATTGATCCCATAATTTGTGAATGCTCCCACCAGAGCCAGTGAATGATAGTCGTGATTATTTCCGCTGAAGCATATACCTTGGGTCTTCTTTGGTGTTCACAAAGCAGGTACTTAGGAAAGTTTGTTGAAAACAAGAATTGTCTCCTATTTATATTATTAATAAGCAATTGTCATTGTCACAGGTTGTCATTGTCACAGGTTGTGGGTCCTGCTCGCTATTACTCTGCCTGTATAAATGTAAGGAAATTCCTTTACTCTCCAATATGCCTTCCATGAGGTGATTCCTGATTGTAGGCATTCATCTTTGGAGTTTCATGTGGATATGGTTATAAAAGCTTTGGGAGACATTCTAGGATTCAGTTGCTTGGTGACTATTTGAACAATGAGGAAAGTGGGTACTGAGAGAGGTCCCAGGCTAATTAACAGTTCTATGGATTTATTTTCTGCACACATGACATAATTTCACAACACCAGAAGCCCAGAACGAGGAGGAGAATCAAAGGAGGTGAAAGTAGAATAAAAAGAACCCACTACATAGTTTTGTTTAGGGATGGCCCTGCTCATCCACACAATACCATTCCAGATTGTTGGTAGGTGTGTAAGTATATGTTCAAGAATATGGAAAATTTAATTAAGTCTTTAAAAAAATCAATAGATTCATTATCCATGATTGGTAAAATAGCCAAAGTGTTTGCAAATTTATTTTGAATTATGGAGTCATAAAGTATATTCCAAATATAATAACTACGCGTTTTGTCCTGGATGTGGAAGCAAATTTTTAATATGTGTTTAGATTTTCATTTTTAATTACACAGGTGACTGCTTAAACATTCCCTTTAATATAGGAAATTAAAATGTTTTCTAATAAGTTGAAATTAATAATTGTTTTTATAATTTTACACACAGACTGAATGAGTCTTTAAAAATATATCTTTTAAAGCAAAGCATATGCATTTTGGTCATTACAGAGTTATCTGTCTTCAACTTGTGAGTCTAATATGCAATCAGAGTAAGTGATTGGGCTGCTATAAATTTGGAGATAAAATGCCTTTAGACGTCACTCTAACAAGACTTGCATGCTATTAGTATTCTCTCAGGGAGCAATTTTAAAAGTTGTAACATAATAAAAAATGGTTGGACTATATTTCCCCACAGCTTTCATTTTATTATGTTGCATGAAATATGCCTTTATTGGCTATAGCATTACTGGAAGTAAAATATACTGGGTAGTGAAAAATTCTGTCACTTTGTATTAGCTGTAAATTATCGACTAGTATAAACCCTAATTTCATTTGTCACATTCTGTTGCATTGCTGCTCTTCCCTGTTCCCATTCTGTCATTCTGGCAGGCCCGCGCTGCCCCAGGTATCACGGCATCGCCATCTGCACCCGACATCTGTCTCTCTATTGATCACACGGGTTTAGCACTTGATCAAACAGAGCACAACAGAATACATCTCTTTTTGCAATACTGCCAATGCCAACTGCTGCATGAAATCTACAAAAGCCTCTACCTAGTTTAAAAACTGCATTTGAGTGGTTCTGCTTTGCTACCAAACTCAGCATTTTCCCCCTCTCCCGTCTTACATTGTGCAAGAGTTATATTGAAGTAAATCTAGTTTTCATATATTTCAGAATTAATCAGGCTAAATGTGACCAATGCCACTGATGACAATGAAAGTAACTAGGAGAGTTATAGAAAATAATGAATGCTTTTTAGGCCTACCTCCATGAAAGCCATTGTTCCTACTTTATTATAGTCTGTTTAGGGGCATTTGTCAGGATGCTTGAAAGCCTTGACTGCCCACCAGAGCTTTTTCGCTTTTCATCCAGCTGCTTTGGTGCTGTGGAACAGGAGCATTAAAGCTATCCAAGCCAGCAGACAAGTGCTTCGTGTTGGTGTGTAATGTACAAGCAATTTAGAGCCACCTACATTTCGCCTGGTACAGGCAACCCCTGAGAAGTCTGTGGAAGCAATCACAGATTTCTGGTTAGCTGCAGGGAAAAACAGCACATTTTCAAAAGGGCTACAGGGTTTTTACCTGTGTGGCTCTCACCCACCTTAAGGTAGGGCCACATGCACAGTCATGAAAACCAAAGCCAAGATGTTGCAATAAACAGCCAGCACAATGGAAAGATAAGGCTACAGGGAGATATTCAAGGAGAGTAAAAGCCACAACAGCAGCATTTTTAGCTCCCAGAAACACAATAGTAGGATTAAGGTATGCAGTTATTTTTGTTCTCATATTTTTACACTTTGCACAGTGAGACAAATTGTTTCCAGGGAGAATATCTTACACTCACCTTGTAAACAAATAAATAAAAATGCCCTTAAATTTTTAAGACAGATAGCCATATCATGTTTAAAACCTATTCAATATCTTAATAGCCAGAGATTGCATACTTTATTTATAGCCTTACAAATTACCTCGGGGAAACACAATAGAAAAAAGCTTCAACATTAAAAATGATCAAGGTTCTTTTTTATTAATTTTAACTGAATCATGGTGGTTATAAAATTAGAAACCCTTGTTTTTTTAAAAAAGGCAGTATTAGTTACATAATAAGACAAGTGGATTCTGGCAATGTATTATTCATAAGATGTTTTGCAGCCAAATACATTAGAGTATATAGTTGTACCAACAAATTAATATTTTAGAGCTAATTGAAATTGTTCTTCCTATAAAGATTAAGCCTCTTCTACCCAACACACTTCAGTCATTAAAATAACACTTTTAATGCCTTGTCTAAATGATGTCTGACATTAATACAAAGCTATATTAAAGCACTCAAATGACCAGTTCTTTTGTAATGCATTCTATATGATCACACACTGGGTCAGAGTTGGGCAGTGTGCATGAAGTGGTATCAAGTGGAAGCTAATTAAAATATATTCTCCATAGAACTTTACAGAAAAAAGAGACCAATAATCATCAGAAGGTATTCTGAAAATGGCATTTCTGAAAGGCTTGCAGCATGCTTTATTCTCCTTGCATAAGGGTGATTTTTGACATAGAGGTTTTATTACAGGCACAAAACTTGCGTTGGAAAATCATTTTTTACTATGTCAATAAAATCATTATGAAGTCTTTCCAATGCTTCTCTTATATGATTTTTACTTCCTAGAAAATCAAGTTTCATTTTCAGAACAATAAAGGTTTTCCCTATTTTGCCACATTTTCATTCAACTAAATAACTTCCTGAAAACAGGGTTAACCTTCCCTGCACTTCATGCTGCTACAACTATTCCTGCAACACACACGCATGCGCACATGCGCACGTGCACACACACACACACACACACACACACACACACACACATATTAAATTTCTCCAGACCGTCACAAAATGTGGGAAAGCAGACACATTTAAGGTCATATCTATGGCAGACTTGTTCTCCCACTACAAAAAACCTCCTAACAATAGCTGCTTAAATCTTCTACAGCTTGGGCCAATTTTGCAACCGTCATGTTTGGGCTTACAAATAATGTCCTGGTTTTGTTCTCTGTTTTCCCTCAGACATATCTGTGTTAAAAAGGGGGAAAAAATCACAAGCTTTACCTCCATCAATAGAAAAAAAAAAAAAGGTTGCTACTACTTTTCTCTTACAATTCACATTTCTTATATTCTTTTTGAGAAATTAGATCCAACTGAGAACCGCAGGTCGTTGAATAAGAAATTGAGGCACAATATTCATCTTGAGATCAGGGGCCCTAGACAAAGACTTTGCTCCTGACGTCTTTTATTCAGAGAATTTCCATTGATGTCACCTCATCTTGAACTTTTCATCTCTGCATGGTATGACAGAGCTTCGAAGCCTGGACTTACTACTTCCTGCTGTCTAGAATAAAGCACACGCTTATAAATGGGTAATTCTACTTCTGACGCTACATATTTTCAAGACAGTGGACATAAAAAATTCTTTGTAAAACTAGTTGAATATAGACTTATAGTTGAATATTTGCTTTTAAATTAAATAACTTCAAAGTATCTTTTAATTTAAGTCCTCTCATCAATAGAAATGAAGGGACCACCTCCCTCATCGTGTATAACTGTAATTTGCCCCAATTTCCAGTCTAGCTTTTGGACTCAAAGGAAATTTAATGACTCTAAAGCAACAAACCCCACCCATCTCACTAGGAAAAAAGGTGAATTGCCAGTGTGCCTTATTCCTACAGTACTGATGAGAAATTTAACTTTACCATGATAGCTACATTTATTTTTGTAATTAGAACTAGGGAAAAATATTAAGCAGCGAATACTTCCATCTGATATTTAAGAAGCATGAAATAAAAATCTAAACATAACTGTTTTTAAATAACACACTAGAAATGCTAACAATGATACAAGGACCATACTGAGTGCACACACTTGCTGAAACAGCAGTACAAAATTCAATCCTCACTTAAAGAATGACACATTTAACTAGCAGCAATTATTTTGTATGAATAGAAATTAGGTATTGTTTTTAGTTCCACATTTAATGATATTTTTGTTACCACTTTGTGGTTAGGAAATGCATTGTTACATTATTATGCCATATTGCAATGACTATATAGTTAAGACAAATATAAATTTATTTTCTTACTAACATGTTTTCAAACTGAAAGGCAGTTGAATGGGTTTATCAAGTAACTTTTTTTTGGTTACATGTACTTTGAAGCTACTATTTAATGGATTTAGGTTCAACCATTTGCATTTTAGAAATGCAATTTTCTTTTTCTTAAACATAAATTTGTTTTTCTCTGGTGGCAGTTCTTTCCAAAATAATTCAGCTCTAGTAGTAATCTCAGTTCCAAAAGGAATTAGAGAGATTTGTAGTAAAACTGAAGACTATTCCCAAGAACAGCTTCAATTATCACATTTCTGGTTGAAAGGTGAGGTGTGTGAACTGCCTGAGGCCTCAGAGGAGCTGTCCATAGGTGGGCTTTGTGTATAAGGTTTATGGTGTGGTTTATATGGTCTCCAACCTCCAAGTGCTAAAAGTCAGACTTTCATGCCACAAAATCCATCATTAGAATTTAAGCTACTGATCTCTGGAACCTAGGATATAAATTCCCAGCATATCATTATGTAACAAAAAAGTCACTTGTCATGGTGGAAATTGCAGCTAATTCCAGGCATCCTCCAGCCCCTTTGTTTGGTTTGCTAATGAGAGGTGCTGAGAGAGGAGCACGCCCCCTTTGGGTGACCCTGGCCTCTCACGTTGATCCTGCTCAGGTGTGTCAGAGATAGTTCCAACACACTCAGAAATCAGATGCCGACTGAAAGCCTGATGTGCTTGTTTTATGCAGTGAGAAAGGGATTCTGAGCTTTGCTCCTGGCCCTCTCCCCAATTATAAGAAAATTCTACTCAAGTGGCTTGAAAACCTTGTACAAACTGTTCCAGTGTCCTAATGAAATTCTAAATGATCAACAATTTATACTTTAGATTTCCCTATGTACTTAGGGAAAAAAAGGTTTTCTATTTTCAAGTATCTATAGAGGCAGAAAAATATTTAGACAATTATATAGAGGGTTATGACTGCAACCATATGAATTGAAGAGGTTAGGGTTGGAAGCACAAATGATGCATAATTCCCGAAATCACTCCTTAAGTTCATTTCAAATAAGGTGGTTAATTTTAAAAACAGATTAAGTATTGTTTGTTTATTCTATACGATTATGATAAATTATGAACGAAACACTATTTTAAGTGTTCTACGTTGACAAAGAAGGAGAGAACGTCCACGGGCTTTAAAATATGCATGCTGTTGCCACAAACAACCAACTGTTTCCTGTTTATGACAAAGGAGTAAATAATCTATTGATCTGGCAGCAGGGCACCTGCTTTGCAACTGACTCCATATCAGTAGTCCCTGAACCCTCATTATTTTTCCTCAATTAAAGTTCATAGTCTCGGAAAGTCTGTGCTGAGCAGATGTACAACTGTTCTTGACGACGGAACACAGAAGAATCACAAATTTAGAAAACTACTGCCATTTCATAAACCCTAGAATCACATCATTTGTTGTGGGTAAGAAACATTACAAACAATATGTCTCTTTTATAGGCTGCTAAGCCAGCACATTACAGAAAAGAATATTAAAGTTCAAAAACTGTCACATGAGCAGTACATTATGAATACAGTAATGCATTTTTTTATGATTCAAATAATGGCTACTGAAATGAAAAAAATAAAATCTTCAGTGGGTTATAATGTAAAAACTGTGACTGAGAATTAGACAAAATTGGAAATATGAGCAAAACCACACACAAAGTAATGATCTGTAGAGAACGACACAATGCAATAACGAATGTATTTCAGAAATATGGATTCGACTAATGCTAGTTTTATTTTCATCTTTTGCATAATTCTGAAACCTATGAGCACTGATCATTAAGGCAAACCATTTAAATAAAAAATGCAGCAAGAATGCAGCTTCAAAATATAACTAAGACACACTCAGCTGAAGAACTTTTTTTTTTTTTTTAACAATCTACCTAAGGTCAAATCTACCACAGCACCATCCATTTTAAAAGCTACATAAACGTAGCCCTCCATCGCTCATAAACTCCTTTTTTGCTTAAGAAAATGAGAAAGGGAAGTAAGCAGTCAGGGAGATGTTCATTTTCATTTTATTTTTAAAATGTTATCTCAATAAGACATTGAAAAACATATTTTGCAGTAAATAAGATGAAGTTCCTACACTACATTTTCTAGCCCTTCTTTCCCTAAGCATAATTCTGACTCCACAGTATGTGTTCCACAGGCTGCAGCAGATTGTGAGTCATGAGGTCAGAGTATATGCTTAAAGCATCAATGGCTACACCTGTCATTTTAGTTTTCCCAGGAAGGATGTGTTATTGTTTAATGCGGTAACAAACATTCGTTACAATCTGACTTCAAGTTTGCCACTGCTGTGGAGCTATCACTACCCATCCATCCAAATATTTTAATCGTAGTTTAGTTTCTAGTATCAGTTATCATTATTTTTATTTAATTATTTGAGACACATTTAATCTTTTCCTGGCCATGCAGTCTCTTGTAATCCATTTTGAATTTCCTACATAACCAAAACACAGTTTGTAAAGGTAGAAATAAATCAGGTTTGTATTTTTGAGCATTAGTACAAATGTTTAAAGTAGTCTGCATGGTGTGATTAGCAGTAGAAAAATATTTTTCCTCTTCACATTTCCCTACTATTTACACCTGGCTAACATACAGAATACTTTGGAGAAATTAACAAATCTGATTGGAAAATCTACCTTGTATTCACTTAAAAGTCTGCATACTGAAATGATAATTCAGTTATTACAGGTCTTGATGAGAATACAGTCTCCCTCAGACAAAGGGTAGTGTTAACATATCCTGGGTGACGAAAACTCTCTTTAGCTTTGCTCCAGGGTAAGCCTGTCTTTATGAAAATCCTTTTTGTATATTTCCGCCAAACTGGATTTCTTACATTTACATTTAAAATGTCATCGTTGCTCCTAAGGTAGATTTCACCAATTTTCCCCTTGGCAAAATTGGTTGTGCTCTGCCAACGTTTTTCCTCTGAGTCAGGAAAACTATGAGTATTACTGTTGCTCATTTCAGGCTTAAGAAAACAGTTCAAAGTGTAGTAACCAAAATTTCATCGTCAAAACAGACATACAGAGTACATGGAGTAAAATCTCTGATCTCTCAAGTATCCCACTGAAAATTGTGAGAGACAGAAATATTTTCCTAACACATAACTTAGAAATACACATTTTTAAAATTTCCTGAAAGATATTATACTAATCTAATTTCATTTTCCTTGAATGATATTAATTTTAAAACGTAGAACCCAATTTCACCTACTAATTATAAAATGTTTTAAAAACCCTTTAGTAGCAGTTTGTAAAGGATTTTTTAAAAAATAATTAACTTGTTAAATTTTATCACAGATAAAATACACATACAATTAACTAAGACCACACCCTTGGAGGCAGCAGGGCTTGTTGCAGAAACAACTATAAAGTATAGATACGTAACCAAGACAGATAACTATTTGCAACCATTCTGGAATCTATGAGTTCTTTGAGGATAGGGAAGTTACTTAAACTCCCTGAGATTTGGTTTCTGAATCTGTAAAATGTAGGTAATTCAGTCTGCAGGAGTTTTTGAAGATTTCAATAAAGTAACACAAAGTAACATATAAAGTCTCATCACATAGTAGGTATTCAATAAATATTAATCTCATTTTTATCGGTTTTGCCCTTGACCAAGGATTATCAAATACAATTTTTTCGTTCTTTGTTTGCTGTCATTGAGATTCACTGCTGTGGCCCAGGATAAATCTTGTGTACTCATACCTGCATACTTTCTCCCTAAAATATTCATTATACTCAAATTCCTAACTCTTCTGTAACTAGCAGTATTTCCAGCATGACAAAGTACTAGAGACAACAGAATAGCATATTCCTGGATAGCTAAATTCCTTTCTGCCCCCCTTCCTCCACTCTCTTCCTTCTTTCCTCTTTCTTATCCTCCTTTTCCCTTCCACCTTTCCTTTCTTTCTTACTTGCTTCCTTTCCTACATTCTCCTTCTCTTCTTTGACCTCTCTTCTTTTATCTTACTCTCTTCCATTTAAAAAAAAACAAAGCAATATTTGTTTGTTATGACCTAACAGTCATTTGGCAAGTTGTAGGGAGAGGACAGCTCACAAAGAGAGCTCCCAGTCCTAGAGGGGAGAAAATGCTGAACATGACCAGGATATACCATGAAAGTGTCCTGCAAAGTACGCAAGGGGCTACAGCTTCTCAAAGCAAAAGAATCAAAGGGAGTTTGGAGCCTGGGGAGGAAGTAATGCAGGTTTCACAGAAACAATTTTGTCCTTTTGCCCCCAAATATATGTTTGATAAAGGGAAACTATTTATTAAACTTACTATTTAAAGAAATCTTTCTCTGCTCTCATGGCATGCAAGGGAGTCTTTTTTTAAATCTATCATTTTCTTAGAATGCCTTAGAGACTAGTAATTTTACCTACTGTACATTACCCAGATAGAGGCAGACTACTTTTCTTTTTACATGTTTATATTTGGAATGTTTTAGTGATGAAACCATCTTTACACAATCTTTTAAAATCCCAAATATGTTTCTCCATTTTGCACTTCAGTTTTACTTCCATATTTTATTTTGCTCCTTCATTATTAATATCACCATGGAAAGTAATTTATACTGGAAAAGAGAACTAAAGGAAAGTGAGTTAATAAAGAATGTTGTTGATGCCTCAGGAATGTCTCCAACAGTATGGATAGAGCCAGTGCAGCTAGCAATGGCACTTCAGTTCATGTCTATATTGTGACTTTCAATTTCCCAAGTGATTTAATGGTAGGAAAATATAGGTTCATCCCATTAAACATTGTTCTCTTAGATGATGAGATTTTTGAAATCTTTAAAAATTTAGTCAATTCTTTTTATTTTTTTCCTAAAGGCAAAATCTGCAGCTTTGTCAATGCATATTATATCCATTTGAGTGCAAAGTGATCACATGACAACAAATGCAGAGAAAGTGGTGCTATCAGTTTAGTACTTCAAACCAGCAAGAACCTCAAAATTACATTAAGGAGCAAAAATCCAAATCATTTTTTTCGGAGATATTTTAATTGGAAAACCCTATTCATTGAGGTGAGCCACATAACCTATCGCAAAGACAAAACAAAACAAAAGCAAATCATCAATGTACCTTTCAAACGACCCTCAATATTTTGTCTGCTGGGGAAAGCAAAACAAAACAAACTCAGCATCCTATTCTTCTTACGGCACTTAATTTTAGGCACAGGGAATGCAAATGTATACATGCTTCATTTACGGTTTACTAATGCCTAAGAAATCAAGATTGCATGTTGAAGAATGCATTTACATTCTAAACCTTAGCCTAATATTTAATTAACAGCCTCAATATGTATTCTCTTTCAGATTTAAAATTACATGCTTGGTCTAGAGCTTTCCTTTACCCTGACCAGGACTGTTTTAAACTATTTTTTGCCTATTCTACAATGATGATAAATAATTTTTGGCAAAGAAGTAGATAAACTGATTAAGCACAAATAACATACAAACTGTCTTAATAACTAAAGCCTTTTATCCTTTCCAACTTTTATCATAGGTGTGTGTGGTCTCTACTTTGTAATCCCAATAGATTCATGTTGAATGATAATATATAATTTTATATAAAGTCAATGAAAGCATTGTTCAAGCACAAAGATATTCTGTTAAGACATTATGGTCAACAATGGAAAAAAATTTGTTCTCCTACAAAAAGATACAAATGCCTATATACCAAACGCTACATACATTGAAGTAAACTAAGAAAGTTGATTGTCACTTCAACTTGCCAACTGCTAAAACAGCTCAACCACGAAATATTAAGCCATACCACACGTGTGAATGCATTAATTGGTTCCACTTTGAAAATGTCATTTGCTACTATGCAATACTAATGCATCATGTGAGAGGTTTAAGGATTTCTTCTGAATCACTTCCTTTTCACCAGTGTTTCCACACTAGTATATTTAACAGAGACATTTACATGCTTTGCATTTTAAGTGCCTTGAAAATCCAAGCACAGAGCCTGCACATTTCCACAGCACCATCAGATGTAATGAGTTATGGTACTATCGGCATGTTGATAAGCTATAGCCCAAAGAAGAACAAGAAGGAAGTATAAAAAATATGGCCAGAGGATGGGATAAAATTATCAGCTAGTGTGTTTTCCTGTTTGGTTTTAATCTACATTTAATTAAATTCTTATCTTCTGTGTACTTATGGTTGCATTTGAATGGCGAGACTGCATTCATTATGAATGGTAAAACTTAACTCAGAGAACATTACATGTGGCTTCTTTAAAAAAGAGAGGAAGGAAAATGCTGTCTTTATTCTTTACACTCAGGTCTTACAAAAGAGGACCAAACTCTCTCTAAGGTCAAGTGCTGTACCACTTAACCTTCGAGTTAACTGACTTGGAAATTTGGAGTTAACTACATTTTTAATGCTATTTTTTATTTTTACAATTTGGAAATGTTATTATCAAATTCTGAGCCTGAACAGAGCTGGCAAGGGGAGCAGTGAAGTGCATTAAGGAAATGCCTTCTTCATTCTTAAAAATAAAGATGATAACAAGAAGTTTTTATTAGTATTGCAAAATGTGTGCATTAGTCTGCATCCTTAATTATTAAAACCATTATATTTCCTTGTGTTTATATGCTGAAATAAGAAAAAAAATACTTAATTGCTATTTGAAGTTTTTTTCCCCCAGTGTTACAGACCCTCTGAGTTCATTTAAGCACCCATATATTTCAGAGGAAAATAACAAAATGTTTTGAATTAACATCGTTTAGTAAACCAGTAGTTGTGTCATAGAACTTTTGGTTCTATTCCAGGAATGGCAGGGCAAATTGAGAATGTCTTCAGGTGGTATCTGGCACCTGCAACAAGCATGGTTTCCTTCAGTCCATTTAAAAACCGCATCGGCCTTAACAAGAGAAACAGAGGCAACTGTTTTTCACTTACATTTGAATGTTTTTTGCAGAAGAACAGAGATTTGGGAAAGGATTCCCTGTCCCCACTGATCAAAATTCACCAAAAAAAAAAAAAAAAAAAAAATTTTTAAAAACAGAACAAGAAAACGCAAGAAAACAAAACTCTCCCATAGTTACATTTCTTTTGCACATATCTGCTAAGAAAATACAGATTATTGTCACGTATATTTATAGCTTTTCTTATAAGCAAAAATTTGTAACTAGTAACTGCATGCTAATAAAACAAGCATATTTCAAATGAGCATTTGCTATTGCTGTGGTATTTTATGCAACAGGGAATACCCACTAGAAAATATTTAACCTTCCAATTGAAACAATCAAATTTAGACAGTTATCATTAAATAATAGCAGTTATCATTGGCATATTTTATTCAAATATCCCTTACATAAAGACACTGGGAATCGTTATCTTTCTACCATGACTCAGTGTTGTTTTAAAAGGAGCTGTAAAAGTCCTAATGACTGGATCAAACAGTCTCTATTTGACACACTAGATACTCCTTAGCTTTATTTTGTAGTGGGGCTCTAAGACTTTCCTCGAATAAGCCACAGACCACCTATTTACCCAGACACTCCAAAGGGGAGAAAGGATGTTTTCAGTACACATTCCCTACACTTCAAAAGTTTCTTTTTGAAATAAGCATTGTTGGGCAGGAGTGGTGGTTCGGGTCTATAATCCCAGCACTTTGGGAGGCTGAGGCAGGAGGATCAATTGAGGCCAGGAGTTTGAGACCAGCCTTGGCAACATGGTGAACAACACTGTCTCTACAACAACAACAAAAAAATACAAAAATTAGCTGGATGTGGTGGTGCCCACTTGTAATTCCAGCTACTCAGGAGGCTGAGGCATGAGAATCACTTGAACCCCAGAGGCAGAGGTTACAGTGAGCCAAGATTGCACCGCTGCACTCCAGCCTGGGCGACAGAGCAAGATCCTGTCTCAAAACGAAAGAAACTCTGTTATTTAGGCATTTATCCAACTCAGCAGAAGGAACTGCCATTCTCCTGTGCATAATTGGACATTAAAATCACAACTGGGATGAACAAAGAAAAAGCTGGTGATAATTCTAAAACATTAAGCCTTTTTTCAAAAATTATTCTTATTATATTTCTCAAAAGTGAAGCAAGCTAAAATATTCCTAACAAATGACAAATTCTGGGAAATAAAACATATCCTATCCTGAAAGCACAGCTCTGAAGTGATCACGATAACTGTTTTACTATAATGTGTAACACATAGGTTAAAGATAATATTAGTAAGTTGTTTTGCTTTAATTTTTTCAAAAATATTTTATATGTGTTCTCTGATTAAGTACAGTTACAACATGTTTATTTCTTTTACTTCAGTAAATACATGCATGAATAGTCTCCATGCACATGTACTAACAAGATGTTCTATATGATGCCTTTATCTGAAGAACTGAAACATTTAAGACAATTCAATTCAACAAACATTTATTGAGAAGTGCTAAACTGACCTAATTTACTATCAGGCAGTAATTCTGTGAGGTACTGGTTAGATGATGATACAATATAGCTTCTGTATGGAAGGACACTATAGATAGCCAATACTGTAATACAGTTTGCATAGGGTTATCCGGTATAAAGACACATTAAAAGCTACAGAGCTGAGATGGGGTAAAATGTGACATTCAAGTTGGATATGAGAAGAAGAGCTAGAGCTTGTGATGTGCATAATATTCTATGAATGCAGAAGATATAGCGTTTCTATAACCGTTACTGCTCCTGCAAAATCTTTGAGAGAATTGGGATTTACTTTGTCAAGAATTGCCACAGAAGAGAAGCAAACAATTCCTACATGAAGTTGTGAGATCACAGGGATACCATGGTGTATGTATAGCGACACAGCTCAGGCTGCCTCCAAATCATTTTCCTGTCCTTATTCTAGCCAAACTGGCCTCCTTTAAGCTTTTCAAATGTGCCATGCACTACTTGCCACAGGCCTTTTGCACATGCTGTTTTTCCGGCTAGAAAACTTCACCCTACGCTTATCTAAGTTTATCCTTCAAATAGAGCTGATGTAGGCATCACTCTTCAAGGAAGCTTTTTTTGTCCTCTTCTAATATACATACACACAAAGAAACTCACACCTAGTTTGGATGTGTTTCCCCAGTTATATACCATTAAAAAAACTCATTTTTCCTATGGTGGACCTTTTTCAGTTTGTGATTATACAGTCATTAGTATCTGCCTTTCTCACTAAACTGTAACCTACATGTCAACAGGGATTTAATTCTATTTTGGATCCCATGACTTTCTCAGCATCTAGTCAGTACAACACCAATGGGCTCAATGCATATGTGATAAGCAAGAGATGTGCTGGTCATCCAAAGGTAAAGGTGAGACCATGGTTCCTAATCCTGGGAATATGATAGACTGGGAAGGAGTGCTGCTTAACTAATATCAGTGAAAGTGCTCACACATATTTTGTGCACCATGGTTTTACTGTTTAAGAGTATAAACTTCCACAGGGAGCTATAAAAAGAATGATAAAGAGTTGAGAGAGAGGAAAACAGAGTTCCTCCATGGACCCAATCCAAGCTCTTTAGCCGTGTTGGAAAAGAAAATAACACAGTTATTAGGATATCATTTTCACGGTTTGCCTATTTGCATGTCTACAACATGCATATTTATGATGTTTTTAATGTTTTTAAGATTTAAGGTTTACTTAATTTGACTTAAAAATGATCACATAGGTTGAAGAGTACAAAAGTACACAGGCACTTTCAAATAATAATTCAAATATTTATTATTATTTTTCATAGCTACCCTGCAGAAAAATACAATTTGAACTAAATAAAGAGTGATAAGAGAAATCTATGAACACGTGACACCTAGGCTGATGGAAGAAAATGCATTCTTGTAGAGTGCATGCATTAAATATACATCCTTGAAGGACAGCATTATGATGTGTTCATTCTCATTTTACGGCAGAAGGAAAACTAACTTAAAGGAAGAGCATTTGTTGTGAGCCCTTCTCCAAAAGAGACTTGGTATACAAAGCACCAGAACTGAAGAATGATAGGCACAAAGGGGCCAGATGACTGGTTCATTAAGGAGTAGTTCACTGTTTGGCAAAGAGAGTCAAGACAATCTTAGAGATCTGGGTGATTCATGTGAGACTCCCTGCCATGCTCCAACACCCCCACCAGCTTCCATATTATCCATAGAGGAGTGAAGAGATCAGGACCCTGCACCCCTGCATATACCTGGTGAGTCCACACTATTCTTTCCCGACATGCATAGCCTCACATCCATTCTCCAAGTTCTGAGACATCAGAACTAATCTTATTATGACCTTTATCTCTCTTTTTTAAAAAAATTCAGTCATTCCTAGGAGTCCAAGATTCCCATGGCCCTCACCCCCATGGTCTGATCCTCATACAGGTCTGACTGAAATTCTCTCTCCCATTCTCCACCAGTTGCCCCAAACCTTTCCACTATCACTCAAAGGGACTTACCAGCAAAATATCTTCACCTTCCTCTATGCCCATTCCCTTTGCCCCACTAGCTGTTACTCTCAAGAATAGATGCTGACTTTACTCTTATGAACTGTACATGACTTGACCTGAAAGGGGAATCGTTTTCCTTACTCCTCATTGTGGAGTATTTTCTTTCCCCTACTCTAAAAATCTGTTTGAATATCATATTACCATACTATCACTGCTTGTGATGGTCATTTCAAGACTTCTAGATCATTTGTCATCATCTCTTGAAACATTATCTCCTGTATTCTCTCCCAATTTGCTCCTGATTTAATTCTTGGTGATTTCAAAATTCATCACACCCATATGGATGATCGTTTGTTTGTCTGAGATGGAGTTTCACTCTTGTTGCCTAGGCTGGAGTGCAATGGCACGATCTTGGCTCACTGCAACTTCTGCCTCAAGCAATTCTCCTGCCTCAGCCTCCAGAGTGGCTGGGATCACAGGCAACCTGCCACCACACTTGGCTAATTTTTGTATTTTTAGTAGAGACAGGATTTCACCATGTTGGTCAGGCTGGTCTTGAACTCCTAACCTCAGGTGACTGGCCCAACTCAGCCTCCTAAAATGCTGGGATTACAGGTGTGAGCCACCACACCCAGCCTTGGATGATCATTTGAACTCCCAGTTCCTTGACCTCTTCTCAGCCAAGGAACTTGCTTTCTACCCTATCTACAACCACTCACTCTCTAGGCCTTTTTATTGCTCGGAATCACGACCCTCTCTTATCTAATTTCACATCTCACCATCCCATTCTCAAACTATACCTCCTATTGTTCTAATTCACTCTTTCTAGAACTTTTACTCCAACACCTTTTTTTTTTTTTTTTTTTTAAGAGACAGGATCTCACTCTGTTGCCTAAGCTGGAGTGCAATGGTATGATCATAGTTCAGTGCAGCCTTGAACTACTGGGCTCAAGTGATCTTCCCACCTCAGCATCCCAAGTAGCTGGGACTATAAGCATGCGCCACCATGCACAGCTTTTTAAATTTTTTTGTTTTGTGGAGAGTCTCACTATTTTGCCCAGGCTGGTCTTGAACCCTTGACTTCAAGTGGATCCTCCTTGGCCTCCATCCAATCCATCTTGCCTTGGCCTCCATCCAATCCTGCCTTGGCCTCCCAAAGTGCTGGGATTATTGGTATGAGCCACCACACCCAGTTTCCAACATTCTTTAACTTCACTAGGACCTCAAATCCAATATTATCACCTTTTAACCACTGTCCTTCACCTCCGCATATCCCTACTTCCCTGTTTATCCAGCTTCAACACTGTGTCCCTCATCATAAGCCCTTCCTTGAAAATATTCTCAATTCCCTCACCCCTTCTTCCTTCATTTTAGTAGTCTGGCAAAACCTGTATCTTGTTCATTCCAACTTCGTGCCTACTTTGTATTTACAACTGGCAGTGCACTAGCTGAAGGAAAACACAAAGCAATCCTATCTCATTTTACATTCATGACCAATAACAGTAAATGGTTCAGTATTGTTTTCCAGCAATCATACATTTCCCTATCCAACTCCAGCACCAATTCCCCATCCATTCTCTCTCAACCATGCCTCCTTATCCACTAAGAAAATTGTAGCAATCAAAACAGAACTTAGTTTCCACTCCCACATCAACACAAACACATGTGCCTGTGTCCATCTACTCTGCCCTGACATCTATGACCACGGATGTGCCAACTTTGCTCCGCTCACCTGGGTGTTAGATGCTCTACCTCTTTCCTGCAAACATCAGTGTTTCAGCCTCAACTGGGTCATCTCCAACAGCATGGCAATATACTATAATTTCTTGATCTTAAACAACAGCAAAGTAAAAACCTCCCAGCTCTCATTTATCTGCTGCATTAAAAGCAAAACTCATTGAAAAACTTTCTGCTTGGTATCGCCAATCAGACTTCCTAATAGGCGCTCAGTTTCACAACTACATGGAAACTGATCTTTTCAGTGTCATCAAAGACGCTGCTAAATCCAAGGGTCATTTTGGACCTTGTCTTACTTGAATATCAGCAAAATTTGGCGTAGTATCTTCTTGGAACACTTTCTTCCCTTGGCTCCTCTGCACACTTCTCTGGTGTTCCTTCTACCTTCACTGACTGCTCTTCAATTTTCTTTGCTCTGTCCTCTGGCATCATATGCTACACTGTCCTCCTCCTTTATTCTGCCCAGTCACTGCAGGCTGCCCTGATATTACACCAATACACGGCTGCCTCTATCTGGGACATTCTTGCTTAAGACAGCTGCATGGTTCATTCCTTTAACTCCCTTTAGATTTCTCAAATGTTTCTTTCTCAAGTAAGGTCTTCCCTCACCAACTTATCTGAAATTGCAAACCTCTTCTCTGTTTTAGTTTTCTGTCTTTTTGTCCACAACATATTTTATCATTTAGCAAATTATACATTTTATGCATTGATTTGTTTATCATCTTCTTTTCCCTATTGGAGTATAAACTCCTATGGGAAGCAGGTTCACTGCTATATTTGTTTCCTAGGGTAACACCTAAAACATAGTAAGAATTTTCTAACTATTTATTAAATAAATAAATGAGATAGGGCAATGTCTTAATTTTTACCGTATTTCTTATGGTCTGTAAGAAATTGTTTTCTATTTTCCATGACTCTAAAATAATTTTATATATACATATATAACACATGTATATATATATATATAATATATATATATATGCATACACACACATACATGTTAGTATGTGGGAGTTCTCTGATATTTTAGAAATACAAAATTGCACAGCTATAATTAGTTAATTTTGCTATTTTTACACTATTTTGTTTTATGATGTGTTTCTATGCTATAGAAATAATTTACCATCATCTTTTTATCACTTCATTCTTCACATTGCAGTAGAATAAGCAGTACTATGTCAACATTAACAAATATCTCTCATATTTATATTGACCAATTATTTTTGTTCCTCTCTTCTTCTTTTATGTTTTAACCTCTGTAGGAGAGAAGGAAGAGAATTATAAAAGTATGTTTGTGAAATATTTTATTTCTGATAGAACAGACCTGTAGGAGGCACATGGGTTTAAGTGCTGTGTAATAGTTGCTATTTCTGAACCCAGTTTTGACTGTCTGCAAAGCCTGTAATGAAATTAAGAACATAAAGATAGGATTTGGGTAGATTTCCTTGTCTTCAGGATCAATTATTTTGTCCTAAGTCCCATTAGCCTGACTGTCACAGTATTAAGGAGCATTTTTAAGTAATTTCTGAGGTTAGGTAAGGATACAGGGTAAAGAAAAGGGGGGTTTTAAGGAAGTAAAATTGTGGAGAGAAACACAAAAATTCAACCTTTCCCAAAATAGCCCTGAAAGCATGGCATCTATTATTTGTATGGGCATTGCTTTTCTTTGAATTGTCTACTTTTTGTTCACCAACCTCTACCCTACCATTTTTGAAATACTCCTAAGATGACTTGAAAGAAGCTGTTAAAAGTGAATCTTCCCAGAAGTCCTGGAAAACAAAAAACAAAAAACAAAAAACTATAGCTGCGAAGTGCCTTTAATGTTTATATAGGAGCAATGAAAGGAATCAACAAGCAAGGAAGCTGAAACCATTCTCTCATGACAAAATAAAAAAAAAAAGCAAAAATTTATCCAAACTGAATATTCCTATGAAACAAATTACAGGGAATTCTGGTTCTGCAGCCAAGAATGCATTCCCCATATGCTTGTGTATTCCTCCCTATAAAAATGAATATTCATAAATAGAATTTCAGTAGATGGAAACAACCTAGGTAAATTACTGAACATTAGGAATAGCAGAAAAAATCTAATGTAATCATATCATCCAAGTACTCATACAGATGTGTACAGTTTGCATCCAACAATTCGGGGAAACAGATTACAACTACACTTAATTTACTCGTTATAATCTGTGACTGAGCTGTTTGATCTGTATCCGTTACCATGCTAAAGGCCAAAAGTTGTTACTTGACCATTCTTTAATGGGACTTTTGCTTAAATATAAAGTATTTCCTTTTTTCTTTAATTAAACTAAGGTCAGAGAACAGAGAGTCATTTAAAACATGCAGTTGTTTACAGAAGTACATGCAATCTCAAGGGTTACTGAGGTAGTCACTCTACTCCCTAAGGATGTGGCACTTATTTATTTCTTTTTGCTTACTTCCCTCTGTTGTCAGTGTGCCTGCTGCCAATAAACACTTCATATTCTAATCCGGTGTGAGTTGGGAACCCAACTAATCAGTCTGTATAGATTGTGCCTAAATTAAGAAAAAATGCATGAGTTCTGAATGAAGACCTAAGGGATTCTTCTAATAGTAAGGCATTAGACTAAAATACATGACCTTTTTTAGCATCTAGTTTACTTTTTATTTAAATCAAAATCTATATTTGCATTGATTGAAATGTACACCTACATTTAAATTTAGCTGCTTTTTCATATGAAAAAAAAAGCTTGACATCACTGGTCATTAGAGATGCAAATCAAAACCACAATGAAATACCATCTCACACCAGTCAGGATGGCTATTATGAGAAAGTCAAAAAATAACAGATGTTGGTGAGGTTGTGGAGAAAAGGAATGCTATACACTGTTGGTGGAAGTGTAAATTAGTTCAACCATTGCAGAAAACAGTGTGATGATTTTTCCAAGACCTAAAAACAGAAATATCATTTGACTCAGCAATCCCATTACTGGGTATATACCCAAAAGAATATAAATTGTTTCATCATAAAGACACATGTCTGCGAATGTTCACTGCAGCACTATTCACAATATTGAAGCCATGGAATCAACCTAAATGTCCATGAGTGATAGACTGGATAAAGAAAACGTGGTACATAGACACCACAGAATACTATGCAACCATAACAAAGAGTGAGATCATGTTCTTTGCAGGAACATGGGAGGAAATAGAGACCACTATCCTTAGCAAACTAACACAGGAACAGAAAACCAAATACCTCATGCTCTCACTTATAAGTAGGAGCAAAATGATGAGAACAAATGGATGCATAGTGGGGAACAACACACACTTAGGTCTATCAGAGGATTGAGGGTGGGAGGAGGGAAAGCATCAGGAAAAATAACTAATGAATACGAGGCTAATACCTGGGTGATGAAATAATCTGTATAACGAACCCCCATGACACAAGTTTAGTTATACAACAAACCTGCACATGTACCCCTGAACTTAAAATAAAAGTAACAAAAAAAACTATCAAAAAAACTTAGCTGCTTTTTTTTCCTCATCTTTTTAGGTTCTTGGTTATATTCTGGAACATAGCAAAATTTATGTATACAAAAAATACTATTGTATTTTGCTCCCATTATAAGAAAGCACCCACTAGAAGAAAAAATTAACATTGAAAAGTTATGTGGAGGGCTTGCCACTCAAAGAATAACAAGGTACAAGTTTATCCAGTGGTCACACATTCAAGTTTATTTGACAGTAACTGCCTCCACCATGCTGCTCAAGGTGAATCCCAACAAAATCAAAATCATATACCTGAAGCACACAGGTGAGGAATTAGGTCCCATGTCTGCTCTCACCCCCAAGATTGGTCCCCTGGGTCTGCCTCCAGAAAAGGTTGGTGATGACATTTCCAAGGCAACTGGTGATTGAAAAGCTCTAAGAATTGTTATGAAAGTGACAATCAGGTCGGAACAGATTGAGGTGATACCTTTTGCCTCCACCCTTATCATCAAAGTCCTCAAGGAATCACCCAAAGAAAAAAAAGCAGAAAAACATTAAGCATAGTGAAAATAGCACTTTCAATGAGATTGTCAACATTGCCTGACAGATGCTGCACCCATCATTAGCCACAGAACTCTCTGAAACCATTAAAGAGATCCTGAGGACTGCCCAGTCTGTGGGCTGCAATGCTGACGGCGCCACCCTCACGCTATCACAGATGACACTGACAGTGGTGTGGAGGAGTGCTCAGCTAGTACATAACAAGGAAAATATTTCAATAAAGGATCACTTGACAATCAAGAATAATAGTTATATAGATGCCATCTTCTTTTCATGAAATACATGAATAATTTGAGAGGAAATCTTCTCAAATTTGATTAAGATGATCATGCACACAAACTCCCTTGTTCTCCAAGTCTGACATGGTGGAAATCTAAAGAAAGCCATAGATGGACTTCCAGAGGTCCATGAGCACCTTAAAATTATATGCAAAATCATGTGTGCACGTGCACACATTGTAGCTGAATGAATTAAGAATTTTGTGTGAAAAAAAATCTTTAAAATAATTAACAACTATGAACTATTAATGAGTCGATGAAATATCAGTGGCTATCATAGTTTATTTTTCAATATGAAGAGAAACTGATATTTTATCTGGTGTTAATTAAAATATTAGAGATATTATTTATAGGAGAAATGTCTGCAAGTACTTGCATTATATTAGTAGAGGAAATAGTCCTGGTGTATAGAAGCCAAAATCGAATATTCAGTTAGTGAAAAAGTTGTCTAATAAATTACAAAATATTCTAGTGAAATGTTCTTCCATGTGTAGCCAATCATTGGCAAACTCAACAAATAACCCAAGCATCAATAAATCCTCAAGTGTTTATTAATTTCTTACTCTGCTTCTAGGGTCTCTGTGCAGTAGTGATAATATGACTCGTGGATTTGTCAGAACAGTTATCAATATGCTTGGCATTTTATTCCCTACTGTAGAGGAAATGAAAGAAATTATTTAATGCCAACTGCTTGCCCTATGTTCTAAGTATTGGGAAAAAAAGTCTTTATTTTTATCTGCTTACTTCTCAAAGGATGCCACACTGGCTCCTTATGAATGCAAAATTCATTGGGTCTGGAGTTGATATAGCAAATTAAAGATATGAGGCTCAAGGTCAAAGCCATTTATACTAAGATGAATATTAAGTTGGCAAATATTTCTAAATGTCTAAACAGCAAGGGTATACTAGAAATTTGCAGAAGTATCTTTTATTCTGGCTCATATTTCTTTGATTGTCCCTACCCTCATTAGGTCCCACTTCAACTCATAGATATCTTGGCATCTGCAATGTGGTTTGATTTCTACTTTAGCTCACCACAATTTTAACCATCATGGCATATTACAAATTTTACTGGATTAGAGAAAAAAAATCTCAATGCTTACAAATAAGCACATGTTTAAACATTAATACTATCGCAATAAAAAGGTAAATCAAGTGACATATCTTTAACAGTTTATAAATAAACTCATTACTTCTGTTCACAAGCAAAATTTCCCATAGAGTAATCATCTTTCCAGGGGTTTATAGCCGCGTTAAATTTTTGAAAAGGAGCTAGAGGTGCTAGCTTGCTTTCCCTGAAGGTCCTCTTGACTATGCTTAATACAGCTTGCTACACATTGCTGTTTGACCTACTGAGTACACATATCTGAGAAAATACAGTTTGGAATCAAATAATATACAATACAGCAAAAATGCTGCTTTCCTGTCAACACAGCTTAAAATTCACACTTCCACCCATAATGAAGTTTGGATGACCTAAAAATGACTCAAAGTATATATTTATGAAAAAATTATAACAGCGGCATTTAAAAATGTAGCTCTTGATCAGGCAAATTATTTTGAAACCTTGACTGTGTCTGTTCAAAAAACCTCCTCCTATAATATGGTCTGTTAATTTTAAAATCACAATATTTTATATACACAGGGAATCTCATGATCTTTCCTAAACATTGTTTTCATACTGGGGCTTTAAAAATTGTTTTCATGTTGGGGAAGCAGTAGCTATTAAAATAAAATTATAAAAACTGAGTTGTTTTTATAAATAGAGTAAATCTGTTTCACATACCTTTCAAAAAATTAAAAAGACAATTTCACCAACCTTAAAAAATCAATTGTATAATACAATGTATCCACAATTTTTTTGAACCCTCTAGAGAATTAGGTCCTTAAAAGCAACTGTATCATTTCTTTCATAAAGGGCACATATTAATATTTTCAATAAATAATGCTAACAAATCACACATTTTCTATTCTTTGTTACAGCAGCAACAGATTACAAATCTTGAAGGGATATCTATTTATCTATATAGATCTATATAGATCTATGTCTATATTATAGATGTAGATACATTATATATATATAATTTATATATATAATATATGTGTATATATTAGGTTGGTGCAAAGGGAATTGTGGTTTTTGCCATTAAAAGGAATGCAAAACTGCAATAACTTTCACACCAATCAAATATATATTAATGAAGTATATATAAATTTGTAATATGCCTTAATGGTTAAAACTGCAGTGAGAGAAACTGGAAATGGCAGATATATTCCATATATATGTATATATAGATATTATAAGTGCAAAAATTATAAGCCTCATGGGAAAGGGGCATTCTAAGACCTAGTTTTTGAGTATGTAATAAAATGTTTACAGGAACACAAAAAAAGGACTATAAAAGAGGTAGCTTGCAGACTTCAACACCAGAGTGATGACAGTAAAACAATTCTCAAAATTGGAATAGGAGGCTCAACATGCTTTGCTAAGTAGAATTGCTGATGGTGTTAAGCAATCTCTCATAAGTTTACAGTTTCTGATTTATCAAATATTTAGAACCACAGTATAGGAGTCAAATAAGCCACCCTGTATCCATTTACTTTTAAGCCAGTACAGACTGTAAAGTCTAGGTAGTTATGAATCACAGCTTTAATGCAGCCGACAAAATGGAGGAATTAACCATCTCGTGGATACTTCACTGTCATCTGAATATTTCTCTGCAGACAGCATTACAACATACATTTCATACATCTCAACTTTATCTATAAGAGAAACAGCACACTTGGTATTTCTGTGGGTATCTTGGAATTTCCTGGTAAAGTAAACATTTGGAGAAGTGTTCATTTATAGTATTCTTTGCTTATAAAAAGATACGTAAAACTACTTATAAATACTACTTCATTTTACAGTTAAATAAAATGGCTCAGATGCAAGGCTATTTGTGGGGCACATAGGGATATGTCATCGCTGGTGGGGTTCTAGATAAAATACCTCATAACTATTTTTCTTTTGCATTTATGCAGAAGACATAATTTTAAGTGAACATTAAACACAAGTCTATGGAAGCCAAAATGTCATATGACATGGAGCTGTGTGGCCAAAAGAGGATATATGAGAGAAAGGAGTGTTGGCAGTCAAGGGCAGTATACCATGATAGACTTGCGTTATTCATGAAAACATAGCTCCTTCCTAATGTTGGCTGGCAGAATGATCTTCTTTCCCTCTTCCAGGTGTCCTGTGACTGTTGCATTTCCTTGGCTGTTGCAAAATGTCCTTGATTTGCTAGGCTCTCAGGAAACAAAGCTCATGTGTATTTTCTTTACAATGTAAGACAACAGAATCTGAATCAAATGCTTTAAATTTCAACCCATATTATTAGAGTGGTAATAGGGATTGATGAGTGACAGTCAGTAAGTGACAGCTCAGTAAGATAGGGGCAGTGTTTTGTACAAAACAGTTGTTCTAAAGTAAATAGAATTTAATCTATCCAAGTGACTACTAACTCTTAGCACTTTAAAAAGCAAACCTTATAGATTCTCAACACCTTTATCGTTCATTTACTAAAACATAAGCATCATTACTACTGTAAACAGTAGATTCTAAGTGCCTCCAGGGTACAAAAATCTGTTAATCACCAGTATGAAAGTGAATTCATACACTGTGAACTTTTTGGAATGAATTTTGCAGCTGAAAATTTTGAAACACAAATTCCAGGTTATAGATGAAATTTGTAGACATTCAAATTTTATGGTTTATTGGTAAATAAGGCTTGTAAAAAACTAATGGAGGTCATATGGAGTTTGTTTTCAATCATTCCCTTAGCCAGAAATGAGTAATTTTTTTTAAAGGATAGCCCTTAGACCCATCTGTACTATGCAAAGGAATGAACTGCACAATTAGCCAATGTGCAACTAAACAGAACATTTCATTTAATGAGGCCAGATAAGAGGCATGATTCCTATGTGTGAAAGCAGAGTTTGCAGGGGCTTCCCAGGCATCAGCCTATCTGGGTGTATATAGCTATATCTACAGTGTGAGTGCTTATGCACACATTACTGTATCTATTAGATATCTATTACCTCATAATAGATTATTATATTGAACGGATTCACATATATTCCAATCATTAGTATGAACAGCGGACTTAACATGGGTATAAAAATTTGAAGTATTTGCTAAAGAATTTGTGTATAAATTCTATATGCTTACATCTTTATTTTATATTCTGCTTTGTTTTATAAGGCTGCCTTTAATATGTATGAATTAAAAATAAAAGATTGAAACTTTAACAACAAGAAGCTGCATTCCATTTTGGTATCAAAGATAATGAACGTGCAAGCTGAAAGTTAATTTCCCTCTCCTAGGATGAATTTTTTCTCCATAAACGTTTAATCATAAAGGAATCATTAGAACTGCAATGCTTCAGTCCAATGTCTTTACCGCCCATTGCTCCAGTAGCTTAGTCAGACCTCCCTAGATTACTGTAATTTACAAAATGAATAAAAAGTATGAAGGCTTTGTTCAGATTTTCAATGCACCATTAATACACTGTTAGAAATTGGTTCCAAAAATGAAATTGCTAAATTCTGGAAGATTTGATGTCTTCTCCTAATGAGAAGCAACATCCCTCACTTGCTAAAGGATCCAGACTTTTCTGATAGAGACTTGGGCTGTTTATTAATAATGAATTTGAATGTTCGCATGTGGAATGTTATCAGCTCACACACAATCCAACCAATAGTTAGCCCTGATGGGGGTAGCTGGGATCCTCATTAGCAGAACATATTTAATCCAGAAGTTTCTTATCAAATGTCACACCTGCATCTCTAAATGGCATTTTCACATTCATTCGCATGTATTTCGGAGATGAGGCTCCAAGGTGCTTTAAGGAGATTAAGAAGGAGAGAGTACAAGCTTATTTTATCATTTAGTGAGTCTGGAAAGAATCCAAGAAGTTTTTGTCTTGTTGTTGTAATTAGAAAGCCTTTTAAGTGATAACGTATGCATAGGAATATGAATATGTAGTGATCATACGAATGCTATTTCAAATAGGGGGACAGCTGCCATTTTTGTTGTAGGCAGAAAACATTAAATTACACTGTATAGTGGGGATTAACTTCAGAACTTTGGGAAAGGAACTAAACCCTCTCATATCTTTTTGCCACAGCCTACCAAAAACACTCAGCTCCATAAAGTTCATTTAGTATACCTTATTAGTAAAAGGTCACAATTCTCCATCAGTTATGCACTGTTTCATCATTCTTCCACACTTTGCTATTCAATAAACTAAGCAGGAAGATACAAGCAACAAACAGACATCTTAGCTTAAATAGTTCTTATTAGTTGCAACACTTATTCATATGACATCATTTTCCTTTGATTTTCAAAATGATTTGTCATCATGGTACAAACATGCAAAGTGATTTTTTAAAATCTGGACATTAAATTACAATACATTCTGAAAATTGAACTTACAACAAATTCCTTTAGATTTCATGAATAGTGTCTCTTTTGATTGTTCATTCATCATTTTTTGGAGGTTGAAGCTCCCCCTCTATATTATAAACTTTCTATTTACAGTAATCATAAGATGTTAACCTAGCAACAAAGTTCGCTCAGAAACTTTTAGTTCATTCAATTCATTATTATATGTGGAATACAAATATGTCTTACATGTAGAAGGACATATGAGCCCTAACTTCTATGTAACACAATCCAGAGACTGTTCATTGTGCCTTTCAATTCAATGCAATATTTCTTTTCTGCTTATCCAAATAGCACAGATATTATAGCATGCTTCCTTCTCGTTGATTTTCAAGAGTTTTAACCTTGAATAGTGTAATCACAATGGGCAAATATTGTTTTATCAAGCAGAGGAAACTGTATAGTATGGTACAAGGAAATCCAAGCAGGATTTGGCATGGAGTGGAAAAAGGAGAAGTGGTTTCACTTTCTTTTTGAAAAAAAATAAGGGAAAGGACAAGGGAGAACACACTACAATTCATAACTTGGTGGTTTTTATCCTGCTTTCAGGTCACTGGAGTTTGCCCCATGAAAAAGGAATTGTGGATCTGAAGCCTAAATAACTTCAGCAATCCACATGTAAGTGAACAGCAACAATCATTTTTTTCAGTTTTATTTTGCTCTCTCAGTGTTCATATCTACAAAAGCCTCTAACCAGTAGTCAAGATAAGTGTTGAACTGAGAAGTATTGATCCAGTAATAGCAGTTCAAGCTTTGACTGTGAGTCCTTAACCCTCCAGACATAATGTCATAGCCTCTTATCCTTGCCTCTTAACATTACCTGCCTATCTCTGCAGAGCTGTCACCTATGGTAATACAGTTCCAAACGCTTTCTAATCATTACTCATTCAGGCAGCATTCATTCTGTAGCCAGTAAAAAAAAAAAAAAAAAAAAAGAAAAAAGAAAAAGTTCAGGTGTCGCTTTGACTTCTAGACAGAACGAGGTGTTTTCTTCTACGGTTTCCTTCAGGCCTTTAATATACTGTGTGTATTAAAATATGCCATCCTAAAAAGAAGCCATTAAAATAATGTCCAGAAGAGGCATTAAGAGAGTTAAGCCATCAGGAACACGTGGCAATCCACTCTGAACAACGTAAAGAGACCACTGGGGTTAGGGAAGACTTTATTCTCAGCAGCAATCCCTCGCTGGAGCAAAGAGCTCAGAGTAAACAACTTTGTGCATGTAAAATCTATCAGTAAGGCAGAACCAGGTGATGGGAGGTGATTGGCATCACTGAACTGAAGGCAGAAATAGCACTTGGTGGACAAAGGTATTGGGAGTAGCAGTGGGACCTAAATATGAGTAGCGTGGAATTAAATAGTCCAATAGTAACAAGAAGTCTACATGTTATGAGTTTCTGTCTTTGATTGGCTGGGCTTTCAATATCAAAACTGTCTTACTTTCATGCATGCATGAGAAATATTATTTCATTCCTGGACACTGCATGTTCTCCTATAAGCCAGAGCATTGTAAATGACACTGTGGAGGATGACAAAGAACTCAGTAACCTAACCACTGCCACCAACAGAAACCTCTGTAAGTCAGGGTCTTATCATTCTTGACACTTCTCTATTCTCAGGGTCTAGGACAATACCTGGGATACTGCAGACATTTAATTAATATTTTAAATTAAATAAGTAGGTAAGTGAATGAAAAAAGTAATAAATGAAACTCACAGCAGGAACAAGATCCACTCATAAATATATATTACATGCCACAGTGCATAATATATTTAAATATATTATGCACATTATATATTTAATATATATAGTATGCATGGAAGTACTATATATATTTAATAGAGAGAGTATGCATATACCTGTGCAAACACAAGTAGACACATAATGAAAAACAAATTCACTTGAAGAAACCCAAGTTGTACTTTGACAATGAGAAAGACATTTCAGTAAAGAGGAAATGAGGTTGCCTAATAAGAGGAACTTCCTCTATGACAATGAACCATAGGATAGAAATTTGCAGAATATGAGTCAGTTATATAAGGCCAATAGTTGAAAGTGATTCATTTACACTCTTCACGGGGAATCTTCAAAAGATTTGTTTGCAATGTAGGGGCTACTAAATGCTTAGCGTAATGTTGTTAAAGTACAGACAATTATGGCTTTAATACAAAGAAAACATGTAGGAATATGTAAAGAAACTGATGGTTTACTAAAATGTCTATACAATACATTATTATGCATAATATAGGCAGGTGCATTGTGCCAGGCTCTTATGCTTTTCTTAGAAAAAAATACATAAAGGTCAACCAAAATTCCAAGCCAAAAAAAAAGACACACAACAATGACAATGAAATCCTTTACAATGAAAATTTAAAAACCTGAGTGCTTTAATTAAGGCTCATTGTAATGAGCCTTATATAGGTGTTGTATATGTGGCTCAAAGAAAATCATAAACTATTAAATCTACTTGGTAAAGTGCATCCATATTTTCAAGTGTTTCTCAATCATAAGATAGACAATAATGAACTTAACCTTCAGAGATATAATATGTAACATTTCTATATCGAAAAATAGTGATTTTATATAAATAATTCCCTAATGCATTCATTTTCAAATATGACACTTTGAAATATAATTGAAAAATTCCAGGAGAACATCAGATATATAGCATTACAGGCCTCCTGAAAACCATCTTAATACCCTTAGTAACCATATGTTCTCAGACAGGCACCTAAACACTCAAAGCCTTCTTATCCAACACAGATTTCACAGTTCTGCAAATTAAATGAGATGATGTATCTGAAAGCATCTAGCACAGTGTCCCCGAACACAGCTGCTTTTTGAACACTGGCAAAGGGTTGGAGGAGAGAAGGAATTGCTTTTACAACTTTAAATGAATTTCAAAGATAAATCTCTATTTAATAGTGCAACTGTCACTGCTGTAAATCAACACATTAGGGAACTTAATTTGAAGACTCTATTTAAATATGAAATATGAATGAATTATGCAAGAAGTCTCAAACTTTGAGATATTCTTTGCACGAGATTTAATGATGTAGATTGGAAATTGTTGTAGATATGCCTTTCCTGTGTCTCCCTTGGAGAAGGCTATACTCCCCTGTCTCATTGACAGGCAGTCCAGGGTATTCGCTTTGACCAATGAAAGGTGTGCATGAGTCACATGTGTCATTTCTTATTGGAAGTTTCATAAAACTACCTTGTGCTTTAACATCGTCTCTTTTCTCTCTGCCACAAGATAAGCATCGTTCCAGATAGCAGTTTCATGAGCTTGGGTTGGGAAATAAAGAAATCATGGAATAGTGCTAGAGCTAACTTTCGACAAGTACATAGCATAAATTGTTTTAAGCCACTGAGATTTTCGGAGTCGCTTGTTATTGCAGCCATCCTATTCTGATTGATACAGACATTTATATCAAGGATCTTGAACCACTGGAAATAAAATCTCTCTAGATTCTAGAAATTCCATCATAGGGTCTATATTTTTACTCAATCTAGAACTCATAACTTTCCCAATATGAGTACTATTACAATTACAATACCTTCTCTAATGTGAGTACTATGGCAATTTACTATAAAAACCATTTTAAAGCTTATTTGCATACTTGTTAAAGGAGTGGTTTCAAACTTTTTACAATCTGGCCTCAAACTGTCTTTCTAATCTCATCTCTCATGACATTGTCCCGTGAATCTGACACTTCAGCTGTATAGAGCTGTTTGATTTTGTTTTTTTTTTTTTAATCATACTATGATCTTACTTTACTTTACATCTTGATGTTTCTTCTATCTGGAATAGCCTCCTTCCTTTGTCTGCTGTTGAACTTCTACCAATCCTTCCTGATCAGCAGTATCAATTGCTCTATGATACTTTTCTGCAAATCTCTAGATAACTTCCTTCCTTTCTATCTTTCCCCCAGCACATGGTTGGCATATTTATATTTATTAAAGCACTGATTTATTGAGTGGTAATTATTTATTTTCTGGCTCAGTATCCTCTTTTCACCTAAAAGCCACAGTGCAATGAGGGGAACACTATAATTAGTTTGTAACCTGAACAAAGTACCAGGGGATGATGGTTATATCCATCTGTTCATTAAATGGTTGGAGGTTGACTTGTTAATAGCCTAGTTTTTCAAAAGTTTTAGCTGAGAGAACAGGTTAAAACTACTGGTTGCATAATTGGGAGTAAAACTTTATTTCATTTTTGTAACTTAAAAATAGTTTAGTTTCAGGAGTTTCATAAATCAGCAATTAATTACCATAGTAGGAGATCGCATAGTACATTGCTTCATTTTATGCTTTATTTATTTATGTATTTATGTATTTATTTATTTATTTATCTATGTCTGTATAGAGACGGGGTTCTCACTATATTGCTCCAGTTGGAGTGCAATGACTATTAACCGGCATGATCATAGTCCTACAGCCCTGAACTCCTGAGCTCAAGTGATCCTCCTGTCTCAGCCTCCAGAGTAGTTGGAACTAAGGGTGTGTACTCTTGTACCCAGCAATTATGCTGTTCTTAGAAAAAAAAAAAGTCAACCAAAATCCCAGGTAACAAAGAAACATTTACAATAAAAGTTTTAAAACATAAATACTCTAAGACAGGCTCCTCATAATGATGATTCAACATATCCGAAGATTTATTATCTCCACCTTAGCCTGGCATAAACAGCCCTATAATCTGGTTCAATTTATCTATCACTATACACTTTGTGACTAAGCTTGTCACATTCCTTTACATGTGACAACTTTTCCCTCTATTTTCCATACTCTTCGCATGTTCTATACATTCTCCCAACCCTAGTGTTTATTCATAATTCCCCTGTAATGCCTGTCCTTAGCTTATTTAGGCAATTCTCTACTTCCAAAACTTAATTCACGGTCTCCTTCCATCATGATGTTTTAGCAGTAGCCCACAACAGGCAGGCTTTCCCTCACATCCTGCCACACTTATCACCTAAACCATCCATTGGAAACTTAAGATGTGATATTACTGCTAATCTTAAGTGCATCCTTTCACTCCATGGAGATTGAGTATAAACTCATTTATGACTAGGGATTACATCTTCGGTGTTCTTAATCCTCATCGCCTTGACCAGTACTTGCACAAAGTTGATGCTAGCACAAACAAACGAAGCGTCTGCTAGTTATTTACTGACCAGTCCTAATGGTGAAGATACCAACAGAGTAATCCTTTGCAGGACTTGGTAGCCTAGAACATTTCTGGAATTAGTTGTTCTTTGCTGACTTCTTTATTTACATTGTACAAATACTAATTCCCTTTTTATCATTATGAATCTGGATTATTAACATCAGGCTCCCCATAGCTTTCTCCTCTCCACATAGGGAGAAGGAAGAAGAATTCACTTTTATAGAGTGCTAAGTACTATGGTTATACAACTTAGAAGTCAACAGTAAAAAATTAAAATAGCATTTGGCTGTTAATGACACTTTAGCCTCTCCAAATAATTCTTATTAAAATACTCATGCAAAAACAGAAAAATAAAAAAAAAATCACAACATCTGAGCCAGACGCAGCCTACTGCCAGCATTTCGATGGAATTTCCTCAGCTGAAAGGCCACTGAAATCATACTGAATAAAGCAACTGATGGTCAGAGAAGCAGGAAATGAAGGAGATTTGCATACTTAAAAATAGGTTATTTTACTCATCGTTTTCCTATAGACTGCTTCCACAAGGTCTGTATTTTGGGATACTCTACATCCACCTCTTGACATGACCAGAACACTGTTTCCCATCTCTATTCATTAGAACCTTTGTTGAACTGGGTTGAATCATAGACCCAATGGCCCTCTTCCCACAAATTAAGCTAAAACTGAAAGAAAACCTACTTGAAGAGATGCTGTGTGGTAAGAGCTGACACAAGAGACTTGTATTTTTTGGAGATAATAACTTAGAGACTGAGATACCATCTATGGGACAAGGAGAAGACCTCTTATAGCAGCATACACAATATATAAAATGCTAGTAAGTCATAGGAATTGGCTTCTGAGCTGTGTCTTCTGTTTTCCTGCTGGAGATTTAAACAGAAAATTAGACCATTGCTCAAATGACACAGCATGAATTTGGGGTGAGGTTACCATACATCCTGATTTATGCCTGAAGTACTGGTATAATTATGAGTAGTACCCTCATTTACTCTCAAAAGTATCCCAGCTGATATATGAAACAATTGTCTTGGTCTTTGGGAAATACCGGTTCTGGATAGTTCTCTCTTCTCATTTAAAAATGGGTAAATTTAAACAGCCTAGGAATATTTATTACAGAAACAGAGAAAAAATACGTTATTCTAACTTAGAAGAGCACACTTTTGAAAATGATTTGCAATATGTATCAGAGAATTTTTTTTCAGAAAATAACTTATATCTCTAATAAAAGATAAGATGACATGGAAGTGTCAGACTGTGGGTAAAAGCCATAAGGAAATGCCAGGTTGATGCACAAAGATAACTGGATAAAACTGAAAGGAATAATTTTAAGGAAACTGATTGGAAAAGCAAAATATTGCTTTGGAGATAGACAGTAGAATTGGCACTGTAGAAAATCAAATCAGTTATATAGCTGCAAAGCTGTAAAGTTACTTTTAAGGAAAACAAGGAAAAATGATGTTTTACAAAAGAGCAAGGATGTTGTATTGTAAAGGCAGATAAAAAAATGTGATTTAAGAATATACAGTTGACTCTTGAATAACACAGATTTGAACTGCACGGGGTCCACTTATATGTGGATTTTTTTCAATAAATATATAGAAAAAAATTTTGGAGATTTGTGACAATTTGAAAAAACTCACAGATGAATCACATAGCATAGAAATAGAAAAAATTAAGAAATAGGTGTGCCATGAATGCATAAAATATATGTAGACACTTTAATCATTCACTACCATAAAATATATATAAATCTACTACAAAAAGTTAAAATTTATCAAAACTTACTCAAACACAAACAGAAAAAGTTAACATTCACAGTCTAGAGAAATTTAAACAAATGTAAAGACGCAGTAATAATCATAACTGCATACAGTTAATTATAATAATTTTGTTTCCACTTCCTATTGCTATTGTGCTGAGCTGAAGTGTTGGTAGTATCTGCTTAAAATGCCATGTGATGCTAATCATCTCCATGTGAGCAGTTTCTCTTTCCAGTAAATTGCTTATCTCATAAAAAGTGATGGTGGTTCTTGCCCATTTTTTCATTGTGTTTAGTGCAATACCATAAACCTTGAACAACACCATGGAACCCATAAAAAGCATCACTAGTGATACTGGAAGTGCTCCCAAGAAGCAGAGAAAATTCATGGCATTAGAAGAAAAAGTTGAATTGCTTGATATATATCATAGATCAGGGTCTGCAGCTGGGTTGCCCACTATTTCAGGATGACTGAATCTGCGCATTGTAAAAAAGAAAAGGAAATTCATGAAGCTCTTGCTGCAACTATGCCAGCAGGCATAGAAATCTTGCACTTTTTGTGAAATACTTTTTTAGCTCATATTAAAAATACAGGTTTTATGTGAGTGCAGGATTGCTATAAGAAAGAAATACCTATAGATCTAATATGATTTTTTTAATCTAAGTCATTATATGACAACTTAAAGCAAAGAGAAGGTGAAGAATCTAAAGTTGCAAACTTTAATGCCAGCAAAGGATGGTTTGATAATTTTAGACAGAGTTTTGGCTTTAAAAATGTAAAGATAACAGGAGAAGCAGCTTCAGCCAACCAAGAGGCTACAAACAAGTTCCTGGATGTCATTAAAAAAATCATTGAGGAGAAAGAATATCTGTCTGGGCAATTTACTTTAATGTCAATGAAAGTATTCTATTCTGGGAGAAAAAAATGCCACAAAGGACATTTATTAGTAAGAAAGAAAAGCAAGCACCAGGATTTAAGGCAGAAAGGAACGGGCTAACTCTACTCTTTAGAGCAAATGCAGTCGCGTTTATGATCACGACTGCCCTTATCTATAAAGCTGCTAACCCCCGAGCCTTGAAGGGAAAATATAAACATTAGCTGCCAGTCTCTTGACTGTACAACAAGAAGGCCTCGACAATGAGAACCCTTTTTTTCTGGATTGGTTTCACGAATGCTTTGTCCCTGATGTCAGGACGTATCTTGCCAGTATAAGAGTCTGCCTTTTAAAGTTATTTTGATATTGAACAATGTCCCTGGCCACCCGGATCTTCATTAGTTCAACACCAGAATTGTTGAAATAGTCTATGTGGTCTTTAGATCGAGGGGTCATAAGGAACTTTGAGGCTCATTTCACATGGTACTGTATGGAAAGGACTGTCAATGCTGTGGAAGAGAACTCCCACAGAACGTCACGAAGTCTGGAACGATTATACCACTGAATATGCCGTCATTGTTATAGAAAAAGTTGTGAGAGCCATCAAGCCCCAAACAATCAATTCCTACTGGAGAAAACTGTGTCCAGATGTTGTGCAGGACTTCACAGGATTTTCAACAGAGCCAATCAAGAATATCATGAAAGAGACTGTGAATACAGAAAAAAAAATGGGTGGGGGATGAAATTTTTATGATATGGATCTTGGAGAAATTCAAGAACGAATAGACACCACACCAGAGGAATGAACAGATGATAAGTTGATGGAGATCAGTGTTTCTGAGCCAATGCCAGACGATGAGGAAGAAGATGTGCCAGAAAACAGATTAACATTAGATAATCTGGCAGAAGGATTCCGATTATTCAAGACCACTTTGGTTTCTTGTCAACATGGACTCATATGATACTGGCACTGAAACTAAAACAAAAAGTGGAAGAAGGATTGGTATAATACAGAAACATTTTTAGAGAAATGAGAGAGCAGAGTCAGACCGAAATTACAGTGTATTTCCATAAAGATACACCCAGTGTGCCTGCCTCTCCTGCCTCCCATTTCACCTCCACCTCTTCTGCCTCTGCCACCTCTGAGACAGCAAGACCACCCCCTCATCTTCCTCCTTCTCCTCACACTATTCAATGTGAGGACAGCAAGGATGAAGCCCTTTATGATGACCCACTTCCACTAAATGAATAGCAAGTGTATTTCCTCTTCATTATGATTTTCTTGACATTTTCTTTTCTTTGGCTTACCTTACTGTAAGAATATAGTATAATAAACATAACATACAAAATATGTGTTAATCAATTATTTATGTCATTGGTCAGGTTTTTGGTCAATAGTAGGTTATCAGTAGTTAAGTTTTTAGGGACACAGAAGTTATATGTGGAGTTTCAAATGCATGGGGGTGGGGATTGGCAACCCTTATCCAGGTGTTCAAAGGTCAATTATAGTCATAACCAAGGAAGAAATTGGAATAATCGAAAAATAAATTGACAATAGAAACAAAGATCCAAAGAATCTCCCATGGTCCAACAAACAAAGGAGCTTGACCTAGTCTAGAAAATATATTGGTATGAAAGAATTAAGTTATTCTTTATAAGCAGGAAGCAGGGTGGGGAAGGAAGAAAGAAAAAGAAGCTTCAGAGGGGTACAAGGCCTTTGTGTTGCAAAAATCTGGTAACATCTGGACCAAAGCTGTCCATTAATATAATATTAGCCATATATATAATTTTAAAAAATTAATAACTACATAAAAAGGAAAAAGGTAAAATTATTTTAATAATATATTTAATCTACCATATCAAAAACATTACCAATTTATAACTGATGTTAAAATTTTAATTATACCTATATATAGTATTAAGTCTTTGAAATGTGGTGTGTATTTTACATTTGCTACATATCTCCAATACAGACAAGTCACATTTCAAGTGCTCCATAGCCACAAGTGGCAAGTGGCTACCATACTTGATAGTGCAACCAGCCATGCCTCATTTCATGTGAGATGGCAAGAGATGAATAGGTTTCAACACATGTTCTCGTATATTCTTTCTGAGAAAATTACTTAAGAGTTACTATCTAGCTGATAATTCAATATTCATGGATAGAAGGCCTGATGAAGGTAAGAACAAGAGAATATTGTGTCTATTTTACATTTTATTTTTCAAAAAATAGAGTGAAAACCAATAGTGACCTAAATACAGTGTGAATGCAAAAAAACTGTAACCTGGCAACAATGGGAATTCAAAGCAGTATTTTATACTTTTTCCTATTTTCAAATTGCTCCAATGAACATATATTACTTTTTTTAAAAAAAGTGATTTGATATTAATATAATCTGTTGTCATTACATAGAAAAGCTGTGAGAAAAAGATAAACTTTCTGTTTTTGTGGAATTATAAATATGGAAGGCTACATGAATCATGATGAAATTCATTCATTCAACACATACTGACTGCCAAATTTGCATCATGTGCTGTGCCTTGGGGCAGTTATCTATAACTGGGATATGTGAACAGTGGAAAGTACAGTTGCCCCTTGAACATGGGTTTGCAGATCCACTTAAACACGATTTTTTTCAACCAAAGGCAGACGGAAAACACAGTATTCACTGGATGTGAAATTTGTCTATACGTAGGGCTGACATTTCCCATCTGTGGGATCTGCAGGGCTGACTGCAGAACTGGAGTATGCATGGATTTTGGTATCTTCAGTGGTCCTGGAACCAGTCCCCTATGTCTACAGAGGGACAACTATAAATGAAGACGTTCAGGGTTTTGCCTGCATGGGTCGCTAAAAAGGAATGATTTTCTAGGTTTTTACAATGCAGTCGTTCTTACTAGTTTTTTCGACTTTCTCTTCCACAAAAGGCTTTTTCATTTACACAACGAAAGGCCCAAGACCCTACTTTTACAGATGCAGCAAGGTGGATGCCAAAACAATGGGACTGTTCTAGGATGCATCTCCTCTCCCAAGTGGGAGTCCTTTCAGAGCCCATCCGAAATGTGGAAGTGAGCTGAGGTTTATTTCATCCAGGTGATAGAGCTATTGGTAAGCTTCTGTGCCTTATCTATATATCTATTTTAGGATAAGAATTCAGAAGTGAGATGATTGTCTCGGGGACCTGAATTTACATGCTTATTTGAATTGGAAAATGAAGTCAGAGTTTTTCCTGACAGCTAGGAGTGATCTGGCTGATTGGCACGACAGAGATGTTCTTTTCCAATTAGGTGATGTGGCAGATATTTTTCATGAAATGATTGAGCTAAATCTGCAGCTCTAAGGTTTTGATACAAATATACTGGAGGCACATGCACAATACAAGGTAACCTAGAGATTATTAGTAATTAATAGTGGTAAATTAGTAGTAAATTAATCATAAATTAGTAGTGAACACTAAGAATTAATAATGACTGAAAACTCTTTAAACTTATGATTAAACTTTAGATAGCAAGGGAATTCATCATATTTCAACATTCATTTACTGGAAACTTGAATCAAAGTTTTGTGAAATATGTAAAACCTGGAAAATGTTGGAGAAGGACATTGATACAGCAGGATCAGGTGGGTGGGAGGAGTGCAGGGCAGCTCATAAGGACATGAGCAGAATCGTATGAATAATAAATTGCATTATTTATACAACTATTTCTGTTCATTTGCATCCCTAGAAGAATGCTGGTTAGTAAAATTCGCAATCAGTGACTAAGGCCAGATTACTAGAGGACCTTATCGCATCTTTAAAATTAATGTATACTTTGCATAAGTTAAATGTGACATGTAAATTGGGAAGTTTTTTCTGCCAGTTAAGGTTGGCTGTGGTTCCCTGTTAAGTAAGATGAAATCATTTAAACTTGATACCATTATTTCTAAATGCAAGTTATCCAATGACATAATTCTTCTCTAATATTGGTCTCTGCATAGCTATCAAGGCTGTTAAATTTAATTTGAAAATGGAATCCATCATAAAATATTAACCACAAAAGACCACTGGTATGGAGAAACCTGTAAGTCCACTAATTATATTGTTCACTCCTGTTGGCTTTGATCTTACATAGGCAGTCGTGGACATTGAAAGGTGTAAAGACTAATACTAATAGCAACATTGCTAAACACAATAACAATAATAATTGCTAACACACAATGGGTTTTACTACTTATTAGATGCTGTGGGAAGCACTCTATATGTATTATCTAAAACTATTCTTCCCCTAAATGTTATGATTAAGGTTCTAATATTATCGCCCCCATTTTACATAACAGAAAACTGAGGTTTAGGGAAATTAGGTAATATGTTCCAGGTGACAAATTATACATGGAAGAGTGAGGAATAAACCCAAGTCTTTCCGAATTCAGAGTCCAAGATATTAAGCACTATAGGATACAGCCTCTCTATCAAAGTCTGATTTATTTATAATGACGCTTTTGTTTTATTCAGCACCAAACTGTGGTTGTATGTGGTTGTATGTGTGTGTGTGTATTGCGTGTGTACTTTTTGTATCACTTACAAGAGGAGTGAAAAGACATGGGTGATTCTAACTGCCATGTAATTAACATAGCACATTTATACCATGAGGCATCTCAATTACTACCAGCACAATTTAATTGGTGATTAGGATGATGATGATACTGATTCAGACATTACCATCTCATGGGCTTTGGCAAGTGTGTAAGCCTTGCAGATGATAGTTGTTAGAATGTTTCACAATGAAAAAGGTATACCTCTTTAAAAGAAAAAACTAGAACGTGGTTAAAAATCAACTTGTAACAGTAGTTTGGGGCAAGAATGTACTGAACTCATAGATGTTAAAGGAAGCAGCAGTAGAAAAGAGTCATATTTGGGGCCAGTAGACTTTGAGTTAGAGGCTTAAATCTGCCATTTAATAAGTGGATAATCTTTAATAAGTCATCTCTCTACATGTGGGTCTCATTTGTAACATAAAGTTGCTGTGAAATCTAAATAAGAAAATATATGTGAAAGAGGGTCTACTCAAACATAATGAAATGAGACACGGGGATTGCATGTAATAAGCAATTGGGGGTTGGGAGGAATAAACTGTTGATAGCTTTTTGAACCAGAGATGATTTTACTTTGTTTTGAAGAATTCTTTTGACGACAGAATCAGGGCAGGGACAAAGCAGAACAGTAATTCCACTGTATGTGTTTAAAAAGAAAAAAAAATGCGTATTGTGTCATATTTATTAACACCGGATAATTTTCTCTAAAGGAATTACAAATTTATGATAATCCCTGGCATTCAATTAGTGTCTTAAACTTGCAAAAACCCTTTCAAAGACATTATCTTACTTAATTTTTAGTACAAGTCTTCAAATAACAGTGATATCTTGCAATAATGTGCAGATGGTTACATAAATTCAGATATAATCTGATGGTGAATCTCTATCCTGCTACAGTTTGAAAATGGACATACGCTAAAGTTCTCATTTTTTGGGGGGTGGTGAAGGACATTATCCAAGACTAACTTCTTACATCAGACAGAAGAAACTGGCATCAACTAACCAAGATATTCCTGGAATTGATTCCCCTGTTCTGGATGTTGTAGTCAGCCACCACACCCAGAATCATCCCCATTTGATATAAGAGCCAGAGTGAGCAACTGCCACCAGATGGCATCAAACTGCAGTCAGGGACCAAGACATTGATTCAGTCCCAGGTAGTTGCCAGGATGACTCTGACCAATGACTGCATAATAACATGACCTCACATTTTAGACTTCTAAATTTTTGGACCTCACTTATTTTATTTTATAAATAATGTGAAAGCATCCCAGGGAGTTACATGACTTACTCAAGGTCACACAGTATCTTACTGTTAAAGACCAGAACTCAGTCTCTCGGTAGTAGGAGCCAGGAGTCTAACCACTTGGGTTCAAGTTTCAGCCCAGCTACTTCTTCACCATGAGATGATGAGCAAGCTACTTACCAGTGCTGAGCCTGCTCCCTTAACTACAATTTGGGGATACTACATTTACATATCTATGTCTTTACATAAAGACAAGGCATGTGACAAGATGGTGCAATGAAAACATAGTGTGCTACAGCATACTATGTGAAACTAAATGTTTCTCTCTGATCCATACATTAATATTTTTAATTATGCTCCTTTACTAAATTATAAGGATAGTAAATAATTGATAATTGAGGCAATAACTCTCAAGGGTCTACTATTTTTTTTAACAGTTCAAAATGTATTACCAAAGCCCAAGAACAACAAACATCTTTCTGCTTAATTTAACAATCAATGGACTAGAATGTATTAAGTTATCTACTATGTGCTCAATACTGTGGAGGCCATAGAAAAAGCTACATCATGGTTTCTATCCTTAAAGGGCTAAATAACCAATCAGAGATATTGAAACAAATGCAAATGGAGGAAAATCAGATAGCAAGATGAGTCTTAGTAAATACTAGGTCTTGCAGAAATAATGACAATACTGATGTTATCAGAGAAGAGGGAGATGAGTGAGCTCTGTGGTGGTGAGGAAAATCTTACAAAGAGTTAAGAATTTGATTTTCCCCTCAAGGTTGGGTATGCTATAAACAGGCGAAAAGAAAGAGATGTTAGCTATTCTGATTCATCTCATTGCTTTTCTCTGACCCAGTGGTTCCATTTTGGTTAATATGATCCCAGAAGCTCCAAGCAGATTCTTATCAGGACAGTTTTGTAATAACTGCTGACCTATCAGTAGAGAGTATTGAAAGACATGCATGCAGTATAATTTTTCAGCAACTTCTGGGCAGGTGCTGCTGGAGAAGCAGCTCCCTTTTAAATGTATCAGCACTTCCTCCTCTGCAGTGCATAAAAGTTACTTACAGTTTGTATCTGTGCCAGTAAGATGAAGGGAATGCCTGTTCCACACACCAGTGGTAAGATGTGTGATTTCACCCTTGGAGAATTTGACAGAATAATCGACTTTGATGATTAATCCATTGTAACAGGAGGCTCAGCATTGGTGGAGATGAATTTTCTGCCTTAAGTGACTACCCTGTTGTGCTGTACTCTTGAAAACCTCTGGAAGTTGATATACTACAGGAAGGAGTAAGGTTGCAGGCCTTGGGAAATCACTCTGATTCTTTTAGACTCATGAAAAAGCACATGAGGTGGCCATGGCTTTCCTTTTGGTGTCTGGATTTGACTAAATCAAGAGGATCTTACAGAATAGACCTATTCTGGGAAATCCTTGATAATAAGAGCACATGGTCTCTCAACAAGGTTTAGAAAATTTCCTGCAAATCATGTGAAACATTCAAGTGGCACTGTGGAGTTATTGCTGCTATTTTAATATACCTGATTGAGGATTATCACATACAGTGTGAATCATATATACACACACGTATATAACACAGACATATATGTAAACATATGTAGATATATCTGTATGTATGTATATATATTTATGTGTGTATGTATAAACTGGTTTTATATATAAATACATATAACAAGTTTAGTAGACATTCATATGCAATGTCTAATATGAGAACCATTTATTCATCATATTTGCTCTGAAATGCAGTATTACTGTACTGATTTTATCTATATTTTATATGGATAAAATTTTATATGGATAAAATATAGATAAAATCAATATATAAACATTTATATATGAATATTTACATATAAATTTTATTTACATATTTATATATAAATGTTTTATATGTATATATGTAAATAAAACAAAGAATGTCCACTAAACTTTCTTTTCTATAATACTTTAGGAAGTCAAATAAAGAAAAGAAAAGAAAAATTCTTTTTTCCTGCCAGCATCTCTTTTCTCTGGTATCTGTCCTTCAATGTGGCACTTTATTTCAGATTATGGCACCTGATTGTTTTGAAATACAGTAACTCTGCATTGAAATAAAATAAGATGAAGAACCAGTGTTTCTCATATTAGACACTCCGTATGAATCACCTAGAGCGAATATGAAAATTTCAAGTTCATTGGCCCTAGTCCCAGAAATTCTGAATCAGGAGGTCTGGGGCAAAGTCCAAGAATCTACAATGCTTGTTCCCTGTTGAGAATTCTGAAGCTGATTTTCTGAGAACCACTATTTATAAAATATGAAAACACCAGGACTGGAATCAGTCACATATAGGTTGGATTTGGAGCTCTAGCATTCACTGGCTATACTTTGGTGAAAAAGCCAGTTAATCCAGATGACCCTTATTTTTAATATTATTCTGGTAAATGTTTAACATTTGACTCTGCCGAAAGAAAATGTATGCATATAAACAATATACATATTTGTTATAAATTTTACTGATATAAATTATATGTAGCACATAATTTATACATAATAATAAAGTATACAATATTAAAATCCATATAGTAAATTAGTATATTAATTCTCATGGAATGTTTTCATTGACTTTTGCCTACGTCTCTCTTTTTTTTTTTTTTTTTCAAGAGATGGGGTCTCACTCTATAGCCCAGGCTGCTGGTACATTGTTGTGGGACAATCGCAGCTCTCTGTGACCTTGAACTTCTGGGCTTAAGCGATCCTCCTGTCTCAGCCTCCTGAATAGCTGGGACTACAGATGCACACCACCACATCTGCCTAATTTTCTATTTTTTTTGTAGAGATGGGGTCTTGTCATCTTGCCCAGCTTGGTCTCAAACTCCTGGGCTCAAGTGATTCTCCCATCTTGGACTCCCAAAGTATGGGATTACTGGCATGAGCCCTTGTACCTGGTTTTGCCTAACTTTTGATTCCATAGCCAATCTACGGTTGCAACTGAGAAACAAGTATAGTTACAACATGAATGTTGGTTGCTCTTTCTGTGGATGTTAACAAGTAAGACAAAAGTGAACACCAAAGACCTACATCAGAAGTTCACTTGTTTATCAATGGTATAAGCAACTTCTTTATTGAAATAGATAATAATTTCAGATATCGGAATATTATTTCCTAAAATTATTGTGCTAGTCACAGTGTACTGGCTGTAGAAAGACACACTTTTATATTTAATTTGTATAATTAGTATCACTTTTTAAAATCTTTTATACAAGGAACAAAACAATAAACGAATGCCTAACTTGTAGCATTTGCAAATTTCCATAGTGTAAATACTCTCACTATGGCCAACTTCAAGCTACCAATGTTATGTCACTGAACAGAGAGTTGGGAAGTAATGTTCAGTAGCATACATTATATGGTATTTCCATTATACAGATAAAATAGTTATAAATAAGCTAAAAAGCATAGATAATAGTAAAGTGTACTAAAATGATTAAGTGATAAATTTTAAGTATTTATTACCTTATTAAAATATAATTTATTTAATCATTAGTTTATATAATTTGAATTTAATTAGTGGCTGTGTTTAAAAACTGGCCCAGCAATCAGGCAAGAGAAATAAAAGTGATCCAAAAAAGATAGGAGAAAGTCAAACTATTTCTCTTTGTGGAGGATATGATTCTATGCTGAGAAAACCCTAAAGACTCTGCCAAAAGGTTCCTACATCTGATAAAAGACTTCAGTAAAGTTTCAGGATACAGAAACAATGTACACAAATCAGTAGCATTTCTGTAAGCCAATGAGGTTCAAGCTGAGAGCCAAATCAAGAATGCAATCTTATTTACAATTGCA